>NC_000009.12:71345552-71970552 GCF_000001405.40 Homo sapiens | reverse complement strand
TCATCAGAATAGAATTGAGAGTCTACAGGCAAAATAGTGGAAATATATTATGGATTTATAGAATATGTAAAAGTAAAATGTATGACAACAATAATACAAAATTGGCCGGGAGGAATTGGAAGTATATTATTATAAGGATCGTGAGGTACTTATTCTGTATGAACGTTATCAGCCAAAATGACAATTTTAGAACACTCTATACAAGAGCAATACATTGTCTTCAAGTATACATGGAACATTCTCTAAGACAGACCATATTCTGGGCCATGAAACCAACCTCAACATATTTTAAAAAAGAAAAAACTGGCCGGGTGCCGTGGCTCACGCCTATAATCCCAGCACTTTGGGAGGGCGAGGTGGGTGGATCACCTGAGGTCAGGAGTTTGAGACTAGCCTGGCCAACATGGTGAAACCCCGTCCCTACTAATAATACAAAAAAAATTAGCTGGGCATGGGGGAGCACATCTGCAATCTCAGCTACTTGAGAGGCTGAGGCAGGAGAATTGCTTGAACCCAAGAGGCGGAGGTTGCAGTGAGCTGAGATTGTGCCATTGCACTCCAGCCTGGGCGACAAGAGTGAAACTTTGTATGAAAAAAAAAAGAAAAAACCCTGAAATTTATATAAAGTATATATCATCTTGCCACAGTGAAATTAACAAAAAATCAATAACAGAAAATATCTAGAAAATGCTCAAATATTTAGAAAATAAAACACTTCTAAATAACCCACAGATCAAAGAGGAATTCACACACACAAAAAGAAAATATTTTGATTGAATGACAATGAAAATGCATCAAAATTTACAAAACGGAGCTAAAGAAGTCCTTGAGAAATTTATTTTAATACATGATTACAAATTATATTAAACAAAAAAGTTATCTAAACTTTTACCTTTAGAAAATAGAACAGTAAATTAAACTCAAAGCAAACAAAGGGGTGCTGTAATAAGAACAGAATCAATGATACTGAAAACAGAAAAATAAAATCAATGCAGCCAAACGCAGGCTCTTTGAAAAGATCAATATAATTCATAAATACATACACTGAAACATCAGGAATAAAAGATGGTACAGCACTATAGATCTAACAGACATTGAAAGAATAATAAGAGGCTGGGTGCAGTGGCTCATGCTGGTACTCCCAGCACTTTGGGAGGCTGAGGCAGGTGGATCACTTGAGGCCAGGAGATTGAGACCAGCCCAGCCAACATAGTGAAACCACATCTCTACTAAAAATACAAAAAATTAGCTGGGCATGGTGGTGTAATCCCAGCTACTTGGGAGGCTGAGACAGGAGAATCACTTGAACCTGGGAGACAGAGGTTGCAGTGAGCCAAGATTGCGCCACTGCACTCCAGCCTGGGTGTTAAACACAGCGAGTTCTAAGTTTCTCTTCAAAGAATCAGTATGTCAGTATGTTCAGTTCTTTGTTCTCCATTTTCAAGTTTAACTTCCTTGTTCTCTTCATCTCTTTGCCCCTAGTTTCAGTAAACAACCTTCCCGCCAGTTCTAATCAGTAGTTCACATCTGTTCCCCTGGTCACCTGCTCCGTCCTGAGTCACCCCTGGTCACCTACTCTGACCTGAGTCACCTTTAGTCACCTATTCCATAACCGTCTTTCCTGCCGAAACTGCTCACCCCGCCACTCTGGCTCATATCCCTGCTCTGTTTAAAATAGCCAGTTGGAATTAGCTTAGATTGTGTGGTCCAACCCTAGCCAATAGGGGAACGACACAGCAGTAGAGGCTACCTGCGTCAGGGATAAGAACCCCTTCCCCTCCTTTGTTCAGGTGTACTCTTGCCATTGCTCCATCCGCGAGACACACCCTTCTATAGAAGTAAAATTGCCTTGCTGAGAAAATTTATGTTTGAGTGCTATTTCTTTGGTGGCACCGAAAATTTATTTCTAACAAATGACAAAGCAAGACTCTGTCTCAAAAAACAAAGAATAATGGGAAAATTTTAGATTTAACTCTATGCATATAAGCCCAACAACTCTGTAGAAATAGCCAAAGTTTTGCAAAGAAAGAATATCAAAACTCACTGAAGAAGAAATAAATATACTCCTCTATCCATTAAAGAAAAATTTAATCATAACTCTAAAAAAACTCTCCTAATTTTTTTTTTTTTTTAAGGAAAACTCCAGGCCCAAATGGCTTTACTGGTAAATTCTATCAAATATTTAAGAAATAATACTGATCATATACAAATCCTTCCAGAAAAACAAATAGGAAGAAATATTTTTCAACTCATTTGATAAGGCTCTAATATCAAGACAAAAAAAAAGCAAACAAGAAAATGACAGATGAGTATTTCTAATGAACAAAGATGTAAAAATCCATGACAAAATGTTAGCAAATCAAATCCAGCAATATATAAACATCTTGCACACACGCTTGCTCACTCTCTCGCATGCTCATTCTCTTGCATGCACTCTCTCTCTCTCTCTCTATATATATATATATGCAGCAATGGATTTATCCTGGGAATACAAGGCTAATTCAGTATATTCAAAGCCAATAAAAAAAATTCACTAAAGCAATGTTCTAAGAAAAACCATATGATGATGTTATTAGATGTGAAAAAAGCTTTACAAAAATATAACATCCGTTTATAACAACTCTCAGTAAACTATGAACTGAAGGAAACACTCTCAACCTAAAAACAGATAACTACAAAGAAACTACAGCTAATTTCCTACTTAATGATGAAAGACTGAATACCTTCCCTGTAAGATCAGAAACAGGGCAAGAATATCTGCTCTCAACACTCCTTTTCAGCATGATATTGGAGGTCCTAGGCAGTGCAATGGCAGCCAAAAAAAAAAAAAAAAAAAAAAGAAAGGTCATAGAGATTGAAAAGAAGAAATAAGTGTCTTTATTTAGAAGAAAAAATCACTGTCTATATAGAAAACACCAATGAATCTATTTTTTAAAATGAACTGGACATAAACAGTGAGTTTAATAAAATCACAATATATGGGGTCAGTAAACAAACATAAACTGTATTTTTATGTTTCTAGCAATGATTAATTACTTTGTATAAGAAAAAGCAAAGAAATTACAACAGCCAAAAGAGTTATGAAAATGAAAAATGAGGTTGGAGAATTCTCACTATGTGATTTCAAGACTTATCACAAGGTAGTGATCAAGGTAGTGTAGTACTGGTGAAAGGACACACAGATCAATGGAATAAAGACCAGAAACAGACCCACGTACATATATGACCAACTGATTTTCAAGATAGTAGAAAGGAAACTGAATAGAGAAAAGACAGTCTTTTCAACAAACAATGTTGGAAAAACTGACTATCCCTAAAATTAACAAGAAATAGAACATAAATTCAAATATAAAATCAAGAATTATACAACTTCTAGAAGAAGAACCCTCAGCTAGGCAAAGACATCTTATCTACAACAACAAAACCATGATCTAGAAAGAATAATTTGTTAAATGGGCCCTCTCCAGAATAAAAAATGTCTCCTCTTCAAAACACACTCTTAAAAGAATGAAAAAACAAGCCAGAGGGTGGCACAAAACTTATTAAGTATTTTGAACATCTTACAAACGGCCAGCAAAGCTGTCTTTTGTGAGGATGATTTGCATCTGCAGAGGAAATAAAGTGAAGTAAACAACAGATATAAACAGGCTTTCTCTGAATCCCGCCCTTGTCTGGATCTAGGAAAGATCAACTCAGCTCTAAAACTTTAAAGGTCTGACAGAAACATTTACCAGAGGCCCTGTGGGGCTACCACCTGTGAGGTTTCATCTGCATAACAAGACTGCCTTTGCCCAGGTTTCTCCTCTTCTCCCCCACTCATAACTGTCTTTCCACAATATCCTGCTTTGCCACAATCTGAGCCCCCCATTCTCTCTGTAACATCAAGATGATACAAAAGCGTTAACCATCTTGCCTTTGCGTTTTTTTTATAGTCATGACTCCTGTGCACACGTATGCACACAATAAAATTTGTACATCCTTTTCCCTTGTTAATCTATGTATTATGTTTGTTTTATAGATTCAGATTACCAAAACTTCAGGGGAAAAATTCAAACCTCCCTAAAATGGTAAGGAAAAATTTTAAATTCTCCTAAATATAAATTTTTCCAAATTTCCCTTAAAAATGGCTATATTGTATTTTATGAGTCCATTGCTAAGAAAACTTCAGAAATGTCAAAATGATGATAGTTTTGCCTTCTTTTCATTTCTTTATGGAATACACATGTTAAAAGAAAAAATTCAGCTGAATTACATTTAAAGGAGTTTAATTGAGCAATGAATGATTCACGAATCAGGCAGCCCCCAGAATCACAGCAGATTCAGAGAGACTCCAGGCATGCCTCATGGTCAGAACAAATTTATAGACAAAAAAAGTAAAGTGCAGTACAGAAATAGGAAGGGAGGTATAGAAACAGCTGGATTGGTTACAGGTTAGCATTTGCCTTATTTGAACAGTTTGAACACTCAGCAGTGTATGAATGGTTGAAGTATGGCTGCTGGGATTGGCCAAGACTCAGCTATTGTTACAGGCGCATACTCCTGTTAGTTAAACTTAGGTTTTCAATCTTGTCTACCTATTAAATTAGGTTGCAGTTCATCCACAAGGACTCAAATATAGAAATAGGGAGTCATTATCAAGCTATCTTTAGTTCACTTTAACACACACAATTCCCAGAAACAATCACTCAAACAATTCTGACCATACATATACCACAACTAATCATTTTAGTGGAAACTATGGTCAAATAAAAACACAGGTCACCACTGTTTACATGTTTCTTGATAAAGGAAACAATATACTTCTTAAAAATACTACTATTGGGTGGGCACAGTGGCTCATGCCTGTAAACCCAGCACCTTGGGAGGCCCAGGCAGGAGAATTGCCTGAGCCCAGGAGTTAGAGAACAGCCTGGGCAACATAGAGAGACCCCATCTATACAAAAAACAAAAATTAGCCAGGTGTAGGGGTGCACACCACCTACCAGAGTGTAGTAGTCCCAGCTACTCAGAGGCTGAGGTGGGATGATCACTTGAGCACTGGCAATAAAATAGTAGGAAAAGAACACTAGTTTGGGAAACTGGAGACCTTGATTCTAGCCCGCCCTTGACATGTCCTTGTCATACTGACAGGACTAGCTGAATTTCCTAGGCTGACTAAGAATCCCTAAGCCTAGCTGGGAAGGTGACCGCATCCACCTTTAAACATCAGGCTTGCAACTAAACTCACACCCGACGAATCAGGTAGTAAAGAGAGCTCACTAAAATGCTAATTAGGCAAAAACAGGAGGTAAAGAAATAGCCAATCATCTATTGCCTGAGAGCGCAGTGGGAGGGACAATAATTGGGATATAAACCCAGGCATTCAAGCCGGCAATGGCTACCCTCTTTGGGTCCCCTACCTTTGTATGGGAGCTCTGTTTCTACTCTATTAAATCTTACAACTGCACTCTCTTCTGGTCTGTTTGTTACTGCTCGAGCTGAGCTTTCACTCATTGTCCACCACTGCTGTTTGCTGCCGTCGCAGACCCACCACTGACTTCCATCCCTCTGGATCCGGTAGGGTGTCCGCTGTGCTCCTGATCTTACCAGGTGCCCATTGCCGCTCCTGACTGGACTAAAGGCTTGCCATTGTTCCTGCACGGCTAAGTGCCCGGGTTCGTCCTAACTGAGCTAAACACTAGTCACTGGGTTCCACAGTTCTCTTCCGTGACCCACAGCTTCTAGTAGAGCTATAACACTCACCACATGGCCCAAGATTTCATTCCTTGGAATCCGTGAGGCCAAGCACCCCAGGTCAGAGAACACAAGGCTTGCCACTGTATCCGGAATTGGTGGGTTCTTGGTCTCACTGACTTCAAGAATGAAGCCATGGACCCTCGCGGTGAGTGTTACAGTTCTTAAAGGCGGCGTGTCTGGAGTTTGTTCCTTCTGATGTTCAGATGTGCTCGGAGTTTCTTCCTTCTGGTGGGTTCGTGGTCTCGCTGGCTCAAGAGTGAGGCTGCAGACCTTCACGGTGAGCGTTACAGCTCTTAAGGCGGCGCGTCTGGAGTTGTTTATTGCTCCCGGTGGGCTTGTGGTCTCGCTGGCTTCAGGAATGAAGCTGTAGACCTTTGCGGTGAGTGTTAAAGCTTATAAAGGCAGTGTAGACCCAAAGAGTGAGCAGCAGCAAGATTTATTGCAAAGAACCAAGCTTCCACAGTGTGGAAGGGGACCCCAGCAGGTTGCCACTGCTGGCTGGGGCAGCCTGCTTTTATTCTCTTCTCTGGCCCCACCCACATCCTGCTGATTGGTAGAGCCCAGTGGTCTGTGTTGACAGGGCGCTGACTGGTGCGTTTACAATCCCTAAGCTAGACACAAAGGTTCTCCACGTCCCCACCAGATTAGCTAGATACAGAGTGTCTATACAAAGGTTCTCCAAGGCCCCACCAGAGTAGCTAGATACAGTGTCGATTGGTGCATTCACAAACCCTGAGCTAGACACAGGGTGCTGATTGGTGTATTTACAATCCCTGAGCTAGACATAAAGGTTCTCCACGTCCCCACCAGACTCAGGAGCCCAGCTGGCTTCACCCCGTGGATCCCACTCCGGGGCTGCAGATGGAGCTGCCTGCCAGTCCCGTGCCGTGCGCCCGCACTCCTCAGCCCTTGGGTGGTTGATGGGACTGGGCTCCGTGGAGCAGGGGGTGGCGCTGGTAGGGGAGGCTCAGGTTGCACAGGAGTCCAGGGAGGGGTGGGAGGCCCAGGCATGGCGGACTGCAGGTCCCGAGCTCTGCCCCGCAGGAAGGCAGCTAAGGCCCGGGGAGAAATCAAGCGCAGCGCCAGTGGGCTGGCACTGCTGGGGGACCCAGTACACCCTCTGCAGCCGCTGGCCTGGGTGCTAAGCCCCTCATTGCCCGGGGCGGCAGGGCCGGCCAGCTAATCTGAGTGCAGGGCCCGCCAAGCCCACGCCCACCCGGAACTCCAGCTGGCCCGCAAGCGCCTCGCGCAGCCCGGGTTCCCGCTCACGCCTCTCCCTCCACACCTCCCTGCAAGCTGCGGGAGCTGGCTCCAGACTTGGCCAGCCCAGAAAGGGGCTACCACAATGCAGCGGTGGGCTGAAGGGCTCCTCAAGTGCCGCCAAAGTGGGAGCCCAGGCAGAGGAGGCACCGAGAGCGAGCGAGGGCTGTGAGGACTGCCAGCACGCCGTCACCTCTCACCACCATCTTGGAAGCAGCACACCGCCATCTTGGAAGTGGCCTGCCACCATCTTGGGAGCTCTGGGAGCAAGGATCCCCCGGTAACAATGTAATCTCTGAAAGTTACTTTAACTTCTCTGAGTCTCATTTTTTATAATGGATACTAAAAGTCCTGGCAGCTTAGCATGAACAA
Source organism: Homo sapiens (assembly GCF_000001405.40). NCBI lineage: Eukaryota > Metazoa > Chordata > Mammalia > Primates > Hominidae > Homo > Homo sapiens. Next base: position 71,963,184 of record NC_000009.12, on the reverse strand, counting down.
AAACAGTAGCATCAAATTATACTAGTAATCACTGTATCATCCCTTCCACAACCCCAGTTAAAAAACAAAAAACGCTTAAGATTTTTTTATGACACTGTTGTCATAGTAACACAACCTTTTTTTTTGGTGAGACGGAGTTTCACTCTTGTCCCCCATGCTGGAGTGCAATGGCGCAATCTCGGCTCACTGCAACCTCCACTTCCCGGGTTCAAGTGATTATCGTGCCTCAGCCTCCCGAGTAGCTGGGATTATAGCCACGCACCACTACACCTGGCTAATTTTTGTATTTGTAGTAGAGACAGGGTTTCACCATGTTTGCCGGGCTGGTCTCGAACTCCTGACCTCAAGTGATCCGCCTGCCTCGGCCTCCCAAAGTGCTAGGATTACAAGCATGAGCCACTGCGCCCAGCCAGTAACACAACTTTTTGTATTGTATAATTAAACCTATCAACATCTGGCAAATCTGTTTGAAGGAAGTAAAATTTCTCCTCTATCTTCTTAGGGTTTCCCTTTGGGACTGACATAAAATAGATTACTACTTGCTAGAAATAAAAGACTTTACGTGATTACAACTCTTCTGGCACTGCCTTCATTTCCTGGTTATTACACTTTAACCTTTAACATAATTTAGCTCCTGTCGTACTTTCATGTATGTGATGACGAGGTACTTTTGTAAACAGTGTTCCACAGTACTCCACCCTTGGTGTACAAAACAGAAACGCAACATTGCTGAAGTTTCATAAAGTCCTATTTTCCTGCAATGGCTCTAAGTCATCTGTAGTCAACATAGCAAGATCATAAAACTTTACTATGGGATAACATCATATGCTACTTAGAGAATGCTTTTAAGGAAACAATATCCCCAAATTCTAAGTATCTCGAGTATAAGAACTTATTACACAGTTCACTTCCTTGTGTCCCTAGATTACAAGTTTGAAAGTAAATGAAGAGGCTATATATACTACCTTGTCTTAATGCAGTAGACAAGTAGATTACAATAATTCTTAATTTTATTTTTTGAGACAGGGTCTCACTCTGTCGCCCAGGCTGGAGTACAGTAGTGCAATCACAGCTCATTGAAGCCTCAACTTCCCAGGCTTAAACAATCCTTGCACCTCAGCCTCCAGAATAGCTGGAACTACAGGAGCACGTCACCACGCCTAGCTAATTTTTTCTATTTTTTGTAGTGACAGGGTCTCACTATGTTGCCCAAGTTGGTCTAGCACTTTTGGGCTCAAGGCATCCTCCAGCCTCGGCCTCCCAAAATACTGGGTTTACAGCCCATAATTCATAACGGGTACAAAATATTTACCTCTGACCAAGTGTAGTTTATGAAAAATAAAAAATAAAAATTATTCAATACTTTAGGGCAGGCAATTTTAAATCAAAGCATGAACTGGAGTCCTCATGAACTGGAGAGGCATTGAAGGAAGTAATAAAAGCTCTCTACTGCTTTCACCTTTAAAGACAGTAAGACCATGGTTGTGGGCAACAAACGACAATACAGCCACAGTTTACAGTTATTTTATACTATCATGTGATACAAAGAGCTATCAATGACTAAAACTCCACTCTAGAACATTTTAATACTCTTGGAATGTGGTGACACAATTTTTTTGTTTTTGAGGCGGAGTCTTACTTTGTTGCCCAGGCTGGAGTGCAGTGGCGCGATCTCAGCTCACCACAACCTCAGCCTCCCAGGTTCAAGCGATTCTCCTGCCTTAGCCTCCCTGGTAGCTGGGACTACAGGTGCATGCCACCATGCCCGGCTAATTTTTGTATTTTTAGTAGAGACAGGGTTTCACTTATGTTGGCCAGGCTGGTCTCGAACTTCTGACCTCATGATCCACCCGCCTTGGCCTCCCAAAGTGCTGGGATAACAGGTGTGAGCCACTGCGCCTGGCCGTGGTGACCCAATTTTCAAATCACTAATTAACCTTCAGAGCCTCAGCCTGTTATAAGAAATGCTGGAGGCCAGGCGTGGTGGCTTACACCTGTAAATCCCAGCACTCTGGGAGACCGAGGTGGGCGGATCACCTGAGGTCCGGAGTTTGAGACCAGCCTGACCAACATGGAGAAATCCCGTCTCTACTGAAAATACAAAAATAGCCGGGTGTGGTGGCGCATGCCTGTAATCCCAGGTACTCGGGAGGCTGAGGCAGGAGAATCACTTGATCCCGGGAGGCAGAAGTTGTGGTGAGCCAAGATTGTGTCACTTTTCTCCAACTTGGGCAAAAAGAGCAAAACTCCGTCTCAAAAAAAAAAAAAAAACAATTTGGAACTGAAAAACGGCCAATGTGCATTGCCACACACTGGTAAACATGAAGGAACAGATAGATATGTAGAATATGGCCGGGTGTGGTGGCTTGCGCCTGTAATCCCAGCACTTTGTGGCAGATCACTTGAGGTTAGGAGTTTGAGACCAGCCTGGCCAACATGATGAAACCCCATCTCTATTAAAAATACAAAAATTAGCCAGGCATGGTGGCAGGCGCCTGAATTCCCAGCTACTCAGGAGGCTGAGGCAGAGGTTGCAGTAAGCTGAGATCGCCCCACTGCACTCCAGCCTGGGTGACAGAGAGAGACTCTGTCTCAAAAAACAAAAACAGACAAAAAAGACCTGTAAAATGTAACTGTTTACTTTTGTTTGATAAAATAACAAAAATAATAACCCAGTTTTTAAAAACTAGAAATCCAGACCCTAAGCCAACTTTCCAAGTTTAGTTTTCTTTTCATTTAATGTATATTCAAAATAGACTGAAACCTCCTTTTGATAGGCAACTTTGATTACTGTTCATGGATCACCAAAAGTTATGCAATGAGAAAAAAGAAAAAGTAACAAGAGCAAATGAATGAAGAAATGATAATTTATGTGGAACAAAAAAACAGGACATATAAAGACAGCCCGGGATTATCTGTATTGTCTATGAAAGTCAACAGGATTCTTGTTCATTTTCCCTCCATTCCCTGGTCCCTCCTCACAGGGTTTCCTATCACTGTGATTATTCATACCACTCTTCTACCTTTAAGTTTTTTCTAGACCTGTCTCTCTGGGTTTCATTTCATTTTTCTGCAGCCTTACCTTGTGTCCTCTGCATCTCTTTCTCCTTTTACTCACACCTAGCACTTTTTGCAAACTGCCCAGAATTATCTGTGGAGTCTCTCTCTCCAAATAGATGGTAAATTCCTGGGCGTCACAGATTCATTTGCTATCTTCTTTTGACATACAACACAGTGTCTTGTACATTGAGGATGCTATTTAAAATAATTGCAAATTGAACGCAGTTTCCTATCTGTCATCTTTAACAATCTTGCTTTTGCTCAGAAATTAAGAGCTCTGATTGGAATATTATTCCCCAATATAACCATGGACTGTTCCTAGAGACAATTTTGTTCTTAATACAACACGTGAATTATAGTAAATTATCTTTCACATCCAGTCCAGCTTCTTGGTTCTTGCAGGTAACAGCAGACCTGGTTACACAAGACAAGGTGTTCTAACAGGTATTATTTTGGTTCTATAAAGGAAAACTCTACTTAAGTTAGGGACCTGACATTAAAATAAAAGCCAGAAATAGATTATGAAACTTTAAAAAATCTAGATGCTAGTTTTGAGTATACTGTTTACTAGCTTACAGAGTAAGACACCTAATTTTTCTAAGGCTACCTCCTTATCTGTTCTTGCTACCTCTACAGGGTTGTTATTAGAATCCAACATATGTGACAGAGGTTTGAAAATGTTAACTTTGGCCGGACACAGTGGCTCACGCCTGTAATCCCAGCACTTTGGGAGGCTGAGGCAGGCGGATCATCTGAGGTCGGGAGTTTGAGACCAGCCTGACCAACATGGAGAAACCCTGTCTCTACTAAAAATACAAAATTAGCCGGGCATGGTGGGGCGTGCCTGTAATCCCAGCTACTCGGGAGGCTGAGGCAGGAGAATCATTTGAACCTGGGAGGCAGAGGTTGCAGTGAGCCGAGATCGTGCCATTGTACTCCAGCCTGGGCAATAAGAGTGAAACTCTGTCCCAAAAAAGAAAAAAAAAAAAGAAGAAAATGTTAAATTTAAAATAAATATCTTATTTGTCCACTCTGAATTCAAATTCTGGGGTTAAAATATATAATATATATGATGTGGCAGCCATTGGCCCTTGGCCTCTTAAAGTTTTGTTAAAAATAATTGACAAGAGGTGGATTGACTAATAGGAGAAAAGGCTATAAATTTACTTAATGTGCATACACAGGAGCCTTCAGAATGAAGATCCAAGTTCTCAACAGTTTCAGAAACTTATATAATATCTTGAGGTTATAGAAAGAATGGGGGCTTAGATTCTGGTAAAGCAGAGCAGGGAAGAGGTTTGGCCAGCAAAAGTGGCCTGGTTATGTAGAGGAGCCTCCCTCAGAGAGACTTTTAAAGGTGTCCTGCTCTCAGTCTCTCCTGGATCTGGGGAAAGAAAGAGAAAGGGGAGGGGGTATGACTGCATTAATGGAGATTCTATACGGATACCAATTTTCCCTACTTAAGACAGCTTTGCAAGGCCACTTTTGTCAGGATGGTGAAGTGGCAGCCATTTCAAAATACATCAAAGAAATATATTTTCAGGGTAAAATATTTTAATTACTGGCCGGGCGCGGTAGCTCACGTCTGTAATCCCAGCACTTTGGGAGGCTGAGGCGGGCGGATCACCTGAGGTCAAGAGTTCGAGACCAGCCTGACCAACATGTAGAAACCCTGTCTCTACTAAAAATACAAAATTAGCTGGTCGTGGTGGCGCATGCCTGCATTCCCAGCTACTCAGGAGGCTGAGGCTGGAGAATGGCTTGAACCCGGGAGGCAGAGGTTGCGGTGAGCAGAGATCATGCCATTGCACTCCAGTCTGGGCAACAAGAGCGAAACTCCGTCTCAAAAAAAAAAAAATTTATATATATAAAAATATAAAAAATATATATATAATATATATATATATTTTAATTACCTTCAATTACCTCCTTAGGCCAGCTTGAAGTACTTGGGATCTTTTCCTTTCCATTTACCCTATTTCCCCAAACAACACCAGCTTCCTGAACATTCTCTGAAGAATTCCAGCAATAATTCTCAAAATTCCCACCAATAGAGTATGATTTCTAGTTTTAAGGGACTTAACTGTTCTGGTTTCAACCTTTTACACTTAAAATTCCACTAGAAAGGATACATCATTCAGACCTTAAATAGTACAAAGACTGCACTTCCAAAATACCAGTAAAGGTTCTATAATACCAAAGCTACTTCTACATCCCAATTCTTACTAATAAGGATTTTATTGATCTAAGACATATTCTCTGCAATGCCATTCCTAATCCTTATTTGTGGAAGTGATGCTGTATCATGGCTCATGGTGGGAAAAACATACACAACTGCAGGGGTTTTCTCAGCTATTTATAGTAGATCTTTACCGTGTTTATGAGGAATGGGGAGGAAGGAGAAAGAAAAGACCTGGACTACTGTTGAAGTATTTACTATCTTTTAATTGTGCTTGGATTCTGGAAAATAGCATTTATGTTTTGACTATCTTCATCTTAATAACCTCTGCCATCACAAACTTACCTGATTTTTCAAATAAACTACACATAGGTACACACTCATCTAAAGAGAGGAACAGGCTAACAATGAAGTTTTAATCATTTAATATCTTTCTCCTGTTGTATTTTAGAACAAATTTTCCTTCCTAATTTATTATGTTCTTTGCAGCAGTAAGTAATCAGTTTTTCACTGAGTAATATGATATTTAATAATTACTTATTTCAATGAAATTGACTGAGATTTCACCTGGAGTTTGGTGCAAAATTTAACTCAATGCTTAAAAATACCAATTCTTCTGTCTTAGCCAATAAATCTTTAAAATGTAATGAATACAACTGATATGAACTTCATCTTCTATTTCCACTTAGTCTGATACCCTAAATTAATAACAAAAATAATGGGTGAAATTTGGGGCAGGATGTGAAGGGGCTTGATAATCTATCAACTGGATAAATAATCACATTGCTATGTTAGTTTAAGTGGTAAACATAAAACTATAGAAAGTCAGTCTTGGCCGGTGCTGTAGCTCATGACTGTAATCCCAGCACTTTGGGAGGCCAAGGCTGGCAGAGGTCAGGAGTTCGAGTTCAGCCTGGCCAACATGGTGAAACCTCGTGTCTACTTAAAAAAAAAAAAAGTCAGTCTTCAGGGAATAAACACACAAATTAAACACTCAATTTTAACCAAGACCTTTTACATTCTATACTGTTTCTTCTTGTCATATATTCTATCATGAAGGCACTTAACTTTGTTCATTTCTCTTTAGCTATTTCTCTTTAGAAAATATGAGCAAGTCAAAGACTCTTCTCTGGCTATGACCCTAGTATAGACTGAGAATCCCTTATCTAAAATATTTGGGGTGAGAAGTGTTCAGATTTTTTTTTCCCCCAGGTTTTGAAATATTTGCTAATACTAAGAGTTGAGCATTCCAAATCCAAAAATCTGAAATCTGAAATGCTCCTATAAACATAGCCTTTGAGCATTATGTTGGCACTCAAAAAGTTTCAGATTTTAGGACATTTTGGATTTGGAATTTGGGACGCTAAAACTGTATTATAAAATATAAAGCTTTTGTGGGCCGGGTGCAGTGGTCCACACCTGTAATTCCAGCACTCTGGGAGGCTGAGGCGGGCAGATCACCTGAGGTCAGGAGTTTGAGACCAGCCTGACCAACATGAAGAAACCCCGTCTCTACTAAAAATACAAAATTAGCTGAGCGTGGTGGTGCATGCCTGTGATCCCAGCTACTTGGGAGGCTGAGGCAGGAGAATCAGTTGAACCTGGGAGGTGGAGGTTGTGGCGAGCCAAGATCGCGCATTACACTCCAGCCTGGGCAACAAGAGCGAAATTCTGTCTCAAAAAAAAAAAAAAAAAAAAAAAAACTTTTGCATTCCCCTTCCTATTACCAATTGTGATACCCAATGCTTATTAGCATGTAAACAGTTGTTTTATTAGAAGATTCTACAATAAGGCATATAATGTTCAGATGTCCTGAAATAAACATATTCTTTAAAGAAGAAAAAACATGTAAAAATTCTTTCATAGTAATGCACTAAAAAATCCATTTATTTTTCCTTGACTACAAATGTATTTATTTGTAAACTAAATGGATTTGTATCCATTTATTTTTCCTTTTCATTGACTACAAATATATCAAAATGGAGGCAAGTCAAAGTGGTTAAAACATACGGACTATAAAAATTAGCCATTTAAATCATAGGTCTCCATTCAGATGCTACAAATTCAGATTGCATGGAGATCAAGGACTCACTTTGTACTGATCACTGCATATAGCATACATTATTCCTCAGGTACCTCCTAGTGAGTGGTATGCTCAGTTTCTAAGCACTGAGAACAAGTACAGCTTGGATGGCTACAGATGGAATCTACTGATAAATTAAATTTGGCCTAAAGCTGCCTGGGTACATATTTTAAGTTTGGCCTAAAGGTTTCTCTCTATATACTGAACTGTAACATAACTTGATGTGTAAACTGACTGTAACCTACTATTGTAACAGTAACCAAGTCTCAGCCAACCATAGTCAGCCAATTGTTCAAAGTAGGTTCAAATAAGGCAAATGCCAAGCTGTAACCAATCCAGCTGTTTATGTACTTCAGTTTTGGACAGAAAAAGGAAAATGACCTTTGGACAGTTTTGGACAGAAAAAGGTCACTTCCCTTTTTCTGTCCAAAACCGTTATTGAAGCACATGGCAGCCCTGAGAGTTGCTCTGAAACTACTCTGGTTCTGGGAGGTGCCTGATTCTTCATTCTTTGCTCAATTAAACTCTGTTAAATTTAATTTGTCTAAAGTTTTCTTTTAACATAACCTATCAAAATTGTGATTACAACTAGTTTAAGGAGACTCTGGTTTCCTTGAGTGCTTACTCAATGAACAAATATAAGTAATGAATGCCAATTGATAGACACATACAATAATACAATGCCAAGGACTGAGTGCAAGAAACTATCATGAATTTAACCATAAACTGGCCAATATATCTCTCTGTCCACTAATTTGTCTTCATTGAAAAATGAGGACAGTGATACTCTATTAAGCAACATTTTAGGGGTATAGAAATTCTTCCCTTTAAAAATAGAGGCTAAAAAAAGGAAAGGGGTTGGTTAATAAAATATTATCTTTAACGTCTTGGTTTGGCTAATTTAGTTACAAGAAAGCTTTGTAGCAAAGAGGGAGCAAGCACACGGTTAGGAAGGCAGCCTTATGGTGGCATAACTGTCAGAGGTGTGTGAACCAGAGCAACTCCATCTTGAATAGGAGCTGGGTAAAATGAAGCTGAGACCTACTGGGCTGCATTCCCAGATGGTTATTAAGACATTCTAAGTCACAGAATAAGATAGGAGATTAGCACAAAATACAGGTCATAAAGACCTGCTGATAAAACAGGTTGCAGTAAAGAAGCTGGCTAAAACCCACCAAAACCAAGATGGCCACTAGAATGTCCTCTGGTTGTCCTCACCGCTACACTCCCACCAGCACCATTACAGTTTACAAATGCCATGGCAATGTCAGGAAACTAACCTACATGGTCTAAAAAGCAAAGACATGAATAATCCACCCCTTGTTTAGCATATCATCAAGAAATAACCATAAAAATGGGCAACCAGCAGCCCTCGGCTCTGCTCTGTCTGTGGAGTAGCTGTTCTTTTATTCTTCTACTTTCTTAATAAACTTGCTTTCACGAGATCCAAGAACCCTCTCTTGGGGTCTGGATTGGGACCCCTGTCCTGTAACATAACCTATTTGGCAACATCTCAGTCCCCCATCTCATTTTCTCCCAAACAGTAACACCTTTTTCCCTACAGTCTAGAGGACCCCCTCCCCCCGACCAACCAATCCCCCCAGCCAACTCTCACATTATAGTACACATATAAAAGCAGAACTTCTCTGCTGACAAAGCTCTCTTAGCCTCCTGCTGCTAGAGTCCCACCCATCACCACTGGAGCCCTTGACTCAACTTATGTAAAATACGCTTTTTTTTTTTTTTTTCCAAGCTGGGGTCTTGCTCTGTCACCCAGGCCAGAGTGCAGTGGTGTGATCACAGCTCACTGCTGCCTTGACTGCCCAGGCTCAAGTGATCTTCCAGCCTCAGTCTCCTGCCTCAGTCTCCCGAGCAGCTAGGACCACAGGTGCGCGTCAGCATGCCTGGCTAATTTTTAAAATTATTTGTAGATATGAGGTCTTGCTATGTTGCCCAGGCTAGTCTCAAACTCCTAGAATCAAGTGATCCTCCTGCCTTAGCTTCTCAAAGTGCTGGGATTACAGGTGTGAGCGACTGTGCCTGCCTCCCTCCCCCACTTTTTTTTAAACCACTGGTTTAGTCAACTCTGAAGCCACAGAGGTATCTGAGTAGAGGTGAGATGAGATGCAACGATCAATTTAAAAGAGGAGAATTTACTTATTCAATGCAATGAAGTATGAATAGGTAAGGGGTACACTTGGGCAATCAGTGGGAACAAAAGTTGAGAGGCAATAAATCTGGTGGGGTTAAATACCTGGATGTGAGGGCCAGAAGAGTGACTCTGTTCAATTAAAATATTTAATGAAAAGGAAACAGTTTTTTAAGGAATAAAGCATCCTCATGACATGAAACTCTCAGGCCAGACATCTCTAGAGTAATGCTGGTTCCAAGGCAGGTTATATTAGCTTTTTCCTCCTTCACTTGAAATATTTTTATGATGAAATCTTCTTTCAGTGAACATTTATCACACAGCTTGTAAGGTCTGGGCTCCCTTCTCCTCATTTAGGGCAGTTCTGTTTTAGCCTGTTGTATTCATGGGACTCCTGGATAAGCGTTTTATTAAAGAATTTGACAGCTGAAAAGTTTGAAAACCACTGAACTAAGATACAGGATGTTTCAGTGCCTTGGCTTTGTGAGTATCTATCTATTCGGTACAGAGCAAGGCTTCTCAACCAAGACACTCTTGACATGTTGAGCTGGGTGTTTCTTTATTGTGGCGGGCCGTCTTGTGAACTGTGGGATGTTTAGCAGCATCCCTGGTCTCTTTACACTGTGTGTCAGTAGCACCCTTCCTGGGGACAAACTCCATCCTCAAGCCACCTCCTTAACTGAGAACCACAGATGTAAAGAATTCACAGGTCCAGTTCCAAGCTCAGACCCCAATCTGTTTGAGGACTGTGCTGTTTTATACCAGCTTCTCTTTTCTTTTCTACTACTATGGCAAGGTTAAACATTGGCTAACATTATAATGCTGGTGATTTTTTTTTTTTAATAGGTAGAGAAAAGCAGGCTCGAGATTCTCACATAAATGGGGGTATTCGTCTGCCACATTTCTAAATTAATAGGAGAAAAGGTTGCTTGGTTACCTGAAATAAAAGTCAAAAAAGGTTTCTAGGTACCAGCATAGGCATTTCAGGGCCTGAAAGCAAAATCCAATTATCTTTCCACAAGTATATGTATTAAAAAATAAAGGCAGGCTGGGCCAGGCATGGTGGCTCATGCCTGTAATCCCAGCACTTGGGGAGGCTGAGGTGGGCGGATCACGAGGTCACGAGGTGACCATCCTGGCTAACACGGTGAAACCCCGTCTCTACTAAAAATACAAAAAAAATTAGCCGGGTGTGGTGGTGGGCGTCTGTAGTCCCAGCTACTCGGGAGGCTGAGGCAGGAGAATTGTGTGAACCCAGGAGGCGGAGCTTGCAGTGAGCTGACATCGTGCCACTGCACTACAGCCTGGGCGACAGAGCGAGACTCCGTCTCAAAAAATAGAATGAATAAATAAATAAATAAATAAATAAAAGCAAGGTGGTCCTCAGCAGGATATGTGGTACTCAACAGCAGACAATGTCCATAAACAAGATAGGTGATATTTGTAAAAATTAATGAAGCATTAGGTCCAGGTGAAGAGGAGAAAAGGACTTTTTGAATTGAATAATACAATGCTGAGAAATCACTGAGAGAAAAGGAAAACAAGGCTTTGGAATCCAATCAATTTGCATTTGAATCTTACCTCCATCTGCTTTACTTTTGTCTTGGTAAGAAGTATAATCCTTCTGAGCCCAGAATAAAGAAAATAACTAATTTCATCTGGCCTTGCACTGCTTGAGGAAAGGGACAAAATCTTTTAAACATTTATATTTCTAGTACCTTGAAAAATATATAAATGTCTATAATGACTTTTAAGTATAAAAATATCAAGATTCCTTCCTTAAGATTTATACAAATTATTTAATATATTTTTACGTTTATTTTTTTCATAGGCATTACTGACTGGGATTGTTTTATATTTATAAGATCTCTTGTTTCTCCAACAATTCAGCTCCATATCGAGATTATTTACAGGTTCATGAATGACTTGGGATTGACCAGGAATGGTAATGAATGGTTTTCATTTATTTTGGGGTTCTTTTTCAAAAGTAAAAAACAAGGCACTTGAAAAATAAAACTTTATACAAAAAGATTTAGACTTTTCCTGAACCCTAATTCTTATATATATGAATAATCTTAAAGTCTGAACCCTCTTTTTCAAGTCTAACAATGCTTATGCCATCCTGTGTCAAGGGAGATACTGACAGCACCATTGCAGCCCTCCCGCAGGGAGTAGTAGGTACTGGCCTTAAGAAATGGGTAGGAGGATCTTGGTACAGATTGTGCTGACTTCTAATTAAGGGTGGTGGCTGGTCTTGGTGCTTTATCTTTATGAGCTTATCACTTTATTCCTATAAAGACCTAAAGCTTTGAGTAGTCAGAGATATTTATCTCATTACGTCAAAGGACAGTACCACTGTCACACTGTTTATGTATCGCTGATAAGTGAGATGCTTTTTATCCCCTCATCTTTCATAGCCATCATCCTATCCTCCTTCAGTACATACATAATTTTCAATTCATCTCTCTTCCAACTTAAGTTAGGACATTTATTCTTTTCTAAAAAGTCTCTGGAGATGGTCCAGGATTGTATTCAGTAACTGAGAGAAAATTCCATAAAGAACATGTTTATAAAAATACTGCAGCATGTCACCTCACTGAAAAAAGAAAAAGAGAAACATGCAATATTCTGTCAGCTACGAACGCAGTAAAATTTTTGTTTCCCATGGTTGAAACAGGTAAGTCTGAAGAGTTTATAGGTCAAACTCTTTTTCTTTGATTTAACTTTTGGCATTGGATCGCACGAACAAATGGAAATTTGCTAATTAACACGCGGTTTTTGGTGATTCACAAGGTAAACAAATGGGAGAAAAAGTTTTAATTTTCCCAATATCCAGGATATTATTACTTCTAAAAGAAATGTCACTTATAAAAAGCCCCACCATGCCCTGTATTTTATGTTGTGCAGAACTTTTCTTTATCTACATCATTTAGTTACACAATTTGTGGCAATAGATAGACACATGAAACAATATTCAACATTTTAACTGATGGAAATACTCAGCATGGCAGAAAAATAAATCTTTATACAAAAGATATATCCAAGGCTGGGTGTGGTGACTCATGCCTATAATTCCAGCACTTTGGGAAGCCGAGGCAGGTGGATCATGAGGTCAAGAGTTCAAGATCAGCCTGGCCAACATGGTGAAACTCTGTCTCTACTAAAAATACAAAAATTAGCCGGGCACAGTGGCATGTGTGTGCCTGTAGTCCCAGCTACTCCAGAGGCTGAGGCAGAAGAATCGCTTGAACCCAGGAGGCAGAGGCTGCAGTGAGCTGAGACCGTACCATTGCATTCTAGCCTGGGCAACAGGGTGAGACTCTGCCTCAAAAAAAAACAAAGACAAAAGGTATATCCAGTAAAATTCATATACAAACCCTAACAAATGACAAATCTAATTCATAAGTGATTAGCTTGAACAAAACATTAAACATTTTAAGTAATGCTACCATCAGCATAAGCAATGGATTCAAATCCCTTACAATGTTGGTCAAGTCTTAATATGCAGAGAAAGTGAAGTGAATGAATATAAGTGAGTTTTACTTTCTATAACACTCTCAATCCTGGATTGGAGTTTGAAAGCTAGGCTTTCCAGTATGTCTAATGTGCCATGTGTTCAGGACCTTCTGAAATACATGATGTTCTAGGCCAGGCAAGTAACCTCCTAAGTAATATGTTTAGACTGATGGGATTCAGAACATGCTACCCCAAAATATGGCGCTTTGGCATACTGAGTATTTTGAGCTGAAGAAATGTGACAAACAGCAAATGTAGGAAGGACTCTCTGATCCACCCCTGAAGTAGGCCATAAGACCCTTATATGAGAGGTGCCCTTCCTATACCTAGAGGAAAGGACCATGCTTATCTCTAAAAACAGAGGAACAGTAAGAGGAATCTGAATGAACAAGCCCTGCTGTTTAGTTTACTACCCTTAGCTCATTTAGTTTACTATGCTTAGCCCTTTGTTTTTATCCCCTATCACATTTTCCCCATGATTTTCCACTCCCATCAAACCTAGCATAAAACCACACAGGTTTACCCATTTCTTTGGGTCTTTGTTTCCTTATGAAGGCTTTGGTGTCACAAAAAGCTTACATTAAATAAATCTGTATATTTTTCTCTTCTTAATCTGGTTTTTGTTAGAGAGCCAAGGGTGAGAACTTAGACTGGTAGAAGGAAAGGACTTTTTTCCTCCTCTACAAGATCTTGTTTTAACTAGCAGTTTCTTTTTTTTTGGAGATGGAGTCTTGCTCTGTCGCGAGAAAACAAAATACATAAGTTCAGAAGTTCTACAGCAAAATATAGCATCTGGAAAATTTACAATAACTGATGTGATCTTTTTTACACACTGACACATTTAAAATGAAGATAAACATATAGGATTTAGCACATATTAAAGGTAAGAGATTTAAATACTGATGATGGATAAGGCAGGAATGTTTTTAAATCATTTCCTTTGTTACACAGCACTAATCTATTAAAATGCTGTGACTACATAAATGTTGTTTATTGCCTACACTTCAAATTCTTTTAGGAAACAACACTATAAAGAGAAAATGGAGATGGATCATGAAATCTTAAAATACCTTTATAGGAATAAAAACTTGTTGAAAATATTCAGAAAGCTACAAATCTTGTATGAGGCCTATTAACTAAAACTACATGATTTATTTTGCAATCAACATCTAATTACTCTAGCAGAGAACACAATTCATTCATGGAAATCTAAAATTGGGTAATGCAAATAGTTGCCAAATTTCCTTACTGCTAATTTGGGCCACTAAGCATAAAACTCATCAGACTTGTTTAAGAGTGTTTTCTTTTGGGAGGAAATGCTAGAGGAAGAAAAGACTAAAAGGAGCAAGAAGCTGGTAAAACTATTTAAAGGGGGGGGGGGGGGCGTGGCTCACGCCTGTAATCCCAGCACTTTGGGAGGCTGAGGTGGGTGGATCACTTCAGGTCAGGAGTTTGAGACCGGCCTGGCCAGCACAGTGAAATCTTGTTTCTACCAAAAAAATACAAAAATTAGCCAGGCATGGTGGTATGTACCTGTAGTCCCAGCTACTCAGGAGGCTGAGGTAGGAGAATTGCTTGAACCTGGGAGGCGGAGGTTGCAGTGATCTAAGATTATGTCACTGCACTGCAGCCTAGGTGACACAGTGAGACCCTATCTCAAAATAAATTAAATAAATAAATAAATAAAATAAAACAAAAGGGGGGTCAACTATACCTGTAATAAATACTAGACTGCTCCAAAACGGAGTACAGAAAAAAAAATCTAAAAAGCTTAAGTTAGTTTATCCTTCCTTAACACTTTTGCCTTTCAGTGTTCAAATATTTTGAAGTAAACAAATTATTTTATATCTTAAGTTTCAGATTTGCAAAAGGCTGTCATAATTTTTTAGTAGATATAAACAAAGGTCATATTGTATCTATTATTTAGACTGATTTTCTAAACTGTAAGCAAAATTTTTTCCCATAAAGGAAGAAGGAATGCATTCAAAGATGATGAAACTATTGAATAGTCAGAAAAATAAGGCAACAGAGAGCAAATATAGTCTAAATAGCTACTATATAGATTACCAAATTAAATCTTATAATGTAAAAGGAACAATGCTAATTTTTATTTAAGATAATCACTTTTCTCTTTCATGCAGCAATTACTCTCCAATATTGTCCTTACACAGCTGAGCTGAAGGATGTCAGGGAGCTGTAGAGGATGCACAGAAGGCTGATATAAGAGAACCCCAGAATTACACAAGAGTTAAGTCTGGGCGCGGTGGTTCATGCCTGTAATCCCAGCACTTTGGGAGGCCTAGGCGGGCAGATCACCTGAGGTCAGGAGTTTGAGGCCAGCCTGGCCAACATGGCAAAACCCCGTCTCTACTAAAAATACAAAAAAATTAGCCAGGCATGGTGGTGGGCGCCTGTAATGCCAGTTACTTGGGAGGCCGAGGCAGGAGAATCGCTTAAACCTGGGAGGCAGAGGTTGCAGTGAGCTGAAATTGCATCAGTGCACTCCAGGCTGGGTGACAAGAGCAAAACTCCATCTCAAAAAAGAAAGAAAGAAAAAAAAAAAAGGATTTAGGGATGGCAGGATCAGAAACAAAATCTAGTATCTTTTCATTTAGACCTCTATTCCCAAAGAAATAATAAGTTATCAATCTAGTGATTCACTTCTAATATTTAACCTCAGCCATTTCTGTAATCTTCATGAGTTGAATTAAAAGGTCTAAAGGTCTGATCCGTTTTAAGAATTGATAATTTATGGTGCATAGTATTACCTTATCAGTGGAAGACAGAATTGTAGAAAACAAATACTCTCTTCTCAGCCCTAACCCACCTTTCATGAATAAAGTTCTATAAAAATGATGCATATTTATGAAAGAATGGGGCAGGAAATGATGAATTTAACTTTTTAAATCTGTCGGCCTTCACAAACCAAGATTCAGCACACAAGATGAAATTCTACAGGGGAGAATGGAATTTTTTCATCATTTACTTTAACATTTATTTGGACACAATTTTGAAAATCAGGAAATGAAATAATAAACTATGATACATATACCACCAAGTAAGGTAATGAAGAATCTTAACTCACCACTTTTTAGGTTTTGATAATGGTTTGTATTTGCTGTATTTTACACGCCACTCAAGAACTTCTTTACAGCGCTGACATACTCCATCATGAAGTTTTGCATTAATTTTCTTAAAAACAAACAGAAAGACAAATTGAGAATTTCACGCGTGAGCCAGCATTGCAAATCCCATAAAAGAGTGTATGAGATGTAAGTTTTAAAATATAACTGAACCTTAATCTGCATAACAATTTATGATATATTATGTATTTTTATGTATATTACTCAATTTGTTATTTTTTCTTACAAAGGCAATCGTTCTTTTTTTTTTGTTTTTTTTTTGAGACAGAGTCTCACTCTGTCGCCCAGGCTGGAATGCAGTGGCACAATTTTGGCTCACTGCAACCTCCACCTCCTGGGGCTCAAGCAATACTCCTGCCTCAGCCTCCTGAGTAGCTGGGATTACAGGCGCGTGCCACCATGCCCAGCTAATTTTTTGTATTTTAGTAGAGACAGGGTTTCACCATGTTGCCCAGGGTGGTTTTGAACTCCTGAGCTCATGATTCACCCGCCTCGGCCTCACAAAGTGCTGGGATTACAGGCATGAGCCACTGGGGCCTGGCCCTCATCTAGAAAATTTTTAACCTTCCCATTGATTCTGATGTATATATGTGTCAAAACTCAAAACTGCACAGTTAAGATATGTGTATTTCATAGTATGTAAGTTATATCTCAATAAAAACATAATAATAGAAAAGAAAACCTTGCTCATATTTGAAGACTATCATTTCAACAATTCAAATCCTCCCCGTGAGTTGGAATTAAACTGAGAAATTGGGCTGTCCTGAATTGTCAGTTTGTTGAAGAGAACAGAGACTGAAATTTGAGGAAGGGGTGCCAGGGAGAAGCAGCTGGAAGCAAAAAGGCATTTCATTTTTCAGTTTTATGCTTTTGAATTCTCATGTTAAAAAAGTTTTAGAAAAGTTCCCCCTACTAACTTGGTTTCTTCAAACTTAAATAATATGTATTTGTATGTAAATATCTGTAGTGGAGAAAGGGCTTTATAAGGAAAAGTTTTTTATTGTAATTTTCTTTTCAAAATGTGTTGGGAAAGAAGGAAGATAGGAAAAATTTAAATGTGTCATGTATTTTCTCTAATAGTTTTATATTTTTGTAACATACTCATTTGATTCAGGACACAGACTATATATTTTCACTGAGTACTCTGAGAATTCTCTAGTTTGCTTTGGCTGTGAAAGCTTGGTCTTTGCCTATTGTTGGAATAATGAGCAGAAGACATTTAAAATTTTCTTTGCTTCTTTTGTTTTCTTTTAAAATTTCTCAAGGGGAGAAAGAAATGCACCACAAGTATGCAGATTCTTTGGGAGGCTATTAGATATTAAGTTAAAAGCACAATGTTTACATCAGATCATCTGAAAGAAACAATTTTTGAACAGCGCTTGATATTCTTGAAAGTTCTAAACAAAAAGATAAAATATTTGATAAAACATTTATTCAATGAGAAAATATTTTAGAAATATTGTGAAAAACCATAAATTAAGCTGTGAATATATTTCATTTTATTTAATTTTTCTCTTTCTTCAAGGAATCTTCACCATCAGGAAGTGTGAATATATTATGTTTAACTTTGTGATGAGAAATACATTCTGTTACTTACAAATTGTGTATGGGTGCATTCCTTCCTTCTGGACATAGATGGAGAGTCCCAGTTCTGCATGCTACTATATCCCCTGCTTACTCTAGGCCCCTAACTGTTGCCAGAAAGAAGGAAATCTGTGCCTACACACCAAACTCTTCGTCCTCTCAACCTTTGTACTTATTAATAGTTATCATGGACAAAGCTAGCTAAGAAATGCAGAAGCAAAGTTCACATTCATCATTTGTCTTCTCTGTCGTCTAGAACATCTTACTAAGCATTACTTATATTTCCTTAACTGAATGACTTTGAACTATGACTTCAATATGAATGTGATATTAACTTCCTAATTGGAACATTCTTAGAACACAGACATTTCACTACCTGCAATTTTATTGTATATAACACATTCTGCTTGTTAACTAGGAAGCATTCTTTGGTTCCTTGTTTGTTTCTGTATCCAATTTCTGACCAGTTCATCTTGATTTACAAAGCTGTGCAGAGTTTGGAAACTGGTTTCTTTAGGGTGGATCAACAGTAGAACAAAACAGGTCTTTGTGGGAACTTGTCCTGTGAGTGATGTGTGAAGCAGTATAAATAGATATGTTGTACAGGGTTCATATGACTAACAGGCACTACTATCAAATTAAACTTGATTTTTATGTGTTAAGAAATTAATGAGAGTAAGAATGAGAAAGAATAGTACTTTTCACTTAAAAATAGGTGCAGAAGAAAGAAAAGTATATACCTGTTTTACCATTCTTTGGCAAAACAGAAGTGAATTCCAGAGATGTGAGCAAAGAAAGTTAATCCTAGTTCTAGGAATCCTTCTGCCTGGGGGGAAGGAAATGACAATCTAACCTTATTCACATTTATATTTACAATTAACCCTATTTTGGCAATTACTTTTAGTGTATCCCTCATGGTAGAAGATCATAGGTAATTAAGGTTAAAACTTAAGTCTGTCCAAATATAAAATCAAAAGTTTTATAAATACAAAAGCCTATAAAGGTCATTTAGTTCGTTCAACAAGCTACTTTCCAGATTTGTGAAGAAAAAAAAAATCTTCAGTGGAAGAGTCCACTGAACTTAGGAATCAGTGAAAGAAGAAACCCTTACTTATCAAATGAATACTTTTCAAAGTTAGAATAAACTTAAGGAACATCAAAAAACATGCCTACTTAATATATACATAACGTCTTAAAAATGTCTTAGCCATCATTCCTACAACTTTTTTTTTTTTTTGAGACAGAGTCTCACTCTGTTGCCCAGACTGGTGTGCAGTGGGGCAATCTTAGCTCACTGCAACCTCTGCCTCCTGGGTTCATGCAATCCTCCTGTCTCGGCCTCCTGAGCAGCTGGGATTACAGGCGTGCACCAGCATGCCAGCTAATTTTTGTATTTTTAGTAGAGATGGGGTTTCGCCATTTGGCCAGGCTGGTCTCGAACTCCTGGCCTCAAGTGATCCACTTGCCTTGGCCTCCCAAAGTGCTGGGATTATAGGCGTGAGCCACCGCACCCGGCCTATACAACATATATTTTAGAGTCAGTGTTGTTATTGCTGCTTTAAGCATTCTATTTGTTGTCAAACAATATATCTTTAACACAGTAATGCCATACAGAAGTTGGGTGAGAAAGGGCCGGGTGCGGTGGCTCACACCTGTAATCCCAGCACTTTGGGAGGCCGAGGCAGGCAGATCACCTGAGATTGGGAGTTCAAGAACAGCCTGACCAACATGGAGAAACCCCGTCTCTACTAAAAGTACAAAATTAGCCGGGGTGCTGGCGCATGCCTGTAATCCTAGCTACGCTGGAGGCTGAGGCAGGAGAATCCTTTGAACCTGGCATTTGGAGGTTGCAGTGAGCTGAGATCGTGCCATTGCACTCCAGCCTGGGCAACAAGAGCGAAACTCCTTCTCAAAAAAAAAACAAAAAACAAAAAAAAGAAGCTGGGCGAGAAAGGACTTCAACTCCCAAGAAGGTAGCAAGAGCAAATTGTAAATATTATATCTGTATCAACATGCTGATGCTGAAAAATATTTTATAAAGTATCATTTAACAGAAGGAAGATACTACGGTAGTTGAAAAGAAATTTGAATACCATTCAAAAGCAACTAAAATAATTTTTCCTTAGGTTTTTTTTGTACATAATTCTTTCAGAATTGCCAAAGGTAAAACAAAGGCCTGTTTACTCCTCTTAACTGAAAACAAAAAACAAACAAAAACAGAATTAAAAAAATGAAATTCTCAAAGAAAAATGCCAATGCCAATTCCAATGCTAAAAATCTATTTCCATAAACTGGCTTTGTTCTTTTCCCTGCAGTACTCTTCTCCTAAAATAAGGTATTTTATGCCACTACTGCTGTAACAATGTTACTCCAGAAATAGAAACTTTTATATCTTATTTAATCATATTTAAAAGTAGGTACTTTGAAATTTGCTGGAAAGAGTCCCTTATTCTAAATTTGGCTAGAGGATAAAAGATCCCTGGATTTGGGGGCAAGAACTCACGTGACTAATAACAATAATGTGAAAATCTGACTTTTAGGCTGCTGCTTCCTTTTTTTTTTTTTTTTGAGTCGGAGTCTCACTCTGTTGCCCAGGCTGGAGTGCAGTGGCATGATCTTGGCTCACTGCAACCTCTGTCTCCCAGGTTCAAGTGATTCTCCTACCTCAGGCTCCTGAGTAGCTAGGATTACAGGCACACGCCACCATGCCTAACTAATTTTTGTATTTTTAGTAGAGACAGGGTTTTGCCATGTTGGCTAGGCTGGTCTCGAACTCCTGACCTCAAGTGATCCGCCCACCTTGGCCTCCCAAGGTGCTTGGATTACAGGTGTGAGCCACAGCACCTGGCTTTAGCCTGTGAGTTTCAAATCATAAACTACATTATTTAAATTCCTTTAAATATGGCTAGAACATTGTTGGACATAAAGTATCTTACAAAACACAACCAAAAAATAGAGGAGGGAATCAGAATGAGAGAAAAGTAAGGGCAGGAGGGAAATTACAAAGCAGTCAGGAGTGCAGCTGGAAAGTGCACTTGTTAGAGATGGGCCACAAATGAAATCTGAGCTTTCTAGCACCCAGTAAAACATAACTCATTGTCTGTAACATGCCAAAAATCCAGTTTCTCAGAAGCAGCACAAGTATTCTTGTTACTGAAGTGCAAAGTTTCATCTTTCCTATACCATGTGATACAGTAAGCGATGCTCGCAAAAATGTCCTTACAACACAAAGCATTTCACAGAACTGTTTTCTATCCTGGTTCTCAATGTAGGCCAGTGTTACAATGCCAAAACAGAGTGCAATACAGTTATTCTTAGGTGTACAATGTAGGTACAGATCCCTGATAGTCATAGGATCTGCAGGAATGCACTACATATAATAAGGCCATCTTCAATAAACACTATTTCTCTCAACTTAGCTCTAAAAGCATTCCCTTCTATTATGAGAAATGTCAAACTTGCAGAAAACAGTGGAAACAATAATACTAATGCATACATATATACACTCCCAGAGACAACTATTAACATCTTCTTACCTTTTTGCTTTTTGTGTGTATGGGTACAGGTAAAATAACTTATGGATATCAAGACACTTCACTTCTTAATACTCATCATATCCTAGCAATAAAGACCTTCTCGTGCTTAACCACAATACTGTTACCACACCTAAGAAAAATGAAAGATAACTCCTTAATGTCACTGAATGTAGTCAGTTTATATTGAAATTTCAACTTCTCCAAGACAGCTTTCAGAGCTGTTTTTTCCTCTCCAAATCAGGATCAATCCGTATTCAAGTACTGTATATCTGTTATCTCTCTTTTCACCTATGTATGTTTTTTCCCCTATTACATGAATATTTTTTGAAAGTAACAAGCAAGTCATTTTAGAGAATATCCTACATTCTGGATTTGTCCATTTTCTCATGCTGTAATTTAACTCATTGCTTTATTTCCTGTAAAGTGGAAGTTAGGTTTACAGGCTTAACTATATCCAGTTTAAATATTTTTTGGATCAGAATAATTCATAGGTGATGCTGCTACTGTTGTGTACTTCCTATTACTCCAAGTCAGGAGGCACATACTGTCCAGTTCTTGCCTTGTCAGCAATGCTGAATTTGATAACTTGCTTAAGGTGGTGACCCAGATCTCTTCAAATTACAACGGCTACAATAATCTATGGAGGCCATGTTAATGTACTGTACCACAGTAACACTTTCCCTCATGGTTTTGGCATCCACTCATGATCTTTGCCTGAATCATTCATTTTACTAAGTGATGAAGAATGCTAACTTGAATTCTTTTCTTTCTATATTAATTTTTTAAAAAAGATCGTCAGCTTAAATCAGTTTTGAGAAGTACATACATATCAAAAAATTCACCCATTTTAAGTATACAGTTCTAATGAATCTGACAACCAAACTTCCAATACTACCATCACTCCAAAAAGTTCTCTAATTCCCCTTGGTTGTCAGTCCTTTCTACTACCTCCCAGGTAATAATGATTTCAAATCTGCTCCTACAGTTTTGCCTTTTCCAGCATGTTGTGTAAATGAAATGGTTAAGTATATAGCCATTTGAGGAGCTCATTCCTTTTTATTGGTGAATAGTATTCCATTGTATAAATTACCATAATGTTTATTCAATTCACCAATTAAAGGACAGTTGGAGTTGTTTCTAGTTTGGAGTGCTAATAAATATTTGCATACGAGTTTTTGTGTGGACATATTATTTATCTTAGGTTAATTACTAGGAATGATATTTTTGGGTTGTATAATGGAATGCTTAATTTTATAAGAAACTATTAGTTTTTCAATGTTGCTGTACCATTTTGCATTCATACCAGCCATATATGAAGATCCAGTTTTTCTACATTATTTCCTGCACTTGAAATTTTATTTCTTACTTTAGCCATTC
The DNA here is from genome assembly GCF_000001405.40 of Homo sapiens. Lineage (NCBI taxonomy): Eukaryota > Metazoa > Chordata > Mammalia > Primates > Hominidae > Homo > Homo sapiens. The sequence continues at coordinate 71,940,557 of NC_000009.12, read as the reverse complement.
AAATAGGTATGTAGTATTATTTCATTACGATTTCAATTTACATTTCTCTAATAACTAATAATGTTGAACATCTTTTGATGTGTTTACTTGCCATCGTGGGTTTTTTGTTTGTTTGTTTCTTTAAGAGACAAAATCTCACTCTGTTGCCCAGGCTTGAGCGCAGTGGCATGATCATAGCTCACTGCAACCTTAAATTCCCGGGCTCAAGTGATCCTCCTGCCTAAGCCTCCCATGTAGTTGGGATTGCATGCATAAACCACTGTGCCTGGCCCCACCCTGTATTTTCTTTGGTTAAGTGTCTATTCAAATCTTTTGCGTCTTTTTTTTTTAAATTGTTCATTTTCTTATTATTGAGATGTGAGAGTTCTACATATTAATATATTCTGGATTAACAGCCCTTTATCAGATGTATGCTTTGCAAATATATTCTCCCAATCCATGCTTTCATTTCCATTATCTTAATAGTTTTTCCTAAGAGCAGATCTTTTTAATTTCAAAGAACAATTTATCAATTTTTTTCTTTCATGAACCATACTTTTTGACTCTTGAATAAAAAAGATCTTAATCTGTTTTCTTCTGCAAGTTCAGTAATTTTACATTTTACATTTAGTCTATAATCTATTTTGAGTTAATTTTTGGTTGTACATAGTGCAGAATCCAAGTAGATGTTCTTTTAAAATTATATACAGATGTACAATTGTTCCAGCACCATTGAAATGCCTTTGTACCTTTCTCAAAAATTAAGTATGTGTAAGGTCTATTTCTGGATTCAGATCCTGTCACATTAATCTATGTGTCTAGTCTTTCACCAATACCACCCTGTGTTGATTCCTGTAGCTTTATGGTAAGTCTTGAAATCAGTACTTCAATTCTTCCAACTATTTTTGTTTCCAAAATTGTTTGGCTATTCTAATTCCTCTGCTTTTCTATATAAATTTTAGAATCTGTTTGTTGATTTCAACAACAACAAAAAACCCTGCTATGATTTTGATTAGGATTACACTGAAACTGTAAATCAATCTTGGGAAGAACTGACATCTTAACAACATTCAATCTTTCAGTCCATGAACATTCCATTTCTTATTAGATAAACCCCAGTCATTTGTAATATATTGTCCTTTTTATACATTGATGAATTCCATATGCTAGTATTTGGTTAATGATTTTGGAATATATATGCATGAGGAATTGTACTCTATAGTAATTTGGATTTTTTTTTCCAATGTCTTTGGTTTTGGTTTTGTCTGTTTTGGTTCTCAGGTGCTGGAGAATTTATATAACTTAGAAGAGCACAAGAGAAGAAAGTCATACAATAATAAGAAAATCACACATAAGAAAATCATACAATAATATAGCATTGTATATATATATTATTTTTTACTGGACTTTATTACTTTTATAGATGAAAAATACCTCTACAGATCAATTTTATAGAGCTAAAACGAGTCTTTACATATAAATATTCAAAATATAGAAATTTTATAAAAATACAGATAAAGAATAAAGACAAGTCCTATCACTCAGAGATTCTACACTTTGCAGCACTTCAAGTATATATTTACATAAGTTCACATTTTTTCCACATATGTTGTTTTATAACATTCATTTTTCCATATTAATATATATACTTTCAAAGCATGTCTTTATTGTATGTACTATAGTCTCTCAGAGTAATACCATCATTTAGTTAACCTATTATCTACTCTTTGACAGTTTAAATGTTTCCAATTTCTGAATATATATATTTTAAATATATTGGCCTATAAATATCAGAAAACTTCTAATAAACATGTAAATTCTCATCCCATTATATTTATACATAACAAGTTCTGGTTCCATATGAACAACATTGTAAGAAAATACAAGCAATTTTATTAGATGCAAAATCTCATAGTAAAAAATAAATGTCCCCTTTCTTTGGTCAAGTGTGTACTACTTCTTTATTAAGCTTCTCTAAAAAGAGTTTACATGTATGGATAAGAATAAGAGAAAAAAATAGTTCATGTTCTTGTTTTATTTGCCACTGTATCAATACAGAAATCATTACAAAATGATTTTATTTTGTAAACATTGTTGCTATTATAATAAAGTATACAACAAGTCTCAAATTTGTGCATTATTACTCAACTCAACTGACTTATATTTTTAAAAAAATGACCAAACTTAGAATGAGTACACATAATTATTTGGATAGTGAGGCAAATGTTTCCTACTACCGTCCGTAAAAACTTGCTTCGCTTTTTTATCCTGGCAGTTAAGATTTTTTAAAAGAATAGAAGACACTGACAGTTCCCTTTTTGAGAAAGGAATTAAAATTCTTGCTATAATCAACTTACTACATTTCCTACAGACAGAACACCCCTACTATATGAAAACTTTCAAACCTATAAGCCCTTTTAAAATGTGATATGAAGTAATAATTTGCATGTGTACTATCCTCAAAAATACCTTATTTGGACAAGTTACTGAGCCTTACTATTTTTATGTATTTTATTATTTCACAAAATGAGCTAGTCATACAAATAGCCCAGAAATACTTTTGAAATGAGTTCTGGTAGTAAAATTGGTTTGTCATTTAAGGAGAAATATAAAATCAAAGTTATTACTAGCTTACTTCTTTTTAGGAAATTACGTTTGTTCCACATAGCTAATTAGAGAGAAATCAACACTTATAAGAATTCTTCACAAAAACTTAAGTCCAAGTTGAGCAAATTTATTACCCTAAAAAACCTGATATGCACACATATATCAATATTTCAGTAATATTTGATTTTTAATCTATAAAAATTTAATTAAAAGATATCTAAAGTATAGGTGATATAGATCTGCACTGTGAGCTAAAATAATATTCTCTGAAGTTTAGTCCCTCTTGCTCCCATTCACTCTAAATTCATCACAAGTTTTTAAAACACCAATAACAAACTGAGAAGTGAAAGTATATACTAGAAATACTCAAAATGATCCTCTTGTTCAATATACTCACAATATCTTTTTCTAGTCAAGAAATAATATTTCCCTCCTCCCATTTTCCTTGTTACTGCTAGAATCTTTAACAAATGACATCTACAAAAATGAACAATCACATTTTTATCCAAAGACTGAATATAAAATGAGTTCTGATCATCCCAAACAGAGAACCATTCTTTCAATAAGTGGGCAAAGCTATTCAGTTGCAATTATGCAGACAGGGTCTGTGTACAAACTAACCACTGATTTATTTCAGCAACCAAGCAAACTACCGAGATTTTCACTGACAAACCTAATGCATACACAAAGTGGAGCCACACCTACCTACAGGCAGAAACATGCTGTGGCAGTACCTTTTTCTGGCAGTTGAGAAAACCTATTTAAGCAACTTTATTTTCCCAAGTATATTTTTCTCACTTACTTTTAAGGAAATTAAAATAGGTTGGCATTGTATTTTAACAAATAAATATTTGCGAAGCATTCTAACAAACACTGCGCTGATAAATCTATCGCAACTTTGAAAGTTTCAACAGGCCAGGTATGGTAGCTCAGGGCTATAATCCCAACACTTTGGGAAGCCGAGATGGGAGGATCACTTGAGTCCAGGAGTTTGAGACCAGCCTGGGCAACACAGGGAGATCCCGTTTCTACAAAAAAAATGAAAATTAGCCAGGCAAGGTGGTGCACACCTGTGGTCCCAGCTACTCCAGAAGCTGAGGTGGGAGGATCGCTTGAGCCAGGGAGGTCAAGGCTGCAGTGAACTGTGATCATACCACTGGTGACAGAGTGAGACCCTGTCTCAAAAAAAAAAAAAAAAAAAGCTTGAACAAAGAACTCTAGTATGAAGATTTTTAATTTTCTCCATTCCAATTCAGCAAGGCGTGTTATGAACATTAGAAAATATTTTTAAGAAAGGATCTACAATGCAATGTTTTAAAATTATCTTTGAACTATCTTCATTATTAACTATGAGTCACTCGTAGTAAATAATAACTCAAGAAAAACTCATGTAAATGGAAACAAATAGCTATATTGTTGCAGCAGTAATATGGGAAGCACACCTTTCCTTCCTCAAAATTTTGAATGCCAATCACTTTATCTAGAAATAATATGTCTTTCCTGAAAAAAAAAAGACTCTCTACAAGTAGGGTAATACTTTCAATCCCATTTGTTCCTTCTCAAGATGTTTTGCCAATACATCTCCTTCTTTTAGTCATCAACTTTCTCTCTCAACCCTGTTCAGTCCCTTCTTTTGACACTATTTTCTCCAGGTCAACTGAATGCATAACTACAGCCTCAGCAATGAGCTCAACGAAGATTACATCCAAAACTATGTCCCTAGTGCTAACTCATGTCTCTGGAAGTTCTGATGTCTCAGATTGCAGGCAAGATACCCATTTTTCTCCTCACAGAAATCCTTGAGACACCTCAGATTCAAAGACCAAACAGCAATCACTCAATTAGCAATACAATCTGTTCCTCCTGTGTCCCAAACCTCATCTTTAAAAATCTTTAGATAAAAAAACTTAGGTCACTTTTTTTACTTCTTCCTCTTTCACCTGTATATCTCTTTACTTCCTTATATAATCTGTATTACTGAAGTGGCCTCTCAAACAGAAGATGGGTTACAGAGTAAAGACGGAGGGAGTGAGACCAAACAGCCAACAGTTATTTTTTTTCTGTTTCTCCCCTGGTAAATACACAGAGCATAAAATTTACCAACTTAACGATTTTTATGTGTATAGTTGAGTGGTATTAAATACATTCATATTGTACAACCATCACCACCATCCATGTCCAGAACTCTTTTCATCTTCCAAATCTGAAACACATAACTCTCATTGTCCCTTCCTCCTAGCCCCTGGCAACGATCATTCCACTTTCTGTCTGTATAATTTTACAACTTTAAGTATCTCATGTAAATGGAATTACAGAGTATTTGTCTTTTTTTTTTTTTTGGGTCGGGGGGCAGGGTCTCGCTGTGTTGCCCTGGCTGATCTCAAACTGCTGGCCTCAAGTGATCCTCTTGTCTCAGTATCCCAAAGTATGGGATTATAGGTGTGAGCCACTGCGCCTGGCTTTTTGTGACTGGCTTATTTCACTTAGCATAATGTCCTTAAGGTTCATTGATGCTGTAGAATATGTCAGAATTTCCTTCCTTTTTAAGGCTAATATTACACTGTATGTATATAACATATTTTGCTTATCTACTCTTCCCTAGATGGATACTTCAGTTGCTTCTAGGTTTTAGTTATTGTAAATAATGCTGCTATGAACATGGATGTACAAATATCTCTAAGACCCTGCTTTCAATTCTTTTGGGGATATACCCAGAAGTGAAATCATATGATCATATAATGATTTTGTTTTTAATTTTCTGAGTAGCCACCATGCTGTTATCCAGAGCGGCTGTGCCATTTCATATTCCCACGAAGAGTAATAAACAAAGGTTCCAATTTTGCCACAGCCTCAAAACATGTTACTTTCTGTTTGTTTGTAAATAATAGTCATCCGAATGAGTATGAGGTGGTATCTTGTAGTTTTCATCTGTAGTTCCCCAGTGATTAGTGACGAGCATGCTTTTGTGTGCTTACTGACCATTTGCATATCTTTGGAGAAATGTCTACTTAGGTCCTCTGCCCATTTTTGAATTGGGCTGTTTCTTTTGTTGTTGAGTAATAGTTATAGTATTATATATTCTGCATATATATATTTTTTTCTGAGACAGGGTCTTGCTCTGTTGCCCAGGCTGGAGTACAATGGCACCATCTTGGCTCACTGCATACTCTGCCTCCCAGGCTCAAGCAATCCTCCTACCTCAGCCTCCTGGGTAGCTGGGACTACAGGCACAAGGCACCACACCTGCCTAGCTTTTGTGTTTTTTAGTAGAGACAGGGTTTTGCCACGTTGCCCAGGTTGGTCTCAAACTCCTGGGCTCAAGTGATCCACCTGCCTCAGCCTCCCAAAGTGCTGGGATTACAGGTGTGAGCCACTGTTCTCGACCATATATTCTGGCTATTAATCCCTTATCAGGTATATGATTTGTACACATTTTCTCCCACTCTATGAGCTGCCTTTCTACTCTGTTGATAAGTGTCTTTTGATGCAAAAACATGTTTAAATTTTCAGCAAAGCCAAATACTGATAGCAGAAAGAGAAAGTGAGGCATTTATTGCAAGACGCCAAACAAAGAGAACTGGGCAGCTCATGCCTGAACTCCCAGATGGCTTACAGGTAAGGATTTTTTGTTTGTTTGTTTTGAGACAGTGTTTGTTTTGTTTGTTTTGAGACAGTGTCCTGCTCTGTTGCCCAGGCTAGAGTGCAGTTCAAGTGATTCTCATGCCTCAGCCTCCCAAGTAGCTGGGATTACAGGTGCCTGGCACAACACCTGTCTAATTTTTGTATTTTTAGTAGAGTCAGGGTTTCACCATGTTGGCCAGGCTGGTCTCAAACTCCTGACCTCAAGTGATCTGCCCACCTTGGCCCCTCAAAGTGCTGGGATTACAGGCATGAGCCACCATGCCCAGCCCAGGTAATGGTTTTTAAAGGCAGGTGACAAGCAAAGTCATAAATCAATATATGGAGATTATACACTGGCTTGACCTAAAAAGGAGGGGCATCTTGAAATGGGAGCACACAGGTCATAGGTGGATTCAAATATTTTCTGGTTGGTGATTGGTTAAGGAGGTGAAACTTTGTCTAAAAATTCGGGATCAGAAAAAAAAAAGTTAGCTCTGGCTTATGGGCATGACCTTCTGAAGGCTCTTCAAAAAGAAAATTAGAACAAACAATAGCAGTTAGAGTTTAGTTCTCAGTTCCCTCTTATCTGAGGTCTATGCGCCAGCAGATCCATCTAGTGGGAGTCCAGGTTTCCAAAAAGCAACTCAAAGACATATGTTATGATGTTATCTTTAGTTTCTACAGGGGACAAAGTATCTCCTGAATATAACTTCCTTGGCCATGTGTTAAGTTACTATTACACGTAACATGGCCCCAAAGCCCAAGAGCAGTCTAGCGATTCAGATATGCCAAAGAGAAGTTGTAGAGTGGTTCCTTTAAGTGAAAAGGTGAAAGTTCTCAACTTAGAAAAAACAAATTGTGCATTGAGATTGCTAAGATCTATGGTAAGAACAAATCTATCTGTAAAATTTGTGTAGTAGGAAAAAGTTGGAGCATTTCCTCCTGCATATAACAGGGGGATTATTCTAAATTATGAGTCACTTCTCTCTTGCTGCCTTCAAAATTCTTTGTCTTTGGTTTTCAACAGTTTGATTATAATGTATCTCAATGTGGGTCTCTAAATTCACCTAACTTGGAGTTCTTTGAGCTTCTTGGATGTTTACATTCATGTTTTTCACCAAGTTTGGGAAGTTTTCAGGCAGTATTTCTTCAAATATTCCGCCACTTTCTCTCTTCTCCTTCTGGAATCCCCAAAATATGTAAGTTGGTCCACTTAAGGGTATCCCACAGATTCTTTAGACTCTGTTCACTTTTTCCCAATCTTTTCTTTTATGTTTCTCATACTTGACAATTTCCATTGTCCTATCTTCAAGTGTACAAATACTTTCTTCTGGCTGCTCAAAAATGCCTTTGAATCCCTCTAGTAAATTTTTCACTTCAGTTACTCTACTTTCAGCTCCAGAATTTCTTTTTGGTTTCTTTTTAGGATTTTTCCTTATTGATATTTACATTTTATTCATATATCATTTTCTTGACTCTCTCCACATCTTTCTTTAGTTCTTTGAGTATCTTTCGGACAGCTATTTCAAAGTTCTAATAGATCCACCATCACTTCTTTTTCAGAGGCAGTTTCTGTTGATTTACTTTTTTCCTTTGAATGAGCCATATTTTCCTTTTCTTTTATGCCTTATGATTTTTTTCTTGAAAACCGAACATTTGAATCAAATAAGATAGTAACCCTGGAAGTCAGATTCTCTTCTTTCCCCAGGGTTTGCTTCTTTTTGTTTTGTTTTTTATTATCGTAGATTGTCTCATAAAGATGAAATGATCTAGATTCAATAAATGGTTACACAGAAAATGATTAGTACAGAGCTGAGGCAAAGTCATGACTCTGTAGAAGAGCAACTGTTAAGCCAGTTCTCAATCTCTAGTGTCTATAAGACCCTACTGAAGACTATATCAAAAATCAGATTTCCAGGCCCTACCTTCTGAGATTGTGGTTTTATAACTCAGGAGTTTCTGTTGTATAGACAACACTTTGACAACCTACAGTTAAGGGATGGGGAGTGCACTAGAGCAAGCAAGGTATGATTAATGCCAAGAAAGAATTCAGATAGAATGAGCTTCTATGAAAATAATCTCTTCCTCCCCCGACCATTTCCCAAGGCAAACTGAGTGTGTACAAACTGTACAAACTGAGTGTGTACAAACTGAGTGTGTGTGCTCCTTGGAAAGCTACTCATGTAGACTGGAGTATCAGATCTGAGCATCAAATACAGGAGAAGGTAATTACTAGAATAGTTTCATGTATGATTTGAGGAGCACATACATCAGAATCACAGATGAGTCTTGTTAAGAATGATCATTCCTGGACTCAACCCTAAGATATACTGATTAAGAATGTCTGGCACCTGGGATTCTGCATTTTAAACAAGCTTTCCAGATGATCCTTAAGCACACCAAAGTCTAAGAACCACTGCCCTAGGCAGCTAAAGCAAACCGACATTTCTAGAGAAATGTGTTCCCTATCTCACCTCTGCTACTGGGAATACTATTAAGGACGTGATATACTTTTCCTGAAAAAGAAAGTTATGATTCTTATAGTTTAAACAACACTGGTTAGTGTAGGTGAGAAATAATAAATCGCTGACAAGTGTAGAGTACCTTCTGCTTAAAAATCAATTTTTACAATTAATTAAATCATTTCCTTACAACTATCTTGAGGGATGAATAGTACTATTCCTATCTTATATAGGAAGAAACAAATCCAGGCAGGTTTAATAATCTGTCCAAGATCACACATCTACCAAATATTACAACCAGAGCTCAAGGCCACGCCTCTGACTCCAAATTTCATCATTTGCCCCACTATTCCATACTGCCTTTCTTTTGGAAACTAAATCTTAGACTGATTTTTAATTTCACCATTGAGAGCACTGATTCTTTGGGGTGATGAATTCTGAGCTCCAAACAAGTGACTTAAAGAAAGCTTTGAAACATACAGTGTTTACAGACTAAACACTGTTTAGTTACAGACTAAACATTCTGGAGACTGTTTCAGATATCTGATATATTAGTCTAGCATACGCAGAAACAGTCTCCAGAATAATCTCTGAACTGACAGGAAAAGATATGGTAGAGGCATAAGTCAGGAATCCAGAAGAGCTATCATTTAAGAAGCTTTTCCAAAATCACGTATCAAAAGGCATCACCCCCAGATGTAATTTTTCCCAGATTCTCACTCTGTATGACTAAAGTCCCTTAATTCAGACATGGATTGACATGGGTACTGCACTGTACAGAAATCAGCTGTTTTCTGGATTGACTTCCTCCATGGTCAGAAAAAATAAAGTTTACATCAGTAGTTTCTGGCCTTTATTCCTATTCCTGAAATTTAAGCCAAATCTAAACACCTCGAAGGTTGGGAGACTATTCCTTCTTCCTCACTCTTCCCACTGAATTACCTCTGCCTTAGTTATAAGTTCAAAGGTCAGACCAAATGTGCTAGTGAATCTAAAATTAGGAACATGCTAAGAAATGTGGGTAATTTCTAGATCAGTGATTCTCAACCTTTGTTTGTGTCTTTTTTTTTTTTTTTTTTTTTTTTGAGACAGGGTCTTGCTCTGTCACCCAGATAGAGTGCAGTGGTGGGATCACGGCTCACTGTAGCCTCCACCTCCCAGGCTCAAGTGATCCTTTCACTTCAGCCTCCCTAGTAGCTGGGACCACAGGCATGTGCCACCATGCCTGGCTATTTTTTTTTTTTTTTGGTAGAGACAGAGTCTCACTATGTCACTATGTTGCCCAGGCTGGCCTCCAACCCCTGGGGCTCAAGCAATCCTCCCACCTCAGTCTCCCAAAGTGTTGGGATTACAGGTGTGAGCCAACATGCCTGGCCTGTTTCTGTCTTTACTGTCCACATAGCCATACCTTCATCATCATATACAGAAAGTGGCAAATCATAATTAACGGGAGAGTAATAAGTATTTTGGGGAAAAACAGGGAATAGAGAACCTGGAACATTATCTTCCAACAGAGAATATCCACATGAAAATTAAAGGAAATATAGCTATATGCATGAGTTTCTATCTTCTCAGATCTTCTAGTATCCTTATCATTTAGCTCCCTGCTTGGTTGTTTATGTTTCTGGTCAATGTTCTTCTGCTTACTCAAGTCTGAGTGATTTTATGTGCATGGAACATGGCTGTACTTTGGTCAGGTGTCCAGACAAAAGCATTCTTAGGGAAGAATTATTTATCTACAAAGTTTATTATAAAATAAATCTTTTGGTTTTTATTATAAAAATAATAGCAAACTAAATAATTTTTATTCAAAAGACTGCTACCATAAATCTACAAACCACATGTCTAATTCTGTATAAAAATTCTCCCTGCTATTTTTACAACATTCTTGTGGCTACGAGTAGGTATAATTATCCTCGTTTTGCAGATGAGAAACCTAAGGCTCAAAGAATTAAGAGATTTGCTTGAGGTCACAAAATTAATCAGAAGCAGCAGAGGCAGAATCCATAAAAAGATATCTTTAAGTTTAAGGCATGCTATTAAGTTACAAGTGGAACATGTGTTCCTATAGCTTTTTAGATCTTCTAAATATTAAAATAAAACACATATACTACTTGGAAGAGCACACATTTTCATTGGTACAGTGTTTTGACTTATTCTAACACTGGTATATTAACTGCTTTGTAAATAAGGCCAAACATGCTGGCTTGTTCCTAGAATAACATTAGAGTATTATACATTATTTAAAAGTCACAAAATTTCGAAGTTGGAAAAGTTCATTTAGAGAACAAAACATAATTTTTGCTAAGCAATGTTCTAAGAGAGGAGGATATAGTTTTCTATGATGCTGTTCCCAGATTTTCAACATACTGAGATCTAAACAATGAAGATCTAACTAAATGGTGAGCAATATGGGCCAACCTATGTACAATTCAACTGGAATGCAAAAAGCACCACTAAAGCAGCAATTGCATAGTGTCATGAGGCAACACACATGTTTTTATAAGCACTCATTAAAAGTTAAGTCACCATTTGAGATCTTGTCCAACCGGTACGGTATGCCCCAAGTTAGTGATCTTAAAAGAGACAAACCACTGATGGACTATTGTTTAACATGTATTAAACAAAAAAGAAGAATGAGATTTCCTAATAGGGATGTATGGAGTTAAGTCTTACAAACATAATAATTGGTAATGTCCACAAACCAAATGATTTTGTCTTTAAAAAAAATCTGCTTCGTAAGTCATTTACTTGGGGCAGGTGTAAGAGGACAATGACCATCTTAAAACTAACTTCCTCAAAGATAGGTGCCTCGCTCTGGTCATATTAATATGTCACAAGAATACCCTATTTATGGTAACAATGAATTCAAGAGTCAACTCACATCAGGAAGAAATTAGATTGTACCATGATTCATTTGGTTTAAAGCTCAGTATTCACATGTGACCTGCCTAACTTCAGTTGAGAGCATTTTCTCACTCTTAGAAACAGCAGAAAGAGGATTTTGATGACAAGAATATAAAAATCTAAGGGATAAAATTAATATATATTCTTAATGAAGAATGCAAATTACCTGTAATAAAATACTACCTTTTATTTCCATACTTTTGCTGTATCTGAATTTGTCCTATAATTCTTTTCATTTTATTCTCAAATCATCCTTGTGTGAAGGAAAATAAGTGGTACTGTTATTTATTGATATTCTAACTTATAAAGAGTTGGTATAACTCACCCACAGTTATATAAAGAGTGACTCAGTATTCATGTGAAGAGTCTACTCCTGGTGTGGCCCTGACTCCAAGTTTAGGACTCCTTCCAACATATTAAACTATAAAATGTGTCACAGGTTAGAATTAAGTACAGTCTGTATCATGACCATCTCTTTATTGTCTACAGGAACAATCCAAAAAAATATGAGCTAGTATGTACTCCGCATTATGCTAAGCATCTCAAAGATTCAGAAGATTCATGATGTGTAGTCCCTTCCTCACAGTGCATTCTATAAATCTGAACAGCAAGCAATATATTCTTAGAGTTAAAATAGTGTTTAAAATAAGAAATTAACTAACTGATTTCTTCAAAGTGAGCTTTTAGAAAAATTTGCATTGAGAAGGAGGCATATAGATACAGGGCTAATTGACAGCTCGTGCAGATATTCACATAAGCCATTGCCTTTTTTTTTTTTTTTTTTTTTTTTTTTTTGAGACAGAGCCTCATTCTGTTGCCCAGGCTGGAGTACAGTGGCAGAATCTTGATTCACTGTAACCTCCGCCTCCTGGGTTCAAGCGAGTGTCCTGCCTCAGCCTCCCAAGTAGCTGGGATCACAGGAATGTGCTACCATGCTCTACTAATTTTTGTATTTTTAGTTAGAGTCGGAGTTTCATCATGTTGGCCAGGCTGGTCTCAAACTCCTAGCCTCAAGTGATCCACCCGCCTTGGCCTCCCAAAGTGCTGGGATTACAGGCATGAGCCACTGTGCCTGGCCATGAAATGCAAGTAACTTGATAAAGGACAGAAAATAAAGTAATCCAGTTAACTGTTTTTTACAGAGAGGAGAAACCCCGTGTTTTTAATGTTATATTATATAAATACTACTACAGTTCAAATATCACTTTACTAATGAACTAAAAATCTACTTCAAGAACTTATCAGCTATTTTTAATTTTAAGCTTTTTATCATAAGAAGGTCTTAGTAATATTACTAGATTGCTTACTATTGCTTCTTGTACACTGGTCTTATCTCCCAGCTAGACTATTAACACTACAAAGGCCAGAATGATAGGCACTCAGACTTTAAAATTTTGATGGCAATACTGATTTTTCTTGTTTGTGGCTTCTCCACCACCCAAACAAGACAAGATCGTTAGCTTGCATTTATTTTTAATCCCTAGGTTTGGTTGAAACCTGGAACTATGAGTTTACTTTTTTTTCTTCTAAAAGATTTACCTCTTCTATTTTTATAATTCTATATAACAACAGCATTAAATTTCACTACCATATTGTCAATCATTTTTAAAGTTAACCCAGTTTTCCTAAGTTCTTGGTTCATCAGTTTCTTCTCTCGCATCTTTTTATATTCTGGAGTACACCCCTAAATGTATACTTTTTTTTTTTTTTTTTTTGACAAACTTTCAGCCTGGATGATTTTTTGCCCTGACATATGAGCGAGCCATAGCTTAGCTCTATAAGAAATTCTAAATTCAAAATACTCCTTTACAGTATTTTGTAGACCTTACCCTACTTTTTATGATAATAGATGAGAAGTCTGATGCCTACTTACAGTTGCTTTGTAGTTAACCTCTTTTGTTCCTCTGAAAGAGGGTAGCAATTTCTCTTTACCACTGGAGTTTACCAACCTCACCATGATATGTCTAGGTAACATCTTTTTCCCACAATAATCCTAGAAAGCACTTGATAGAACCCTTCTACTTGAAGGCTTAAGATTTTCCTTAACTTTGGAGTTTTTTTTTTCTTTTTATCATTTCTTTCTTACCTTCCATGTCCTCTGTATTTCCTTTAGACAGAGCAGCTTTCTTAGCTTGAGCCTCCAAATATCAAATTTTATTTCATAATTTTTATCACTTTGACCTTTTTGACTAGGTTTTAGACAAGCCCATTGGCTTGATCTCCCAAATCACTAATTTAGTCTTTAACCTTGTCCTATTCAGCCTTTCTATTAAGATGTTTACATTTCTACAACCACAGTGGTAGTTTTTAAGCAATGTCACAGGATTCTTTTTTTTTTTTTTTTTTTCAACAGCAGTGTTTGCTGGTTTTTGGACTTTGAAAGCTATTTGAATCATTAAGGATATAATTTAGGATACTTCGGGTTTCGGGTTTTTAAAAGTACTCTTCTGTGACTTACATTACCTCTCTTAACTGGGCATGGGAGGGTTTCTAGCATGCGTTTCATGGTTTCTATTTTCCTAAAAAGTTTAGTCTGCTTAGCTCATATTTATAAATGAGGGCCTAAATCTACATTATCCAATATGGTAACCAGTATTCACATTTGGTTATTTAAATTGAACTAAAATTAAATAAAATTAAAATTCCCCAGTTGTGCTGGTTGTATGTCAAGTGCTCGATAGGGACATGTGGTTACTGGCTACCAAAATGGATAGCAATTATCGGGCATATTTCTATCACAGAAAGGTCTAATGGACAGTGCTGCTAGTGATTAAAGAGCTGTAGCTATAGAATGCATTACTAAAGCAGAATTGGGAATCACTATTGCTTTGGAAGTGAATTCAGATATTAATTATACAATCCCTGGCTCTGTTGACAGACTAAAAATTAAGAGCTATGGCTTTGCTTTAGTATACACAGGAAGCATTTTGCTTCTAAGCACAAGGGTTTCTTTGTTAAGCTCTAAGACCAACAGGGATCAGGTATACTGCTCTGCCTTTCTCTTTCATGGCATTTCCCCACTTTAGAAAGTTGTTCTTCTATCTTGGCATTATTCTAGAGTTTTACTGAAAAAACCTTAACTTCCACCCATATTATGTTGTAAATTCATACACTGTTTAGTTGTATAAATCTAATCCTCTCCATATCTTTAGTTATCTTAATTTTTAAAATAAAAGTAGAACTTATTTTGCTTTTTTGTTTAACTGCTCAATGTATATGTTACAAAGTTCGCTACATTCAGATATATAAAAAAACAGCTTGTTCATTTCTTATAGATAATCTGGCCTTTATCAGAAGCTACTGACTGATTAAAACAGTCTCTTTCAGCTATATGTTCCTTTTCTTCGAATTTTGCCTCCCTATATTTTTTCCCAAGAGAGTCTGATTGGACAACGGAGTCCACCGTCTCCTCCAGCTTCAGAGAAGGGACCTGTCTTTGTCCTGCTCTCCTTAATGCTGCTTTCTGCCGACAGAACCTTCTTCAGTTTTTTGGTATCATAGTTCTTTTTTTCTTTCTTTTTCTTCTTACTGAGATTTGGGGAAAAAGAAAACTCCTGCCTCAGCCTCCCAAGTAGCTGGGATTATAGGCGTGTACCAACATGCATGGCTAATTTTGTATTTTTAGTAGGGACGGGGTTTCACCATGTTGATCAGGCTGGTCTTGAACTTCTGACCTCAAGTGATCCACCCGCCTTGGCCTCCCAGAGTGCTGGGATTACAGGCCTGAGCCACCGTGCCCAGCCAAGAAAAGGAAAATTTTAAGTACATGTTCAGTCAGCCATTTTGAATTAGAAAAATACCTCAGTTAAATTTGACTGACTTTTCTTACTGGGCAGTGAATAAAAGACCTTAATAAATGTGTCCCTAGAGACACATTAAAATTAGAATTAACTACCACAGTAAGCCAGGAATTTTTTTTTAATATACTAAGGACTAGCTGACATTGAATCATCATATGAGAGTCAAAGAACTGCTCATTGTTCTGTATTGGTGCGTTTAAATTCAAGCAACAGTGTTACATATGTAAAAGTAACCACAATACTATTTTATATCAATAATAGATGACAACTTACCACACATGACTATTCTAGTTTTACTGAAAACCAGATTTAGCATTATTATGTCATTCAAGTTTATGGGAAACATGACATCCTATTACTATAGTGCCTTATGATAAAGACTAATGATGGTATATTGAACATTCACATATATAAGTATATACCATGATGTCAAATATATTACTCAAATTGATGACTTCAGTGGCATGAGTCATTTAAAAACAAACAAGACAGACACCTGATGTAAGCAACCTATATAAATATTCTCAGAACAACAAAGCATTTAAAATAATCCCTAGCTTAGCTTGGCATTTCATATCCATGATGCTGGGAATGGCCTACAATATCAGCTGACCTCCAAAACTGGGTCTGATTAGTGTAAAGTTGTAATTGAATTCTACTGCTGATGGACCATCATTTGAAAATTATTACATATACATAACTCCATCAACTACAAGAAGAAATACTTCTTTATGACATAAGACTCTGCAAAAACAAAAGCAAAACAGAAAATGCGTCATACAAGTTAGTTACAAAAGGACAATTTGCGTTAACATTTTAGAATGTAGCTCCAACTCTTCTAACTAAAAATACATCTGAGAAAATATCAAAGAAAATGTTTGCCATAAAGTTCTAAAAATGTCATTCCACCTCAAGAATAAGCAGATAAATTGGAAAAGAATTAGGACTAAGGTTGAGAAAATCAACTCCAAAGCTATGGGAAAGTCTAAGTTCACTTGATATTTTTAGAAGCCAAAAAACCCTACAGGGACCAAATTAATCACTGTTAGAAAATCAAATCACACTGATTTCTTTCAGCCCAAAGAAGGATTATCTGAAGTTGCTTTGTATATTTAAACAGTTAAGAGGATCTTTTGGAATGCTTTTTCACATCCACTAATACTATTTCTGAAAAGAGCCTGGTCATCTGGGTACCTGTATCTGTCCCCAAAAGCCACGACTTAAAGGTTAACATTTGTTCTATCTAGGGAGTGTTTTAATAGGAATTGTAATAACCCATTAGAGATGGAAAGATTGAGGATGCAAGAAAGCATGAACAATCTAAGGAAATTTACACATTAAATCCTTAGGTAGGCAAGATGGGCTCCAGGGTGTTGTGGAGCGGCTAGCCTCAGGGATAGTTTCATCTACGGTAATAATAAAATAAAATATATGGGTACAGACATTGGTAGTTTGATAGATGTGGTGGTGGTTTAATAAAAAGCTGAATCTAAGCAGAGTGAGGTTCTGTCAGCTGAGTACCACAGAGGGAAAGATGGACAAGGGAGCTGGGGTATATGCAAAAGAACAGTTACACTGATGAAACATAGGCTCCAAACTAGAAAAGCAGGGAAGGGCTGGGCGCCGTGTCTCATGCCTATAATCCCAGTACTTTGGGAGGCCGAAGTGGGCAGATCACATAAGGTCAGGAGTTCGAGAGCAACCTGACCAACATGGAGAAAACCCATCTCTACTAAAAATATAAAATTAGCCAGGCGTGGTGGCATATGCCTGTAATCCCAGCTACTTGGGAGGCTGAAGCAGGAGGATCACTTGAACCCAGGAGGCGGAAGTTGCAGTGAGCTTTGAGATCATGCCATTGTACTCCAGTCTGGCAACAGGGAGAGACTCTTGTCTCAAAAAAATAAAAATAAAATAGAAAAGCAGGGAAATCAAGACATGAATGAAGTACAGTAAAAAGTAGAAGGGCTAATGGACAGGACTACCCAATGGGGATAATAAATATTATCTGAGGGATATGGAAACCAGATGGATGGTGGTCAGTCTTTTTTTGAGACGGAGTCTTGCACTGTTGCCCAGGCTGGAGTGCAGCGGCGCGACCTCAGCTCACTGCAACCTCTGCCTACTGGGTTCATGCAATTCTCCCACTCCAGCCTCCCGAGTAGGTGGGGTTACAGGCGTGCACCACCACGCCCAGCTAATTTTTTTGTATCTTTAGTAGAGATGGAGTTTCACTATGTTGGCCAGGCTGGTCTCAAACTCCTGACCTTGTAATCTGCCCGCCTCAGCCTCCCAAAGTGCTGGGATTACAGGCGTGAGCCATGACGCCTGGCCCAGTCTTTTAAAAACTTTGTAAGTACAGCAGTTACCAGTGAGGAGCAAGTCTGTGGTCTGACCATGAGGGTAGACTTCTGAGGTGGCAATGAGATGTCAGATGTTGGACAGATTATCCATGTGTATGTAGCAATTACTAAGTATGATGACAGGAACTGTGGAAAGGTAGCAAGCCCAGGTACTAATGAGAAGGTGTAACTAGGAGTTTAGTACACATCTGGAGAGTATAGTAGTCTGACAGCATGTATTTCCGAGGAGCTACAGTTTTTGAGTAAGGAGAAACAAACACAGCAAATGGGAGAAATGGTTCTACATGGGAGAGGGGTGGTAAAGATGTGGGGTGAAAATACATCATCACTTAAGAGGATTACAGGGAAACAGTGCTCCCAGGAATAGCCAGGTAGGGCAAGAAAGTGAAAGACATTTTATATTCAATACTATGTCTCTATTTCATGACAACAGACTATAAATTGTAGAAGGTAAAGTGGAAGCATTAGGGGAGGGAGCATTGAAAGGTTGGAAAATTGCATCGGGTTAGGGTATGTACAAACCAAATAGGGAAAAGTAATAATGAATGATCTGGGAATCTAGGACATTAAAACACCAACCAGCCAGGCACGGTGGCTCATGCCTGTAATCCCAGCACTTTGGGAGACTGAGGCAGGTGGATCACGAGGTCAGAAGTTCGAGACCAGCCTGGCCAAGATGGTGAAACCGTGTCTCTACTAAAAATACAAAAATTAGCCAGAAGCTGTGGTGGGCGACTGTAATCCTAGCTACTCGGGAGGCTGAGGTAGGAGAATCGCTTGAACACGGGAGGCAGAGGTTGCAGTGAGCCAAGATTGCGCCACTACACTCTAGCCTGGCGACAGAGCAAGACTCTGTTTCAAAATAATAATAATAATAATAATAATAATAAAAAAAAAATAAAAAGCCAACCAAAACAAATAAATGCCTTTTGGAAGTTTCAAGAGAGTAGCTCAGTATCTTTCCAATAAATTCCCTTTCTGCTTAAGTTAGCAACTAAAGAATCCTAATGCTAATTACCTTCATGGACAGTGCCTTGCACACATCAGACCAGTAAAAAAAAGGAATGTTTATTTACTTCATTTGTAAACCAAAAAGAATTTGAGACAGGTCTCAATCAATTTAGAGGTTTATTTGGCAAAGGTTAAGGACCATGGCCCATGACTCAGTCTCAGGAAGTCCTGGGAACAAGTACCCAAGATGGGCTGGTTGGGATACAGTTTGGTTTTGTACATTTTAGGAAGACAGAAGTTACAGGCTAACACATAAATCACTGTATGTAAGGTACACATTGGTTTAGCCTGGAAAGGCAGGACATCTTGTAGGGAAGGGAGGTGGGGGAGCCTTCCAGATCATATGTGGATTCAAAGATTTCCTGACTGGCAATTGGTTAAAAGAGTTCAGCTCTGCCTGAACAATTGAATACAGCATAAAGAAATGCTTGCCTTTAGATAAAGGAGTTGTGGAAGTCAAGGTTCTTGTCATGTAGATGAAGCCTCCAGGTAGCAGGCTTCAGAGAGAATAGCCAGTGAATGTCTCTTAAAAGACCTTAAAAGGTGTCAGACTCTCCTAAGGGGAAGGAGATTCTCTACAGAATGCAAATTTCCCCCCACAAAACACAGCTTTGCAGGGCTATTTTAAATATGTCAAAAGAAATATATTTTCCGGAAAAATACTTTGATTTCCTTCAGGGCCTGCTATCTGTCATGTGATACTACACTAGAGTCAGGTTGGAAGTTGGTATCTTACTACTACAGAGTCTATTTTGTTAGTCTTAAGATCTCTATTTTAATGTTACTGCTGGTCAGTTGTGTCTAGACTCCAAATGGAGAAGGGTATGATGAGGCATGTCTTGACCTGTTCCCCACTTCCCATCATGGCCTGAATTAATTTTCTAAGTTTCTTTGAGGTCCCCTTGGCTGAAAGGGGGGGTCCATTAAGTTGGTTGAGGGGCTTAGAATTTTTTTTTTGTTTTACACATTCAATATATTTAAGTGCTATTTGGTCTGGAGTGATAAGAAAAATCTAAGAAAAGAATCTTAGGCATGTCAGCTATTCCTTTATCCCCTCCTTATTTCATTTCTTCCTTTCACAAAAGTGAAGATGTGAAAAACAGCACCAGCCATTGAGGTTGAAGTGAGCTGGCAGCTGGGGTGTTCTGAGGACATGCAGGATTCACTGTATACCTGCCTGTGACCTCACAGTAATATTTTTGCAGGTGTGGAGTCCTGAGGCTTAAAATAACAAATGCCACAGCTTGTAACTCTCAACCCCAAGGTTTTGTGTCTAACTATGCCCCTCCCTACTATAGTGTTTCTCTAAAAGGAAAATGGCCCATTTGGGGGTGAATTCATATTAATTACAACTTTCTTTTAGATTAATGAATTTACCTGAATGAAGAATTTGCAGAATAGTCTGTTTCTAAGCGTGAATTTATGTAGAAACAAATACTGGTGATACAATTATAAAATGTCATAATTAATCCAACAATAAGTATAATACTATTCCCTAAAAACAGTAAGTATAGTACTATTCCCCATAGTAGAGCAAATCAAGACAAATTAATTTCAGCTGTCATGTATTAGACATAAAATGAAGTACCTAAAATATATGATTAATGCACACAAAAAAATTATATTATATCAGGCCTCAACATTAAGAAAC
The DNA here is from genome assembly GCF_000001405.40 of Homo sapiens. Classification (NCBI taxonomy): domain Eukaryota; kingdom Metazoa; phylum Chordata; class Mammalia; order Primates; family Hominidae; genus Homo; species Homo sapiens. The sequence goes on along the minus strand of NC_000009.12, from coordinate 71,920,156 downwards.
ATGCTTTAGGCTGGGCATGGTGGCTTACACCTGTAATCCTGACACTTTGGGAGGCCAAGGCAGGCAGATCACGAGGTCAAGAGATCGAGACTGTCCTGGCCAGCATGGTGAAACCCCGTCTCTACTAAAAACTACAAAAATTAGCTGGGTGTGGTGATGTGCACCTGTAATCCCAGCTACTTGGGAGGCTGAGGCAGGAGAAGTGCTTGAACCCAGGAGGTGGAGATTGCAGTGAGCCGAGATTGCACCGCTGCACTCCAGCCTGGTGACAGAGATTCAGTCTCAAAAAAAAAAAAAGAAAAAAAGAAAAAAGAAACATGCTTTATTAGCTTCAAGTGGAAGCAACCTGGGAATCTAAGTATATGGAACATCCCCAAGCATAGATGAAATTATGCTGTGTGAAAGAGAGAAGAGAAAATAAAAGGTAAACAATAGTACGGATTACAATTCTTCAAAGCATTGAAAAGGGCACAAAGGAAAAGTAAAGAGCTTCACTAGCACTATTAGGTATAATATTATGTATATCATAATGCCTAGCACACCACAAATTATCTTGTCACTTGAAAAAATATGTTAAATTTAAAACAAATCAATGGAGGAGGGAATACATTTAACATAAACTCATTTAATAGCACTGGGAAACATATCAAAGAATATTTCTCAATTTGGAGAAAGATAAAAGAGGGTGACCTCTATAACACTAGAATCATCTGTAGAACGTCAGAGATGGTCAATTCAGATCTATGGTAGATTCTATGTCTGGCCAACTGCTTTGCTCAGTGGCTACCCTTAATTGCTGATGCCCATTGGCTGAGAAATAACACTTATTCCCATGACTGGCACTTCACCACTCACACTAAAATTCCTCACACCAGGGATTACATGAACCAATCTGGGTCTATTCCTTAAAGCTCAACATCTCTGGGCATGGGGAGACAGGACAAAGACCCTAACAACTGATACCAAGCTACCTGGACAAATAGTACAGTAAAGGTTTTTCCCACAGCAAAGTCTATTCATTCATTTTACAGTGTCAGGCATCACAACCCACGAAATTAGGATTACAACTTTATCTGAAACTAGAAAAAAATCAGTACCCAGGCTCAGTACCTTATATACAAAATCTACTTTGTAATGATCATCTTTACTCAACAGCAGCAGTCCCCAACCTTTTTGGCACCAGAAACGGGGTTTGTGGAAGACAATTTTTTCATGGACTAGGGTGGGGGTGGGGGATCAGGGTGGCTTTGGGATGATTCAAGTGCATTACATTTATTGTACACTTTATTTATATTATTATTACATTGTAATATATAATGAAATAATTATACAACCATAATGTAGAATCATTGGGAGCCCTAGCTTTTTTCCTGCAACTAGACGGTCCCATCTGGGGGTGATGGGAGACAGTGACAGATCATCAGGCATTAGATTCTCATAAGGAGCACACGGCCTAAATCTCTCCCATGTGCAGTTCACAATAGGGTTCACACTCCTATGAGAATCTAATGCCAGAGCTGATCTGACAGGAGGCAGAACTCAGGTGGTAATGTGAGAGTTGGGGAGTGGCTGTAAATACAGATGAAGCTTAACTCACTCACCTGCAGTTCAACTCCTGCTGTGTGGCCCAGTTCCTGACAGGCCATGGACCGATGCGGGGGTCGGGGGCTGGGGACCCCTGCTCCACAGGGAGACAAACTCAAACATCATGACTAGAGTTTGCAGATAAAGACTTACAAAAAGGTAAAGATGAAAAGACAATTAGAATTATTGTGACTTGTGGTTAGCTGAGATATTCAATATCTGTTAGAATGTTAACTTGTTTTTATTTCTGAAGAATAAAATAGTTGTCTTTTAAAATAGGAACACTAATATAATTAGTGTTCCTTCAACTTTCCCAAAACAAAAGGCAAGCAAACAAAAACAGAACTTTAAAACATCTAGGTGGTTCATCAGTCCTTTGCCTGTAATACCTATTTTTTTTCCCTCCCTGTGGCCCAGGCTGGAGTGCAGTGGCACGATCTCAGCTCACTGCAACCTCTGCCTCCTGGGTTCAAGTGGTTCCCCTGCCTGAGCCTCCCAAATAGCTGGGATTACAGGCGGCCACCACCACGCCTGGCTAATTTTTGTATTTTTAGTAGAGACGAGGTTTTACCATGTTGGCCAGGCTGTTTGCAAACTCCTGACCTCAAGTGATCTGCCTGCCTTGGCCTCCCAAAGTGCTGTGATTACAGGCATGAGCCACTGTGCCCAGCCTTCTTGGTTTTCTTTGTTTGTTTGTTTGCCTATTTTTGACTGAGGTAAAATTTATATCAATGTCATGCATAGGCCTTAAACGTACAATTTAATGAGTTTTAATATATTTGCTCTTATAATCTTCACTGCTCCTGCCACTCCAGAAAGTTTTCTTGTGCCTTTCTGGTCTCTATAGATGGAATCACATAGTATGCTCTTTTGTATCTGGTTTGTTTCCCTCCACATTAGTGTTTCCAAGATTCATCTGCTTTGCTTGTATCAGTTTTTCTTTTTTTTAAAATAGCAGAGTAGTATTCCATTGCATGCCTCTGCCACAATCAGCTTATATATATTCTCCCGTTGATAGATATTTGGAGGTTTTCCCCATTTTTGACAACTGTGAATAAAGGTGTGTGTAAACACAGAATCCTGTTCTGCTGTATAAATGCAATCATAACTAATCTTAAACTTGACAGCTTTCTGCCTAAATCAGGAGCCAAGAAAATGGACTAAATTAGTATCTACTTTCACATTAACTCAGCAAAAGGAGCCTCTGCTACAGAGCCCAGGCTGATGAGATGAGATCCACCCCAACCAGCCCACATGTATGGCATGTGATACTCCAGGGGCCACACCTCATGAGGAAAGACTCTCCCTAGAACATTTCAAACAAGCAATGTTTAGTATTGGTGGCAATAAACCACACTCATTTCTGTTCTGACCCTAATCTGGTGTCACACTGCTTCCATTACACCCAAAAATACAGTACATATATTTTTTAAAATCACACATACACATGGAGGGCTTTTGATTTACTTGCCCTTTGAATTGTCCTCCCACAGATCCCATCCAACCAATGAAGAGGCATGTGCTAATTATGTAACTCTGGGCATGTCATTCACCTCTAAGCCCTAATTTCCCAATATGTAAAATGGGATCATTTTGCATCTATCTTAGGGTTACTTTGAAGATGAAATTATTATAGATAATGTATAGCAAGTATACATAGTGCCTAAACATAGTGCCTAATACACTTAAGTACACAAATATTAGCTATAACAGGTTGAGTATCCCTAATCCAAAAAATCTGAAATCTAAAACTTTTTGAGCACCTATATCATGTTCAAAGTAAATACCTGTTGGAACATTTTGGATTAAAGAGTCTAAACTGATATAATGTAAATATTCCAAAATCTGAAAAAATCTGAAATCCAGAACACTCTGGTCCTAAGCATTTCAGATAAATAATACTCAACTTGTATTAATAAAACTATATTTCCAAAATTATTTAGAGTACACCCATAGACTTCCATTTTCCATCTCCATCTCAAGATGAAGACTATAGTTTCCTAAAATTAGTGAGCTCCACAACAAATTAGTTCAATAGGTATTATGTAAATCAAAGCGTTCCATAGCCAAGCAAGTTTTGGTTGAATAATTTTTTAACTGCAAAACATTGATTTATTCCAATGTATACTACGACCCACCTCTAAAAGTGAGATCTAGTATACAGTATTTCCAAAGTGATTTGATCATGAAATTTTCTCCTGCCCTATGAAGAAGATACATGACCTTGGGGCTCTAAGAAATATATTTTGGGAAATGCTATTAAAAACAATACTGACTATATATATATTATTAATAGCATCCTCAAAAGGATGACAGATGCTCCTCCATTTAGTTTAATGTTACTCATCCTTCTGATTTTTGGGGAGCTTTCCTTAACCCTCCAAACATAATCAAGACTTCATGCTATTATAGATACTCTCAGGGCTCCCTAGACCGTTCTTTCATAGCTCTTACTGCTGTAGTATTAACATACTTGAAAGATTATTTGATTAATGCCTGTCACTTCTCCCACCAAATCACAAGCTTCAATTAAGACTGTGACTGTATATTTTGCTCAACCCTATACTTCCAATATCTAGCACAATGTTTGGTACCAGATAACACATGTGGAATACAGACAGGAATACCAGAATTTCACTGCGGCCTTTTTGGCATAGTGCAAAACTGAAAACAACTCAATGTTTATTAATAGGAAAGTAGTTAAATAAGCTAATCCACATTTGTGCTGTATAATATTACACAGCCATTTAAAAAATAAGCTTAATCTTTCTGTTCTGACACATCCACTTTACTGAATGAGAAGGGCAAAGATGTATTTTATTACATATGCACTGTATCATACAGACATATCTAGAAATGTACACATCAAAGTGTTAACAGTGACTATATCTGAACAGGACTAAAACTGGGAACAGAGACTTTCACTTTTATACAGTACCTTATATACTTCTCTATTGTTTCAGTATTCTTCAACAAGCATGCATTTCTTTTCTAATTAATTTTTTTAGGCTTTGATCAACTGCAGGGCCACATAAATTATTATGGGCTTTATTCTTAGTTCTTATTTTTATCCCTATTTCTTAAAAATATTTTTGTAGCTGGGTACGGTGGCTCACACCTGTAATCCCAGCACCTTGGGAGGCCAAGGTGGGCAGATCGCTTGAGGTCAGGAGTGACCAACCTGGCCAACATAGTGAAACCCCATCTCTACTAAAAATACAAAAATTAGCCAGGCATGGTTGTGTGCCCCTGAAATCCCAGCTACTTGGGAGGCTGAGACAAGAGAATCACTTGAACCCAGGAGGTGGAGGTTGTGGTGATCCATATCACGCCACTGCACTCCAGCCTGGGCGAGAGAGCGAGACTCTGTCTCAAAAAAAAAAAAAAAATAATAATAATAATTTTTGTAATGATCTCTGTAGCAATCCTCAGAGGAAAGTAAGACAAGAGATAGTACTAACCCAGTATCATAGATTAAAAGCTATAGGTAAATTGCCTGACATCATCAAGCAAAACAAATGACAGAACTGGGGCTAAGGAATGGCTCTTTTCTCTTAGTCCAGTGCTCTTTTCGTTGGACATCACTGCCTTTCCAGTAAGGGAAAGAAGGCTGCCTTGATCTGCTCAACATCTCAGTACTAAATGACTAGAAAAGATTTAAACCTATTCCCACTGCCGACCCTCTGAATCCCCATAAGTCATTTGAGGGTACCGGTGACCAATGGCCAGAGGGACCTCTTTTAAATAACCCCAGGGAAGAGGAGGTTACAAATCCCGGCGCAAGCCCCTTCACTGTCAGATAATTCCCTCATATTGAGCTGAAACCTATTTTTGTTACTTTGATTCCCTGGTCCAAGTTTGGCCATTTGAAATGGCACAAAATTTGAATATACTCTCCTTTTCTAGAGTATATTCAAGCATATAAAGAAAGCTATCATCTGTGTCCTTTTGAGAATGAGTGCTTTACCTATATTAACTTCCAATAAAACATCTGTAATTATCCAACTTCTAATTGCAGTGAGTCCTAACAAACTGCTTGGCAGAGGAGGAAAAGAAAAACTATCATGTAGGACCCCTACCAAATCATAAAGTATTTAATACAAGTAGTCAATTGTTACTACAGTCCTCTAAGGCAGGGGTGTCCAATCTTTTGGCTTCTCTGGGCCATACTGGAAGAATTGTCTTGGGCCACACATAAAATACACTAACACTAATGACAACTGATGAGCTTAAAAAAAAAAAAATCACAAAAAAATCTCATAATGTTTTAAGAAAATTTACGAATTTGTGTTGGGTTGCATTCAAAGACGCCCTGCACCATGTGTTGGACAAGCTTGCTTTATGGGGAGTTACAGAGAACCGTGCATTTTTTATCACTCCTTTGTTAGATGTCACCAGATCAAATAGCTTTCCAGTGTAAAGAACAGGCACAAAGTTAGGATCAGATGCTTCTGACAAAGTCTTGGCTTTAGATGGCTACTCATAGCAGATGCAAGAATCTGTTATGATCACAGACAATTATTAGCTATTCATTACACAGATGAACAATCAACCGAATGATTTTTCCTCAGTAAAATATTTTGTGTTGTTTTTGTCAGAACCTTCAATAATGAAGTGGCCTGGTGGTCCTCCTGATTAACAAATGAGACTTTTTCATAACTTAAAAGAGGGAAAGGAATTAAAGATAAAAAGATAAAAATGGTCAAATGCAACTTAGTGACTGAACCTGAGACCCAGGAAAACATTTAGGACCAGAATGACATAGTTATTAGATAACACCAAGAAAATGCACAATGAAAAGTACAAGTAGGAGAAGCTACACTATAGTTAAATACTCATTAAAACTGCTTTTTACGAAAACAGACATGAAAAACAATCAAAAGCAAATGTTTGTGCACAACCTTAGGGTAAGAATACACAAGACGCAGACATCTATTTGGAATAGTGCAGCTTTTTATTTTTATTCTGGTTTACCTATTGATAATGGGAGCAAACTTGGGAAAGTCTTCCCAAATGTTGCTTCAGGTTTTCATTCTGAAAAACCTCTCAACCTAAGTGGGGGAAAGGAGAGCACTTAATTTAAAATATTCTTCCTTATTCTCCCTTACTGAGCTGTGTTGCCCTTCACCAATATTTATCATAATTTGTATTTACTTATCTTTCTGCTTTCTTTTTGCCCATATCACCTAGAAACTATAAACTCCGTGAAGGGAGAGTCAGCTCTTTTGAACACGGTATACCTATGAACACAGGGCCTTGCACACGGAAGGTGCTTATTAAATATTTGTAGAATAAGCAAAGAAAGAAAGAGGAAAGGAAAAGGAGATCACAGGTTACCAAAAACAGATGACTTTGCTTTCCCAATCAATGTCGGGAAATTAATCACTTATTGAACACTTACTATGACCTAGGCCATTTATGCATAATCATATAGTTTCGCCTCCCAACAATCCTGACAAATTTGCATTTGAGACCAAAGTAAGGCTCAGAGAAATTAAATATTATACAACTCACTCAAGCCGCACACCTAGTAAATTTGAGCTCCATAACTTTTGTGAATATTAGGTTTATCTGAGTGATGCTGGCCCCTAATATGCCCCTGTTGTCAATGATTTTCTCTCCATACAGCTATGGAGACAGGGAGAGAGATTCACAGCAAAGAGCAAATTAGTAGTTTTTTGTTTTTGTTTTTTGAGACGGAGTCTTGCTCTGTCGCCCAGGAGTGCAGTGATGTGATCTCAGCTCACTGCAACCACCGCCTCCAGGGTTCAAGCGATTCCCCTGCCTCAGCCTCCCGAGTAGCTGGGATTACCGGCACCCGTCACCACGTCGGCTAATTTTTGTATTTTTAGCAGATTGGGAGTTTCGCCATGTTGGCCAGGTCGTTCTCGAACTTCTGACCTCAGGTGATCCGCCCACCACCTCGGCCTCCCAAAGTGCTGAGATTACAAGCGCCCGCCACCACGCCCGGCTAATTTTTGTATTTTTAGTACAGATGGAGTTTCGCCATGTTGACCAGGTCGTTCTCGAACTCCTGACCTCAGGTGATCCACCCGCTTCGGCCTCCCAAAGTGCTGGGATTACAGCACTTTGAGCCACGGCGCCCGGCCTGCAAATTAGTACTTATATACAACCCAAGTCCTCTGGCTATCTAGACAGTCTGAATTTTTTAGCAGGACTTTACAGAAGTCCTGCTAAAGATAAACAGCAAAACAAGTATTTTTACATTAACCAAATATTTTTATCTTCAAAACAATTGTTACAAAACAGAAATTTCACACAATACTAGTGAGGACAGCCTAAGACAGCTTAATCATTCACATTTCCTCTATGGGCTTGGGGTTTTTGGAAAAAAAAATCGTAGCTGCATAAACTTGGTGTAAAATTTGAAAAAGCCACTCATGCCACAATCCTCGTTTCCCTCTGCTAATGTGATCCAGATGGGAACGCTGAACGACGTAACTGCCCCATCTGCACCTTAGATTTCATTAGGGTCCTGTTCACTCTGTGCAATTAGTTAAGTGTGCTGACCATCAAATATTTACCAGGAGACAACATGTCCAGGTCAAAGAAAGGGCGTGAGAATAACATTTTAGAAAGAGTTGCACTGCAGCCAAGACTAACTCTGGGCTGCGGTCCACACTCGCCCCAGCCGACTCCTCTCATTTCCTCTCTCCCCTCTCCAGTGAGCCATTCCTTCCTGGAGTCAAAGACGGTGCAACAGGCAGGTTCCTACCTTGGTCTGCACACTTTTATCGAACTTGTCATTTTTGAAGCTAAACGTATTCTGGTGCTTCTGAGGTCTGGAACGAGCCACGTTGCCTTTCTGGGAGCTCATCGCCGAAATCAAAGCCACCCCTCGCCGGGAGCAGGCAAAAGGATGAGGGGAAAGAAAACCAACGAACTACTCCCAGGAATTGACGCTTCTGTCAATGACCCGGAAGAAACAAACGCAGCCTTTCCGCCCCGGCTCTGGGTCAGCCCACGTGACTCTTCTGGGAGGTCAAAGAGCATCGCTCTGCCCTCCCTGCTGTTAAGCCAAGCCACTCCACGCGGCGCAGCCTCGACCCCTCCGGCTCCGCGCAGCCTCTTTCTCAAACCCGGAGAACAAGTCCCACTTTCTTCGAAATGAGAATTCCCCCATTGGCCCGAATGTGTAGTCCATCAAATCAAAGGGGCGGGGAACCTTTGTTCCTATTGGTTCTTCTTTTCCGCAATCCCCGCCTCCTGCTGAGCGAGCTCAGCCTCTCCTTGAGCTCAGAGCGCCTCCCACCCTGCCGGGCGGCCTCTGATTGGTGGAAGTGAGGCAAGGCTGGGCTCCGTCTCTCCCCCCGCCCGCTAGTAGGCTGGAGCCGGGGTCAGCTTTGGCACCTTCCTCCAGTCAGTGGCCAACTCCTGGCTCAGTGGGGATTGTGCTCGTCCCCTCCGTTCCCCTCCAGTCTTCCTCCCGCTACCGGAACGAGCCTCGCGCTTGGCAGGCTGAGGAGGAGCAAAGAAAGCAGGATTAAAGAGAAGGAAGACCTGGCTAGGTCTGGGTGGCGTCTGCAGTGCCAGAAAGGGAGGCGGTGGCGGCGGCGGCTGCGACCACGGCCGCGCGGGACGTGAGGCCCGAGAGCAACCGACGGGCAGCGGCGGCCGCTCCAGCGCCCCGCACCGGGGCCGTTAGTCAGCAGAACGCGAGCTCTTGTGGAGGAGCAGGGCCGGCGCGAGGCGAGACTCGGGAGCGTGAGCGGGGCCCCTGGGGCGCCGCCGTCCTTCTTCGCCCCGGCGCCGGGGGCTGTAGCCCTGGTCCCCGCTCCTCTGTCGGGCCAGTCTGCAGGCGGAGAGAGTCGGACGGCGCCCGGAGCGCGGATCTCGCCTTGTGGAGGACAGCGCGTCGGCTGCGGTTCTCTCTCGACCCCTTCTGCCCGGCGCTTCGGCCCGGGCCGCTCAGGTGCAGGTGCGTGCGGCCTCGGGGTTTGGGGACGCCGCAGCCCGGCTCGGGGAGGGGGCGCTAGGCCGGGAGCCGCAGCGCGGGAGGGACGAGCCCGGGCCGGCGGGGGGAGGGGAGCGGGAAGCGTCTTTGTTGTTGGCGACCGGGATCCCTTCTCGGCACAGGGGAAAGGCGGGGAAGCCACTCCTCATCGGGTCTGTGTTTTTGAGAGGATTCTCTGATGGTTGCGTGAAGGGGAGCGGTAGGACAGTCCCTGCGGTCCGTGGAGCGGCCGGAGTCAGGGGGTGGGGGAGGGAGGACCGACCGACACTCTAAGAAGGTCTTTGGTCCTCCTCGGTGAAGAGAAGGGTTCCATTTCATTTCCTTTGCTTTTCTCTCAGTGGATGAAAAGATGGGGTCAGGTTCCCATTCCCCTCACTGGCGCACTGAGAGATTCGCGGGTGCCTAAAAGCTTTCTCCTGAATGTCCTTATATCTCTGTCGGGCGCGATTTTAGATTGAATCTGCACGGGGCTTGGCGATTTGTGTATTCCGGTGGGGCTGTCGTAGGGTTCTTTTTCTTTAGATGGTTGGGCTTTAATCTTATTTGTTTTCGAACTCTAAGGTAGGCTTATCAGGAATCGTTTTTGAATTGGAAAATTTAAAGGTTTTGTTTGGGATTTTTTTTAACCCCGAAACAAAGTTATGTCAAATTAGATTGTACTGTGTGGGGGCTCTCGTGAAGGAAAGAGTGTATTTAACCTGGGGTTTTTGTTTAAAAAAAAAAAAAGTTCAGATCTTTGATCTTTGGTGAGATCTCTGCCAATGCCAGAAGAGAATTTTTTGTAAATGATGCTTTAAGTCAGTGTGAAGTAGATTTGGTAAGCAAAAGGATGAATAACGGAATACAGAGGGTGACCTTTAAATTTCGCTGTTTATGAAATGTGTTCCTGTTTAATACTTTTTGTGATATATGATGCTTGATCTATAGATGATTCATTTGGAATTTTTTTATGCCTCTAATAAATCTTTGGAGATCTTGTGCCAACATATGAAACTATAATACCTAATGAGTCGGAGTAGAAAGCCAGATACATGTTGTAATAACGTTAATCTGTTTAGATTAACAGGGAAATTTACATTAAAATGAACTTTTTTCCGTAAAGAGTTTCTCTACATATGTTTATAGCATGAATTTCAGTTGGGTGACATCTAATGATAGCCAGTATTTTGAAAATTGTCATGATTGCTAGTATTCTAATTTGAGACTGCTCAACTTGTTGGTAAGTTTTTATTTGGAGAATAGGGGTCGTGTTACTTAAGGAACAGCAGAGGTAAAAATCTCTGTTGTGCAGTAATTGTCATATCATTTGAAATCCAGAAGGAAATGAATGGCACCTTCACCTATATTTTGACCTCTCTTTTCTCCTACTCTAGTGTTAATAAGGTTAATTGGCAAGGACAGGATTAGATTTTTAGCAGGCTAGGCAGTTTTAATTTTGTCCCTTAGTGTGCAGTATTCTAGTTGATGAGTAGCTTGTTTCCTTGAGTATCTTTGCCCATTTTGAAATGTTTATGAAATGACTGCTGACAAAGAATTTTCTGTTTCCTGGGACAAACAAAATCACCAAAAAACATCATGAAAAAATAATGTTTTTAGTAGCTTAATGAACACAGAAGAATTAAGCAATTAGTGTCTGTTCCAAGTTTGACACTGAATTGGTCTACAACTCCAGGCACGCTATCCCACATCTGAGTCAGTTTTCTCCATCTGTAATATAGGGCTGATAAAATGTGCCACCTGCTCACTTTATAAAAAGGGGAGTGAGAACCATGTAAGCAACAGTTACTCTGGTTATGTGACATTGATATAAGTTAAATGAGAATACTTTTTAATGCAGTGCTCTTACTTTGTTTTGATATTATGAATTTCAATCATTTGATGAACAGTTAGCATAAAGATAAGGAGAATGACTCTCCCTATGCCATCATTTAAGAATTAAAATTTCTTCCGTATTAAGATTGGTGTTAAGATCTTTAGAAGCAGTGATGACAAGAAAATAGAGTATATTTTATTGGTTGGTTTATTTACTGGTAGATTTTACTTCTGATTTATCCAAAGTTTTGCTCTTAATTCTGAAAATTCCCCCTACCCTTCCTACTCTTTAAAATTTCTCACATACATTGCCCCATTTGCCTGTCGAATCCAGCCTTGTGAGTTGGAGAGAGGGAAGGTGAGTTTGTGGCCTTTTTTTTTTTTTTTTTTTTTGAGACGGAGTTTTGCTCTTGTTGCCCAGGCTGGCGTGCAATGGCGCGATCTCGGCTCACTGCAACCTCTGCTTCCCGGGTTCAAGTGATTCTTCTGCCTCAGCCTCCTGAGTAGCTGGGATTACGGGCACCCGCCACCACTCCCGGCTAATTTTTTGTATTTTTAGTAGAGATGGGGTTTCACCACGTTGGCCATGCTGGTCTTCAACTCCTGACCTCAGGTGATCCACCCGCCTTGGCCTCCCAAAGTGCTAGGATTACAGGTGTGAGCCACTTCACTGTTTGTGGAATTTTTACAGATGAAATAAATAAAGCCCAGATAAGTTAATTATTTCAATTGCCTAAAGCTAAGCAATTAGTAAGAAGTAGAATTGAGGCTTGAACTTGGGTCTTCTCTAGTCCTGAATCCTTTGCTTTGGAGCAGTGTTTTCCAAACACCTGTTCATGCCCAAGAGTTTTGTCCAAGTGAAGTGAGAACTAACATAGCAATATAAATGTTGGTGCCATACAATATAATGAATATCCATGTACCCATCACCCAGTTAAACAAACAAAACTACCAATTAAAACGAAGTGTCCGGCCAGGCTCGGTGGCTCACGCCTGTAATCCCAGCACTTTGGGAGGGAGGCCGAGGCAGGCGGATCACCTGGGGTCGGGAGTTAGAGACCAGCCTGACCAACATGGAGAAACCCCGTCTCTACTAAAAATACAAAATTAGCCGGGTGTGGTGGTGCTTGCCTGTAATCCCAGCCACTCGGGAGGCTGAGGCAGGAGAATCGCTTGAACCCAGGAGGCAGAGGTTGTGGTGAGCCAAGATAGCACCATTGCACTCCAGCGTGGGCAGCAAGAGCAAAACTCTGTCTCAGAAAAACAAAAACAAAAAACGAGGTTTCCTTAGTATGTTAATACCTCTCTTAAATGCTGTTCCCTTTTCCCCCCGATATCTAACCAGTGACCCAAAGTTGACATGCATCCTTCCTATATCCACGTGTTGATACTTAACTACATACCTTTATCCTATGAACATTATATATATATAGTTTTATTTTGATTGTCTTAAGACTATTTAAATACAGATATCTTTATTTAGCTTGCTTTCTTCACACAACTTGGCCAAGATTTATCTATGTTTATTTAGGTAGCTCTAGTTTATTTACTTTTACTGTTAGGTGGTATGTGCTCTGTTATATAACTATGTCAGGTTTCTGTTGATGGTCATTTTTGTTGTTTCCATTTGTTTGCTATTAAACAGTACTATAAGGAATATTCCTGTATATGTTAGGTATCTGTTGTGTAAGACTTCTAGAGCAGTGGTTCTTGACCCTACCTACATCCCATGTTCATAGAAAATATTTTACAGTACTTTAAAGAAAGCATTGGCCTTAATAAAATAAGAAAAAATTGTAATAAAGTAATATGTGTTTCACTTTGTAAATACTCGAGCTCAAGACTACATTCAAGATTAGCCACCAAGTGTAATGGTCGACCAGCAACATCAGAATCCCTTGGGAGCTTGTTGGAAATGCAGAGCATCAGACTTTAACCTACTGATGCAGATGCTGTTTTTTTTTTTGTTTGTTTGTTTGTTTTTTAATAATGTAAAAGACAGGATCTCTGGAGCCATACAACTCACTGTAACCTCAAACTCCTGGGCTCAAGGGATCCTCCCACTTCAGCCTCCTGAGCATCTGGGACTACAGGTATGCACCATCAAGCCTGGCTAATTTTTAGATTTTTTACAGAGACAGGGTCTTGCTATCTTGCCCAGGCTGATCTTGAACTCCTGGCCTCAAGTGATCCTCCCTCCTCAGTATCCCAAAGCACTGGGACATTGGGATTACAGACATGAGCCACTGTGCCCGGCCAGATGCTGTATTTTATCAAGATTCCCAGGTGATGCATATACGCATTGAAATATAAGAAGCACTGCTAAAAGAAATAGTAGTAATTAGACGCTTTGTACCAATGGATGGTGTCTCCATCAATACAACAGCTACAGATTAAAACAGGTATGTTAGCCATTCAATTACCAATGCTGGGCCTGTCATTGGTGGAAAAGTGGAAAATGATTTTCTGAAATAACAAACTATCCTCAGAAAAGTTTAAACAGAAATAAAAGTGCAATCTTACCTCTTTACACAATGATTGCATTCATAACAAATCATCTATGTTAAAACTATACAAATAAACTTGGTATTAAATCCTGTTTAGAATTATCTGACATTAGTGGGTTTTTTTTCCTCTTTCTGTTCCCCTCTATGAATGTCCAGCAGAATATTCAAGTCATGAGGCATGGAGCAGCACTATTTGTTTATTTACTTACTTATTTATTTATTTATTTTTTGAGACAGATTCTCACTCTGTTGCCCAGGCTGGAGTGTAGTAGCATGATCACTGCCCACTGAACCCTCGACCCCCGCCAAGCTCAAACAATCCTCCCACCTGGGCTTCCCGAGTGGCTGGGACTACAGGCATGCACCACCACACCCAGCTAATTTTTGTATTTTTTTTGTAGAGACAAGGATTTCACCATGTTGGCCAGGCTGGTCTTGAACTCCTGAGCTCAAGTGATCTGCCTACCATGGCGCTGCACCCCACCTGCCCCCTCCAAAAGTGCTGGGATTATAGGTGTGAGCCACTGCGCCCAATCTGAGCAGCACTTTCTTTATGCAAGAAAAGTGCCTGGCATTCCTGGCCTCTATTTAGTAGTGCCCCTCATTCATTATAGTAGCCAAAAGCTGTCATTGAGAAAGATTGCCCTGGTTTATAAATCTGGTAGTAGGTTGCTAGATCACAGCGTATGAATGTCTTCAACTTTATTAAATAACTGTCAGTTTTCTGTACAAAGTACAACTTCCAGTCCATAATGCATGAGAGAGGGTCTGCTTGTCTGCATTTCAGATATTTTAGAAGGTAGAAAAATATTAGTAGTAATATTTTATTAATTTTTGCCATTCTGAGGAGTATGAAATGGTACCTCATTGTAGTTTTTATTTGCATCTTGTTTTAATGTATTCTTTGTAATAATACTTGGTAGGCATTAAAAATATCTTCCAGCCTGGGCAACATGATGAAACCCCGTCTCTACTAAAAATACCAAAACTTAGCCGGGTGTAGTGGTGGGCGCCTGTAATCCCAGCTACTCAGGAGGCTGAGACAGGAGAATCGCTTGAACCTGGGAGGCAGAGGTTGCAGTGAGCCGAGATCGCGCCACCACACTCCAGCCTGGGGGACACAATGAGACTCCGTCTCAAAAAAAAAAACAAAAAACTTCTTCCACTCTTTAGCATGCATTTTCACTTTAAATATGTTGTCTTTTAATGACTAGAAGTTTTTTAATTTTAATATCAAATGTATCATTCTTTTGGAGAAAGCCTTCTCTATACTGGGGTTATAAAAATTCTTTCAGAGCATCTTTTAAGAGTTCACATTTAGATCTTAAATTTTTGTTGAACTGTTTGTATATAATGAGGTGCTCATGGATCTAAATTTACTTAAAAATGACTGCCCTTTATTGTGAAATTAGGTAATTTTTTATGTTAAGATGTTCTGATGAAATTACAGTGATAGTAATTGTTTTTAGTTCTTAATATCCCTTTGTGTCAAAATTAAAATTTGACACCTCTTTCATTCCAACTTTTCTCTTTTTTACTTTACCTGTTTTTTGAAATCCCTAAGGTTTGGTAACTACTACTTTAGTGTACTCTGATTCTTATGTTTCATCTGTGTCTCACATTTACCCACTACAGCATCATCAAATGTGAGTAGACACTCTTAAATACTAATCATTGATCCTCATCTGCATCTTCCACATTTCGGAGTTTGCTTGACATGTCTTTTCACCACTTTTTATTATGGCTAGGATTTTAAAAATGATACTGATGACCCTAATTTTTTTTTAACAGAATAGAATTTCAGGCTAAATTTAAATGTTACTTGAATATAAATTTTTCTCAGCTATAGGGTCAAACTTCTTTGTTTTCCTAGTAATTAAAAGTGAGAATGATCAAACAAGTTCTTGCATACAGCTAAAGCTGAAAAACGGGAAAGGAAAATTGGGCCAGTGTTCACTGGGTACCAGTCACTATTCTGGGAATGGGAGGGTGGGGATGACGTCTATGAGCAAAACAAGCAAAGCTCCCTAGCTTCCTGGAGCTTATCACCTACCAGAGGCCCACTGATAATATGCACAACAAATAATATATTAGAAAGTGATAACTGCTTTGGAATAAAAGAAAACATAGAGAGGGGTAAGGTGGACCAAAGGAGTTAGTTGAACCTGTTAAATAGGGAAGAAGAGAATGGGCAGAGATGTGCAGTCAGTGAGAGTATTAGCAATTCAGATATTAGCAAAATACTGGAAGAGTGGATAGAATATGGTCTTTAAGTGAAACCTGTGTTCCTGGCTCTCTCCACCTTTAAGTTGTGTGAACTTGACAAGCTAATTAACTTAACCTGAATTCTTGATTTCTTCATGATAACCTGGGAAAAGTATTATTAAGATTAAAAGATATAACAAGTGAAAGTGCCTACTTCCCGCCCCCCACTTGTTCTCATAGCACTCTGTACTTTATTTTCATAGCATTTATTACGGTCTATAATTATCTGTGTCATTATTTGATAAATATTTATCTCACTCATTCTAAAACATTGATGGAAAGAACCAGTCAGTGCAGTAAATCTATTTTGTTAACATACAGTCATTTGTAGACAAACCCTAAACCTTTTTCATGTAAAAATCATCTCATGCAGATTTATTGAGAAAGTGTTTTGTACTTATAGAATGTCTTTATGCTAGAGCTTCAGATTATATTACAGGTATTAGCCCATTAATTACCATATGTCATCTTTGTGATGAAGGCAATGGATATGTATCATCTTGCAGTTGAAGGAACTGAGGTTGCTAATTGCATAGAGACAGAAAATCAGAGAATTTGGATCAAATCTGATTACATTTGATTATATTTTCCTTTCTTTTCTTCAATAGTGTTAACATGGACTCTCTTTAAAGTATAAAAGCAAAAATACGTAGATTGTTGGAAAATCACTAGCAAACAAGCAATTAATATTTTAGTTATGACTTTTCAGTTTTTTCCTCATGAGAAGCTTCTTATAGTGTCTGAGGTGATGTTAGAATTCTATGCATGTAGCAAACACATGTACCCCATAAATAGGTAAAATATTATCTATCAGTGAAAAAAAAAAGGATGACAATAGTTAGAGGCCTTTACACTTAAAAATACTTTATACAGATAAATACTTTTTAAAATTATGGCTTATCAGAGTATTTAAGATTTATGTTGAGGATGTAGTCACATTAAAAGGGTAGGATTTAGAAAATGCATAGCACATGCCTAATGTAGATCAGAGTGAAGAAAGGGGGTTGAAATAACTTCATTTACTTGGTGCAGCCAAGTCTCCATTCCAATCACAAGAAACTTGAAGTAAAGCAAGTGCCTCCAGGAACAAAAAAGACATTATCAATCATGTCAAACTTGTTTGGCTTCTGAATTTAGATGTTTTTTTAAGTTTGTTTTGAAAATTAAAATCAATGGAAATAATTCGTATAATAAACTTTTCCCAAAAATGTCATCTGCAGATTGTGACCTAGATATTTTGTTTCTGATTACTGTCCTGCTTAGTGTGCTGATAATTTTTCACTCTAGCTCTGTGGACCCAACCCCTAAAAGTAATGATTATTCTCTGCATATCAGTTATTAGCAAAGAAAATGTCATTTAGTAACTTGTGTTGGCAAGCCTACATCTGAAACACTACAAGTTACATTTTCTTCCGAGCTTTTTAACAGACCTCATTGTCACTTTTATTAATCAAATAGTTAGGGGCTGATCACAGTCCCTTTACAACTAATTGATAACAACCTGCTACAGACTTCTTTGTTCCTTCTCCAGTTCCACTGCTTCATTTGACTAGCCTGAAAAAAATAAAAAAACTAAAAGGGTGGGGGTGGGGTGGAAGGTGGGGGTAATGAGATAATAGCCAGAAGCAGGACTTTACATATATAAAGGGCGTTCTGATACAAACCCCTAGGGTAATGGCTTTCCATTTTTCATTAGATTCTATAAAAAATACATTTTGCTTCATAACCTAGTTCATACACATGCACCCAAAAACCAAAATAAGTCTCACTAAAGAGATTATCTAAATTAATCAGCATGGGCACGGGTCAGGGGAGACTGTTTTTGCCCCCTACGGAAGGAAGTACAGCTTAAACAGAGGTTTAAAAACTAGTAAAAGTTTCATTTATTTGAAGGGGGAGTGATGAGTTGGGGAGATTTTATCAACAAAAAAGGAACTATATGTGATAAGGCACAGAAGCAGAAAAGAACCTCTCTTAGCGAGGAACAGCCTGTTAAATTAAATAAATGAATCGGACAGTGCTCAGAAATAAGGCTAGAGACCAAGGAGGGTAGGGGGAATCATGTATAGCATGCCAGAGAATTTAGACTTATTTAAGAGGGCTTGAAAGGCCCATTGGAACATTTTAAACAGGAAAGTGACATCACCTGGTGGCAGTGTAGAGCATGGATTAGGGGGGTATGAAATAGATATTAGTGAGTGATTTTATAACATTCATTGAAAAGTCGTTGAGCTAAAAATGTGGCTAAGAGGTTTGGAGAGAGGTCCATAGGAAGTAGACCTTGATTGAATGAGAGGAATGAAGAGGGGGATGGGGAAAGAGTGAAATGCAGGTGGAGATATTTCAGAGTCTAGAGTTTAAGGGGAGAGACCTGAAATCTTAGAGATTTAGATTTTTAGATCTAGGTAACATTGTAGTATAAAGGGTAGTTAAAGCATTAGGTTTAGGTGCGATAAAAAGAGGAAAACAAAAGACCAATCTATAAAAATAAATAAATAGGTTAAAAAAGAGTTTGAAGAAACCATCAGAGAAACCAAGATTGAAGGTTAATTTCAAGAAGGAAGGAAAGGACAACGATGTTAAATGCTATAAAGTGATCCTGTATAAATTGAAGATTGAAAAACACCTGTTATACTTCGAAATTGTTAAGAGGTTGTCAGTGATCCTACAAGTTGATGATAGATGTTATATTACAATTCATTTTGGGCCTGACAGGGAATATTGGTAAGTGAGAAGTAAAGAGGTTTGATTCTGAAAAAAGAAAAACAAAAAACAAACAAAAAAAACAACTCAGGTACAGTAGGTAGAATCTAGATACAGATACATGCAAAAAAAAAAATTATTTATTTATTTATTTATTTTGAGACAGAGTCTCGCTCTGTCTTCCAGGCTGGAGTGCAGTGGCACGATCTCGGCTCACTGCAAGCTCCGCCTCCCGGGTTCAGGCCATTCTCTTGCCTCAGCCTCCTGAGTAGCTGGGACTACAGGCGCCCGCTACCATGCCCGGCTAATTTTTTGTATTTTTTTTAGGAGAGACGGGGTTTCACAGTGTTAGCCAGGACGGTCTCAATCTCCTGACCTTGTGATCCACCCACCTCGGCCTCCCAAAGTGCTGGGATTACAGGCGTGAGCCACTGCACCCAGCCCATGCAAACATTTTTTAGGCAAGTGCATGAACTCTGATGTGGAAACAGCTTCATGCTTTCAAGATACTGAAAGATGGTGAGTGAGAGAGGCTGCAACTATAGTGATGAGGGGGGGATAGTATCAAGATATGGTTGGAGGAGTAAGCAAAAGCCACTTGACACAAGGCCTTTAAGGACCTGTGGAGAAGTTTGACTTTTTTTTTTTTTTTTTTTTTGGAGATGGAGTCTCACTCTGTCGCCCAGACCAGAGTGCAGTGGCATGATCTTGGCTCACTGCAACCTCAGCCTCATGAATTCAAGCGATTCTACCACCTCAGCCTCCCGAGTAATCCTGGGATTACAGGCACACGCCATCACGCCTGGCTAATTTTTGTATTTTTAGTAGAGACGGGGTTTCACCCTATTGGCCAGGCTGGTCTCGAACTCCTGTCCGCCTCAGCCTCCCAAAGTGCTGGGATTACAGGCACGAGCCACCGTCCCCGAACCTTGATTTTTTTACAAGTAGAGAGAGAAGCCATCAAGGAGTTTTTAAGCGGGAAATCACCTTGTAGGCCGTCTAGAAAAGAAACTGTAGATTAGGAGAACATATGAATGGAAGAAATTCACATTTACTCAAATATTTTTCTTTGTGTTTACTCGCACATTTTGAGTTGTTCTTTCTGTTTTCTTATTCTATATAACCCTAGTTAGTCCTTTCATTTCCTCATAGTGAGAAACTAGTACAAAAAGGATAGAAAAGGCAATCTTAATAAATTCAGAGAATTGCATTTGTTCTTATTTACAATTAAAGATGACATAAATTGACTTTTCAATTGAACTGTCTTTTTTGGGGTTTAGACTTTTAAGATATTAAAGTCAATGAAAATTTCCTGCCTATCTGATACTGTTCTGGCTTGTTTTTAGTAAGGCTCCTAAAGAATTTACTTTTCTTTTAGAAATGTCATTTAGAGGCTTTTAAAATATTCTCAGTATTTTTAATGGAATGTAGAATTAAAGTGTTTTTTTTTTCCTGTAAGGACAAGGCAGGAAGAGAGCCATATTTAGCTGCATAAAGATAATGTTAACATAGGATATGATGTCCCCGAAATAGGCAGTTTACAGAGAAGAGGGAGGATTTAGTATAATTTTGCCAGAGAAGCTCTATGTCTCATAGTGCATTATTTTCACATTAAAATTGAGGCAGTAGGGGGCATAGAGCTCATTTAAATAGAATTATAGCCAGAACCTTCATTTTCCAACTCTTGGGCTAGTGCTCCTTCCACAATTCCTATATTTCCTACAGGTCCAAGTAATGTTGTCAAAGATATATTTAATTCATCTAATAACAGGGTCCGTGGGATCCCTGCCTAAAAGGGTATTCAAGACCATTTAGTAACCTGATGTGCAACATTTGTAAGGGTGAGCAAACCACCCATCTTAAATGCCTGCTTTCTTCCTTATCACAAAGAAGTATTTACACCAAAGATACCCTAGACATATAGACTACCAAATAAAAACTACAGGCTCAGCCTATGAGATTCATCTCAAATAAAGGATTTGCCTCAATGTTTTTACAAACCTCTTCTGCTTTCCTCCATCCCACTCTTCCCCAGTTGCATTACTTGGCATACAGCTTTGGAAACATTGTTCTGTCAGCTTTGGCTAAAATACTTTTCACACCTACCCTAGGACATTTCTTTGAAAGAAAAAACAAAAACAGTATTTGCTTGTATTGTTGCTACTCAGCTCTCTTTTTTTTTTTTTTCCCTGAGAGTCTTGCTCTGTCGCCCAGGTTGGAGTGCAGTGGCACAATCTCGGCTCACTGTAGCCTCTGCCTACCGGGTTCAAGCTATTCTCATGTCTCAGCCTCTTGAGTAGCTGGGATTACAGGCATGCACCACCACACCTGGCTTATTTTTGTATTTTTAGTAGAGATGTGGTTTCACCATGTTGGCCAGGCTTGCTCTGAAACTCCTGACCTCAGGTGATCCATCCACCTCAGACTCGCAAAGTGCTGGGACTACAGGTGTGCACCACCACGCCTAATTTTTTTGGTAGAGACAGAGTTTTGCAATGTTGCCCAGGCTGGTCTCAAATGCCTGAGCTCAAGTGATCCACCTACCTCGGCCTCCCAAAGTGCTGGGATTGCAGGTGGGAGCCACCACTCCCAGCCAGAGATTTGTTTTTAAATTTCTCACATGTCTAAACCCGCCCTTTCCCATGTGTGTTGTTTGTTTGTTTGTTTGTTTGAAATAGAGTTTCACTTTTGTTGCCCAGGCTGGAGTGCAAAGGCACGATCTTGGCTCACCGCAGCCTTCGCTTCCTGGGTTCAAGCGATTCTCCTGCCTCAGCCTCCTGAGTAGTTGGGATTACAGGCATGCACCGCCATGCCCAGCTAATTTTTTTTTTTTTTTTTTTTAGTAGAGATGGAGTTTCGCCATGTTGGTCAGGCTGGTCTCGAACTCCCAACCTCAGGTGATCTGCCCACCTCGGCCTCCCAAAGTGCTTGGATTACAGGCGTGAGCCACCATGCCCAGCCTCCCATGTTTTTACTTCCTTTCCACCATGCACCCTATGCTTTTCTTCTTTCTCACTTTACACATTATCCTCCTAGCCTGGAGGATTTTCCCTCCGTTTTGGGAAGTCATATCTAAATGAAGTTCTAATTCTCTCACAAAGGCTTTCCTAATTCTTGATCTCTGCTGTCTTCTGATTTCTGAAAGCTTAAAATCTACTCCACATTAAATAGCCCTTAATTTTTTATTGGATGAAAAGACCCTACAGAACATTAATTCCCAATCTGTTAAATATATTGTTCTTATTTTCTTATATTAGGCATCTAGTCTATTCTTTGAAATCTTTATTCCATTTCTTCTTAAGCACTACTGAAAAAAAATGTATGAAAAGACAAAATTTCCATATTTGAAGAAGGTGGTGAAATGTAAACTTTTTGAGGCTGGAAAAGTTTTATTAAGCACAAGTAACAAGTGTTTGTTACACATCTAAGAGTAGTGCTATTTCTTCAAACCTTTACTTACAGATGCATATGATTAAGGGAAAACAGCTGCAGCCAGAGGAAAAGGAAGTGGTAGAGATGACAGTTTATGCAGCTAGCCAAACTGGGTAGACAAACTGAAGGCCACATTAGTAAGGATTGACTGACATGTTACAACATCTATGTAAAGAGAGTTAAAGAGTATTACATTTATATTGAGAGTGCATAAATGTTATAATTCCCCCATATCTCTACTAAAAAGGTATTATATATAGTATATGGAAAAGGGATTGATAGTTAAACGAGGAATATAACTTCCTTTGGGAAATAAATTCTTTGCAAGATGGCTTCATTTTAATTTCATTTTTTATATTTTTTGAGACAGGGTCTTCCCCTGTTGCCCAGGCTGGATTGCAGTGGCACGATCATGGCTCACTGTAGCCTCGACTCCTGGGCTCAGGTACTCCTCCCACTTCAGACTCCTGAGTAGCTGGGACCACAGGCGTGTGCCACCACACCCAGCTAATTTTTATTTTTTGTACACACTATGTTGCCCAAGCTGGTCTTGAACTCAGGCTCAAGTGATCCTTCCACCTTGGCCTCCCAAAGTGCTGGGATGAGCCACTGAGCGTGGCCTGCAGAATGACTTTATATCTCGTGTAGGGCAAGGTTACAAGAAGTTTAATGATATGGAGTGGTTGAAACCCTCTAAGCCAACTGTTATTAATTAGTTTTATAGGTTATTCTTGGAGCTGCCACTTCTGTAACTTTTCTTGGTTAATCTTTAGGTAAAAAGGGGACAGATTGATTTATTAGCCATTAGTTGGCACCTAAAATTCTTTCTAGTTATAAATTCATGTGTCTCCAATGAGAGACCTAAACATTTTCTTATTGTTCTGTACTTCCTCTTGGGCACCCACCACTGAACATCTTAACCCTTATTCTAAGAGGTTTTGTATATAATCAGCCCCAGGGCTGCTAGAAGAGAGAAATGACATTTCCTAACCAAATTCAGCTTCTTCAGCTCAGAAAAAAGGATCTTTTTTGTAACAACATGAAAACCTATACAGGGGTTTAATCAATTTTCTCTATGTCCATTTATCCCATTTTCCCTTTTAATTCTGTCATTTGCCTTTGAAAAGGTGAGGAGAGGGACACTCCTATGTCTTGAAGAAGGTATATATATATATGTGTGTGTGTGTGTGTGTGTGTTTTGGTAGAAGATAGAACTGTATATATACATAGACCCCCTGTTTATTTGCTTGACTTTGTAATAACCATCAGAGGACTTTTTAAACAGCATTTCCACTAGGAAAAGCTGAAGCCTTATGCTACAAATTTGGCATCTTTTTTATTCGCAGGCTGAAATTCTAACCCTCCTCCTTCACCAGTATCTCTAAGTTACCAAGAACTCAAGATATTTTTTAGAAGTTTGATATCTTGACCAAGTTCTCTTGAACCCCCACTGGATAGGTGACAGAACTAGGGATATTCCTTAATGCCCGTATGTAGACATATTTTCAGGGCAGGGATAAGAAGTCTGCTACTACATTTGTAGTCTGCAATTTTATGCAATTCTAAAAGATAAAAAAAGAAATTGAAGTCAGGAGTACAATGTAGAAATTCCTATCTACAGCTGAGAATGTTAATCATATAGAAGTGAAGTTGGGGACAGAATGAGCATTCACTGAATCAAGATATGAGTAGATTAAGATTCAGCTTGGTTTATTTTGTAACAAATGTCTTACACAGCACTGGAAATATCCATCTTAACCACAGATGAGATAGGTGCAAAAAGGAAGGGTTCTTTTAGCTTTCTGAATAGAAATTAAGATATTATAGCTGTTCTAGATTGGGTGAGTGGTAAAGCCTGAGAAGCTTAAAATGAAAATGTAATATATCTTAAGAACCTCCAGAGTTTTGAGAAAGTAGTTTTCAAGTCAGTCTGTTATTAAATATTTTGGACCTTTTGTCCCAAAATTTTGCATGTAGTTTCAGGAGTTTTCCATGAACCACAGCTCTAAATAGTCCTGTTGCATTCCAAAGTAATTTTTAGGCTTGACCCCAAGCTGTTGGCACATTAAGTGATTTTGCATGGAATTGATTAAATAGTACCTAGCTCCGAACCATCCAAATAAGGGTTTGTCCAAAGTCAGGTCTGAGAGCAATATACAGTATAATGTTATCCTGAGACATTGACATTTTCTGGTAGAAGATATTAATAAGAAAGTTAACTAAGTATTAGAACATTGACAGATTGGTGTTTCAGAGGCTGAACAGCTTGATGCATTCTTCAAATTGCAGACTTTACAAAGTAAGGTAATGTAGTACTTCTCAACTTTAAAAATCTATACTGGGTCATAGCCTCCTTTTTCCATACTGGTATTCTACAGAAGGCAGAAGAATCTTGAGAGTAAGTTGCAAAGACAGATAATTCAGCCTGAAACACAATTATATACCCTATTTGGCCAGGACATAGTCTTTAGGCAAGTAAGTACTGGTCTAGTCAAATTCCTTAAGAAGTTATAACTTCTTGGCTTCCAGGTCTAAGAACACTTCCTGATGACTGCTGAATATGAAACCTGGCTTTACCATTTACTAACACTGTGGTCTTGCATAAGTTAAACTTATCTATGTTTCTGTTTCCTCATCTGTAAATGGGGTGGGAGGAGGGAGGAAAAAATAATATCTATCTCATAGGATTGTTAAAGCACTTGGAGCAAGACCTAGTAAGTGCTGCATAAGTGTGTTTTGGTAAATTAACACTAGCCTGGCTTTTCTAACCTAGCAAAGTTTTAAACCTGAAAGTTTGGATTTGCCAGTCAATAATAATACTGTTTGATTTGTTTTGACAAAATTCAGCTCAGCCAGCAGTGGCTTTTGAGTGATTTCTGTGTGGCAGCCATTGCTAGGTGTAGGTATACTTGAATTTAAGTATGTGCAGTGGGGAGGGGTATGTTATATGGTTCAAAACTAATAAGGACAAACATGACCTTATAGTTAGTAAATGATTTATGAAATGGTTCATTTGATTAATTGTACAATCAAAAGAAACTTTTTTTTTTTAGGAGACGTGTTCTTGCTTTGTCACCTAGACTGGTAGTGCCATGGTGTGATCATAGCTTACTGCAGCTTCAAATTTCTGGGCTCAAGTATTCTCCTACCTCAGCCACCCAAGTAGCTGGCATGAGCCACCACACCTGGCTAAAATGAACATTTTTAAGCCCAAGAAGTCTAGTTCCTTTTGAAATAAGACTTTCTGGGCCCTTTGTATACATTTCCATGCTTTTAGAAGGTAGCTTTTAATAATATGTACAGACTGCAATTTAATTTTTTAGTAATAATGCCCCAAGTGCTAAAGATAAAACTTCTAAAAATTTTGGCAGCTGGGTGTCGTGGCGGGGCACCTGTAATTCCAGCTACTTGAGAGGCTGAGGCAGAGCCTACTTGAACCCAGGAGGCAGAGGTTGCAGTGAGCCCAAATGGTGCCACTGCACTCCAGCCTGGGCAACAGACTGAGACACCATCTTTAAAAAATCTAAAAAATTTGAAATTTAATGTATTTATTACCTTAATCCAGTTTTATATGTATACACAAATTGGTTATAGTATCTATTTTGTTACCAACTGATAAATAAGAAATAAGTCAAACATCAGTAGATGAAAGGACAAGCAAAATGTGCATTATATTGTGAAATATATATTTGATCTTCATTCTTGTGTTGTGTCATACAACTCCAACAATCCTTAGAATCTCCAAAGTGAAGTATCCTTTTTTTTTTTTTTTTTTTTTTTTTTTTTTTTTTGAGATAGAGTCTCGCTCTGTCGCCCAGGCTGGAGTGCAGTGGTGCGATCTCAGCTCGCTGCAAGCGCTGTCCTGGGTTCACACCATTCTCTTGCCTCAGCCTCCCGAGTAGCTGGGACTACAGGTGCCCGCCACCACACCCAGCTAATTTTTTTGTATTTTTATTAGAGACAGGGTTTCACCATGTTAGCCAGGATGATCTCCATCTCCTGACCTTGTGATCCACCCGCCTTGGCCTACCAAAGTGCTGGGATTACAGGCGTGAGCCACCGCGCCCGGCCAGTGAAGTATCTTTGTATGCTAACAAGTTGACTGAAAGCCATGCACCTCTAGGTAGCTATTGGATGGATGTTAGTTACCCAGAAACAGGCAGGATTAGAGGGTTGGGATTTACAGTCCTGCCTGTTAATCTCTGGGTAGGAGAGAGGGCGTGAAGGTTAAGTTGATACCAACAGCCAGTGATTTAATCAATCATTGCCTACTTAACAAAGCTTCCATAAAAATCCAAAAGGACTGGATTCAGAAAGCTTCCAGATGGCTGAGCACATGGAGGGTGGCATCCCCTTCCTACATGCCTTGCCCTGTGCATCTCTTCAACTGTATCCTTTGTAATATCCTTTATAATAAACTGGTAAATCTGTCTCCCTGAGTTCTGTGCGTCGCTCTAACACATTAATCAGACTGGAGTAAGAGGTTGTGGGAACCCCAATTTATAGCCAGTTAGTCAGAAGCATAGGTAAAACAACCTGGGGCTTTAGATTGGGATTGGAAGTGGGGAGCCCTCAACCTGTGGGATGTGACACTGTCTCCAGGTAGATAATGTTGGAATTGAACTGGGTGGGAGGACACCCACCTGGTGTCCACTGCAGAAGCGATTGCTTGCATTGGGGGAAATCTCTCATACATCTGGTCACAGAAGTATTCTGGTGATTGTTGTGGTGTGAGTGCAAAGGACAAAATAGTTTGTTTTAGGTACAATGGAATATTTTTCAGCCTTGAAAAGGAAGGGAAATTCTAAGACATGCTACAATGAAATAAGCCTGTCACAAAAGGACAAATATTGTATAATTCCACTTGTATGAGGTACTTAGAATAGTCAAATTCATAGAGACAAAATGGTGGTTGCCAGAGGCTGGCAGGAGAAGAAAATGATGTTATTGTTTAGTGGGTATAGAGTTACAGTTGGGGAAGATGAAAAATAAAATCTGGTGATAATTGCACAATAATGTGGATGTATTTAATGCCATGGAACTGTACACTTAAAATAGTAACTTTTATCTATATTTTACCATAATTTAAAAAACACAACATTATTTCCCTACAGTGACCAAGATACAAAAACCACTCATTTTGGAAAACAGCTGTAGGAAATGACAACCTCCCTTACTCTCTCACCTCTGCACTTCCCCCACCTTATCACCTGCCTTCCCCCCCCCAAATTAATTTGCTAAATGTAAATTTATGTTTATAAATTTTATATTAACTAAATTTTGGTAAATATAGTGTACTTGTTTAGGAGCTTTGTGTTTTTTGTTTGTTTGTTTTTGTTTTTTTTTGAGAGGGAGTCTCACTCTGTCACCCAGGCTGGAGTGCAGTGGCGTGATCTCCTCTCACTGCAAGCTCCACCTCCCGGGTTCATGCCATTCTCCTGCCTCAGCCTCCCAAGTAGCTGGGACTACAGGCGCCCGCCACCACGCCTGGCTAATTTTTTTGTATTTTTAGTAGAGATGAGGTTTCACCGTGTTAGCCAGGATGGTCTCGATCTCCTGACCTCGTGATTCGCCCACCTCGACCTCCCAAAGTGCTGGGATTACAGGTGTGAGTCACTGCGCCTGGCCAGGAGCTTTGTTTTTAGTAGCCGGAACAACTTTGAAAACCTGAAGTTTTTCAAATTATAAATTTCTTCATTCTTTTTATATACTATGGAAGATTGTATCTGAAGCTTATGAGAACATCTTAGTTACAAAGTTTTAGAACTAGAAGAAACCTTATTATCAGTTTATGCTTTTCACTTTGTAGAAAAGGAAAATGAGGTATAAAGAGATTGACTTCCCTAAAGTCACCAGCTTTTTAATAGTAAAACTAGAACTGAAAGCCATGGCTCTTTTGATTCTTAGTGCTCTTTGGACTACACTGTGCTATCGTGCTGTCCAAAGGCTTCGTTGGCATCTCACTAGAAGAATTTACTGGGTAAAATTTTTAATTACATTATTGGACCAAGAGTTAAAGCTGTACTATGTTCTCGAATATTTGTAAAGTATCTTCTGGTCCCATTGAAGAGATAAACAGAACATACTTGTTTGCCCTATAGACAGGGTATGAGTGTGTGTGAGAGAGAGAGTGCGTATGTGTGTGTTTGTGAGAGACAGACTGACACTGACTACTCTATCTCCAAAATCCTCTTTATTCTAGCAGTTACAGGAGTTCCAATTCTGCAGTCAGTCCTATTCAGACTATAGGCCTTCTGGGTCAATAGGCTTACACAAATATAAAGGAAACCCAATTTAGTTCTTTGCTTAGAAATATGAACAGTCAAGAAAGAAGCATTCCAACAGCATGAAACCCAAGATGAACAAGCATTACCTGAAAAACACAAATGAAGAGAACAAAAAGAAAAGCTTTATAGATATAGTGGATAGTCCTAGGATTCCTAAAAAGGAATTCCACATGGAACAGAGAAGATGGAGAGGAAATAGAAGAAAAATTATCTGAGCTAAGTAAAGACTCGGGGCTTTAGATCAAATGGACCCATTAAGTATAAAACAAAATGGACAAACAATAACACACATTTAGATAATAGGCTTATGAAATTTCAGAGCTAAGGATGTAGGGAAATCTCATAAATATTTTTGAGAGATGAGAATCACTTTTAAAAAATCAGATTGGTAGACACTTTTATTACTTGGTACTAGAAAATGTGGACCAATGATTTAAATTTCGAGGAGAATTTTAAGAAACAACCTATAATTCTGAAGCAGACCTAGTTTGCTGTAAGTGTGGAAGTATACATAACAGTGTAGTTTACTTCGCCAGACCTTTGGGTAAGGGGGTGGGGGGTAGTGCTTGGGAGTTGTAGTACAGCAAAATCAAACAAAAAAATCTTACAAAAAGGAGCTTGAGATTCAGAATCAACAGAGGTATGTGATGAAAAGAAGTACTAGGTAGGCAGGCAACTGGGCTGTGAACTAACCCAGAACATAATTATTTCAAATTAAAACAGAAATCACTGGGGTCTAAACATGTCTTTAAGAACAACATGGATTTTGTTGAACAAATTCTAATAAATTGGAATATGTTAAATGTAATAAAAAGGCAAAAACTTCAGAAAATTAAAGCCTCTTCTGAAAGTCCAAATGTGAAGCAAACGAAAATGTGCCTTATTTTTGAACAGTGAGGTGTAATTGAGTATCAAGAATGTAAACACCTTGACACTTGGAATTTAGTGACATAAAATTGCTGTTTATTCTCTGAGTTTTACCATGCCCCTTGGATGGGCAGTGAATGACACTGTAAGTACTTTTTATTATCCAATTAATGAGAATCAACCAATAGATAAAAACTTAATAAATTGCAAATGATATAAAACTTAATGTGAAACTTAATTGTATAGTCAGCAATAATGGTATATGATTACATGGGGGAGCCAGAAGAAACTTCCTAAAGTTGATAGAATAAGAAATACAGGTTCAGCTATAATATCTAAAGTTATAACTAATACAAACTAAAATAAATCAGAATGAGCATAGAAGGTGGGAATTAGGGTAAATCTTCTCAGTCTTTCGTGTGTGTGTGTGTCTGTGTGACAGAGTCCAGCTCTGTCACCCAGGCTGGAATGCTGTGGCACAAACTTGGCTCACTGCAACCTCTGTCTCCTGGGCTCAAGCTATTCTCCTGTCTCAACCTCCCGACTAGCTGGGATTGCAGACATGCACCGTCACTCCCAGCTAATATTTATTTATTTATTTATTTATTTATTTATTTTTATTTTTAGTAGAAACAGGGTCTCACCATGTTGGCCAGGCTGGTCTTGAAACTCCTGACCTCAAGTGATCGACCTGCCTCTGCTTCCTAAAGTGCTGGGATTCCAGGTATGAGCTACCTTGCCCAGCCCGCTCAGTCTTTTATAATGAGGCTACACTGTGATAAGAAATAATGGATTTTTTTAAAAAATGAGTATGGTAGTAAGCACTAGAAGAATTAAAAACAAATGACCCAAAATTGTAATTTCTGAGAACAAGGCTGAGGTTTGGGTTGGGATTAGGGAAGAGACTAAAGAAGTTTTAAGTGTTTTTTTGTTTGTTTGTTTGTTTTGGTCATTTTTTGTTTTTTATCAGTTTTGTACATGTATGTGGTCAGGAAGCCAAATAATTCTACAAATTCCCAGGGGCATTTAGTTATTTTTGAATGATTCTTTTGGTGTTTACTTCCATGTCGCTAGATAACAGTATTATATTACTACTTCTTACATGTTGACATCCCACTTACAGTAGAGAGCATAGCTGTCCCCCACCAGTATCGCACAAATACGCTCCCAGATCCCCCAACTTCCCTGTGTAATTTGCCATATCAGTCTCTTTTAAGATATGTCTTTCAGATTAGTCTGATTCCTCAGAGGAGGTTTTCCCAATATAAACCTCTACTCTTATGAGTTGGAGACAGTATCTAGGGAACTTCATTTTTTGAAGTGGACTTTTAACCAATCCTAATTTTAGCCTGGCGAGGAGACTTTTAAAAAATAGTGTAACATGCGGTTTGATTTTTTTTTTTTTCTTTAGACGGAGTCTCGCACTGTCGTCCAGGCTGGAGTGCAGTGGTGCAATCTCGGCTCACTGCAGCCTGTACCTCCTAGGTTCAAGTGATTCACCTGCCTCAGCCTCCCGAGTAGCTATGATTACAGGCGCCTGCCACCACGCCTGGCTAATTTTTTTGTATTTTTGGTAGAGATGGAGTTTCACTATATTGGCCGGGCTGGTCTCGAACTCCTAACCTTGTGATCCGCCCGCCTCAGCCTCCCAAAGTGCTGTGATTACAGGCGTGAGACACTGCACCTGGCTGGTTTGTTTTTTTTTTTAAACTTTGTCTTGTAATACTTTCATAATAGCAATGTTATTTCTTAAAATATCAAATCCCTATTGTGGAACTTGACTAATATTTATTTGCATACAGTAGTAGTATTATCACCGTTTACGTTTTTGTCTTTTCACTGTAGCTCTAATATGTTTTACAGCAGTTTCAGTTGCCTAAAAAACAAAACCTTTGTTGTTGTTTGGTAAAGTTTTTTTAACTTTATTGAAACACCTTATTTTATTTACTGCTTGGTAAATAAGGGTTGTGTGGGTCCATGCTCATATGCTGTATTGACCTGTAAATGGTTTTATAAACTTTTTGTATAAACTCTTAGAAATAATCTTTTTTGTAACTCTTAGAAATTCAAACTGGGGTACCCATAATATGAACCTCTTTTTAAAAAAAGATTGTATTCATTATTTATAATCAATAATCCTTAAATTTTGTGAGATTTGTGACTACATTGACTAGATAATATTGAGGTACATATGGGTGTTCTATGGTATGAAAAATACTGAGTAGGTACTCACCTGAAAAGTTTCTCAGGGACTTATTTTACTTATAAACTAGGGAATAATGTGCATTGTGGAATGTTTCTGGAACAATGTAATATGACAGCTTTTCTATGAACTTTGAGTTTGAGGATAAGCATGATTTGGATTCTTAGAATAGAAATGCCAAAAGCTGATGATTAGGGAGAGAAAACATGTGTCTGTTCATGTCTAGCTTACGCTCAGCAACAGGTAAAGGTGTGACTTTTAAAAGCCCTGAGCTAATTGTACTTTCCAGTCACCAAAAGTTTTATAGGAATATGTGATACTAGCATATGCAAAAACCAACAACCTATTTTACTGCTCCATCAGTAAGACTTTGTTCACTTGTTAGGACATTGCTCTGGTGGATCATCAAGATTGTAAGTGTTTAGGATACTGTTTTGGACTATGTTCAGAAATTCATTAGCTAATAGTCACAAGTGTTTTTTACACTTTCTCATGGTTTACTTGCAACTTCAGCTTACAAGGAACCTCTCAAGAACATGAATCCTTTTGATTCATCAAACCGTGGATTAAAACATATAGATAGCCTAATTGAGTTGCACTGCTCATTTTTAATAAAATGGCTTTTATGTTAGAATTGGGTTAGAAATAAGTCTGTGTCATAAAGATAAAATTTTCCAGAATAGTCTTGTGTAGGCAATCTCACTTAGTTCTGTGTGTTTTATCAATGTTCAACAGAAAGATCTATGAGATTTACGTATATGTACTTTGATGGAAAAGCCAGGAAGGAAGGTGCTCTTTAGCATTTGAAGCTAGTATGAATTTAAAGCATGGAACTGTTTGTTCTGGATTGTCTGGGTTTCAAAGGTTTTCGTTCAGCACTGCCCATTAGGGCTTTCTGTAGTGAAAGAAATATTCATACTATGCTGTGTAACTTGTAGCCACAGTGGCTGGTGGGATTGAAGAAGTGAATATTTAATTTTAGGTAATTTAAATTTAAATAATCATATGTGGAGAGTGAGTGCTTAGCTAGTGCAGTGTCTAGCAGTATCAAGAAACTGAGGGAAAACAAAAGTAATAAAAAGCACTGCATTAAAATAAATAGGACTTCTGACCCAAATTAGTTTGCTTGGCACAGCTTATAGACTCTTTACCCTTAATTTTCATCTTCTACTATAATGTCATCATAGATCTAACATCTTCATTTCTGAACCTTACTAGCTTTTTTTTTACTAGGATAGTAAGTTCACAACTTACACTAGAACTGACACTATTTTGATGTCTCTGGTTGATGCCTCCTATCTTCACCTCAACTTTCTTTTTTCGTCTAACTCCAGTACTTTCCACCAGTGAGAAAGGACTCTTATTTGCACATTGCCCAGTACATTTTTTTTTCCATTTGAGAAACTCCTCTAAATTTTTCTAAACTCAAATTATTAAGGCGTTTGTTCAGTTTACCCCAACAAAACCCACACTTCTAAGGGTGTTTTCAAGTGACCCATTGGCACTGTTACACTCTATATCTAGAATCTTATTGGTATTTAAAAATTGCAACTTTACCTTAAAAGTACCAGACATGATTCTTTTTCAAAGAAGAGGTTTTGCAAAAATTTCTTCTTTTAATTCAAAATATTAAAACATTAATATTTTTAAATTTTTTCTCCGAGTTTAAAAACTCATGTAGCATGCAGTTCATCCAGTTTGTGTCTTCAAGCAGAGCTGACTTTTTCCTGCAAAGTCACCTGAATTTTGAGCCCTTTGATCTCACAGATGAAACTTGTTTCATCTGTGAACCCGTTTCATCCATGAAACCCTGTCTCTACAAAAAGTACGAATAATTAGCCAGACATGGTGGCACACACCTGTGGTCCCAGCTGCTCGGGAGGCTGAGGTAGGAGGATCGCTTGAGCCTGGGAGGCGGAGGGTGCAGTGAGCCGAGATCACGTCACTGCACTCCAGCCGGGGCAACAGAGTGTGACGAGCTTTGGTCCTGCATAAGGCATGCCCAGATAAGATAGAAAATGTTTTAAAACATTGTTACAACTAAGTACCTCCTGTTCAAGTTGTAGTTAGTGAGTTAGTGGATTTTTTTTTTTTTTTTTTGAGACAGGGTCTCCCTATGTTGCCCAGGCTGGTCTTGAACTCCTGGCCTCAAGAGATCCTCCTGACTCGGCCTCCCAAAGTGCTCAGATTACAGGCATGAGCCACTGTGCCTGGCCCAGGAAACTTTGATACTGTGTTTTGGATGCTTCATCTTCTTTCAAGGTGAATATTCAGCTTCTCTGTATGTACTAAACTCTGTAATGTGTATGGCTTTCTAAAAACCATAACACTCAGAGCTTAGAGTTTCACATGTAGCTATACTTTGAATACTACTACAGATTACACAGAATGATATTGCATCCCCAGAGTTATCCATAAATGGAGTAATTCATCTTGAATTTTAGACTATAGTTCTTAACATGAAATCTAATATATCAAAATTTAAATGGTTTATCACATACAGTGTACTGAGCATAGTTGTCAACATATCACACAAAATGAAGAAAGATATAAGCATTCTTTTAAATGTTTTCTCTAAACCTGCTTTTAAAGACTTTTAATGCTAGTTCAGTACAACAAAAATCTTAAACCTTATAATAATTAGTAGTAATATGAGTTGGTCTGCATTACCAAGAAACTATTACAAGGAGATCAAAAGGAGATTTTTTTTCCCCTAGTAAATTGTTATTATGTCAAAAATTGACAGGAGTCATGTCAGTAATTTCTTACGTTAGAAGAGAGGAAGGAGATACAGTAGGTCATTCTATTTAGGGACTTTTTTTTACATTAGTCTTCCTGTTT
The DNA here is from genome assembly GCF_000001405.40 of Homo sapiens. Taxonomy (NCBI): domain Eukaryota; kingdom Metazoa; phylum Chordata; class Mammalia; order Primates; family Hominidae; genus Homo; species Homo sapiens. The sequence goes on along the minus strand of NC_000009.12, from coordinate 71,885,680 downwards.
TGCTGAGAAAGAATCAGTTATTTATCTTTTTTCTTTGTCATTGAGGAGGAAAACGTTACCAGGAGAAGCAGATTCTTAAATTATTATTTCATACAATTTTAGGAAATTGCTCTTGCTGTAAGTGAAGAAATTGTTGAATGCCCTGCCAAAAGGAAAACCTTAATTTTCACAATGGGCCATCTGTTTAACATTGAGGTGACCCCCTTTTTTTTTTTTTTTTGGAGACAGAGTCTTGTTCTGTCACCCAGGCTGGAGTGCAGTGGTGCAATCTCGGCTCACTGTAACCTCTGCTTCCCGGGTTCAAGCCATTCTCCTGCCTCAGACTCCTGAGTAGCTGGGATGACAGGTGTACGCCTCCACGCCTGGCTAATTTTTATATTAATTATTATTATTTTTTTAGTAGAGATGGGGTTTCACCATGTTGGCCAGGCTGGTCTCGAACTCCTGACCTCAAGTGATCCTCCTGCCTTGGCCTCCCAAATTGCTGGGATTACAGTCATGAGCCACCGTTCCCGGCCTGACCTTTCATTTTGTGTATTTATTGCAAGAGGGGCAAGATTCCCTCCTCCCTGGAATAGGGTCCTTCTCTGTGTTTCATAACACATTGAGTGATTTGAGTAACTTGCAAGGCTTTTTCCACCTGCCCCCACTTAGGTTCATAGATTTTTATTTGACTGCTTCTCTTTTGCCCCCATATGAAAAAGATTCTGTTTTGCCCCCATATGAAAAACCTAAGTAATAGTAACAAAACATTTTTGCATTTTTTCTTGACATGTAAATTTAGTGAATTTCTTTCTTTTGTAGGAGCTTCTTGGGTGCAAAGAGTTGAATCAGTCTTAATAATTTACTAACTCATTCATTTAAGAAATATTAGAAACCCTACTATATGTCAAGTATTCTGCTTGATACTAGATGTCCAGTTGTAAGCAAGCAGATGTGATTGTTACCCTCTGGAATTTCTAATCTAGTTCATGGCGCATTATCACCATCAATCTATGAGCATAGGCCCTGCTCTTGTTTTACTTAATTTCCTTTTTTTTTTTTTTCCCTTCAACCTCCATCCCCATTACCCCTTTGGTAAGCATATACTCTGACATATGTACCCTTAGAAATGTATTTGTCCTCAAAGATAATGTTTATGTCTGTTTTGCATGTATGTTAATGATATTATAGATCTGTTCGTACCTTACTTTTTTCACCCAATACCATTATATTTAATCCCTAGTCATCAGTCTTTGCTTCTGACTGTGTTAATTTTCTATTATCTGCATCCAACACATGCTTACTCATTTCCCCAGTTATGGAACCTATATTGCATCTCAGGCCCTGACACAAATAATACTTCAGATACACTTAAAGGACCTGTGCAAGTATTTCTTTGTAGTACTTACCCAAGAGAGAGATTCTGGGTCATTGGTAAACACAATGGCTTACCAAGCAGTTTACAAAGATTTCCATTTTCCCCATTCTCACCAGCACTTGATAATACTCAGCTTTCTAATTTTTTCTTTTAGTTTTGATGTATTATTTTTTGATTTCTCTGATAGTTGGTGAGGTTGAGCCTTTTTTCATATACTTGTTAGCCATATGAATTGCCTATTCCTATCTTTTGCCCATTGTTCTTGAGTTACCCAGTTTTTTCTTGTTTTTGCTGAAGTTCCCTACATTTTAAATATTCTGACAGTTTGGGATGATGAATTCATCCAAAAAAGGACATTTATCTTTTCTCTTTCTTTTTTTTTTTGAGACAGAGTCTTGCTCTGTCACCCAAGCTGTAGTGCAATGATGCAATCTCGGCTCACTGCAACCTCTGCCTCCCAGGCTCAAGTGATTCTTCTGCCTCAGCCTCCCGAGTAGCTGGGATTACAGGCACGCGCCACCATGCCCAACTAATTTCTGTATTTTTAGTAGAGATGGGGTTTCACCATGTTGGCCAGGTTGGTCCTGAACTCCTGACCTCAGGTGATCCACCTGCCTTGTCCTCCCAAAGTGCTAGGATTACAGGCGTGAGCCACCACGGCTGCCCTGACATTTTTCATTTAAGAGAAATCCTTTATTTGAATGAAGCTAAATCTACCAATGTTTGTCTTTTGTGGATTGTGTAAAAATTAGTTTTGCTCTTTAAGTCTGTGATCTGCCTGGAATTTGCTTTCTGTATTCCATGATGTAGTGATCCAACCACTTTACCCATGTGGTAAGTTTTCCCAGCACAATCTACTAAAGAATCCATCCTTTCCTACTGCTTTGAGAAACCAGCTGTGTCAATCCCTAGTCCCATTCACATAGGGGTTTATTCATAAGCTCTGTTACTAGGTCTATTTGTTTCTGTACCAGCACCACTCTGTCTTTATTACTTGGACTTTGTGCAGTGTGTCTTAATATCTGGGAGGGAAAATTCCTATCTACCCCACAAATACATGTATATACCTTTGCTCTTTATAGACATTTTCTGGTAACTTCTTTATTAATATATAATTGACATACCATAACACTCAAATATTTAAGATACAACTCAATTTTTGTTTGTTTGTTTGTTTTGAGATGGAGTCTCGCCCTGTCGCCCAGGCTGGAGTGCAATGGCGCAATCTCAGCTCATGGCAACCTCCGCCTCCCAGGTTCAAACGATTCTCCTGCCTCAGCCTCTGAGTAGCTGGGATTACAGGTGTGTGCCACCATGCCTGGCTAATTTTTGCATTTTTAGTAGAGATAGGGTTTCACCATGTTGGTCATGCTGGTCTTGAACTCCTGACCTCGTGTTCTGCCCACATCGGCCTCCCAAAGTGCTGGGATTACTGGTGTGAACCACTGCGCCCGGCAATGTTTTTAATATATATATTCACAGAATTTTCACAGAATTGTGCAACAATCACCCAAATCAATTTTAGAACATTTTCATTACCCCAGAAAGAAACCTGTTATCCTTTAGTTATTATTCTCCATCCCTCCTGTTCTCCTCATCCCCATTTTATGGATATATATACTACCTTTTGTTTTGTTTTTGTTTTCTTGGTTTTTTTTTTTTTGAAATGGAATCTCAGTCTGTTGCCCAGGTTGGAGTGCAGTGGCGCGATCTCAGCTCACTGCAACCTCCGCCTCCCGAGTTCAAGCAATTCTCCTGCCTCAGCCTCCCAAGTAGCTGGGATTAAAGGCATGCACCACCACACCAGCTAATTTTTGTGTTTTTAGTAGAGGCGGGGTTTCACCATGTTGGCCAGGCTGGTCTTGAACTCCTGAACTCAGGGGATTCTCCCGCCTTGGCCTCCCAAAGTACTGGGATTACAGGCGTGAGCCTCTGCTGCGCCCAGCCTACATTTTGTTTATCCATTCATCAGCTGGTGTACATTTGGATTGCTTACGTTTTTCAGCTATTGTAAATAATGCTGCACATGCATGTACAAGTTTTTGTGTGGACATGGGTTTTGCTTTCTCTTGAGAGTAGAATTGCTTTGTCAAATGGCAACTCTTTAAGTTTTTGAGGAAATATCAGATTGTTTTCTAATGTGACTACCATTTTTCTTCCTATCAGCAGTGTATGAGGGTTCCAATTTCTCCACCTGCCAAATAACCTTTATTATTATGTCTTTTTGATTATAGCTATCTTAATGGAGATGAAGCTGTATCTCTTTGTGGTTTTGATTTCCATTTCCTTGATGACTGATGGTGTTAAGCATCTTTTCACATGCCCATTGGCCATTTGTATATCTTTTGGAGAAATGTCTATAAATCCCTTTGTCTATTAATTGGGTTGTCCTTTTATTGTTTTTTTTTTTCCTTTTTTTTTTGGTTTGTTTTTTGAGACGGGAGTCTTGCTCTGTTCCCCAGGGTGGAGTACAGTGGCGTGATCTCAGCTCACTACAACCTCCACCTCCCGTGTTCAAGTGATTCTTCTGCCTCAGCCTCCCGAGTAGCTGGGAATACAGGCACGTGCCACCATGCCCGGCTAATTTTTTGTATTTTTAGTAGAGGCAGGGTTTCACCATGTTAGCAGGATGGTCTCGATCTCCTGACCTCATGATCCGTCCGCCTCGGCCTTCCGAAGTGCTGGGATTACAGGCTTGAGCCACCGTGCCCAGCTGTCCTTTTAAAATTGTTGAATTGTAAAGGTTATTTGTATTTTCTCACATTCAGTAGGTTGTCCTTTCAGTATCCTTGTGTCTTTTGAAACATGAAAGTTTTTAATTTTGGAGTCTGATTTATCTATTTTTTTTTCTTTGTTACTTGTACTTTCAGTATCTTTTCTAAGGAAACATTTTATAACCCAAGGTCACAAAGATTTATGCCTATATTTTCTTTTGAGAACTTCATAGTTTAGATCTTACATTTAGTCTTTGACTCATTTTGAGTTGATTTTTGTATATGGTGTGAAGTAAGAGTAAAATTTCATTCTTTTGCATGTGGATATTATGTTGCCCTAGCACCATTTGTTGAAAACACTTCTTTCACCATTGAATTGTTTTGGCACTCTTGTCAAAAATCAACTGACCATAAATGTCAGGTTTATTTCTGGATTCTCAGTTCTATTCCTTAGATATATTTGTCCTTATGCCAATAGCATTCTGTCTTGATTACTGTTGCTTTATTATGAGTTTTGAAATTGGGAAGTGTGAATCCTCCAACTTAGGTTTTCTTTTCAAGATTGATTTGGCTATTCTGGGTTCCTTGAGGTTCTGTATGAATTCTCTGCATTTTGTTTTTCTTGATTATAAGTGGAGGAGTCTTTTTTCTTAGTTTTATTTTTTTATTTTCTATAGACCTTTATACTTTTATATAAATTTTATAATCACTTTTGAGTTCCTCAAATTTCTGCTGGAATTTTGATGGGAATTACCTTGAAATTTTCATTCTGGGAGAGTTGACATTCTCAATGCTATTAAGTCATTCTTTCCATTTTTTAATGTTCTTATTTAAAATTTTTCTGCATAAAGGTTTTCTGCATTCTATTTTATATTAATTCCTAGATAGTCGTTTTGGTTGTGGGTGCGATCTTATTTATAATTTTTTTAACTATTTTTAGTTGTTTAATGCTAGCTAACATTGAACTGTACCAACTTTACCTAAGTTCATGCATTTGCCAAAATTGCTGAGAAGTCTCATTTGTTTTAATACTTTCTAGATTCTTTTGGTTTTCTATCAGGGTAATTATATCATCTACCAAACATATTGTTTTGTCCCTGTATATCTATTAAGAAAACCATGTGTTTTTTTTCTTTAGTTCATTAATGTGAATTACTTTGGTTTAACATTGGAAGATTTGTCATTCTTGTCTTTCAGCTTGATTTTGTATTTTGTATTTATATACACTTTATATGTTGTTTCTTTTTTTTAAGGTTTTTAAGGTTTTTTCATGCATGTTCAAAGTGAAGTGGACTTACAGTTTTATTTACAGTTCTAAGTTTTGGGATAAAGGTTATAATAGCCTCAGAAAGCAATTGTTGAGCAGCATTCATTTTCTGGAATAACTTCACTTAATGAAAGTATTTTAAGTGAAGGTGGTCTTTGATTTCCCTTTGAAGTTCTGATGGTTATTTGCATATTCTAGCCTTTGTGCCAATTTTGTCCTTTTATATTACTCAAGAAGTGCGTGAGTTTTGTCTAGGTTATTTATTGACACATGATATTCTTTCATTTCTAGAAACTATGTCTGTAGCTCAAAGTCCTTTTTCCTTTAGTACATTATTTCGTTTATTTTGCTTATCTCTTTCTTGTGATCAGTCTTGTCTGAGTACCCTTTCCACAAAACAGTAGTTATGAGTTTGGGTTACAGAGTCATTCTGTCATGTATCAGTTCCATTGATCAGATTTGTGACATTAGGCAACTTATGTAACTATTCTATGCCTCTGTTTTCTCAATTGCAAAATGGGTGTAATAATAGTCCCTAAAGCAGAGGATTGTTGAAAGGATTAGTTAATATGTGAAAAGTGTTTAGAATAGTGCCTGACACTTTGTAAGTGTTCAGTTAATGCTATTTGCTATTAGTAGTAGTGGAAGCCTTTTCTGAAATCAGCTGTTGGTTCTCCATTGCTTTTTGTTCTTTGTTTTGTTGATATCTGCTCTTAATTTTCTTTTTCTTGTTTTCTTTTTGTTTACTCTCTTCTTAAGTTGGACACTAATATTTAAAGCTAGACTTTTGTAATGGATAATTGTAACTCCTTTAGATGTGCCCTGCACTATCATTTTTCTGATGATTATATCTGACTTATTAAGAGTCATGCTTATATTCAGGCTTTTCTTCTATGTCTTAAGCTTATCAGTATCAGTAGCATCCTCAACAAGTCAGGTACCCCAGCACATTTTTACCTCTTAAGTAGTCTCTCTTTTGTCAATCCTCTTCGTATTCATATTCACCAAAGTTTTTGTTCTGGATTTTTAGGGATATACTTTGTTGTCTTCACCCTCCTTGCTCCCATTGCTCACTTGTACAAAAAACATTGTATTAACTATTCTCCTTTATTTCTCATATCTCAGATATCTCATAGAAGTCCCTTGGGATTTGGGGGGTTTTTGTTTGTTTTGTTGTTATTGTTGAGACAGGCTCTCACTCTGTAGCCCAGGCTGGAGTGTAGTGGCTCTATCACAGCTCGCTGTAGCCTTGACCTCCCATGCTCCAGCAGTCCTCCCACTCCAGCCACGCCAGTGGCTGAGATTACAGGCACACACTACCATGCCCAGCTAATTTTTGTATTTTTTATAGAGATGGAGTTTTGCCATGGTGCTCAGGCTGGTTTTCAATTCCTGGGCTCAAGCAATCCTCCTACCTCGGCCTCCCAAAGTGTTGGGATTATAGGTGTGAGCCACTGTGCCTGGCCTTCCCTTGGATTTATCTCCTTCCCTCCTTGCTGGAGTTTTTCAAAGAGAGACTTGATTTGGTTAAGTCTTACGAGTTTTTGTGGGCCTGCAGATCTCTCTCTCTCTTTGTTTTTTTTGATAGAGACAATGTTTTCCTATGTTGCTTAAGTGGTCCTCCCATCTTGGCCTCCCAAAGTGCTGGGATTACAGGAGTGAGCCACCACACCCAGCCCAGATACCTTTATCCTTATATTAAAACTGTATTTTTGTTCTATGTACAATTCTAGGTTAAAAGTTTGATTTCATCTTTAGCTTAAAATTATCTCTCCATTGTCTTTTGGCTTCCAGTGTTTATATTAGAAAGTCATATGTTCATCTGATCTTGTTCATTTTTAAGTAGTTTGTTGTTTTTTGGTACACTTTGAGGTGTTTCAATCTGACTTTTTTTCCCCCTTTAATTCTGAGAAATTCTTAAATAGTCTTATCTTTATTTTCTCCTGGAACTTCTATAGTATGGATAGTGATATTTCTACTTCTATTTCTATCTATTAAATTTTGTTGTTTTCTGTCTCTTAATTCCCACAAAAAAATTCCATATTTGCAAATTACTCAACCTGATCTTTTAGCTCACTGATGTGTTTTTCAACTGTTAACTGCTCAAGCAATCCACTGCGTCTGGCATGAGTTTTATAAGAACAAGTTGGACTTGAAATTATCTAAGTTTAACAAGCTATTTCAGTGATTTTTTTTTTTTTTTACAGAATAAAATGTTTTTCTTCAGTAACTTGCTCACACTATACTAAAACCTAGATTTATTTGTTTTGTTTATAGTTTTTGTGAAATTTTTCAGACTTAAAAAGTATTCAATTAACTTTTGAAAGTAGGTCTGTGTTGCTGCCCTATACCAGGCCTCTTATTAGGAAAGTGATCATTTGCAAGTTGTTGTCATTAAATAAGCCCCAGTTATCTGGCTTTTGGGCAGTGGAAGAGGGGAGTCATTCTGTCAGCATTAAGGAAGTGAAGTTGTCATTAAACTAGACCCTGGCACTGCAGTTTTTCTCCTTTCTGCTTCTCTCCTTTGGTGTTCATCCCCAGAAACTTCTTCACAGCATTATATATGTTCAACCAGCCAGCTTTATTTCAAAAGTAGTTTATTATAGTGTATGAAAGTTTTTCTGCTGGGTGCGGTGGCTCATGCCTGTAATCCCAGCAGTTTGGGAGGCCAAGGCAGGCAGATCATTTGAGGTCAGGAGTTCGAGACTAGCCTGGCCAACATCATGAAACCCCATCTCTACTAAAAATACAAAAATTAGCTGGGCATGGTGGTGTGTGCCTGTAATCCCAGCTACTGGGGAGGCTGAGGCAGGAGAATCACTTGAATGTGGGAGGCGGAGGTTGCAGTGAGCCAAGATCGCACCACTGCACTCCAGCCTGGGCGATAGAGTGAGACTTCGTCTCGAAAAACAACAACAAAAGTGTTTCTGGCTAAGAGATAAATTATAGGACTATAGTCTAGATACGTACCATTTACTTATTAAGCTTTTTAAAAGGCTATTGTGGCTCAGCAGTCAATGGTATATGAGGTAATCAGGGTTGACAAATAACCATAGACAGATATTAAACAGACAGCACTGATATTATACCTTGTACCTCATCATCTTTCTGCAGGTCATTTCCTCCTCTGGAACAGATCCTTTGAGTTCCTTCCCTTTCATCTTCTTCAACAGACACTTTATCCTCCTGACCAGGATAGTAAATTTGTAGCCAGAGTCTATAGTAAACATCACTAATTTATCACATCTTTTGCTGGCTAAGCCCTGTGTATGCCTTAGAATCATTCTCAGCACAACACTTCAGGAAGCCCTCAGTTAAAGTTAGCAGATGACACTTAGTTGTTATTTCTGTCCTATTTCTTGTTCCAACCAGAGTAAGCCATTAACTTATTCAGGCTGTATTTTGAAGCCTAAAAAGAAATAAAGGTAGGAAGCAATTAAAGCATTTCCTAATATCCAAGATGTTTTTCTGCCCTTCCCTCACCTTTTGAAGTCTTTTATGTTATACCTACCCTTGTTCCTCTCTTCCTGTGCTTTTTTCTGCTGCTTCTTATAAACACATTTATACTGAGCATTATAGGATATATTTGATTCTGTATTGAGTGAAAAGGGCATTTTTTCCCCCAGATATTCTCAACCATTTAGTCACTCTGTTGAGTTGTTTTCTTCCCATTTTTGGTGTAATAGGGTACTTTTTTCCCCCTATTCTTATATTTAGATTTTTTTTTTTTCTTTTTGGAGAAAATTGGATGCCACCAAACCTGTAAGGTGTTGGTTTTAAATGCCTTTTCTCTGGAACTAAGCAATGGCCTAATTTTGCTAAAAAGAGACAGGAATTTGAAAAAGGACAAGATAGAAGGAAATACTGATAGAACTAACAAGTATTACTTTATTTTTGTCCCTAAGTTAAAGTGTGACAATGATATGGCCATCACTCACCGTATGTTGTATGATGGGCCTTCACTACACCAACATTTGATATTCACAACCAGGTCCTTCAGTGTAGGTATTGGCCTTGTTTACTTATGAAGAAAATGAGAGTCAAAGAGATAGTTTGCCCAAGGACATACAGCTGGCAAACGGTAAGTGGTAGAGTTAGGATTTTACCCCAGCTTCCTAACTTTAAACCTTGTACTCTTTCTCTTCCAAACATTTAGAAAAGTTTACCTTTAGTAGATTTTACCTTTTTTCCACAATAAACTTTATATTATAGCCTTTTTAGTTTGGGCAGTAATTACATACATACATACATGCATGCATACATACATACACTTTAATGTTCTATAGGTTATTTGGGCCACTGGCACTGTGACCAAAGTGATAGTCTTCTGAGCGTGTTCTGAATCTGTGAGGCAGTGTAGCCCAGTAACATAGTGTAGTGACAGCCTGGAGTCAAATCCTGGCTCCACCACTGCCTCATCTTGTGCAAGTTTCCTTTCTCACAACAACTTACACAGTTGTTCTGAGAATTAAACCAAGTAACACACATAGAGCACTTGGCACAATGCCTGACAAATAGCTTCATAAATGCTATTAGTATGTATTCACTTTATGCTAAATTCCTAGCTTCTCCATGAGGTTCTAAGAACTTTTGCTGAGTTACATAGAAATTACAGACTACACTAAAGATATTTCATACCTTCAGGTTATTTGTAAAGAAATGGCAAATATTACCTTTATCATTTTTGACATTTATGTTAAATGAGATAATAATCACTGCTATTTGAAACCTGTCATATAGGATTTGAGTCTGTCTGCTGGTCAGGAATATTTGCCTCACCCCAGGATTTAAAGTACTTCTAGAAAGAAGCCAAAGGCCGGGCGTGGTGGCTTACTCCTTGTAATCCCAGCACTTTGGGAGGCCGAGGTGGGTGAATCACCTGAGGTCAGGAGTTCGAGACCAATCTGATCAACATGGAGAAACCCCATCTCTACTAAAAATACAAAATTAACCGGGTGTGGTGGCGCATGCCTGTAATCCCAGCTACTTAGGAGGCTGAGGCAGGAGAACCACTTGAACCCGGGAGGCGTAGGTTATGATGAGCTGAGATTGCGCCATTGCACTCCAGCCTGGGCAACAAGAGTGAAACTCCGTCTCAAAAAAAAAAAAGAAGCCAAAAATCTGTTTGGAATCATACCTAAAATAGTAATAGTCATTAACCACCAATAAAATTTACCCATGTCTGTGTTTTAACTTTTTATTGTATGAGTCTACATTCAGTTATTAAAATATTTGCTATCTCCTTTTCTTTTTCAGAGCATGAATAATCTTTCATTTAGTGAGCTATGTTGCCTCTTCTGCTGTCCACCTTGTCCAGGGAAGATTGCTTCAAAATTAGCGTTTTTGCCACCTGATCCAACTTACACACTGATGTGTGATGAAAGCGGAAGCCGTTGGACTTTACATCTGTCTGAACGAGCAGACTGGCAGTATTCTTCTAGAGAAAAAGATGCTATTGAGTGTTTCATGACTAGAACCAGTAAAGGCAACAGAATTGCTTGTATGTTTGTACGTTGTTCACCCAATGCGAAATACACTTTACTCTTCTCACATGGAAATGCTGTTGATCTTGGTCAAATGAGCAGCTTTTACATAGGACTAGGATCACGGATTAATTGTAATATATTCTCATATGATTATTCTGGATATGGTGCCAGTTCCGGGAAACCCACAGAGAAGAACCTCTATGCAGACATTGAAGCTGCTTGGCTTGCTCTTAGGACAAGGTAAATTGTGGTTGGAATTTATTTTTCATACTCGTGGTGGTTAGCTAAAAATATCTTGTGTAAGAATAGAATAAAAGCTGTTTTTATTATACATAACTGCTATATAGAGGTTATATTTACTATTATATACCTGTGAATAAATATTTTAGACAGCAATTTTAAATTTCACATAATAGCAAAACAAAGTTTTTAAAGACAGTTTCAGGTTTGTTTGTCTACATTAATACACGTATATATGTATGTTTTTTTTAACTTAAATTCTTAGCTGGAAGTCCATGGTGCATGCCTATAGTCCTAGTTACTTAGGAGACAAAGTCAGGGGAATCACTTGAGGCCAGGAGTTTGAGGCTGCAGTGAGCTATGATCGTGCCACTGCACTCCAGCCTGAGTGACAGCGTCAGACCTCATCTCTTAAAAAGTTAAAAAAAAAAAAAAATTAAATCCAGTGACAAATGTTTGGTTTTTGTAAGCTTTCTTATTGGAGTGTGATATAAAAAATGTTTATTCAAAGCTGCAACCTTTCAAGGAAATGAGAGAAAATACTGACATAGCTAATTATTCACTTGATCTGTCATTAACAGTATGAGGCTGGATTGCTTTCTATTAAAATCTTAAGCCAAGATTTGCATTATTTTATGTGATTACTTCTTGGGAAGTACAACTTAAAGATACCTTATTGGAATTATTTTTCAAGTATTCATTCTGTAAAACTGAGATTTTACTTTATATTCTGTGTTCCTAAAATTGGGAGAGATTATATCAAGTTTAAAAAAATTTTTTAGGCTGGGTGCGGTGGCTCACGCCTGTAGTCCTAGCACTTTGGGAGGCTGAGGCAGGCGAATCACAAGGTCAGGAGTTCGAGACCAGTCTGGCCAACATGGTGAAACCCCATCTCTACTAAAAATACAAAAAAAAAATGTCTGGGCGCAGTGGCTCATGCCTGTAATCACAGCACTTTGGGAGGCTAAGGCAGGTAGATCACGAGGTCAGGTATTCGAGACCAGCCTGGCCAAGATGGTGAAACCCCGTCTCTACTAAAAATACGAAAATTAGCCGGGCACAGTGGCGGGTGCCTGTAATCCCAGGTATTCGGGAAGCTGAGGCAGGAGAATCACTTGAACCTGGGAGGCGGAGGTTGCAGTGAGCTGAGATCACACCACTGCACTCAAGCCCAAGTGACAGAGTAAGACTCTGTTTAAAAAAAAAGAAGTTTTAATGTTATGATAAATTGTTTAATAAAATTTTCTTACTATGTCAGTTATTCTTTGATTATAGCAGCATACATTTTGGGGAACTAGAAATTGCATTAATCTTTTCTAGTCACCAAGATACCTAAACATTTTTCTTGAAAAAAAAATCACAATTTGGTAGACTTCAGTGTATTATTAGTCAGGTTAGTGTACAATAAACAGATACCTTAATATAGGCTATTCTTTATATTATATGAAAATAAAATATCTGACTTCCAGGATGTTTTAGACTGAAGCTATAGGATATAAAGAAAACTTACTGTTTCTAATTTAATGTTTAAATATTAAAGATTTCATTTAGTCAGGAAAAATTTCCTCAATTTTAATAATAAAGTAGTTAATATTATTAAAGATATTAAAAATATCTTTAAAACTATTTTTCCCTCCAAAGAAATGTAATAAAGTTATGCTCTCATAGCGAAGTTCTACATAAAAGGGATTCTTAAAATCAACTGAAATTATATAAAAACATAAATATGGGGAATAAGGAAAAAAAGATGGCAAGTAGTAGGTAAAGAGTTGATGGGGGATGGTAAAGTTATTGTTTAATTGATAAATTAAAAACTGCTTTAAATAAAAATCTTTTACATATATTGATATCAGTTCCATCAAGCCTTAAAACAAACAGAAACTGAGTGCCCACTTTTTAGAGTCAGTCAGTTGAATAACGTATAACAACTATAAGAAAGTATTATAATTAAAAAAATAGCTTTATTGAGTGATAAGGTTCACACTTTTAAAGGTTAACTTCAGTGGAATAATGAAGTTTTAAAGGGTGCTAAGTTAAAACTGATAGCCAGCTTTCATTATTAGTGCTTCCCAGTAACGCAAAAGGGTCACTTTACTCAAACAAAACATGTTAGTATTCAGTTCAGTGTTCTGTGTCTATATGAAAAAATCCCATTTTTTAAGTGGTCAACTTTACTGTTTTTTTCTTTTCTTTTCTTTTAATCTTGGCATTTACCAATTTGAAGAAAACTTTGAAAAATGATTTTCAGCCTTAATTTTTTTAACATATTTGATAGCCAGTGTTAATCAGGAATGGGCAGATTTCATCAATAATCCCACATACTATTTTAGCACTTATATTTTAGAATTTTAGACCTGTGTTTTCTTTCGTGTTGAAACCAAAATATAGTTGGAGTTTCATAAGTGTAGGTACTTTAGGAAATATTACTTCTCTGAGCCTGTGTTTCCTCATCTGTTTAATGAAGAGATTGAATTAAATGATCCCCAAGATCTTTTCCAATTCTGGAATTCTGTCATCTAATGAAATGTGTGTAATTAGAATACATGCCTTTTATTTTATTTGCCTGATTAAAAGTTAGGACTTAAGTAACCAGGAGAGAGAAAATAAATAATGAACTTAAATAATGTTCATTTTTGGGATGAATGAACATTGGAATGTCCTTTTTGGGAAAATTGGATATCCATAATAACTCCAATTTCTGACCTTCTGATGGACCAAAAGAAACTCGGGGCCTGGCATTCACTATGCACCTTTCCCACAAAGTCCTTGAGTTCCTCATCTGTGTGCTTCAGAGGTAAAAAACACTGAACTGGGAGTCAGTATACCTGGGTTCTAATTATAGAGCTGTCATCTACTGGTGACTTTGAAGATCTGCTCATTAGGCAGCTGGACTCTAGATTAGATGGTCTCTAAACTCCTTTCTAGCTCATACTGTTAGGCAGTTGTTACTCTTGTGAGTCCCCTCATGCTTAATTGTCAGCTACCTCTGCGACTCTATCCTTGAGCATTGTCATTGCTAGCTGTAGCCCAAATTTCATGATTGCCACCAACAATGCTGATATTCAGCTGACAGCAACAATGCAGCCTCAAGAACTGTGGTCATGCTGCAAATGTTCATTCTCCTAATTTCTTCATTCGTATGAAATATGTGCAACTAGGTCTGTTGTAAAGAAAAAAGCTTTTCTGAGTTTGCTAATATTTAGAGTCAATTTGAAGTAGACAGAGCCCCACTTTCTGTGTCCTATACAAATGCTTGTGTAGTACTGACTTGAAGAAACTATATGGGGAGAGCTGTGTTACTACCTGTATAGTTGAAATAGTATTATGCCCCTGGAAGAGAACACACGGACAGTTTCCCTCGCTCTTTCCTGGTGAATATCCAGATTCTTAGAAAGATATTTTACCTTTGCAAAAGATTTCCAAAAGCAGCTGTTATGTTCTTAGCTGCCAGAGTGACTGCTGTCTGCCTTCTAAGTGGAAAGGTGTATTTAATGTCACTATAACCTTTAAGCCCACATTCATTAGCTCAGGTAGCACTGTACTTACACTTGCAGTAGTTTACATTTGGGATGATTATACTGTAGACAAGTAGCAAGCAGTTCCTTGAACATACTAGGTACCCAATAAATATTTATTGAGTCAATGAGTTTTCATCTATTTAAACCTGTGGCCATTTTAAAGGGATTAAAATAGTACCTTGTAATTTTAGCGTAAAGTCTAATCATAAATAATTGGACCATGTGGTGTTTGGAATTCTTTTTTATCTTTTCAACCATTAGTCCATTTCTACAACTAAGCAAAGATCAATTTTAAGAAAAATCGTAAAATCATAATTTGCCCTTTACTAAAACCATACATATATTCATTTCATACCATAACTATATGTAACAGTTCATCAATATGACCAATTTTGGAAATTAAAATGAGCCACTCTTGATGTGTGGAGAAATAAATAACTTTTGTTACACTGAACGGAAAATAAATATGACCTATTCATTCAACATCAGTTCATTAAAATATTAGTGATATGCCCCAAGCTTAGTCAGCAGTAAGCTAGGTTGAAATATTATAGTGTAATAAATTATTTAATAAATTTATTTCTTAAGATTGAAATCTTAAAATACCTCAGCAATTATTCTTCCAAAAGATGAAGTAGAGAAACACATGAAATAAACTGATGATACAGACTTTATTGTAATGTTAAAACTAACAGTAATAGCTAAGAAACTTAAGTTTAAAAAATGGATTAGTTGACATTGTCTTATTCTAAGATCAAATCCTTTGGAATGATGGAACATTTCATATCACTCCAACTTTTTTGGTTTTTGTTTTTAACGCCTGAACTTTGTAGATATGGCATTCGCCCTGAAAATGTGATTATATATGGCCAAAGTATAGGGACAGTACCGTCTGTGGATCTTGCTGCTCGATATGAGAGTGCTGCTGTTATTCTTCATTCTCCTCTGACTTCGGGAATGCGAGTTGCCTTTCCTGATACCAAGAAGACCTACTGTTTTGATGCATTCCCAAAGTAAGTAGCAATATTCAAAATAGTTAAATTCCAAGAAACTTGGGAATTTTTTCATCATTTAAAGTATTCATGACACAGTTCACTCAACCATAAACTTCATTTTATATATATTAGCACATAGAAATTATGAAAAATTAATTTGTAAAGAGGGTATTAGCAGGTGACCAGTCAGAAGGCTGAAATGTTTGAGGAGTAGTAATCCAGATGAAAATTGCTGAGGGCCTTACACCTCAGGTGGTGGCACTAGTATTGGAGACAAGGGAATTAATTTGAAACATAAATTTGACAGAACTGAGTATCAGACTGGGTGTAGGATGCTAAAGAGAAAAACTTGAACATGACTACCATGTTTCTGCCCTGAGGTGCTAATGGATAGGGCCATCCAGTGAGACACTTGATGTTAGAGAAGAACAGGTAGAAGCTAAAATGAGTAAATATCTGATTAATGATACCTAACTTACAAAAGAAGTGAATTGAAAAAAAGTTGAATCTTAAATTAACTAGATTAGTAAGTATTGCTGCCACAAAACCTGCAAACATACTTAGATGTATTTGAAAGGAAAGTAGCTACTTTTCCTTCATGCTTCTCAAGACAGGAGGTAGTTCCCACCTACTCTTCATAGTTGGAAAAAATTAATGGCCTATTTTTCTCAAGGAGAAGACAAGAAATAAGTTGGCAAATTTTAGTTTTCTCTCCTTTCTCCAATTGGCAGCAATACAAAGGATTTTTTTTGTGAATGGCCGATGGGCCAAAGGCAAAGTCATCACATGGTTCAAGAATTATTTTAAAAACACAGAATTTTCATCATTAGCCAGTAATGGATCACTTTAGTAGGGAAAGTATGTGAACACATGATCTTATCACAAGGGCAAGCTGTGGGCATGTTTGGGTTTTTATTTTGTTTTGGGTTTGTTTTTGTTTCAGGTAATGTGGGTATAGGCATTATACTGCCTCTGTCTAGCTGAATGGTAAAAATGATAGGGATGTATCTGAGTATCCCCATATCAGTGTTGTTGTCAACTTATGTCTCCATCTAGCTCCCTCTTTCATTTCTGGTGCACCAACAGAGAGCAACACTAAAAATAAACTGTTTGGCCAGGCACAGTGGTTCACGCCTGTAGTCCCAGCACTTTTGGAGGCCGTGGCGGGTGGATCACTTGAGGCCAAGAGTTCGAGACCAGCCTGGCCAACATGGTGAAACCCCGTCTCCACCAAAATTACAAAAATTAGCCAGGCATGGTGATGCGTGCCTGTAATCCCAGCTACTCGAGAGGCTGAGGCATGAGAATCCCTTGAACCTGGGAGACAGAGATGGCAGTGAGCCAAGATGGTGCCACTGCACTCCAGCCTGGGCGACAGAGCGAGACCCTGTCTCAAAAAATAAAAATAAACTGTTTGAAAAAGATAATATACTTCTTTTTATTTTTTATTCAAGTTTTAATTCCTCTACCGCTGAACATCTTTCTGACAACAGATAGTAAACCCAAGTATTTATTCTTACCAAATGCAGCCTTAGATTATTTCATTGATGGTTTTTTCATTGTCAACATTCCATTTTCATTTTATGTTTATTATAATACCTTTCTCTAAAGATTCTTAAAAAGAATTGTCTGTGTAGTTTCTGTGTCCTCCAAGTTGCCTTTTAAAAAAGTGTTTGTTTTGATTCCTCTGTTATTTGAAGTGTTCTCCTCTCATGTCTGATAATTCTTGGTTGCCTGCTTATATGTAAGTAAAGGAGCTGATCAACTCTTTACTCTTACATATAAGCAGACAATCAAGATTTAGCAGATCAACTAAAGGGCTGATCTGATAATAATCTCCAAAGAAGGCTCTTTCTTTCTTTCTTTCTTTCTTTTTTTTTCTGAGACAGAGTCTCGCTGCGACACCCAGGCTGGAGTACAATGGTGTGATCTTGGCTCACTGCAACCTCTGCCTCCAGGGTTCAAGTGATTCTCCTGCCTCAGCCTCGCGAGTAGCTGGGATTACAGGCATGCGCCATCATGCCTGGCTAATTTTTTTTTTTTTTTTTGTATTTTTAGTAGAGACGGGGTTTCACCATGTTGATCAGGCTGGTCTCGAACTCCTGACCTCAGGTGATCCACCCACTACGGCCTCCCAAAGTGCCGAGATTACAGGCATGAGCCACCGCACCTGGCCCAAAGAAGACTTTCTAAAAGTCCCTCCTGGAGGACAGTGGCCTGACTACCAGCATTCTGGGAGCCACATAGGGAAAATGGGTTCATAGTAGCCAGTATGTAAATGTATATGTTTCCATTGTCTCTATGATACCTCTGTTCTAAACTCTGGCAGTCTTCTAGTTCACAGACATTCCAGTCTTGGGGGCAGGCAGTTTCTGGGTATATGAACAGGCAAAAGGAACTGGGAAGGGGAGGCTAACTTTCTTACACAGACTTTGCAAAAATCCTGTATATTTCAATCACCCCCTTCATCACCATGGTAATTCCTTAGCTTTCTGGGGTATTCTGTTGTATAAATTGGTTTCGTTCATCACTTTACCATCTATCTGCCTAAAATTGTGTTTTCTTCTTTTAATAAATTGTTTCACACATTAATCTTCTTTCCAGCTCCAACATTTTATTATATTTTAGTACATTCTCCTTGTTTTTGTATCTTTATCCTCAAACAAGAACAAAAACATAAAACATTTTGCTGTCATTTTAGTAGGAGACTAGGAGAAAGAATATAGTGAGTGCAGAAAGTGAAATTAGCGCATACTTGAAATGGTTCTTAAATTTTCTCTTCTTCTGGACACCTAAGTTTCTCTGTGCCAAAAGTCAACATTGTAGAAAGGTACAGTAGAGTGACAAGAGCATTGAGTGATTCCAGCAAAACCATCAAAACAAGTGCATGAAAATAACTTCCTCAGATAATCTTAAGGTAGGGAGTATGTAAAAGGCAATTTTTGAATCTTACTGGAAATTCAGGAGACATTCTTACCTTCTGAACTGATTCATACAATTCTCATATTTGAATTATCTGTCTGATATAGCACAAGAATATGTTCCTTTACATAGTTAATTTATTGCATTTTTCCCCCTTCCTTTTTCCCTGCAGCATTGACAAAATCTCTAAGATAACCTCTCCAGTATTAATAATTCATGGGACTGAAGATGAAGTCATTGACTTTTCACATGGCCTCGCATTGTTTGAACGTTGCCAAAGACCTGTGGAGCCTCTCTGGGTTGAAGGAGCAGGTCACAATGATGTGGAACTTTATGGACAGTATCTTGAAAGGTTGAAACAGTTTGTGTCACAGGAACTGGTAAATTTGTAAAATATTCTGTAAATTTGCTACTGGGTTTTCCTTTCTTGCTGAACTGCACTCTTTGGTAAATAACATAAAACCTGAAGGTTTTGTTTGCAAATCATGTCAGTTGCCTTCATAAATGTACAGGTAATGATTTGTTAACAGACTTAATGAAGGTTTTAATTACCAGAACTAAAAACTGGAAATAACAGTACCGTGCAGTCAGGCTGTGTAATTTATATTTTTTCTGTGAATTTTTTTTTAACATCAAGATGAGTACTGTATGAGATTTTAATTCTATAAAATCAAATGCTGTAAAAGTATTGCCAAATGCTTTTGCATACTAGAAACAAATTTATAAATATTTTTAAAACATCTCAATATATTAAATCTTATCCTGGAATACAACTGTAATATTTTGAAAAAAGCTATGTATCTAAAGCAATTTAAGTACTCATAATGGAATGAACTGTAAAAGAGATTTAAAACCATGCAAGTTCACTAGAATTAACCTAAACCCTGTTGTACAGGGATAGAGGTTTAAAGTTATTTTATTGTAAAATACATTGAATTTTCTGTATACTCTGATTACATACATTTATCCTTTAAAAAAGATGTAAATCTTAATTTTTATGCCATCTATTAATTTACCAATGAGTTACCTTGTAAATGAGAAGTCATGATAGCACTGAATTTTAACTAGTTTTGACTTCTAAGTTTGGTACTGTGAGGCAAGTACTTAAAATTTTCATGCTGGTTACTTAAAAGGCATTTAGAGATTTCAAGAATGATTTTGTATACGATGTTTTAAATTTTGACTGATCTCATAGTCTTCATAGAATTGCAGTAGTCTTCATTGTATGAAATCCCGAAAGTCCATGAGTTGATCTTAAAGACCACTAACAGACTGGCTATCAGATCCCTTTTCACTTTGGCTATTTTTTTCATTTTTTGAGATGGAGTCTTGCTGTGTCACTGAGGCTGGAGTGCAGTGGCGCGATCTTGATTCACTGCAACCTCTGCCTCCCGGGATCAAGTGATTCTCCTGCCTCAGCCTCCTGAGTAGCTGGTATTACAGATGCTTGCCACCACGCCTGGCTAATTTTTGTATTTTTAGTAGAGACAGGGTTTTGCCATGTTGATCAGGCTGGTCTTGAACTCCTGACCTCATGATCTGCCCTTGGCCTCCCAAAGTGTCGGAATTACAGGCATGAGCCACTGCGCCTGGCCCACTTTAGCTATTTTTAAAAATAGGACCTATTGTTTTGGATTACTATCTGAGAATTTCATGGATTCACTCCTGGGTATAGGAGATAAGAATACGTTTAATTCATAACTTTTATATTAACCAATATAGTAAAAAAATAAAGCTCACACATACAAAAACTAAGTTGCCTTTCCTTGAATGAACCCTGTCTGAATAAAACAATGAAAAATAAAAATAAAATTAATGGTATGTAGTCTAATTTGTAAATGAATGAATATGGAAATAATACACACTGTGGATATATTTTAAGGCCTTATGTAGTTTTAATTGTTCTGCTCGTTCCGTGGTTATGTTTAAGACTATAGTATATGACTCTCTTCAAAGTATATCAAGTATTGTGAATGCTTTGGTTCAGATGTGTCAAATTAACAGTAAAACAACAAATATACCACTGACCTGTGCTTATTTGCCTTTTTCCATGCTCCCCACCCCCACACTAGAAAGAGTGAAAAAAAATTACCCTTCGTTTTTATAGGACATAGTTTGAAAATTTTTAAAATTATATCATCACTTTTTTGGAGAGGTCTTTCTTTCTCAAGATTGTCTTGTAACCTATACAGTTTCTTCTTTGTACAGCATACAACCCAGGGCTTAGCTAAATGTTTTCTTTGATTACCTGGGGAAATCTAAATATTGATCCTATTCATTCAGTGTTCGTTCATTCAACAGACAGTTACTGAATGTATAAATCATGCAAAAACCTGTGCTAGGTAAAGACAGACTGTGTCCTCATAGATTTCATGGTATAGCTAAGGAGACAGGCACCTCATTGCACAAATATTACTATTTTGATAAGGGCTGAAGGAGATTTGTAAGGTATTGTAACAGGTAAAAGGTACTTTTGGGAGGGGAACATAGGGAGCAGGGCAAGGAAGAGTCCCCCAGAGAAGTGGTATTTCAGCTAAGTTTTGAAGGATAACTAAGAATTGGGTAGACCTGGGTGACCCAGGGGAAGCATTCCTAGCTGAGGGGAATGAATAATATATGGAAGCCTAGAGGAAGGAAGGTGCAGTTAAATATGAAGACTGGGCCAGGGGCGGTGGCTCATGTCTGTAATCCCAGTACTTTGGGAGGCTGAGGCAGGTGGATCACGAGGTCAGGAGATCGAGACCATCCTGGCTAACACGGTGAAACCCTGTCTCTACTAAAAACACAAAAAGTTAGCTGGGCGTGGTGGCACGCGCCTGTAGTCCCAGCTACTTGGGAGGCTGAGGCAGGAGAATCACTTGAACCCGGGAGGTGGAGGTTGCAGTGAGCCGAGATCGCACCACTGCACTCCAGCCTGGGTGACAGAGCGAGACTCTGTCTCAAAAAAAAAAAAAAAAAAAAAAAAGAAAGTTTGGCCTATGCATGAGGCTGCTAATTAGGAACACAATTACAGATGGCATGGTGAACCCTAGTCTTTATCCTAGAAACAAATAGGCCATTGATAGAAAAAGGAAACAGCACTTGTCAAGAGTATAGATGAAAAAATCTGGAGATTTTCGCTTGCTGGAAATAACGTGTAAGTCAGTTGTGTAGAAACTGATCTAATTTTAGAGTGGTGAAAAATACATCATGGGAAAATGATACACAAAGTGCTGTTCAAACCACATTTACATTACTAATGTTATTCCAGGATGCAGTGAAAGGATATTTACAAATTAGAGCAAATCCTGAGGTATTTGCCAAGTTGGAAAAGGTACCGTAAACTGAAACTCCCAAACCAGCTGAAAGATGTGACTAAGGAGTAATAGCTACCTTCAAATATTTGAGAGGCATGTACAATGTATTTTATCTGGCTCTCAGAGCAGGACTGGGTGAAAATTACACAATACCAGATTAAAGCTCAGTATGAGAAATAACTTTATGGCTATTTGTCCATAAAGGAAAGGGATTGCTTCCTAAGCATTAATGAGTATCTTATCACTAGAGACAGAGCAGAAGCTGAATGACATCTGTCATAGGTGTCACAGAAGAAATTCCAGATTTAAATGAAAAGTCGAACTAGATGTACTGTGTGTAAGGTCGTTTGAGACTTTGTATTCCATTTTGATTTCCCCTACTTACTCCTGAGAGCTTACCTATGGTTTTTAGAAGACAGTATGATGTAGAATTAAATTGGCAGTCAGATCTGGGCCTCTTGTCAGCTAACAGTGACTAGATCTGCAACATTGGGCAAGTTATTTCTGGACCTCAGTTTTCTCACTAGAAATTAATGGAACTAATTGAATAATAATATCCCTTACATTTCTAATGTAATGTGAAAATTTCAGCCCTACTCACACGTAATGGCTCATATCAGTTTTTAGCCTTAACTGATGACTAAAATGGTCCCAATTTGTTTGTTTTGATATTTGGCTTTTGTACATACTAACATAGTACAATTTTGATAGTAACACAAATCCTTGGTCTTGTGCCATATCCTCCAAGTACAAAAAAGAATGATGAAGAAGAACTTTCATGAACTAGTTTGTCATCTTCATACTTTTCCAGGTTTCTTACACAAATTTACCAGTTCTGTATCCTACATGAATATATACCATAGATTTTTTTTTTCTCGGTGATTTCTATAAATATATAGGTAGTGTTCACTTTAAGAGAGCTTCATAAGTGAAAATGAATTTTAAGCAGGGAGAGGTGGCTCAAGCCTGTAATCCCAGCTACTTAAGAGTCTGAGGTGGGAGGACCACTCGAGTCCAAGACTAGAAGGCTGCAGTGAACTGATTGTGCCAATGCACTCCAATGGAATGAGACCCTGTCTCTGCAAAAATAATTATAAAATGAATTTTAGAAATTGTAGACTGACAGCAATTATCATGTAAATAGTGGTATTCTTGCATTTAGACATACATGACAAAATCTTAAGAGTGATTTTTCATAAACAGTTATGGAAAGCCACATAAACTCAGATTATGAAAACTGCAGAGATGATATAGCCTAATCCCTTTATTTTACAGGTGCAGAAACATAAAGAAGGGAAGTGATTTTCTCAAGGTCTACAGTTTTCAATGACGGTACTATGTATTCCATTATCTTCTCTTTACCAAACTTAACTGGATTAATATACCAATGATCCTTTCAAATTATATGACATAAACTTATTTGCTCTCCAATGTTAGTCACAATTGTATTTTTTTAATGGGTAGGTTCCTCCTTGTCAGTTATTCATTGAATAGTAAATTGGTAGATTGTGCCAATTAATTCTCAAGTTAATGATTATTTAAAGAATTTAATACTAATTCATTTTACTAGGCACAGTTACAGTTAGTTATGTTGAAACCTAGTGAGGATGGTAGCCACAGACACATGAATAAACAAGTGTTTACTTCAGAAGCTGATTTACTATAAATTGTAACACACAGAATAAGCAATTACATTGAAAAAAGTATCAATATAGTTACTACGAATTAGCTTTTAGCTTGTTGCTTTGTTTTAAAATAGGCAATTTATTCAAACATGATAACATGTTGTATTCTGATAATGTGCACCCCAAATGTCCAGTAACCAAAAAAGTAACAATTTATGCTTACGATACTTGGAATTAGGCTTTGAGTTTGAGCTTGCAGAATGGAGAAGACATTTGTCTATCGTATCTCTAAATGGATTATGCCTCTGACTGAATAGTTGAATGAGTAATGCTAAGGAAGGAAGCAAACACCTCTATGCTGGAAATGACCCACTTGACATTAGAGTTGTGTGTTTTACTTTTTCTTTTTTTAGGGAAAGTACAAAGGTCTTAACAAATGTCAGTGAGCTGAAAGCTGTTAAACTGGCTTTTTCGTATGAAGCCAGATGGACATGAAACTATTTTACTCCCTCTGTTTCCTCTTGTAGGCTGTGTACTAAATTTGCATAATATGACACTTTTAGAAAAAAGTTTTAATAGTGTGCTTTAAAAAATGACGTTATATTAGAAAAATGGGGAAATGCTGTTTTTAGATCATTTTTATCTCCTAATAAAATGCAAGTTTCAGCCACTGTAGTACTTGATTAATTCAAAATTTGGATTTCTTTTTCCTCTAAAACAACTACTTAAGGCAGTATATTGAAGTAGATTCAGTCTTCTGGTTTTTGAAGAAGAAAAGAAGTAGAGAGGGTAGCAGGTAGGTTTACGAATATAGGGGCACTATGTATGGTGAATTCATAGACTATAAATCAAAACTTATAATTAGCATTCTCATGTTATGAATCTTAAATGAAACTTGTGTTTCTATTTGAACACCTAATAACTTTGGTAAAGTCAGAGGCCATCTATATTACTTCACCAAAGTGAGAATTTGCTACTTTTTGAGCTCTTTTAAGTCTAGAAGTCTGGGCTCCAAGCCTTCAAGGCCCATCCCCGGGAAATAGAATGGGCAGAAGGGAGGGAGACAAAAGAAAATAGTTTATATATCCCTAAATATATCTGGTGCTGTCAAAAATGATAATTAAACTTGCTAAAGTATTCAGTGTAATCCTAAATGAAAAAGAGTATAAATGATTACACCTCTGTAAAATAAAATGTAAGTGTCTATGGAATAAAAACAGAAGGAAATAAATACAATGAAACAAATGATTGTGTTGAGGCAATAGGATTATGGGTGAGTTTTTTTCCTTGACCTACTTAGAAAGGTATCTTTTATGTTGGTGTGTTATTTTTTATGGTAGAAAAGAAGGGGGGAAACCTATTTCTTTGCTGTCTCCTGGTTTTCACTGTCAGAAACTGGCTTCTGGACTTCTGAAATCATAAGACTCAAGAATAGATAAAGGAGAAGTAATTCTCAAATGTGTTTTTAGCCTGGCTATCAGAGCAGCAAATAAAAGTAGCTGGAGGAGGGGAGGATTCCTTTATTTGGGTGAGCAATATTGAATTTTGTGTTTTGTTTTGATAGGGAGTGTAATGAATAGGATAATAATATCTGAAACTTACCCTCACTGAGTAACAGGTCTAAAGTACTTTTTAGGCAATGCCTACATAATATATTAATGTTAAAAACTCAACAATGCATTGTTATAGTTACTACTTTACCATCTGTAGTCATTTCCTTAGCCCATTACAGCTTTGTTTTTACTCACTTCCTATGTGCTATTATACTACACATACATTACATTTCTATATGTTATATAGGCCCAACAATCCATTATATACATATTATTTGAAATTGCTTTTTTAAATCAATTAAAGGAGGAAAAATATGCATTCATCATTACATAATTATCAATGTTGTTTGTTCCCGTAGATTCATATTTCTGTAGGGTCACTTGATTTCAGCCTGAAGAACTTCGTTTAGTATTGTAAAATGAGTCTGCTAACAAATTCTCAGTTTTGCTTATCTGGGAAAGTATTTATTTCATCTTCGCTTTTGAAAGATAGCTTTACTGTATATAAGATTCTTGGTTGCCTACTTTTTTCTTTGAGCATATGAAATGTTTTCCCATTGCCTTCTGGCTTCCATGGTTTCTGATGAGAAGTAAGGTGTTAATCTTAAATCTTATTGAAGTACCTTTGTAAATGATGCATTGTTTTTCTCTTGCTGATTTTAAAACTTCTCCTTGTCTTTGACTTTCAGTATTTATACTATAAAGTATCTGCTTGTGGGCATCTTTGCTTTTTTTCCGGAGCATTCATTAAGCTTCTTGGATGTATAGGTTATTGCTTTCTAATAAAATTGGAAAGTTTTCTGCCATTATTTCTCCAAATATTTTCTTTTCTCTCCTGGTACTCAGCACAAGGGCTACAGGATTACAGCTGCTCTTATGTTAATGGACCTCGGGCTGCTTTGCTTTTTTAGATTCTTACGTTTATTCTCTGCTTTCCTCTGTTGTCCTTTCATATTGTCAGCTGTTGCTACTTAACTACTGTGAGTTTGTTTCTTTTGCTCCAACTTGCTTTTTGTGTATTTCTACTCAGATGATCTAGGAAACTTGATAATTAAACTTATTATGTTATGTCTAAATTAAGAGCAAAATAGCTCTGCTTAAATCTGTGAAAGGCTGTGCTGTGAGCAATAGCCAGATAGCCAAGACTAAAGTTGCCCCTACCCTGAAGTAAGAAGTAGTAACACCAGGCGCAGTGGCTCACACCTGTAATCCTAGCACTTTGGGAGGCTGAGGCAGGCGGATTACTTGAGGTCAGGAGTTTGAGACCAGCCTGGCCAACATGGTGAAACCCCATATCTACTAAAAGTACAAAAATTAACCAGGTGTGGTGGCATGCCTCTGTAATCCCAGCTGCTTGGGAGGCTGAGGTATGAGAATCGCTTGAACCTGGGAGGTAGAGATTGCAGTGAGGCAAGATTGTGCCACTGCATTCCAGCCTGGGTGACAGAGTGAAACTCCATCTCAAAAAAAAAAAAGGAAAAAAAAAAAGTAGTAGTTACTAGTTGCCCAGTTGATTTGGTTCTGTCCAGCAGGTAAGGATTACTAGGGCTGCTTGCTAGGAGTCTGCTTTTCTTGTGAATGTTACTGCTGTTATTTTTTGTATTTCTTTTTTAAGAATTCATGAATTTTCAAGAACCAGAGCAATATATCCCCAAGTTTTGCTAGTGTTGAGTCAGTGGTTTCTAAATGACTCATCAGCAATGTGAGAAATTGAGGGGGAATATATGAAGTGGTAGTATGCATCAATCAGCCTTGAGCTTAGTGTAGTTTGATAACCATCATTGACTGAGATGATGAATATGGAAGTGTTCCCTTTGAGAACAAAGACAAAAAGTTGAGCAGTTGCAAACATTGGGGAGATACAGAATAGAACTTAGAGTGACTCTGAAAATGAAGGAACAGGTTAATCAACACCAGAAACAGAATAGGAGGAAACATGCAATAGTTTAGGTCTAATAAATCCTTCCAGACAAATACATACATAATTAGAAGGCAGTGTAGATATAAATGTAGCCCAAACACCCAGTTAAGGAACACTTCAAGTCATGAGATACTCTGAGCATAACATTAAAAAAACAAAAAAGATTCTGGGTTAATAGTTAATTTGAGTATGAAGAAATAGTGTGGAACTGTTGTTTGAAATGCTGGAAACAGGCTGTATTGGTGGGAGTATGACTAGGGTGTCTTTAGCACTATTTAAGCCCTTATTTTGGTCACATTTGGACTTGGCATTCTTGTGCTTTAGAGAAGCCATGGTCTTCCCAGGAGAAAAAAGGCAAATAATAATAATAATGATTAAAAGAATATAAAAGAATGTAAGAAAAGCCTAATAAGAGCTGTTTGCACCAGTCGTTTGGATCTTTCCCAGTGTTTTCCCTCAAAGCCTCACTCCGGTACTTGGAGTGAGACATGAGAGATATTGCTGTGTACTGTCCCTTTTAATCCTCCCAGTTCTAGGTAGTTCTCTCAACAAAGAGTGCCATGCAGAGTATTGTAAAGGAAGAAGATCCCCCAGAAACAAAGGCCTTCTGCATTATAGATCTACCTTCTAAGAAGCTATCTGCTCTCTTATCTGTTAGATTGGACATCTCTGAAAGGCAGAGAATATGTCTTTCATTTTTATCTCTGCACCCTTCCCTTCCTTGGTAACTGAAAGCTTCCTGAAAATTGAATTAATATAAAGAAAGAACATGTTCCAAAAAAATAAGACTTTTCCATTTTGTTGCCTTATTTGAAAGCAATCAATCCTATCAATACGATAGCCTTATAATTCAAAGCTGTGACTTTATGTTTTCCTCATGTATCTTTATTATATTAGAGAAGAAACTAGTAAAATTAACAGTACAAGGGGGATATGAAGGGTAGCTTTTGAAATGTTAGACATTAATCCCTGAGCCACCGTTTCATCACCAGTTAAAGGTAGATAATTATCCTTTCTGTTGACCTTAGAGGTTTACTATGAAGATTAAATAATAATCTTAATTGGGAATACTTAGTGCCCTAAAGAAATGTAAAAAAAAAATAAGGAATTGTTTATGTTCTATAGGTGGATCTACACCTAGCAATTAAGTATCAGGCCATGAATTACTTTTTTTTATTTCCTCTCTTTTTTAGAGACAGGGTCTTGGTATGTTGCCCAGCCTGGACTTGAACTCAAGTGATCCTCCTGCTGCCTTAGCCTCCCAAGTAGCTGGGACTTGTAGATAATTTTTGAGGAGTTTTTATTTTTGATAATGTGCCAATTTATAAGTGAATTAGCAGTGAACACTTGAGTCTGTGGAACTCTGATTAAAGTTGGCCCATTTCTTTTCTTTGGCCTGTAGTACCTTAAAGTGATGGTTCTCCAGGAAGCTGGCACACCTGGTGAACCACAGCAAATGAGAGCAAGTGCACCTTTTGTCCTGTCCAGTACAGCCTCATTCTCATGACACTTTCAGTCCAAATGTATTCTATTGTCCCCAAACATGCTGCCTTTGTGTTTTCATTTTGATGTTTAAACTAGAAAGGATGAAGGCAAGACAAACAACAAAGGAACAGCTGAAAGGAAAATCCCATGGTTTCAGAAAACATTTAATCTGTAGTGCAAATCCTTGGTGCTCAGTTTTCCTTAAAAAAAAAATCCTGATTGCATTTTTTAATCACAGTGCTTCTCCACTTATGTCAGAATTAATTATTCAAATTTAGTTTGTTAGAGGTTTGCTGTTTAACTTTAGGTGAAACCCCATCTCTACTAAAAATACAAAAAGTTAGCCGGGCGTGGTGGCACCCGCCTGTATTTCCAGCTACTCGGGAGGCTGAGGTAGAATAATTGCTTGAACCTGGGAGGCGGAGGTTGCAGTGAGCTGAGATTATGCCACTGCACTCCAGCCTTGGCAACAGAGCGAGACTCCGTCTCAAAAAAAATAAGAAACTTAATAAATTACTAACACATGGCTGGGTGGGGTGGCTCACGCCTGTAATCCCAGCACTTTGGGAGGCTGAGACGGGCAGATTACTCGAGGTCGGGAGTTCAAGACTAGCCTGACCAACATGGAGAAACCCCATCTCTACTAAAAATACAAAATTAGCCGGGCCTGGTGGTGCATGCCTGTAATCCCAGATACTCGGGAGGCTGAGGCAGGAGACTCACTTGAACCCAGGAGGCGGAGGTTGCAGTGAGCCAAGATTGTGCCATTGCACTCCAGCCTGGGCAACAAGAGCAAAACTCTGTCTCAAAAAATAAATAAATAAATAAATAAATTACTAGCACATTAATAAGATTTAATATCTTTTAAAGCAGATTTTTAAATGTAAAACTTTTAATGTCTTAATATTTTATTTATCTTTATGATAACACAAAAATATGACATACAGGAAACTCTGTATCTTGACTAAATTCTTATAATCTGTGTCATTAGTTTCTCATTCAAGTGTAGTGGCAGCAGAGTCACTCCTTTGCATTAACCAGGAATCAATGAATTTAGATAGGAGGGTTTTTTAAAACAGTCTAATCCATTAGGGATAATCCCTTGAAAGTGGTTGTCCAGAGTTGCCATTCATTTAGCTGCCCTGAAAAACAAGCTAATAAACAGAAAATCTCCTACTTATGACTTTCCTGGAGCTTTTCCATACTTTTCAGTGGTGGCTGCATTGAAGTAAGTTCATCTCACCAGACCTTGGAGAAGGGGAAGGAAAAACACTTTGATTTACACTACTTTACGAAGAAAATATTTATTCTACTGTATAATGTGATGTAAAATGTACATAAGTGAACAACTGAATAGCAATTGACTTATTGATTTGAATTGATTTGACTTAATCCATACGTTGTTTATGTTTTCTGATTCCAGCAGCTAATTAATCTTTTTTTAAAATGAGGTTATAAAGTGCTATACTAGCTTGTATAGTTCTGAAAAAGAGGTTTTAGATTGGGGTTTTAAAATGCTCTTCATCAGGCCGAGTGCAGTGGCTGATACCTGTAATCCCAGCACTTTGGGAGGCCGAGGCAGGTGGATCACAAGGTCAGCAGTTTGAGACCAGTCTGGCCAACATGGTGAAACCCCGTCTCTACTAAAAATACAAAAATTAGCCGGGTGTGGTGGTGCACACCAGTAGTCCCAGCTACTCAGGAGGCTGAGGCATGAGAATCACTTGAATCTGAGAGGCGGAGGTTGCAATGAGCCAAGACTGTGCCACTGCACTCCAGTCTGGGCAACAGAACCAGACTCCATCTCAGAAAAGAAAAAAATGGTCTTCATCACCCACAGCTCCTGTTTCCCTACTCCCTTGCCTGCCCCACCAAAGAAAGGTCTGAAAATTCTCAAAATAAGGAAGACTGTAATTTAGAATAATTAATTTGGTGTAAGAAAACAAGAACTTTTAAATTTATGATAATCCTCAGGAGATAAAATTTGTACTTTCTAGAGAGCATTCAATGCAAGTGACCAATTTATTTTTATCCCTGATTTTTCCATATTCATAATGCTGCTTATAGCAAAGGACTTTTTAATAATCCTATAATATATGTGAAAGGGCTCTTAAAATTGTAAAGCTATATTCTATTCCAATTATTTATTATTAGAGAAAAATGAGCATGATGTCTGTGTATAGGCTGTTCCATTGAAATTTCCACGAAGATGCTTTGGTGCCTCACTCATATTCCTTAATCTGTACCACTTCAGTGCACACGGGCCCACTTGCCAGCTGCCAGCACTTGTATTTCTTCCCTGAGGGCTTTCTCTCACTACCTGAGCCAGTTTTGCTGTCCAGTCTGCCGGAAATATTGCCAGAATTACACTCACTGGGAGCAGCCGTTAACCAAAGACTGGCTGGAGTTTAGGCACACCCCAGCTCCCTTGCCTTTCAGGTGGGATAACTGAGCTTCGTGTCCTTCACAGGTTCCCAGAGTTTCCCCAGAGAGATTACAAAGATTATGCTTCAGTCACTTAGAATCTTAGCTATCTTAATTTCAGACTTTATTGGTTGCCTTTTCCCTCCTTGACATTTCCCCATTCTCCTGGATCTTCTTCATAGCCTAAAATAAACTGTAGACCTCCTAAAATAAAGTGTAATGAGACAACTTATTTTATTTTGCTTTGCTTTATTGTGCTTTGCAGATACTGCTTTTGTTTTTTACAAATTGAAGGTTCATGGCAACCCTGCGTCAAGCAAGTCTATCGGTGTCATTTTTTCCAACAGCATGTGCTCATTTTGTGTCTCTGTGTCACATTTTGGTAATTCTTACAATATGTCAAACTTCATATTATTACTGTATCTGTTATGGTGATCTGTAATCAGTGATCTTTGAGGTTATTATGGTAATTGTTTGGGGGTGCCATGAAACACGCTCATATAAGATGACTAAGATGGCAAACTTCATGGATAAATGTGTGTGTCCTGACTGCTCCACCAACCAGCCATTCCCTCATCTCTCTCCCTCTCCTCAGGCCTCCCTATTTCCTGAGACATAACAATATTGAAATTAGGCCAATTAATAACTGCGATGGCCAGGTGCTGTGGCTCACGCCTGTAATCCCATCACTTTGGGAGGTTGAGGTGGGCAAATCACATGAGCTTGGGAGTTTAAGACCAGCCTGGGTAATGTGGAAAAGCCCTGTCTCTACCAAAAACCCCAAAATCAGCCAGGTGTGGTGGCACACACCTGTAGTCCCAGCTCCTTGGGAGGCTGAGGTGAGAGGATCACTTAAGCCTGGGAGGCAGAGAGGTTGGCAACAACCAGCCTGGGTGACAGAGCAAGACCTTGTCTCCAATATATATATTATAATATATATATATAATAATATATAAATTATATATAGTATATATATAATATATATTATATATAATAATATATATACTATATATAATATATAATAATATATAGACTATATGTAATATATATAATATATAGACTATATACAATATATAATATATAGACTATATACTATATATAATATATACTATATATACTATATATAATATATAATATATATACTATATATAATATATATACTATATTTAATATATATTATATATAGTATATATAATATATGATTATATATACTACTATATATACTATATATAATATATAAATGTATATACTATATATAATATACATACTCTATATTATATATATAATATATACATATATATAATATATATATATTATACACAGACATCATGCTCATTTTCTCTAATAATAATTGGAATAGAATATAGCTTTACAATTTTAAGAGCCCTTTCACGTATATTATAGGATTATTTAAAAGTCCTTTGATATAAGCAGCATATATATTATATGTATTTTATATATATATTATATATTTTATATATGTATATATAATGTAAAAACCCCTGCAATGGCCTCTAACTGTTCAAGTGAAAGGATGAGTCATTAGTCTTTCATGTTAAATCAAAGGCTGGAAATTGTTAAGCTTAGTGAGGAAGGTATGTGTAAGGCTAAGACAGGTTAAAAGCTAGGTCTCTTGTACCCAACAGTTAAGAAGTTATGAATGGAAGGCAAAAGTTCTTGAAGATAATTAAAAGTGATACTCCAATGAATACATGGATAAGAAAGTGAAACAACCATATTGGTCATAGGAAGAAAGTTTTTTAAGTGTTCTAGAAAGATCAGACCAGCCACAACATTCCCTTAGGCCAAAGCCTAATCCAGGTTAGAGACCCTATTTCTGCAAAAGACAGAAAAAATTAGCCAGGCGCAGTGGCTCACGCCTGTAATCCCTGTCTACCAAAAATACAAAAATTAGCTGGGCATGGTGGTACACACCTGTAATCCCAGCTATTTGGGAGGCTGAGGCAGGAGAATCACTTGAACCCAAAGGCGGAGGTTGCAGTGAGCCGAGATCGCGCCACTACCTCCAGCCTGGGCAGCAGAGTGAAACTCTGTCTCAAAAAAGAAAAAGAAAAAATTAGTTGAAGGTGATGGCGTATGCCTGTAGTCCCAGCTACTTAGGAGGCTGAAGCCAGAGGATGACGTGAGTCCAGGATTTCAAGGCTACAGTGAGCTATGGTTATACCACTGTACTCCAGCCTGGGTGACAGAACATGATCCTGTCTCAGGGAAAAAAAAAAAAAAAAAAAGAATATATATATATATATATATATATATACACACACACACACACATATTTATTTATATATATTTATTTATATATGTATATATTTATTTATATATATTTATTATATATATTTATAGCTATATATAAAGCTAATATATATAATATATAAATATTATATTATATATATAAATATATAATATATATATAAAGCTAATGTAGCTTGTCACTTTCAGTTGAAGCCAGTGTTCATTTACCATTCAGTTGAAGCCAGTGTTCATTTACCATTCTGGAAATCTTAGGGCACTTAAGAATTATGTAAATCTACTCTGCCTATGTTCTATCAATGGAACAACAAAGCCTGGATAATAGCACATCTGTTTACAGCTTGATAACTGGATATTTTAAGCCCATTTTTTGAGACCTACTGCTCAGAAAAAAAGAATTCTTTCAAAATGTTACTGCGCATTGTCAATGCACCCTAAGAGCTCGATAGAGATGTACAAGGAGATTAGTGTTTTTATAGTGGCTAATGCAACATCCAAGCTGCAGCCCATGGATCAAGGAATAATTTTGACTTTCAGGTCTTATTAAGAGATACATTTTATAGGGCTATAGCTGCCATAGATAGTAAATCTGGTGAATCTGGGCAAAGTAAATTGAAAACCTTCTGGAAAGGAGTCACCAATCTGGATGTCACTAAGAACATTTGTGGGCCCTACACGGTGGCTCACACCTGTAATCCCAGCATTTGAGAGGCCAAGGTGGGTGGATCACCTGAGGTCAGGAGTTCAAGACCAGCCTGGCCAACATGGCAAAACCCCATCTCTACTAAAAATACAAAAATTAGTCAGGTGTGGTGGCAGGCACCTGTAATCCCAGCTACTCAGGAGGCTGAGGCAGGAGAATTGCTTGAACCTGGGAGGCCGAGGTTGCAGTGAGCCAAGATCGTGCCACTGCACTCCAGGCTGGCCAACAGAGTGAGACTCCATCTCAAAAAAAAAGATTTGTGATTCATGGGAGGAGGTCAAAATAGCAACATTAGCAGGAGTTTGGAAGAAGTTGATTTCAACCCTCATGGATGACTTTGAGGAGTTTAAGACTTCAGTGGAGGAAGTAAGTACTGATGTAGTGGAAATAGCAGGAGAATTAGAAGTGGAGCTTGACAATGTGACTGAATTGCTGCAACTTCATGATAAAACTTGAACAGGGCCCGGTGAAGTGGCCCTGTAATCCTAGTAATCATGACTGTAATCTCAGCACTTTAGGAGGCTGAGGCAGGAGGATCACTTGTGCTCAGGAGTTTGAGACATGCCTGGGCAACATAGTGAGACCTTATCTCTATTAAAATAGTTTTTTTTAAAAAATTAGCTGGGTATGATAGCATGTGCTTGTAGTCCCAGCTACTTGGAAGGCTGAGGCAGGAGGATTGCTTCAGCCCAGGAGATGGAGGCTGCAGTGAGTCATGATCATACTACTGCACTCCAGCCTAGGCAACAGAGCAAGATCTTGTCTCAAAAAAGAAAACACAATCTTGAACAGTTGAGGTGTTGCTTCTTATGGATGAGCAAAGAAAGTGGTTTCTTGAGATGGAATCTCCTCCTGGTAAGGATGCTGTGAACATTATTGAGATGACACAACAAAGGATTTAAAATATGACATAACCTTAGTTAATAAAGCAGCAGCAGAGTTTGAGAGCATTTACACCAATTTTGAAAGAAGTTATATAGAGAAAATGCTATCAGACAGCATCTTATGCTTCAGAGAAATCTTTCCTGAATGGAAGAATCAACTGATGCAGCAAACCTCACTATTACTTTAAGAAATTGCCACAGCTATTCCAACCTTCAGCAACCACCATCCTGGTTAGCAGCCATCAACACTGATATAAGAGCCTCCACCAACAAAAAGATTACAACTTGCTGAAGGTTTGGATGATTGGTAGCCTTTTTTAGCGACAAGATTTTTTTTTTTTTTGCAGCAAGATATTTTAAAATGAAGGTATGTACATTGCTTTTTTAGGCACAGTGGTATTGCATACTTAATATAATACAGTATGATAGAAACATAACTTTTTTGTTTGTTGATTTGTTTTAATGTGCTTTCTATACACACATATCTCTTAAGACAAGTTTCCTGGGCTCTATTTTCATCCAGATTGCTGTCGTAATCCCTCCTGATAGAAAAATTCTAGAGGTACTTCAGGGTAGACTGCATGCTGTGAGGACAAAAATAGATTTATTTTTAAAATTTTATTTAAGTTCTAGGATGCATGTGCAAAATGTGCAGGTTTGTTACTATCAACCTGTCATCTAGGTTTTTTTTTTTTTTTTTTGAGACGGAGTCTCGCTCTTTCGCCCAGGCTGGAGTGCAGTGGTGCTATCTCGGCTCACTGCAAGCTCCGCCTCCCGGGTTCATGCCGTTCTCATGCCTCGGCCTCCCGAGTAGCTGGGACTACAGGCGCCCACCACCACGCCCGGCTAATTTTTTTTTTTTTGTATTTTTAGTAGAGATGGAGTTTCACCGTGTTAGCCAGGATGGTCTCGATCTCCTGACCTCGTGATCTGCCCGCCTTGGCCTCCCAAAGTGCTGGGATTACAGGTGTGAGCCACCACGCCCGGCCTTGTCGTCTAGGTTTTAAGCCGCACATGCATTAGGTATTCATCCTAATATTCTCCCTCCCCTTGCGCCACACCCCCCCAACAGGCCCAGTGCATGATGTTCCCCTCCCTGTTTCCATATGTTCTCATTGTTCACCTCCCACTTATGAGTGAGAACATGTGGTGTTTGGTTTTCTGTTCCTGTGTTAGTTTGCTGAGAATGATGGCTTGCAGATTCATCTATGTCCCTGCAAAGCACATGAACTCATCCTTTTTAATGGCTGCATAGTATTCCATGGTGTATATATGCCACATTTTCTTTATCCAGTCTATCATTGATGGGCATTTGGGTTGGTTCCAAGTCTTTGCTATTGTAAGTAGTGCTGCAGTAAACGTACATGTGCATGTGTCTTTATAGTAGAATGATTTATAATCCTCTGGGTATATACCCAGTAATGGGATTGCCGAGTCAAATAGTATTTCTGGTTCTAGATCCTTGAGGAATCGCCCCACTGTCTTCCACAATGATTGAGCTAGTTTATACTCCCACCAACAGTGTAAAAGCGTTCCTATTTCTCCACAGCCTGGCCAGCATCTGTTGTTTCCTGACTTTTTTAATAATCGCCATTTTAACTGGCATGAGATGGTGTCTTATCATGGTTTTGATTTGCATTTCTCTAATGACCAGTGATGATGAGCTTTTTTTCGTATGTTTGTTGGCTGCATAAATGTCTTCTTTTGAACAATGTCTGTTCATATCCTTTGCCCACTTTTTGATGGGGTTGTTTGTTTTTTTCTTGTAAATTTGTTTAAGTTCCTTGTAGATTCTGGATATTAGACCTCCGTCAGATGGATAGATT
The DNA here is from genome assembly GCF_000001405.40 of Homo sapiens. Lineage (NCBI taxonomy): Eukaryota > Metazoa > Chordata > Mammalia > Primates > Hominidae > Homo > Homo sapiens. The sequence continues at coordinate 71,849,190 of NC_000009.12, read as the reverse complement.
GCCAAAATTTTCTTCCATTCTGTAGGTTGCCTGTTCACTCTAATGATAGTTTCTTTTGCTGTGCAGAAGCTTCTTTAGTTTAATTAGATCCCATTTGTCAATTTTGGCTTTTGTTGCAATTACTTTTGGTGTAATATAAACATAACTTTTATATGTACTGGGAAATGAAAAAAAATGTGTGACTTGCTTTATTGCAATGGTCTGAGACTGAACCTGCAATATCTCTGAGGTATGTCTGTATTTGCATTCAAACCCTTGTCTCAGGGTCTACTTCTTGAGGGAGGGTCCCTAGAAAGATACTGCCATTGCTTAAAACATATTTGTGGCTCCCAAAGTCACCGAATCATGGACTATTTAGATCCACGTGGAAGGAGGCTTAGAAAAGCGGTATAATGGAAAAGGGAGGCTTTTTAACATTAAATATCTGGATTCAAATTCTGGCTCTACCATTTACAGCATGACTTTATACCGTCCGCTCAAAACTTAAATGTTCTCATCTATAAGTGGTTGCAATATTAATACTTGCCCTGCCTGCGTTACTGGGTCTTTTCGAAGATAATACATGGGAAATAATTTAGGTAGATATTCATACAAAGATTTCTATTGTTATTATTAATTGAAGAAAGCTTCAGTACACCAGTTGAAATTGGAATAAGTGAAGAGATAAGGCATTCTGGGTCTGAGACAGGTGGTTGTTTATGAGAGCCATGCCAATCAGTTAGATTTAAAAACAAGGATTTGTTTGCAGAATGGGAAAAAAATAATGTATAACACTTTCTCAGCCCAGTCTGAAGAGTGGCATTCTATGTGATTGACCACTGAAACCATTATATCCTATAAAGGAGGTACAGAGGAGGAGAAAAGATATATTAGCAGAATTGCACTAAAAATTGCATAGAAGACAGAGGAAAACCCTGGAAAGCAATGTAATTTCTTGGTGTCTCTTCTTTATTCTTACCACTGTTTTACATCTCTATACATGACTCTATGGGTTGGCAGTGGTTAAGCCTGAAGACCTCGTAGTTGAAGTCAATCTGCATTGACCCCAGGAAAGCTAGACAAAATGGGTCCAATGCTCTCATTGCACAATCTGGAATTTCCAATGCCCTCCCCAAGGTTTCTGTGAATTCCTGGGTAACTATGCTCTCTAGTGACCACCTCTGGCTCGGAACTCCTGTTTCTACAGAATTAATTCATTTATGAATTGTCTTTCTTTTCCTGCAACAATGTCCCTGTTTAGTATCTTTTTTTCTGAAACAGGGTCTTGCTCTGTGCCCAGGCTAGAGTGCAATGGCACCATCTTAGCTCACTGCAGCCTAGGCTCAAACAATCCTCCTTCCTCAACCTCCCAAGTAGCTGGGACTACATGCATGTGCCACTGCACCTGGCTAATTTTTTAATTTCTTGTAGAGACAGTCTTGCTATGTTGCCCAGGGTGGTCTCAAAGTCTTTGCCTCAAATGATCCTCCTGCCTTGGCCTCTCCCAAAGTGCTGGAATTATAGCCATGAGCCACTGCACCTGGTTTTGTATCTTATTGACCTACAAATAGAACAGAGCCTTTTTTCTTGACTTAAACACACACACGCACACACATGTTCCCATGAGGTGTTTGTACACATATAAGATTTTACTGATGGCTTGCAATGACACAAAGGATTCTATTGGAGCACACAAAAAAAAATATAACTCTGAATATTAGATACCCCTGTTTGTAAAAAGTCAGTTGGTCATTTCCTGCCATGTTTTTTGCTTGTCTCCTTTATTCTTGAATTGTGCTCTCAAATTTCTGATTCTATGAAGGTGAAAATGTGAACATGTTTTTTTGCTTCCTTTTCCCCTGTGGGATCATGCCTCACAGTCCCACTTTGTACCCCAAAGCAGTGCCTCTTGGTATTTTTCTAAAAACATATTTTCCTGAAAAATGGCAGACATGGAGGTGCACCTCTCGGATGTCCCTTGAAGGCACTTGCTTCAGGAGCAGAGCTGACTGACAGCTTCCAGCTGCCAAACTTATTTCTTCTGTGGCTATCACATTGAGATTGTGCTTCCCCTGGGATGCTCCCAGCCAGTAACTACACATAGTAAGGCTACTAGAGGGAGCCATTCTTGCTGGATGGGGACTTCTCTATAGAAGTCCCATGGGAAATTTGCCCAGGGACTCCCCATTGACCTGGCCAGACTTTCTCAGAACTGTGTTGCAGTCCGAGGCCCATCCTACAAATTTAGCTCTGCTCTCCTTTCAGAGATATCATAACTTCGTCACAATCTGAAGGCTTTTCTTCCCTACTCTGCCCTCTCCATTTACTTTTTACAGCTTACCCTCTCCCAATAAATCTCTTGTACATACAATTTCATCTAGCTTCATGGAGAGAGATTTACTGGGGAGAGGGCAAGATATAGAACATTCCCTAAGAACTATGCCAGTTTCTAAAATCATTTTTTCCTACCCTGCCACAGAGGTATATCATAGAATCTCTTTGCTTATCGTATTGGAAAGTATTAACTATTTGTATATAATGGGTATACATTTCTCCATGACAACCAGATTTTGGTCTGAAGCCCAGTTGCTAAAGTCAAATACATTCATCCATTGGTATCCTTGGGGAATTGGTTTCAGGAGCTCCCTCAGATACCAAAATTCATAGATGCTCAAGTCCCTTATATAAAATAGGGTGATATTGCATGTCACCTATGCATATCCTCCCGTATACTTTAAATCGTGTCTAAATTACTTACAATACCTATTACAATGCCTATATATTCATTCATGTGTCTTTCATTCATGCGATTTAACGTGGTACTTGGTCTGCAACATATTCAAATTTTACTTTTTCTAACTCTGGAAATTTTTCTGAGTATTGTCTATCCATATGAATCCATACAGATTGTCTATCTATGAATTGTCTATGCATCCATAGATGCCTAACTCATGAATATGTAGGACCAAATGTAACAGTCTTTAGAACTCAATCCTCTTTCCTCCTTAGTTAAAGAAAATAGGGAAGTCTTAGTCCTCAGTCTGTGGTTACTCAGAAATCACTTCTCAGTCCACTCAAAGGCTGGTGGTTGTACTAGTGGCTCTATTCTGCTGGTGCCCCATTATGAGGAACTTTGCTGAGCCCTGAAGGCCAAGGCGCTTAGTACCTGGTCTCAATAACATCCCTGCAGTTTTCCCCATAAACAACCCATAAATTCAGTCCTCTGAAACTTATAAGCCTACAACTTTTCTCCCAGATTTCAGAAATATTTTCATCCTCTAAAATGGGATTTCAAAATGAGACCCCATTGCCAGGCATGGTGGCTCATTCCTGTAATCCCAGCACTTTGGGAGACTGAGGCGGGCAGATCACTTGAGGTCAGGAGTTTGAGACCAGCCTGGCCAACATGGTGAGACCCTGTCTCTACTAAAAATACAAAAATTAGCCAGATGTGCTGGTGTGCACCTGAAATCCCAGCTACTTGGGAGGCCGAGGCCTGAGAATCGCTTGAACGAGGGAGGCAGAGATTGCATTGAACCAAGATTGCACCATGGCACTCCAGCCTGGGCGATAGGGAGACTCTTCTCAAAAACAAAACAAACAACCACCAAAAAACCCCAAACACCAATGACAACAAAAACCCAAAGTAAGACCCCATCTCTACAAAAAAAATATATAAAAAATTAGCTAGGCATGGTGGTGTACACCTGTAGTTCCAGCTACAGGAGGCTGAGCTGGGAGGATCACTTGAGCCCAGGAGGTCAAAGCTGCAGTGAGCCATTATTGCACCACTGCACTCCAGCCTGGGCAACAGAGCGAGATCCTGTCTCTAAATAAATTAAAAAAAAAAATGGGAATATTTCCCTCTTCTACCTTTGAAGTAGTCCTTCATTATTTCCACTTTTAATCTCCATAATGAATCATTTGAAAATAAAGATCTACATCGTCCTCAGGGATAAAACCATCAATGAGACAAAGACTTGGTTATCCTTCTGGGACAAGAGTGATGGTGAGTAACTCTCAAGTCTAAAGCTGAGAAAAACAAAACAGGTAATTTTACAGTAAGTTACTGTTCTCTGTCAAAAAACCAATAAGTCAATCCACTACACACATTCTCTTTATTGTATTTCCTTGATGGTGGAGATTTGAACAAAGCAAATTTGGTGGTATCATAATTTTAAGCACCAGGCAGTGGACAGCAGAGACTGCTATATCCAAAAGAGACCCTGGGATTAAGTAATTCATGTTCCCAACTTGACAGCTGGAAGGACAGTCCAGGGTGGGAATGGTCAGGTTTTGGTCCAAGACCATATAATATTAAGGCAAAAACTTGGCTTAAGCCAAAGGTATAAGAATGTAAGTAGAAAAGCAAGGAGATACATAGAATTAGTTTCATTACTTGTTCTCTGGGTAAATGTGGACTTGTTATTTATGTAATCTGAGTTTTTTTTTTTCTATCTTTAGACTTTGCATTCTAATATGCACCTTGTAGACTTGTTTGGAAAATAAACTATGAAGAAAAAGGTGACAGTGGTGTACTGGTTAATATATATAATATATATACACATATATATGTATATATACACATATAAATACATATAAAATAGATATTTAATATATAAATATCTATATTTATAATATATTTATATATATTATATATAATATATATATATATTTTTTAGATGGTGTCTCCCTCTGTCACCCAGGCTGGAGTGCAGTGGTGTGATCTTGGGTCACTGCAACCTCCACCTCCCAGGTTCAAGTGATTCTCCTGCCTCAACCTCTCGAGTAGCTGGGATTACAGGTGTGCACCCCCACGCCCGGCTAATTTTTTATTTTTAGTAGAGATGGGGTTTCACTATGTTGGCCAGGCTGGTCTCAAACTCCTGACCTCAGGTCATCAGCCCGCCTTGGCCTCCCTAAGTGCTGGGATTACAGGCGTGAGCCACTGTGCCCAGCTGGTAAATATTTAATAATAGGCTCTTGGGGTTGAGGGAAAAGCCCTAATTTGTAGTACTTGGTTATTTCTATGGTGTAAATATTCATCCAGTGGCCAGTTCCAAGCTACCAGTGGTTTAGCAATCAGCTGGTGAAATTCCTGAAAATTGCCTATCATAATCCTGTATGAGCCAGCAAGTGCCAGCTTCAGCACACCACTGAATGTGTAACACTTGACATATAGCAAATACTCAATAAATAATAGTTGCCTTCTCATCCTCACCAGGCCTGAGTTCTTTCTGCCATGCTATATAACTATTGTTTGATGAACACTATTTGAATTTCTCAAGATATGAGAGCCATCATTGTACTTATTCATATAAATAAAATGAACTCTGTTTCCCATATGAAGATGCCTGCATTTCACAGATTTTCAAGGTGTATTTGGGATGTACTTTCCTTTTTTTTTTTTTTCCGAGACTGAGTCTTGCTCTGTCACCCAGGCTGGAGTGCAGTGGCACAATCTCAGCTCACTGCAACCTCCACCTCTTGGGTTCAAGCAATTCTCCTGCCTCAGCCTCCCAGATAGCTGGGATTACAGGCACGTACCATCACGCCCAGATAATTTTTGTATTTTTAGTAGAGACAGGGTTTCACCATGTTGGCCAGGCTGGTCTCAAACTCCTGACCTCAGATGATTCACCCTCCTTGGCCTCTCAAAGTGCTGGGATCACAGAGGTGAGCCACAGTGCCCAGCCAGGGATGCACTTTCTAACAATGTTGGATCTGTGACCTGCACAGAATTCACCAGGCATAAATTGTGGCTTCCCAGAGAGGTTGACATTCTTCAGAGCAGCTGAAACTAAGGTACATTTAAAGCCTGATGAGACCATAAAGCAGAAGAGAAATGGTGATTTCAAATAAGAATATTGAATTAAAGGCAGATGCTCTGAATTATAATTTAGCTCTTTCTCAAACAGACAATTCTATGTAGCATACCCCAGGATGAATAGAAGTGACACATTTATTTATTATTTTCTTCAATAATTCCCTGAACAATTCCAGCTATCCTATTTGTTTGCTTGCTTTCTTTAAATTTAAAGATGTACTATGGACTTCAATTTCTAGGCAAGAAGGAATGACTGGTGCAGAATTACCCTCCCACTATAAACAACTAGAAAACTGTAAAACATATATGAAACAACTGTTTTCAGACACACTGGAATCACAGTATATTCAACATTTTGATTCCTGAGAGAAGTGATATGATTAAAATGAGCCCTACAATTGTCCTGGCTTTTGGTCTTGAGGTGGGGTTGTGAGACGTAATACAGGAACATCTAGTTAAATTTCACATATACAACACATTTCAGATTATAATGAATAATTTTTAATATAAGTATGTATACAATACAATGTTGTATTCTTATTTGTTAAATCCAGCAATGCTACCTGGAGGCAATTTTTGGACTGTGACACAGGGAGAGAAAACTCAAATGGACTATCATTTCATTAGGATGAGGAGATAGAAATTCTAGTTTGGTGAGTCTGAGGCAGGTAAAATTTCCAGGGCAGAAAACTGTAGGGGAGCAAACTACAGGGAAAGAACTCAGAAAATCTCACAAGGACCTCCTTGATTTCTTGGCTGCATACTGTCACTCTGTATGCATAGGGTGAAACTCCACAAGGCCAGCATGTAAAGGAAGAGTTCACACAGGGCTTGGGGACATTTGAATTCTGTCCACCCAGGGCAGAAAGACTTTTCTGAATATTTATGGCCATCAGAGGGGATCTGAGGAGGTTTATACCTTAGTAGTACTGCTGTATTGGTCCTAGGATAAAGGCAACACTAAACTCAATATAACAAAATTTTAAATGAGGCTTCAAAAGAAGCAAGATGATCTGAAAGTAGCAACTGCCTGCCAAAACTAATTTCAACATTTTTAAAAGAGGACAACAAAATCTCAACACTATACAGTGTCACATACATAATGTCCAGCACCCAATCAAAAATTAGTGGACATACAAAAAAGTGAGAAATTGCAACCCTATCCAGTAGAAAAATCATAGGAACAGAACTAAAAATGACAGAAATTATGAAATTAGCTAGCAAGAAAACAGTTATAAACATGTTCAAGAATTTAAGGGAAAACAACATGAGAAGACAATCTAAACTATAAAGACATAAATTGGGCAAGCAATTTACCTTCCACTTCAATATACCTTACCACTTCATTTAAGTATGATATTGTGTACCATGATCACATACAATCTAATAGCACATGAAGACAGGAAAAAGTGGTCTGATACATCATTTGCTGTGGAATATCTACAGAAAAAGTGAGGTAACCCAGAAAATACTGAATTTCTCTAAAACAGTTCAATCTAAGCATTCTCAAGATAACAGTCAACTCTCTAGTATAAATCATTCAAGAAAATGCAGATCTGGGACGGGCGCGGTAGCTCATGCCTGTAATTCCAGCACTTTGGGAGGCCAAGAGGGGTGGATCACCTGAGGTCAGGAGTTCAAGACCAGCCTAGCCAACATGGTGAAACCCTGTCTCTACTAAAAATACAAAATTAGCCGGGCATGGTGGCACATGCCTGTAATCCCAGCTACTCAGGAGGCTGAGGAAGGAAGAATCACTTGAACCCGGGAGGCGGAGCTTGCAGTGAGCTGTGATTGCACTACTGCACTCCAGCCTGGGCAACAGAGTGAGACTCTGTCTCAAAAAAAAAAAAAAAGAAAACACAGATCTGAAAAAAAATTTTTGGCCCTAAGCCACTCCATTTTAGAGATTGTAGAACCAACTTACATTATGATATCACAGGATGTGGGGAGGAATGGGATTTATACAAAAATGCTGCAGACATTTTTTTTCTGTTTTTTTTTAGAGACAGGGTCTTGCTATGTTGCTCAGGCTGGTCTTGAACTCCTGAGCTAAAGTGATCCTCCCACCTTAGCCTCCTAAAATGCTGAGATTACAGATGTGAGCCACTGCACCCAGCCTCTGCAGGTAGGCTCTTAAATATTTTCACCTTGACGTCATGTGCAACCATAATGATCTATTTTGTATTTGGATTAGTCAGCTATTCTACTTGCCTGTTAAGAAAGCATTGGGGCTTTTCAAATTGTTTTTTGTCTTTTTTTTTTTTTTTTTTTAGAGACAAGGTCTTGCTATGTTGTCCAGGTTGGTTTTGGACTCCTGGCTTCATGTGATCCTCCCGTCTCAGCCTCCCAAGTAGCTGGGATTACAGGTGTGAGCCACCATGCCTGGCTGATGCTTTTTGATAAGAATAAAAAAGGAAACACGTTTGCTGCTGAAGGAACTTAATTTGTATTAGGAAGTTTTTGCTTATGTTCTATACTAGTCTCTATAGCTGTTTTCTCTTCTTTCCACATATGAAAAAACATGTGTTTCATCATTAGCCTCTCACTTTTACCCTTCATCTCTCCCATTCTTCCTCTTCTTCCCTCTCCTTGTGAATCCCATTCAAACTTTCCCCTACTAAGTCAACAATAGATAATTTTACCAAGCTGTTATATCATTCTAACTTGGAAAATAAAAATAAACAGCAACCACTAAATAACTCATGCTTACTATCGCATGTTGAAAAGTGAAATCTATCAAGAAGTAACTGGGATTCATCAAGAAGTTAAAGAGTGTCCAACTTGCTCTAACACAGCAGTGTTGGATAGGGTGGGGCTAGTCAGATTTTATTTATTTAAATTAACTGACTGAATCTGGGGTACCCCAAAAAACATATTGTAAGAAGCATGTATTAGGCACATTGCCAGGATAATACATTTTTTTTCTACTGCCAGACTTCAATTTGGTGGATGAATAAAGTAAGAGAGCATGCAAGGATATTCCCTTTTCACTATCATGTCAATGTGACATTGAATTACATTATATTTTTAATTCAAACACAACTGACCATGCCTAAGGCATAGCATTGTTAAACACAACTTCAGAGAACAAAGAGATTCTGAAGAAGATGCCAAAAAATAAAATCAAATTCAAATCAAACTGTTTGCCACAGCCTTCTCAGATTCAAGTCACACTGTCTTGGAAGGGACTAAAGGCTTTCCCAGATTTTCTCTTGTGAACAAGGTACAAAACTAACTGAACCCATGCTGAAAGTGTTTTGCACATACCCTGAGGATTATAGACTATTCTCATATTCTTGCAATCAAATGGGGTGTGGGAGTGGGGCAGGAGAGAAACACCAGGAAAATACTAAATGGCAAAACTTATTTGGATAAGGGAAGAGTGTCGAGAGAAAAGGAAAAAAGAAGAAAAAAAAATAGACATAGAAAGGATGCTGTTCTGATTTTTTTTATTCTTGGGGGAAGGGAAGTTAATGGATTGATATATTTTTGCTCAATCGATTTTTGCTTAGATCGGCCTTTTTGACTGGCTAGGGAAAGAAGGACAAGATAAATATGTACCTTCCCAGAAGGTCTTACACGCTGTATACAAAGACTTATTTGGAGTAACTGTTCACCAGGTATTTAATTGAAAGTGTAAGGGAGTATTCTGGGTGTAAAGTAAGGATCACAGTGAGAGGTTGATTTTTGGGGCTTGGAGGAAAAACGTAACAGTTAAAGTCTCGGAAACACCTCATCAATTTTCTCATTGATGAGATTAGAGTAAAACTGAACAGGGACCATTCTTGTGCCTGGTGCATATGTTAAAATGAGGGAAAATAATCAAGAAGAGCGATCTTTGAAGCAATTAAATATTGAATAAGACATAACTTTGAACCAGGCATGGTGGTTCACACCTGTAATCCCAGCACTTTGGGAGGCTGAGGTGGGCCAATCACGAGGTCAGGAGTTTGAGACCAGCCTGGCCAAAATGGAGAAACCCTGTCTCTACTAAAAATATAAAAAAATTAGCTGGGCATAGTGGCAGAAGCCTGTAATCCCAGCTACTCAAGAGGCTGAGGCAGGAGAATCACTTGAACCCGGGAGGTGGAGGTTGCAGTGAGCCAAGATAGCGTCACTGCACTCCAGCCCGGTTGACAGAGTGAGACTCTGTCTCAAAAAAAAAGAAAAAAAGAAAGACATAAAAAAAAAGACATTATTCTGGCCTGTCGCGGTGGCTCACACCTGCAAGTAATCCCAGCACTTTGGGAGGCCAAGGCAGGCGGATCACGAGGTCAAGAGTTCAAGACCAGCCTGGCCAATATGGTGAAACCCCGTCTCTACTAAAAATACAAAAATTAGCCGGGCGTGGTGGCGGGCGCCTGTAGTCCCAGCTACTCAGGAGGCTGAGGCAGGAGAATGGCGTGACCCCGGGAGGCGGAGCTTGCCGTGAGCCGAGATCGCGCCACCGCACTCCAGCAGCCTGGGTGACAGAGCGAGACTCCGTCTCTAAAAAAAAAACAAAAACAAAAAAACAAAAAAAAAACTTATTATTGAACACTACATGTTCTCATTTATACTCTGCATCACTTAAGAAAAGATTTTAGTTTGATTGACATAAAGTCAGGTGATATTTTCCCCCATACATTGGTAGCTAAGACCTCAAAATGAGATGAAGTTTCTATGCTTTATGAGATACCTAAGTGGAAAGAATATCAGATTTTTGTGTCAGTTGTGTGACTGCTTCAGCTGGGAAGGACCCAGCATAAACCTTAATTTTTCTGAATCTCTTTGTTCTCTATAAAGAAGTTAATGTCTTCTTGTTGGGTTCCTATAAGAACTAAAGGAGATAATGTTTGAATAAACAGTCTTATAAACCAATAATCATTTCCCCCCCCTTTTTTTTTAACAACCACTTTTCATATGTCATTTTTATAAGAAAATTAGCGACATTCTTTTTTTGGAGTGGGGAACGGGGGGCGGGGGAGGGACGGAGTTTCACTTTTGTTGCCCAGGCTGGAATGCAATGGTGCGATCTGGGCTCGCTGCAACCTCCACCTCCCGGGTTCAAGCGATTCTCCTGTCTCAGCCTCCGGCGTAGCTGGGATTACAGGTGCATGCCACCATGGCTGGCTAATTTTTGCATTTTTAGTAGAGACAGGGTTTCACCATGTTGGCCAGGCTGGTCTCGGACTCCTGACCTCAGGTGACCCGCCCGCCTCAGCTTCCCAAAGTGCTGTGATTACAGGTGTGAGCCACTGTGCCTGGCCTGAAAATTAGCAACATTCTTTGCTATACACATTGACAAATATTCAAGTTTGTCAGAGGAGTCTCATCTGTTTGGGCCATTTGATTCTAGAAGCTGACAAAAAAGCCAGTTTTATTTCCAGATGAAATTAATGGTATATGTGGTTATTGTATTTACATGAAACTAATAATTCTGAATTTTATTTTCACTAGGACGTTAAATTTAAACCATTTTAAATGCTAAATACATTAAACAAATAACAATGAATTCATTTTCAAATACCTGCACTCTAATTTTGCTGCCAAACTGATCAGAGGATAGAAAATAAATAAATTTGAAAACCATGAAGAGTCATACTGGTAGGTTATGAAAATCAAAGTCTCTCCTTAAAAATCACCTCCCAAATCACTTTGGTGCTTCACTAATTGAATATATTATCAGCTATTTGCTTAGCAGATGTAAATTTCTCTGAAATTAAACTATCAATCCCCAAGTCATGGTGTCTTTTTTCTTTTTTTTTTTTTTTTTGAGACGGAGTTTTGCTTGTTGCCCAGGCTGGAATGCAATGGCGCGATCTCAGCTCACTGCAATCTCCACCTCCTAGGTTCAAGTGATTCTCCTGCCTCAGTCTCACTAGTAGCTGGGATTACAGGCAGATGCCACGACGCCCAGCTGATTTTTGTATTTTTAGTAGAGATGGGGTTTCACCATGTTGGTCAGGCTGGTTTCGAACTCCTTACCTCAGGTGATCTGCCTGCCTTGGCCTCCCAAAGTGCTGGGATTACAGGTGTGAGCCACTGTGCCCAGCCAAGTCATGGGTTTTTTTTAAAACTTACTATGCTTAACACTATGACAGTGATGCTATAAAGCAATATTATCACGTTTTTAAAAAATGTGTTTGGCCAGGGGAGGTGGCTCATGCCTGTAATCCCAACACTTTGGGAGTCCAAGGCAGGCTGATCACTTGAAGTCAGGAATTCGAGGCCAGCCTGGCCAACATGGCAAAACCGTGTCTCTACTAAAAACACAAAAATTAGCCAGGGAAGGTAGTCTGTAATCCCAGCTATTTGGGAGGCTGAGACAGGAGAAATGCTTGAACCCAGTGGGTGGAGGTTGCAGTGAGCTAAGAGCATGCCACTGCACTCCAGCCTGGGTGATAGGGTGAGACTCCATCTAAAAAAAAAAAAAAAAAATTGTTTTACCTGACTGTGCAGTTGACATCTGTTTTACAGCTCCCTACAAAGGGAAGGCTCAGTGCTAGATTCTCCTATTTGGAGTTGGCTCAGTTTCTTAAATTTATGTTTACATCTGTTGCCGAATGCATGACATTTTTAGCAATTATTTCTGTTGTTTTTCTTTCTTTCTTTCTTTCTTTCTTTTTTTGAGGCAGGGTCTCACTTTTTACCCAGGTGATGCAATCTTGGCTCACTGCTACCTCCACCCACTGGGCTCAAGCAATCTTCCCGCCTCAGCCTCCCAAGTAGCTGAGACTACAGGTGTGTACCACCATGCCTGGCTAATTTTTGTATTTCTTGTAGAGACAGGGCTTTGCCATGTTGCCCAGGCTGCTGTCAAACTCCTGGGCTCAAGTGACCCACCTGCCTCAGCCTCCCAAAGTACTGGGATTACAGGCTTGAACCACTGCTCCCAGCTCCTTATTTCTTTGAATACTTTTTGAGCCCCATCTTCTTTTTCTTCTCTTTTTGGGACTCTGATGACATAAATATTGTATCTTTTATTTAGTCCCACAGGTCTCTGAGGTTCTGTTTATTTTCTTCCAATGTATTTTCATTCTGTTGTTTAGATTGGGTAATTTCTATTGCTCTGTCTTTAAGGTCCTTGATTCTTTCCTTTGACCTTTATCTTCTGCTATTGCTCCTGTAATTACCCTTGTCTGCTGCAAAGATAGAACCAATTCACTCTAATAGTAGTATTGCTGTAAAGAAAGAGGTAGCCAGGCATGGCGGCTCATATCTATAATCCCAGCACTTTGGGAGGCTGAGGTGGGCAGGTTGCTTGAGCCCAGGAGTTTGAGACCAGCCTGGGCAACATGATGAAACCCCATATCTACAAAAAATACAAAAAGTAGCTGATCGTGGTGCCACACACCTGTAGTCCCAGCTCCTCAGAAGGCTGAAGTAGGAGGATCACTGGAGCCTGGGAGGTCAAGGCTGCAGTGAGCCATGATCATGTCACTGCACTCTAGCCTGGGTATCAGAGTGAAACCTTGTCAAGAAAGAAAGAAAGAAAGAAAGAGAAAGAAAGAAAGAGAGAGAGAAAGAAAGAGAAAAAGAAAAAGAGAAAGGAAGAAAAGAAGAAGGAAGGAAGGAATGAAAGAAAAAGAAAGAAAGAAGAAAGAAAGAAAAAGAAAAAGAAAGAAAGAGGAAAAGAAAAAGAGAAAGGAAGAAGGAAGGAAAGAAAGAAAGGAAAGAAAGAAAGAAAGAAAGGAAGGAAGGAAGATTAATGTAAAGCAAGGAAAGCAGGAAGATAGTTCTCAAATCAACCTCCTTGAGAACTCAAAGATTAGGGTTTTTATGGGTGATTTGGTGGGCAGGGGGATAGGGGATGGGTGCTGCTGATTGGTTGGGGGTGAAATCATAGAGTTATGGAAAATGATCCTTGTGTGCTGAGTCCACCTTTGGGTGGGGGACACAGGACTGGTTGAGTCATGAGTCATGGATCTAGATGGGTCTATTTTTAGATTTTTGAGGAACCTCCAAACTGTTCTCCAAGGTGGTTGTACTAATTTACATTCCTACAAAGAGTGTATGAGGGTTCCCTTTTCTCTACATCCTCGCCAGCATTTGTTATTGTCTGTCTTTTGAATAAAAGCTATTTTAACTGGGGTGAGATGATATCTCATTGTAGTTTTGATTTGCATTTCTCTGATGATCAATGATGTTGAGCACTTTTTCATATGTCTCTTTGTCATTTGTACATCTTCCTTTGAGAAATGTCTGTGCAGATCCTTTGCCCTTTTTAAAATCAGATTATTAGATTTTTCTCCTATAGAGTTGTTTAAGCTCCTTATATAGTCTGGTTATTAACCCTTTGTGAGTTTGTAAGTATTTTCTCCCATTCTGTGGGTTGTTCCTTCACTTTGTTAATTGTTTCCTTTGCAGTGAATAAACTTTTTAACTTGATGTGATACCATTTGTCCATTTCTGCTTTGGCTGTTTATGCTTGTGGGATATTACTTGAGAAATTTTGCCCAGACCAATGTCCTGGAGAGTTTCTCCAAAGTTTTCTTGTAGTAGTTCCATAGTTTGACGTCTGAGATTTAAGTCTTTAATCCATTTTGATTTGATTTTTGTATATGATGAGAAATAGAGGTCAAGTTTCATTCTTCTGTATATGGTTATCCAATTTTCCCAGCACCGTTTTTTGAAAAAACTGTCCTTTCTCCAATGTATGTTCTTGGCACTTTTCTTGAAAATGAGTTCACTGTATATGTATGGATTTATATCTGGGTGCTCTATTCTGTTCCATTGGTCCTTGTCTCTGTTTTTATACCAGTACCATGCTGTTTTGGTTACTATAGCTCTATAGTATATTTTGAAGTAAGGTAATGTGATTCCTCCAATTTATTCTTTTTGCTAAGGATAATGTTAGCTATTCTGAGTCTTTTATGGTTCCATATAAATTTTAGAATTGTTTTTTCTACTTCTATGAAGAATATCATTGGCATTTTGATAAGGATTGCATTGAACCTGTAGTTTGCTTTAGATAGTATGGACATTTTAACAATATTGATTTTTCCAATCCATGAACATGGAATATCTTTTCTTTTTTGTGTGTGTTCCTTTCAATTTATTTTATCAGTGTTTTATAGTTTTCATTGTGAAGATTTTTCACTTTTTTGGTTAATTCTGTGAAAGGAAAATCAGTCTTGGGACCCCAAAATCACTAAGACAAACAGGAAAGTCAAGCTGGGAACTGTGTCAGACAAACCTATCTCCTATTTTATTCCTAATTAAGATAGCTACAAGATTTTTTTTTTAAGCTACATACCTCCCTCAAAATTTGCCCACAAGATCTTGACCCTAAAACAGTTCTGTTGAATTTCACCCTGGTAATATAAATTGATAGCTTATCTTCACGGATGAGAGATAAAGGACAGAACTAAAAGTTATCCTGATGCTCAGCTGAGACAAATACATATCTGATTACCTCCTCTGCTCTATTATTTATGTAAAAAATGTAGATTCACTGAGCCAGACTAAGGCATAATTGACTATTCCTCTACCCACCTCTCACATGTAACTTGTGTGTTCAGTGAAAGGCTGATCAAAGACTAAAAAGAATGCAACTATTTGTGTCTTACCCACCTATAACCTGGAAGCCCCCACTTCCAGTTGTCCCACCTTTCTAGACTGAACCAATGTACATCTTGCACATATTGATTGATGTCTCATGTCTTCCTAAAATGTATAAAAGCAGGCTATACCCTGGCCACCTTAGGTACATGTCATCAGGACCTCCTGAGGTTGTGTCACAGGCATGTCCTTAACCTTGGCAAAATAAACTTTCTAAATTAATTGAGACCTGTCTCAGATACTTCCAGTTCACAATTCTTAAGTATTTAATTTCATTTGTGGCTACTGTAAATGGGATTACTTTTTAAATTTCTTTTCCAGATTGTTCGTGTTGGCATATAGAAATGCTACTGATTTTTGTAAGTTGATCTTGTATCTTTCAACATTACTAAATTTATCAGTTATAATAGTTTTTGGTGCAGTCTTCAAGTTTTTTGAAATATAAAATCATGTCATCTACCAACAAGGATAATTTGACTTCTTCCTTTCCAATTTGAATGCTCTTTATTTCTTTCTCTTGTCTGATTGCTCTAGCTAGGGCTTCCAGTACTATGTTGAATAATGGTGGTGAAAATGGGCATACTTGTCATGTTCCAGATCTTAGAGGAAAGGCCTTCCGGTTTTCCCCACTCAATATGATATTAGCTGTGGATCTGTCATCAGTTATATATGGCTTTTATTATGTTGAGGTATTTTCTTTCTATACCTTGTTTTTTAGGGTTTTATCTTGAAGAGTTGTTGAATTTAATTAAATGCTTTTTTTGCATCAACTGAAATGTCATATGGTTTTGTCCTTCATTCTGTTGATGTGATGTATCACATCTATTCATTTGCATACATTGAAACTTCTTTGCATCCCAAGTATAAATCCCACTTGGTCATGGTGAATGATGTTTTTAATGTGTTGTTGAATTTGGTTTGCTAGCATTTTGTTAAGGATTTCTGCATCAATATTCATCAGAGATATTGGCCTATAGTTTTCTTTTTTTTTTTTTTTTTGGTGTGTCTTAGTCTGGTTTTGGTATCAAGGTAACGCTGGCCTCAGAAAATGAGTTTAGAAGTATTCTCTCTTCCTCTATTTTTCAGAATAGTTTGAGTAGTATTGGTAATAGTTCTTTAAATGTTTGGTATAATTCAGCAGTGAAGCCATCAGGACCTGCACTCTTCCTTACTGGGAGCTTTTTATTACCCCACATGATCTTTACTGACACCTTGAGCAGAAGTTGGGGAGTGTTCCCATTACTTAAGGTGGGGATAAAAGTCCCAACTCCCCACTTGGTCTTCTCTAACACCATGAACAGGGGGAGGAGAAGGGGGTTGCTTTGTTGTAACTGGGCAAGAACATAAATCTAGGCTCCCTCTTGGCTTTTGGTGCAGGTTATGAATGGGTCACATTTTTTTTCAGTGGTATTTGGCTGGGGTAGTTGTTTTAAAAAACAACCTTTTAAATTTCATGTATGAGAGAAATCACATATGTGAAATTTAAAAAGTCATTAAATCCTGAATTTAACGACTTTTTAAATTTCCTGAATTAAATTACTTTTTAAATTTACTGAATATGCAGTATTCAACATACTGATTTTATTTCCTTTAGGTATATACCCAGTAGTAAGATTGCTAATTATATGGTAATCATATTTTTAATTTTTTGAAGATTTCCATATTGTTTTTCTTAAGGGCTGTACTAATTTTCCTCTCTTTTATTTATTTATTTATTTTGTCTGGGACAGAGTCTCACTCTGTCACCTATGTTGGAGTGCAGTAGCGTGATCTCGGCTCACTGCAGCCTCTGCCTCCTGGGTTCAAGCGATTCTCCTGTCTCAGCCTCCTGACTAGCTGGGACTATAGGCCAGTGCCACCATGCCTGGCTAATTTTTGTACATTAATTTTCATTTCTATCAGCAATGTGTAACGGTTCCCTTTTTTCCACATCCTTGCCAACACTTGTTGTCTTTTGGTTTTTTGATAGTAGCTATTCTAACTGGAGTAAAGTCACATCTCATTGTAGTTTTTATTTGTATTTCCCTGATGATTAGTGATGTTGAACATTTATTTCGTATATTAGTTGGCCATCTGCATGGGTATTTTTTTGAGAAATAAATATCTATTCAGGTCTTTTGCCCATTTTTAAATTGGGTTATTTGTTTGTTGTTGTTGTTGAGTTGTTTGAGTATCTTATATATTTTGGATATTAACTCCTTCTCAGGTGTTTAGTTTGCAAATACATTATTCCATTCTGTTGGTTGTCTCTTTGCTCTGTTGATTGCTTATGCTTGTCCTGTAGTTAGAGAGAGCAGACTTTTATTAGGCCTTTTTTGTCTGCACCTGTTAGCATTTTCTAATTGCCCATTTCTCTAGCACCCAGTTTGGGCTATATGAAGCAAGAAGAAAATCCATGATATCTAGCCGAGCCCATCTTCTCTCTCCCTTTTAGAAACTTCTTATACCTGTTTTATATACAATATCCAGGGCCTCTAGCTGTACTTAGCAGGAGAAATAAGAAGATGTGTGTGTACTCCATTGTGTCCTGAAACCAGAAACTCAGAATTAGATTCATTCCTGTGGTTCTGCTTTCACTGCTGTGGCATTATAATGGTTCTAGGAAGGAAAATTGACATTGAAACCCATATACTTTTTATTGCTAACACTCACCACTCCTAAATTCCAGTCCATCTAGGCATGTATAAAGAGTTTTAAAGCCACACCCAACACAACACAGCTTTTCTCTTCCTGTGTCACTGCAACAGGTGGCAAATGAGGCAATTCTGGTGCCAAAAATCTAAGTTTCCCAGATGTTGAGTTGTTTGCCTCTGGCTAAGGAAGTGTGCCCTCACCAGCTGTCCTTTTTTCGGGAAATATATCCACTGTGACAGATCTCAATTCTCTATCATGAAGGCACCACTTGCTTTCATGGTATTTTAGAACTGAACTGAAACTATCTCTTGCAAATAACACTCTGTGTTGGGGTAAGAGAAGGAACCACTTACTTTTACATATTACTTTTCTTTTTTCTTTTTTTTTTTTTTTTTTTTTTGTTTGAGACAGTGTCTGGTTCTGTTGCCCAGGCTGGAGTGCAGTGGCATGATCTCGGCTCACTGCAACCTCTGCCTCCCAGGTTCAAGCGATCCTCCCACCCCAGCCTCCTGAGTAGCTGGGACTACAGGCATGTGCCCCCACATGCGGCTAATTTTTGTATTTTTAGTAGAGATGGGTTTTCACCATGTTGGCCAGGCTGGGTCTTGAACTCCTGACCTCAAATGATCCACCTGCCATGGCCTCCCAAAGTGCTGGGATTACAGGCATGAGCCACCACGCCTGGCCTACATATTTCAAATGTACTTTCTAACAACGAATGCGAGCACTTCAAGCCTTTACATCTTTTCTGCTGGCACACATTTCCAATAGCAACTGGGGCTGCTGTTGAGGGAAGCACAGTTTGTGCATTGCAGAAAGGCACCCAGCCAATGGAACAAAAGGGAGCAAAGACCCAGTTCAAGCTCTACTAGCCAAATCATGTACCCACAGGGCTGCATCACCCAGAGGGGGTGACTTTTTCAAATTTGCACAAAGGCTTTCTATAAGCAATCAGCTGGGCCCTGAATCTAACAATAGCAGTATTGCAACATCTCAAAAGAAACACTCTCTTGTATTCTATAAACTCATTATACTTGAATATTCAATTGATACTCATGCATAATTTATATCATCACTTCAAAATAATTAATTTTCAGATTTTCAGGCCTATGAAGAAGAGCTACAAATCATCTGAGGAAAAACACATTGTAAATTTTGACTAGGATCAAACTGGCTTTTTAAAAAGATTTTCCATTCTCTCCCTGGGAGGACACCATTCTACCAGTGGGTATTGTTAAATATCAGGTACTGGGTAGATAACAGAGGTTTCCTGATATGCACAATTCGCTGCCCCATAGCTGTGAACATGCCCCCTTTTTCACCCACTGATCTGTTACACATCAGTATGTCCTTCCAAGGCAGTTGAAAATTCTTGCCATATGGGATTATCTGTATCACTGAATAAATCTTGATATTGAAGCTTCAAACAGGTAACTAAATAGTTGTGAGAAGAGGTCTCTTTCTTGTCTACTTAGCCAGCTGGTGGTCACTTAATGGGAATGTTTTTTCTCAGAATGAGAGCGCTGTGTTCCTTGGATCAAAGTAACTTATAAAATATATCATTGGTCCTACTCTTAGTATAAACCAAGTGTTGACTTACGTATGACAAAGACTCTCTCCTTTGGCCAAAACTTTAGTCAGTCTCTTCTGAGTTCTCTGTTTGACTAGCCCCAGTCTTGGGCTTCCCTCTCTGTCCTTTTAGAATCCAGTTTGAACAAGAATTATTCTAAATTGGTTTATCAAAAATGTCCCAACCTTGGTGTGTCTGACCACCCTCAATATCTCACCATTCTGACCTGCCTTCAGCAATAATCCTATCCAGTCAGTTTAGCCATGTACCCTTATGTTCGATGTTTTCTCTTAGTAATTTTCCATCTGCTGACTGCCACCCTACTCCTTGGTTGTAAATCTCTACTGGTCCTTGTTGGAGTTGAGTCTAATCTCTCTCCCCTGCTGCAACGCCTCATTTCAATGGTCCCTTTGTCTATCACCATGGCCCCCTCTTGAATTTAGTCTGCCTTCCCATCTTTAACAAGTACTTGGATAATTTTTTCCTTTAATGGGTATAGAACAGTTGACTCATTTCAAAATAAATAATAATAGAGCATCAAGGCATACTACAGTCGCTTAGTATATAACAACGACCCTTTCTTTCATGGCTTCTCCAAAATATTAAACTCAAAAATGAAAATGCTGATAACAAGCTGGTCACAGTGCCAAAAGCACCAAACTAGAGTTGAGAAGTCCCGGGCTTCATCCCCCTCTCTGCCATTATCATTTGCCCAATTCAGCATAACTCTCAATATCTCTGCACCCCAGGGTCTATGTCTGTTAGATAAGGAGATTTACCTGAGTCTAAAACACTCTCATTTTATTTTACTTTTTTAGAGATGAGGTCTTGGTATGTTGCGCAGGCTGGATTCAAACTCCTGGGCTCAAAGGATCCTCCCATCTCAGCCTCCCGCATAGCTGGGACTTAAAACACTCTAATTTTTATTCTTCCCAAACAAGTAGAAGTACAGCTTGAGTGAATCCTTTAAGTTGTGTTTTTTTCCTTTCAAACATTTACTTTCATTTGACCAACACATTTAAAACTTTTTCCCCTTCATGTAGAAATTGTTTCCCCATCTACTAATCTCTTCTTTCTCAAATGTAATCATTTCTAACAGTGTAGACAATAATTCTATAAATAGCCATACCCCTTTTTCCATATGCTATTATGCCAAAAAAGGAGACCACTTTGAAAATCTATTGTAAAGAAAAAAAATCAATTTACTTCCTATAAATTTTCTTTTAGTAGTTAGGGGTGAGCAGAATACATGTTTTATTATCTTACTACTAATAATGTATAACAACATTGTATAAGGAATGGTGTTATGAAAAGTAGATTAAATCATAAAATTTAGCTAATACAGCTCTCTAAAATGCTTGTCATAAGCCCTAAATGTCCACCTTGCCACGTGAACAAACATCCACTATCAAAATGTTTAGTTTCGAAGTGTCTAGTTTGGAAATATTTATCCAATGTGAAGGAGTAAAGCAAAACAAATCCCATTAAAAGACCAGGTTCTGGTCCTCATTCTGCCATATGCCATGAGATCCTGACTGAGACATTTATTTTCCCTAGACCTTTGTTTCCACATCTGAAAAATGAAGATTAGTAAATGCTAATTTAGATGCTCTATTAGTTAAATGTTTCCAATCTTATAACTCTATGTCAAATAGTTCTTAGACTATCCTTCAGAAATCTCAAATATTCAGAACTAATAACTCCTAATACACAGATTAAGAAACTGGGACTCAAATAAACTAAGTAATTTGTTCAAGGTCACAAAGCTAATCTGTGGACTGCCTGATTCCTTATCCAGATCTGTCTGATTCCAAAGCTCATCCTTTTAGCTCTACCTTCAGTGAAATTCTCCCCTTTCAGGATGTCAAGAGAAGAAACCCTTCCTATTGTAATGGCACAAGTATGGCTTTTATAATCTTAGCATAAAATCTGTACCCTAAAGAAGAGCCCCCTTGGAGAAAGTACAGAACTGTCTGAAAGTTGCCTTCTATACCTTGTCCTACAATTAACTAAGACAGTGGCTCTCAAAGTGTAGTTCCTGGACCAGAAGCATCAGTAATACTTGGAAACTTGCTAGGAATGCAGATTCTCAGACTCTACCCATTGCATACTGGATCAGAAACCCTGGAGATGGGGCCCAGCAAGCTATGTTTTAACAAGTCCTCCAAGTGATTCTGATACGTGATACAGTTTGAGAAGCACTGAGCTAAGTTATGTGGCCTTGGGCAATGCATGCAACAACTCCCAGCTCCAGTTGCCAGCTCCAAAATCCTATGGTACTTCTATGACCCAACATCTGAATTATTAATAGGAGAATAGCTGGGCGCGGTGGCTCATGCCTGTAATCCCAGCACTTTGGGAAGCCAAGGTGGGCAGATCACAAGGTCAGGAGTTCCAGACCAGCCTGGCCAACATAGTGAAACCCCATCTCTACTAAAAATACAAAAATTAGCTGGGTGTGGTGGCACACACCTGTAGTCCCAGCAACTCGTGAGGCTGAGGCAAGAGAATTGCTTGAAACAGGGAGGTGGAGGCTGCAGTGAGTCGAGATCGTGCCACTGCACTCCAGCCTGGGTGACAGACAGAGCAAGACTCCTTCTGAAAAAAATAAAAAATAAAAAAAATAAGAGAATAGATTGGATTCTTATCCCTAATTTTGAGAACCGATACCCAGTAAGGTGAATAAGGAGAAAGCAGATAAGGAGGACAAAGAGGACATCCTTCACACAGCCCACAATTAGTCAAAGCGGCAATTTTGTTTGTGATGATTTATGTCACTGATGCCAGTGACATCCCAAATTAGAACATCTTTTTTGGAGTCACTCTGAATGCATCTCTTTGGAAATTTAAAAATTTATTAGGTGACTTGGAGCTCAGCTCAAAGAAAGAGTCAATTTAAAATATGCTGTTTCCTTAGCACTGCCTTAAGTCATTCAGGAGACAGTTTCTGGGAATGAAGTCCAATAGATCTTTTTCATAAACTGGAACAAAGTAATATCTCATTTTTCAGGAGTTAAAACCTTTCCCTCCCCATCCTGGACATGACATATATACTGGGATCTATTTCAACCAGAGGTCACATAACCAGCCTTCCAGGTACCTTTAGAAACTCATGTTTCCCCAGCTTAGCAATGACTCAGTAGACAGCACGGAGTATTAATGGCCTTAAATGCCATACTGGCGCCAAGGGTCATATTGTCATTATTTATTAAACATTTT
Organism: Homo sapiens; assembly: GCF_000001405.40. Lineage (NCBI taxonomy): Eukaryota > Metazoa > Chordata > Mammalia > Primates > Hominidae > Homo > Homo sapiens. The sequence continues at coordinate 71,826,415 of NC_000009.12, read as the reverse complement.
ATTTACCCAGAGCCTAAGTTGTTGTAACTACATTCTTATGTAGGGCATGGCTTGAGTCAGAAATCTTGTCATTAGGTTAGAAGAGATACCATTTTTCATTTATGAGGTTGAAGCTACAGATCTATCATGAAAATATCTGGTACATAGTAAGTATTCAATAAACATCTGTCAAATGAAATAATGAGTTCACTAAACTAGTGCACAGGCTTAAATTTGGTTTCTAAGTAACTGTGACAGTTCTACAGCATTTTGAACACAAACTTACCTATTTCTTTTTTTTTTTTTTTTGAGATGATTCTCACTCTTGTCACCCAGGCTGTGGTGCAGCGGCACAATCTCTGCTCACTGCAACCTCTGCCTCCCAGGTTCAAGCGATTCTCCTGCCTCAGTCTACCTAGTAGCGGGGATTACAGGGGCCTGCTACCACGCCTGGCTAATGTTTGTATTTTTAGTTGAGATGGGGTTTTACCATGTTGGCCAGGCTGGTCTTGGACTCCTGACCTCAGGTGATCCGCCCACCTCGGCCTCCCAAAGTGCTGGGATTACAGGTGTGAGCCACCACGCCTGGCCAAACTTACCTATTTCTTTCATGGTGGGGAAGGAAATTAACATGTTCTGAATACTTACTATGTCCCAAGCACTTGGTACCTGCTTTTCTCATTTTGTCCTCACAACAACCCTGTGAAGTTGGAGTTGTTACTCCTGCTTTGTAGGTAAGAAAACTGAGGCCAAGATTCTTAAGATTGAGCAGCTGGTAAACATCATGACAGAGCCAAAATTGGAACATAGTTCTTATCCTCCCACTTTTCCCCCATTGTCCAGTATGTGGGCAAAACAGCTCCTCTGAATTGGGGCTCGGATGGTTGATATTTAGCATTTGCATCCAAAGTTGTTTCTCTGTCAAACATTTCCATTCACTGAAATAAAACAGCTAATGGCCAGGTGTGGTGGCTCACACCTGTAATCCCAGCACTTTGGGAGGCTGAGGTGGGTGGATCACTTGAGGTCAGGAGTTCAAGACCAGCCTGGCCAACATGGTGAAAACCTGTCTCTACTAAAAAAATAAAAATAATTAGCCATGTGTGGTGGTACAAGCCTGTAGTATCAACTACCCAGGAGGTTGAAGCAGGAGAATCGCTTGAACCCGGGAGGTGGATGTTGCAGTGAGCTGAGATAGTGCCACTGCACTCCAGCCTGGGCGACAGAGCGAGACTGTGTCTCAAAAACAAAACAAAAACAACAACAAAAAATAGTGCTGGCCAAGCACGGTGGCTCATGCCTGTAATCCCAGCACTTTGGGAGGCCGAGGCAGGTGGATCATGAGGTCAGGAGATCGAGACCATCCTGGCTAACATGGTGAAACCCCGTCTCTACTAAAAATACAAAAAATTAGCTGGGCACGGTGGTGGGCATCTGTAGTCCCAGCTACTCGGGAGGCTGTGGCAGGAGAATATTGTGAACCTGGGAGGTGGAGCTTGCAGTGAGCCGAGATAGTGCCACTGCACTCCAGCCTGGGTGACAGAGCGAGACTCCGTCTCAAAAAAAAAAAAAAAAAAAAATAGTGCTTAACTATCTGAAAGGATTCTTAGCTGGTGAGCCCTGCAAAAATAGATGGTGATTTGGATTTGACTGAGTCTCAGACCACAGTTTGCCAACCCCTAGGTAAGACAATAGTATTGGTCATTGTACTCTGGTTATGTAAGAGAATGTCCTTGTTTTCAGAAAAATACTACACATGAAAAATGTACAGGCAAAATGGCCAGCGTTATCTGCAGTTGTAGACAGGACAGAGGCCAACAGTAGGGGAGGATTGACTTTTACGTTTGGTGTGGCATCTTACCAAAACATAGCCAGAAAAGAGCTTTAGTTCTTTCCCCACCTCCAATCTCTTCCTCTGCTTCAACACCCTAGTGGAGTCAGAAACCAGATTGTGCATGACAGAGGAGGTTGAGGAAGTTGAGAATACCAAGTGGGAGCAAAAGAGAAGAAGAGATCATGACTCACCCCTTGCCTCCGTAAACTGCCAGTCCACTTTCGGTCCTAGCATGGAGATGGGCACAGTTTGAGATCAAATTTGGTATTTTGATGGTTATATAGGACTAGATATTTTAAAATATTAGACTGAGGCCAGGTATGGTGGCTCATGCCTGTAATCTCAGCACTTTGGGAGGCTGAGGCAGGTGGATCATGAGGTCAGGAGTTCAAGACCAGCCTGGCCAAAATGATGAAACCCTATCTCTACTAAAAATATAAAAATTAGCTGGGTATAGTGGCTTGTGCCTGTAATCCCAGCTACTTGGGAGGCTGAGGCAGGAGAATGGCTTGAACCCAGGAGGCAGAGGTTGCAGTGAGCTGAGATCACGCCACTGCACTCCAGCCTGGGAGACAGAGCAAGACTCTGTCTCACAAAAAGATAAAAAATAAAAAATAAAATAAAATAAAATATTAGACTGAAAATGTGCTTGCTACTTAAATTGACTATAGTATTTTCTATTTCCCCAAAAAGAACCAAAAAGTCATTAAAATTGCTGACACTGGCCGGGAGTGGTGGCTCACGCCTATAATCCTAGCACTTTGGGAGACCAAGGCAGGTGGATCACCTGAGTTTGGGAGTTCGAGACCAGCCTGACCAACATGGAGAAACCCCGTCTCTACTAAAAATATAAAATTAGCCGGAGTTGGTGGCATGCATGTAATCCCAGCTACTTGGGAGGCTGAGGCAGGACAATCGCTTGAACCCAGGAGGCGGAGGTTTCGGTGAGCCGAGATTGCACCATTGCACTCCAGCCTGGGCAACAAGAGTGAAACTCCATCTCAAAAAAAAAAAAAAAAAAAAAATTGCTGACATTTTCATCCAAGTGTCAGAGAATAATTAGTCAGATAAAGTGTTAAAGGAACAGTGGGAGATAGATTTAAGTTGTGTAGAGATGAAGGGAATTTTCTTCCTTTCCCCTTCTCAAGGTTTGATCATTTGAGTCTATAAAATAGACTGACAATAGACAGATTAACAAGAAAAAAAGGATACAAATGTAATAATGTGCACATGGACATGGTGTCCTGCAAATATGAGACTCAAAGCAAAGCCAGATGACTGAAGCTTTTATACTATACAGAAAAGAATAGAGTCTTGGAGCCCAGTGACAGGTTATGGGTAGGAGTGGGGAGGAAATACAGGGTGAGCAAAGACTGTCTTGTTATGCAGATGAAGTCCCTCAGGTAGCAGAACTCAGAATAATTAGATGGGGCCAGGTGGTGACTCTTGCCTATAATCCCAGCACTTTGGGAGGCTGAGGCAGGAAGATCACAGGAACCCAGAAGTTGGAGACCAGCTGGGCAATATAGTGGGACTCTGTCTGTACAGAAAACAATTTAAAAACTAGCTGGGCATGGTGGTGCATGCCTGTGGTCCCAGCTACTTGGGATGCTGAGGTGGGAAGATCATTTGAACTCAAAAGGTCAAGCCTGCAGTGCAGCAGGATGGTACTACTGTACTCCAGCCTGGGCAACAGACTGACACAGACAGACAGACAGACAGAGAAAGAAGGAAGGGAAGGGAGAGAAAGAGAAAGAGAGAGAAAGAGAGAAAGAGAGATTAGATGGGAGCGCTTGTGGTAAAAGTTTCTTTGTCAGACCTTTAAAAGTGTCTGACTTTTAGTCTGCGTCTCCTGTGAGTTAATCTTTCCTAGATCTGGATAAGACAGATAAGGGAGGCCTCAGAGACAGACTGTTTGTGTCTGCTGTTTCTCACTAATGCAGATTTCCTCTACAGATACAAATCTCCACTACACAAGGACAGCTTTGCAGAGCTATTCCTGTGGTCTGCAGCCCCTCTGAATAGCCATATCAAGATACAACAAATAAATATATTTTGGGGTGGCATATTTTGGTTTCCTTCTGTTTCCTGGTTATGTTCTGTGAGTCCTGATTTTCAACAGCGATATAACCTAGAGGGTGGCAAGAGAAGATATTGTAGAGAAGGTGGCAAGGGCCAGATTTGAAGGCAGAATAAGTCATATGAGAGTTTGGGACTTTTCCCTAAAGGCTTTTAAAAAAAAAGCCTTTGAAACCAGGCACGATGGCTCACGCCTATAATCCTATCATTTTGGAGGGCCAAAGCAGGAAGGTCACTTGAGGCTAGGAGTTTGAGGTCAGCCTGGGCAACGTAAGGAGACCCTGTCTCCTCAAAAAAACTTGATCTCAGGAGTTTGAGCTGGAGTGAGCTGTGATTAACCAATGCACTCCAGCCTGGGCAACACAGTGAGACCCCATCTCAAAAAACAACAAAAAAGCCATTGAAGAGTTTGAGATAGGGAAATTTTGTGGCCGAAGTTGTGTTTTTTTAAAAATCCTTCTAGTTTCAGGCTAAATGATTATTTGAAGGGCAGTAGAGGCAGGACTCACCAAAAGGAGGACATGGTTTAGGCAAAATATGATGGTGGTTTGGTCCAGAGTAGTGACAGTGAAGATAAAAGAAAGAATTCTTTGTTTCCTTTTGCCTTTAAAAAACCTGCTTGTGGCAAAGGCTGAACAGAGCATTCCCCAAAGTTGGAAGTGTGTCCTGGGCAGCTGTCCTCACTTTGGCTTAAGTAAATTCTTCAAAATTATATTGTGTGCCTCAGCTTCGTCCTTTAGGTTGACAAAGATTTTGAGAGAAGCGATAAGCTTGATCATAGTTGGGGATGGACTTGTGGGAAGTCAAGGGCAGCCCCCACATTACTGATTTGAGCCACTTATTTAGTCAGCAGCACCATTTCTGGAGACTGGGAACTTTGTTGATCTTGGAAGAGACACAGGGCAGACAATATTGTCTCCATCTTATTGATATAGTGACTAATATTCAAGAAAACCAGGTAATTTGCTGAAGTCCACACATATTATTTCTGAGAGCCGCTGCCTTGTTTTCTACTTCAAATGACAATGCTTGAGCTGTTTGGTGTTAGTTCCCTTTGATTGCATTTGGAAACAAATGCACTCCCACAGGTGAAGTTAACTGTGTGATTTAAAGAAAGAGAGGAAGAAACTGGGTTCTGATCTAATTCTCAAAGTATGTATACATTCAGCAGTTTCAGCAAAATATCATTATGCTTCTTGGAATCACGGAAACATCCCATGAAATCTTTGATTTCAATACAATTGAAAAATCTCTGAACTTGCGCAAGTAACATTTTGTTTCTTACCCTGCCACAGGATTCTGAAACTTATCTTTTAGAGCAGCGTTTCTCAAGCCTTAATGTGCAAGGTTGGGCCCAGTGGCGCTCACCTGTAATTCCAGCACTTTGGGAGGCTGAGGCGGTGGATCACCTGAGGTCAGGAGTTCCAGACCAGCCTGGCCAACATGGCGAAACCCCGTCTTTACTAAAAATACAAAAATTAGCCAGGCGTGGTGGCGGATGCCTGTAATCCCAGCTATTTGGGAGGCTGAGGCAGGAGAATCGTTTGAATCTGGGAGGCAGAGGTTGCAGTGAACCGAAATCAAGATCACGCCACTGCACTCCGGCCTGGGGAATAGAGTGAGACTCCGTCTCCAAAACAACAACAACAACAACAACAAAACAACAAAACAAAACAAAACAAAACCAAACCTTAATTTGAGTCACTTGGAGATCTTGTCAAAATGCCAATTCTGCTTCAATAGGTCTGGGGTGGGGCCCAAGTTTCTGCATTTTTAACAAGCTCCCAGGGGATGCCCATGATGCTGACTGACTTTTAAGAAATCAGAGTTTTCGATGTACTCACTACTTCTCCAAGTACACATGGGCACTGAGACAGGACCCAAAGGAATTTCAGAAATGTAATTATATTGGGGATAAACAAAACTAGATCTTGCAAAATGATGAGGCAGACAAATGTTCTCAGGCCTATTTTTCTACTTTCCAAATTCCTTTCCTGGCTCAGCACCTTGCTCGGGCCTTAGCCCATCTTTCTGCAGCTAGTTAACGAATCCTTGCCTACGGGTAGACAGAAAGGTGGTTTTTCCTGTTACATCTTCCCCATCCCTCCCTGGGAAGCTTCAATTTCAGATGTACTTTCAAATTTCAAGACCCAAAGAAATAAATGTTTAATGTGGAATGACAGACAATACTTTGATATTTGTGGGGAAGGGTCCTCGCTCAGCACTCCTCCAGTATCAGTTCTAGACAGATCTTGGAGAAGAGAAGAAACTCAGCTTGTTCAAGTGGCTCATCCTATAGGAAATACTTTCTCCGGCTTATTTCTCTGTGCCTCCTTAAAATCAATCTATGATATGCCAAATATTAACAAGGAAAAAATTATCTCCGAAGAAGACACTGACAATTTTGCCTGTGCCCTCCTCAGTCAGAGGCAATGTGGGGTGTAGGGAGCATCGTAGAACTGTCAGCGAGTTAAGGGATAAACATGTTGAGATAGATTGGATTAAACAGCATTGTTCCAATTAATCATGCTGAATTTAGGGCCAGGAGACATTAGATTCTGCTCTTGATTTTGACATTTACATTCTCTGTGACCTTGAGCAGGCCATTTCACGTGTTTGGTTGCAGTTTTTTCATATGTAAAGGGCTACAACAGGACAAAATGAGTCCTAAGTTTCCTCCTGATTCTACAATCTTTGTTTCTGAAGTTATTTCAGTGCAGGCTTGAGTGCAGCGGCTCGATCCCTGCTTACTGCAACCACCTCCGGGTTCAAGCAATTCTCCTGCCTCAGCCTCCCAAGTAGCTGGGATTACAGGCGCGTGTCACCACGTCCGGCTAATTTTTTTGTATTTTTAGTAGAGATGAGGCTTCACTGTGTTAGCCAGGATGGTCTGTATCTCCTGACCTTGTGATCTGCCTGCCTTGGCCTCCCCAAGTGCTGGGATTACAGGTGTGAGCCACTGCGCCCGGCTCTGAAGTTGTTTCAAAAAAAAAAAAAAAAAAAAGAATTTTTAAGCTGCAGGTTTTCACAGTGGCTGGTCATCAAAATCTCTTTGGAGAGCTTTCAAAAATATGGATCTCTTTCTACTCTGTTCTGATTATTTGTGGATGCAGCCTTGGAAACTATTTTCATGAAGTTCTCCAGGTAATTTCTGTCCATTAGACAAATTTGGGAATCATTAATCCAAGCCACAAGGGGGCGCCCAGAAGATGCTGCTTTTCTTCTCAGTGATTTTTAAAATCCTTTTGAAAATTAAAATAGAAATAAAATTGATTTCCTATTTCCACATCTAATTTTGTTTTATCTCATTTGAAAGAAATGTCTGATTGAAAGCATCTCTTTGGTATTTTAGGTTTAATTATTTGCTGGGTGAGCTAAAGTTATATTAATATAATGTGTACATAATCGCCAGCATTATAGACATAAAATGACGTATTAAATGAATGTAATCTTCAGTATTTAAGCTAAAGTTGGAGGTTTGGAGCATGGCAAGCTATATCCTGATGTGAATGAAACTTAAATGTTCCAAATTTTCCAAGACAATTCCTTGACCCATGGCCCCACATGTCCCTTGATCTTTTTGGAGGAGCTTCTAGAAAGAGTAGGTTATACTTTTCGTCCCCAAAAATGACTCTATCATTTTTTTCCTCAAAACATGCATATTTATTTATTTGTTTATTTTGGGAGACAGAGGCTGAAGTAGAGGGGCATGATCTCCGCTCACTGCATCCTCCATCTTCTGGGTTCAAGTGATTCTCATGCCTCAGTCTCCAGAGTAGCTGGGATTACAGGTGCATGCCACCACGCCCAACTAATTTTTGTTCTTTTAGTAGGCACTGGGTTTCACCATGTTGGCCAGGCTGGTCTCAAACTCCTGACCTCAAGCTATCCGCCTGCCTCAGCCTCTCAAAGTGCTGTGATTACAGGCGTAAGCCACTGCGCCTGGCCAAAACACGTTTTTTAATTAAAAAAATTTTTTTTCTGTAAACATGTTTTGTTTAAATCATCTGTAAAATGAAGTTAATAAAAGAACAAACCTGTTAGGATTGTTTTGAGGATTAAATGGATTAATAGACCTAAAGTGTTAGGAACTGTGCCTAGCATATAATTAGCATTCAATAGATATAAACTATTCATATTTTTCTTACGTTGTATTTATTATTCTCTGTCTTGACAGGGTCTCCACCACTCAGTTACCCAGTCCCAAAACTCAGATTCCACTCTTTTTACCCCATCCCTCAGAGACCACATGCAATGGGCAAAACTTATTTCTCTCTTGAATGTACTCTCTCCTCTCCATTCCCACAGACATACCCTTCATTTGATTTCTCATTAGTTTAGTTCCAGGCCTCTGATATATATTCCTGAAGATCTCCCTACTCCCATAAGAGTGACTGTTCTAAAACACAAATCTGATCATGTTCTCCCGCTAATGAAATCACTTCAATGGCTGTATGCGATTTACTCTCAAAGGGTTCAAAAATTACATATATATATATGGAAAGAAAGAGAGGGGGAATGAAAAATGGGGCAAAATGTTAACAGTAGATAAATGGTACACAGGTATGTTGTATAATCTTTTTTATTGTGGCAACTTTTCTGTACGCTTATATTTATTTTCAAAACAAAGTTAAACAAACAAACAAAATGCTTCACTGGCTTTCCTCAGAATAATATCCAAAGCCCTTACCTACTTCTCTAGATTTATCTACTCTCTTTCCCCCTTGATGTTTAAGCTTCAGCCATAATACATGATTTTACTTCATTACCTGTGAGCTTGCTCTTTTCCAAATTGAAATGCTGTGGTCTTTCCAAGTTGTCTACCTGGAAAAGTCCTGTTTATACTTCAATACCCACAGCATAATCCCTTCTCTATGATACCTGTGTTATTGGACTGAATTAATCATCTGCCTCCCTACCCGGGTTCACTGTGTTCCTCATTTTGACTCTTCTCCCCTTTTATCACATTGTGTAATTCATCTATTTCTTCTTCTAATCTCAGAGTTCTCCAGAACAGAGGCCCCATGTCTTATTCACTGTTGCATCCCCAAAGGCTGAAATCCTGATTTCTGCCCGCTCGTGTTTGCAAGTTCATTTTTAGTTGCCAGCTGTGCTGGTTTCTCACCTTCTGCCATTTGAAGTGGCCACAATGGCACTCAGCTCGCGGCTGCTTCCTGTTGTTCCCAGCTGAGCCTTGGCTCCTAGCTACTCTCCCTATTTTTTTTATTTTTATTTGTTTCCCCATGTGAAGGAAGTGAGCCCGTATAGACGCAGAGCTGAAATCTAGTGATCATCATTCTTTGTTGTAAAGCTCACCCCCACCCTTGCCGCTCCAGTGACCTCCTTCCCTTTATTCTAATTCTGTGTTTTAGAGCCAGTTGCTTTACATCTAGGAAGTCTCAGTTTTCTCCTCTAGGAGAGTATGCTTGAGTCCAACATTCCTTGTTAGAGAGGATTTTTTTTTTTTGCTTATCCCTCTTGTTCAGACAGTGCATACAGTTCATTTGATCTAATTCTTCGTGCTAATTTGTCAAAGTTCATCAAACATTAACAGAAACTAACTAGTTATTTCCTTAGAGTTATGTAAGTCAAAGACCAGCGTGCTGCACTCTTGGCGAATGTGTGCCTTTTTGGATTATGTTTTCATTCTACAGATATTTTAGGAAAACGTAAGCTTAGCCCATTTCTAGCAATAAATGGCTTTTCTAAAAGTTCCAAGTTTTCATTGCTATCTTTCAAAAATATTTGTTTTGTGACTAAGAAATAAAGGGAGCCTCTAGAGAAGAAAAATATCAATATTGGTTATAAAACACATTCACTCTGAAATACCAATACCACTTCACTTGTGTGTGAACATAAGAAGTATGACTCTGAAATGAATGCTTCATGACAGCAAGGATCATGTCTTTCTTTCTTGTTCAACACCCTATGTCCAGTGCCTTGAACAGTTCCTGACCCATGGTAAGCGCTCAACAAATATTTGGTGGGTGCCTTAGTGAAGGAAGTCAGCGAACCTATTTGGGAGGATGTCATAGTTCAAGGAGCTTAAATATATTGAAGCAAGTGGAAAACAGGATCCTGAATAGCTTCTTTGGGCCCTGAAATTTGTCTTAAGAATACCACATGATGTTTCTGCTGTAGCTATAATGAAGATGTTCAGCCACGCCTGGTCAAGGTCATCTCATGGTGGGTCGTCTCTAAATGTTTCTGGAATGGAAAGTTGTAACAATATTTTTTGGTCACTTTGTGTTCCCACTGTTGTACGTTGCAGTATTTTGAGCCAGAGGTTTTCTGGAGTAGTTTTACTGTAATACGGGGCTGAGTTACTGACAGCCATCCCCTTTCTTACCTGCTTTTTACCAACACAGTACAGTTTCCTATACCTATCAGTGATAGGGAAATGATACAGCTGACATTAGTACACATGAGTAACCCAAAGTTGTTTTGTGTTAATCTTCCAGGTCATATGCTCTAACTTTACTCATGTTTTAAATGATTTGCTGTTATTTTCTTAAAGACCCATTTTATTTTCTCTTTGAGTTCATGTTCTTTTTCTTGGCAGCCATGTCTAGATATTCTTTTTTTTTTTTTTTTTTTTGAGGCAGGGTCTCACTCTGTCGCCCAGGATGGAGTGCAGTGGTGCAATCTTGGCTCATTGCAACCTCCACTTCCCGGGTTCAAGTAATTCTCTCTGCCTCAGCCTCCCGAGTAGCTGGGATTACAGGCACCTGCCACCAAGCTGAGCTAATTTTTGTATTTTTAGTAGGGATGGGGTTTCACCATGTTGGGCAGGCTAGTCTCAAACTCCTGGCCTCAAGTGATCTGCACACCTTGGCCTCCCAAAGTGCTGGGATTACAGGCATGAGCCACTGTGCCTGGATATATATATATATATATATATATATATATATATATATATTTTTTTTTTTTTTTGAGATGGAGTCTTGCTGTGTCTCCCAGGCTAGAGTGCAGTGTCACGATCTGCAACCTCTACCTCCCAGGTTCAAGCAATTCTCTGCCTCAGCCTCCTGAGTAGCTGGGATTACAGGCACCCGCCACCACACCCAGCAAATTTTTGTATTTTTACTAGAGACGGGGTTTCACCATGTTGGCCAGGCTGCTCTTGAATTCCTGACCTCATGATCCACCCACCTTGGCCTCCCAAAGTGCTGAGATTTCAGGCGTGAGCCACCATGCCTGGCTGATATTCTTGATCTATTGTTTTCTTCAGATTTTCTGAAAACTTTACTCCTTTGCTGCACTTCAAGTCTGCAAAATTGACAAATGAAAGTGTCGGGGCAGTTGGGGAGAAAGAGGCCTTCAGATATACTCTATAAATCATCAAAATATGATGTGCTATATATTCTCGGCATAAACTGGAAATGAAAAAAACTTGCTACAAATAGGAGTGACTCCTTTGGGCTTAAATTGGATTGGCAGCAACACAGATTCTGCTGTGGATTGAAGTCATTTTCTACCTCGGCACTACTCAGTCCATGGGGAATGGTGAAGTTATGATTTTGCAGCAAGATTCTGGGAGCAGGCCAGCATCTACATCTGTTCTAAACTGTAAGTGGGGCTGGAAAAATGCTTTGAAAAAAAGCCAGGGTAGGGAGGTGAAAGAGAACACAAAACCTTTACTCTCAAAAAGGCCATGGACAGTGAATCGATCAATTACAAAGACATTAGATTTAGAGAAAAGTTCTTACAGAAACAACATGTATATAATAATCCTGTCTCCATCTTCATCTGTTAAGTTTACTCTCATTTCTGACCATTCAAGAGTCATAATACATAATACAAGAAAACCGTATTAGGGAGGACTGAAACGTGACTTACGATACTTGGGATGAGTCTTTAATGAGTGAAATTCAGTGCTTTGGTAACACTTAGTAGACATTCAACACATTTTAGTGAATTGCATAATGGATCTCTCTTCTCCAAATATGTGACTACACCATCTTATAGGAACCATTTGTTTTCATTTTTACATTTTTTCCACCAAGCCGTTCTGTCAATTGAATCACATTAAGACCATGGGAGGAGTGTGGCCCACTTACCGGAAAGAGTTTGGAAATAGGCTGGCCTGGGTTCAAGTTCCCACTCCATTTCCTGGCTATGCTGCATCATGCAAGTTGCTCTCTGACTCTCAGCTTTTTCACCTGAAGCGGGGAGAGTCATGACTAATTCACTGGGTTGTTGTGAGGACCAAGTGAATCCTTGGGAACACAGAAAGCACAGGATAAGTGTCAGTTCCCTTTCTCTCTAATCCCTGTGAGTTCCATTTTCTTCTATCTTCTTCTTGTCCTCCAGACACGGGTGTATATCCACAGTCTTGATTTCTGGAAAGGTATCTTTGTCTGATTGGAGGCAGTGAAACAAACTTGGCTTGTACAAACTTTAAATTATTTTTTTCTGATAGCCAAAAGTAGCTAGAAAAAAAAACCAAGATGGAAAAACAGATAAGTGGCATCTATGCACAAGGAGGGAAATTCTGAGCCCATTTGGATCAATCACAATGGATTTTGGGAAGCTGGGGCAAGGGTCAACTGGGCTATTTAGCCAAAATGCCAGATTCTTGGAAAAACTTTGAAATGGCGGTTAAATCTCAGTAAGCAGCAGATAGAAAATTCAAAATAATAGTAATGATTGAAATAATTTCTATATGACTTGCAAGTATGTACAAGCATGTATACTTTCAGTTTCTCAGAAAAGCACAATATATTTCCTAATTAACAGAATATACCAAAAAAAAAAAAAAGCTCGAAAGGGTCCCTGGGGCCTTACTCAGCCTCTTTCAGTCCATGGCTTCCCTATGTAAAATGGGAGGATCAAAGGATTGAAATGGAACTGATTATTTCTAAGGTCCCTTGTTTAATCTAACATTCCAAGATTTTGTGCTTTTTAAAAACTGATATTAAAATTATTTTAAACTTCCTATATTAACAACAGATAATAGGGATTTACTGAGACTTCATTTAATGTAAATGACTCAGGTCATTCATTTCCTACAATAGTCCCAAGAAGTAAGTACCATTATTATTCCCATTTTACAGATGAGGAAACTGAAGCTGAGAGAATTTAAGTAATTTTTTGAAGATCACTCAGTTAAGAAATGGTGGAGCTCAGATTTAACTGGGACTTTCTGAGTCTATAATTCATGCTTTTAACCTAAACCTATACTGTCTCCCAGTATACAGCACACACATTGTTCATCGAAAATGGAATTAACTTTATTGGCAACAGAGAAAATTCAATCTTGAGGAAAACATTATCTTAAATAAATAGTATAGTGGATAATTATACATATTGAAACCAAGAAATTTTCCAATGCTTTGGACAGTGAGTCCTGTGGGTGGCCACAGTGTTTTATTTATCTGGCTCCTTCTTGCCAGACATACTAGGTATTGAGTAAATTTTTATTGACTGAAATCTATATTGCATGACTTCATTATTAATCAGTATAAGGTCTTGAAGGCTGGAAGCAACTTTTATAGCTCATTTCATCTATTGACTCCCTAGCCCACCCCCAATATTTTATAGAAGAAGGAACTGAAAAGAGGGGAGACTGTGAGATGTAACAAGCACCCAGGGCTCCTAATTCACAGTCCAGGCCTCTTTCTACTTTGCTGTCATATGGAATTCTTTGCTTCCTGAAAGACTGTTACTTCCTGACAGTGTATTCACGGTGTTCAAAGCCCAGCTCTGCACTGGTTGAGATACTCAGTCCTTCAGTTTAAGCCCTCTCCATTTTTGTCCATTATCCACCCTCAAAACAGGCTGGGAGCATGGCAGGAAATGCCAGCTGGCATAGCAGAGCACTCCCTTGAGAAAGGACTAATTTTGCCTGGCCTTGGAGAACTTGCTTGCCTTTTTGCAGCTGTGTCTGCACCAATATGTCTGGATGTACAAGAGCCAAGGGGATGTTTCACCATCTGCCGGTTCAGTGGGGAATTGGCCTTTCTGCTATGCTCACAGGGTGTTGGAAGGTTTAGTGGCTCAGGAACAGCCTGCTGAGGCGCTCCTTTTTGGATAGAATGTTACTCACAGAAAGGAAACTGTGCTGAGCTCCAGAGCCAAGGGTGTGCTTGAGGCTTGACAAATGGTTTGCGCACAACTGCAATAGTAAGCGTGCTCTGAACACATTGCAGCACTGATGCGTATTTTCTCTTAAATATACGCCCTTATCCCATTTGGACAATCAACTGAGAAGAGTCTGGCTTAAAAAAAAAAGAAATAACTTTTTCTTAATTACAAAAATAGTACATATTTATTGTAGAATATTTAGAAAGTACAGAAAAATACAGAGAAGGAAATAAATACTCTTCATCATATTACCATTCAGGGAGAATCGTTGTGGCATTTTTGTTATATACTCTTTACAGCTTTAAAAATGATATTTGTGGCTGGGCACAGTGGCTCATGCCTGTAATCCCAGCAATTTGGGAGGCTGAGGCGGGTGGATCACCTGAGGTCAGGAGTTTGAGACCAGCCTGGCCGACATGGTGAAACCTTGTCTCTACTAAAAATAAAAAAAATTGGCCAGGTGTGGTGGCTCACGCCTGTAATCCCAGCACTTTGGCAGGCCAAGACGGGTGGATCACGAGGTCAGGAGATTGAGATTACCCTGGCTAACACAGTGAAACCCCGTCTCTACTAAAAATACAAAAAATTAGCCGGGCGTGTTGGCGGGCGCCTGTAGTCCCAACTAATCGGGAGGCTGAGGCAGGAGAATTGTGTGAACCCGGGAGGCAGAGGCTGGAGTGAGCCAAGATCATGCCATTGCACTCCAGCCTGGGCAAGAGAGAAACTACGTCTCAAAAAAAAAAAAAAAAAAAAAAAAAGATATTTGTATGGATCCTATGTGTTTTTTTGTGTGTGTATGTGTAGATATTCTTTTTTCTTAAAATACATAATAAACATCTTCTCATACCATTAAATCTTATTTTACAATATTTTCAGCAGCCTATACTATTCCATCCTATGCTTTTACCATAATGTAGTTAACCAGTTCCCTCTTGTTGGGTACTTAAATGTTCTTCAGGTTTTTTTGTAATTATAAATAATGCCGTGATCAAAATTCTTTTCCCTAACTCTGATTGTTTTCATAAGCAAATCCTTTTTTTTTCCCAAAGAGGGTCTTGCTATATTGCCCAGGCTGGAGTGCAGTGGCATGATCATAGCTCACTGCATCCTCGACTTCGTGGACTCAAGCAATCCTCTGCCTCAGCCTCTCAAGTAGCTGAGACTACAGGCATAAGCCACTATGCCCAGATACTTTTTTCAGTTTTTATTTTTGTAGAGACAGGATTTCAACATGTTGCTCCAGCTGGTGTCGAACTCCTGGCCCCAAGCAGTCTTCCCACCTCAGCCTCCCAAAGTACTGGGATTATGAGAATGAGCCACCGTTCCCAGCTGTATGCAAGTTCTTAAAAGCAAAATTGTTGAGTCAAAGGTCATGACTATTTTCTACTTGGTATTCACTGCCAAATTGCTTACCAGCGTTATGCCAACTTACATTCCTACCAATGGCATATTAGAGGGCAAATTTCCTAGTGTCCTCACTAATGTGGGGAGTTAGCTTTTAAAATCATTGCCAAGGAGAGAAGTGAAAAATATTAGCATTCAACCTCTACACTTAAATGTAGGTGATTTACCACAAATGTTCTTAATTTATTTTATTTTATTTTGTTTTATTTTATTTTGAGACGGAGTCTCATTCTGTTGCCCTGGCTGGAGTGCAGTGCTATGATCTTGGCTCACTGCAACCTCCGCCTCCTGGGTTCAAGCAATTCTCCTGCATCGGCCCCTGCTAGTAGCTGGGATTACAGGCACCTGCCACCATACCCAGGTAATTTTTGTATTTTTAGTAGAGATGGGGTTTCACCATGTTGGCCAGGCTGGTCTCGAACTCCTGATCTCAGGTGATCTACCAGCCTTGGCCTCCCAAAGTGCTGGGATTACAGGTGTGAGCCACTGCGCCTGGCCAAATGTTCTTAATTTAAACCAAAGTAGGTTGCAAAGAATCACAGACAGTCTCTTTTGTTCCCAGATAAAGACAATCACACTTGAGCTAGTTTTGCACATTTTATTTTTTTTTCCTGTTAATTATACCAAAAACCATGACACCATCCTGCACTCAGTTTGCAGATGAAAATATTGTAGAGCAGATAACCATATATGTATGGGATTAGTTTTATTGGCAACAGATTCATAAATAATCATCCCTTGATATCTGCAGGGGATTGGTTCCAGGACTCCCCACGGATAACAAAATTCAAGGATGCTCAAGTCCCTAATATAAAGTAGAGTAGTACTTTCATATCACCTATATATATCCTCCTTTATACTTTATTTTTTCCCTTCTTTCTTTTTTTCTTTTTAAATAGATGTGGGGTCTCCCCGTGTTGTCCAGGCTGGTCTCCAACTCCTGGGCTCAAGTGATCCTCCCACTTTGGCCTCACAGGCACGCACCACCATGCCCTGCTAATTTTTGTATTTTTAGTAGAGATGGGGTTTCACCATGTTAGCCAGGCTGGTCTCGAAATCCTGACCTCAAGTGATCCGCCTGCCTTGGCTTCCCAAAGTGCTTGGATTACAGGCGTAAGCCACTGCACCCGGCCTATATATATATTTTTTGTTTGTTTGTTTTGGAGAGAAGGAAAGTGGTTATTCTGCCTTTTGCAGTGATGATAAAGAATATTTCTGCTGGACGTGGTGTCTCACACCTGTAATCCCAGCACTTTGGGAAGCCAAGGTGGGAGAATCACTTGAGCCTAGGATTTAGAGACCAGCCTGGCCAATATAGGGAGACCTTGTCTCTACGAAAAATTTAAAAACTAGTCAGGCACGTTGGCATGCATCTGTGGTCCCAGCTACTCAGGAGGCTGAGGTGGGAGGATCACGTGAGCCTTGGAGGGTGAGGCTGCAATGCACTGTGATCATGCCACTGCACTCCAGCCTGGGCAACAGAGCAAGACCCTGTCTCAAAAATAAAAACAAAAAACCAAAACAAAACAAAAAGACAAATAAAAAACAAAAGGAGTGAGTACAGCTAGGTCGTTCTACTAGACTGAGGTGCTCAAGAGAATGACTTACCCATCTTTGTATTGCTAGTTCTTATGACAATGCCATTTACAATATGTTCTACTCAGAATTTAGTATTTCTCCCAAAGATTTGTACTTGATCTTAGCACAAAACCAGAGGTGATAAAGGAGAAAAAAAAGTTCATTTTGTTTCTTATCAAATAAATGGAGTGGATGAGATAAATTTCCAATTTTAAGAAAGATTTGTAGTTGTTTTATTTTAAGTAAACTAGTGTAATGTTACCTACATATGATTTTCTCAACATATTTGCAAAATCACCCTTTATAAAAATACATACACTGTATTTCTGAATTATTTATAGTGTATCATTTAGATGAAATAGGCAGAAAAGTTGTTCCAAAATAGCAATGGGAAAAGAAAACCCTATGAAAGATGATTTTATTTCTATTTTAAGATTTCTTATAGTAAGAAACACCTCATTATAATGAAAATGTAGCTTAAAACTTAGCTCAAGGCAGTGTGCTATAATGGACAAAGCAGGTCAGGGTCAATGAATCTGCATTCTGATCCCAGCTTTGTAATTAATCAGGGAAACTTGGACAATCCAATTACCCTCTCTGGGTCTCAGCCTTCTAATCTGTAAAATATGAGATTTGGACTTGTTGATCCTTTCCAGGTCAAAGGGTTTCTGATTCCTTTAAAAAATATATATGCATATATATTTTTTTACAGAGACGGGGTCTCACTCTGTTGCCCAGGCTGGAGTTGAGTGGTGTGATCATTGCTCACTGCACCCTCTAACTCCTGGGCTCGAGGATTCCTCCCACCTTAGCCTCTGGAGTAGCTGGGATTACAGGGGCAAACCACCGCAACCAGGTACAGAGTTTCTGATGCTATTTGTGATTTTAATAATGCAGTTTAGCCAGATAATGTCAAATTCTGTTAGTAATTTGGCTGATGTCTTATTTAACAAAAGAAAACATCATTTTGAAAAATATCTCTTTGTAGAAAGCTGAATTACTGTTCTCTAGAAGCAAGGGCAAGGAGTTACACAATGAAAGAAAAGAGTGAGGGGCAAGAGAATTGAGAAGAAGACTGGAATGGTGAGTGTTTTAAGGTGAATGAAGGAGTGAGTAGCTGACATGGAGAAAAGGACAGGTGGGTGTTCTCTAAGGAGGATGTTTATGAAGATTTGCTCTGTGTTGTGCAATGAAATTCCTTTTGTTGTTGTTGTTTTTTAAAGAGACGGGGTCTCACTATATTGCCCACACTGGTCTCAAACTCCTGGGCTCAAGCAATCCTCCCACCTCGGCTTCCCAAAGTGGAAATTCCTTTTTTGTTGCCTCATCAAGAGACCCAGAGTTAAGACCTAAATAATCTATATAACCCCTTCATTGTTCTTTGTGGCAAGATGTGGTTCTTTATAGTTATGACAATGTGATTAACCTGAACATGAGATGTCCATGTTATTTTCAGGTTAGATTTATGACCTAGAGAGATCTACTTTAATGCAGCCTCACTCCTAAAATAATGCTATTAAAAAGCAGACAAGGAGATCATTTATTGAGCATGCAACAGCCACTTTACATATATTGTCTCTAACATTTTGAACAATTCTACATTGTATATCTTTTCTTTTCCATATAAAATCTGCCTCTGGGAAGTTAGGCACTTTATTTGCTCTTAGGAGAGTCTCAAAGAAATCTTTAATGAGATAAGCACAATTTTGCACATTTCTGCAATAATCTCAGCCATTGCTAGCTGTTCTTTGCTATATTAAAAATTAGTTAGATTGCTCTAAATTACATAAACATTACAGAGTTAAAATAAATATTAGCCAAAGTTGAATCTTTAAACATACCATGCATAAAAAATATGGTTGTATTCTTCCAAACCAAATATTTTATAAATATTTAAATGAGTGGACATATTAATTTCCATAATTATAACAGCAAAGTAAAAAAAAAGTAATTATCATGTTGAGCATGTGTAGTAAAAGCAAAAGCAAAGCTTGTAAATGTATTTGGAACTTCGGTTCCTCCTCTTAGTTTGTACAGAGTGACCCCCAAATTGATATAACCAGGTCTCCTGACCCCCCAGCTTGGTCTGATTTTTGCTACATGGACTACCTCAAACACAAAAGACCTCAACCTCCACTTCCTCCTGTTTGTCCATTTTGCCAGCAATCAACCTCTACCAACAGCCATTTGATTATAATTACACCTTGTTTTCCCATTTGGGTCAAGGCTGA
This sequence comes from Homo sapiens, assembly GCF_000001405.40. NCBI lineage: Eukaryota > Metazoa > Chordata > Mammalia > Primates > Hominidae > Homo > Homo sapiens. The sequence goes on along the minus strand of NC_000009.12, from coordinate 71,807,224 downwards.
ACTCAGGCTCTTCTGGATGGTGAACTGCTGAGGGACATCATAAGAAAGTTTGAAGTTCTGCATAATTGCTGTAACAACCTGCCCTTCAGCTCTGATCTCCAACCACACTCACACTGGCTGGGCCACTCCTTTGAAGACAAAGAAAACAGTGCCAGAGGCTGTCCTACTTAATAATAAGCCTTTGGCTCTCTCTGCCCTGTATGCACATGGTGCCCTCTACTGGCAAAGTGGAGCCACATCCAGGAAGGGGATGGAGAATTGGATTATTAATGGCTTTGGGCATTCAGCGAAATCAGACCACAGTACCTGCTAAGGCCTTCCTGATAGCTTTTTGTTTGCTGATTATAAGCATTATTTGAGCTAAAAGTAGAAAGCAGTATGCTTTTATTTGCAATTTAATCATGCACGTTGCTATGGTAATGTAAAATACTTTACAGTAATTTGCATGCACTTTATCGCATTATCGTTTTAGACATTTTTTTATATGTAAACAATAAGTTTAATTATTTATTAAGTTTAACAGTAATCAGGCTGGTAGCTCACTCCTGTCATCGCGGCACTTTGGGAGGCTGAGGAGAGAGGATCATTTGAGATCAGGAGTTCGAGACCAGCCTGGGCAACATAGGGAGAATCCCCACTTCTTCTCTACAAAAAATAAAAGAAAATTAGTTGTGCATGGTGGTGCACAGCGGTAGTCCCAGCTACTCAGCAGGCTGAGGTGGGAGGATTGCTTCAGCCCAGAAGGTTGAGGCTGCAATGAGCCATTAACGTGCCACTGCACTCCAGCCTGGGAGACAGAACAAGAGACATTGTCTAAAAAAAAAAAAAAAAAAAAGAAAGAAAGAAAGAAAAAAAGAGAAACAAAAAACAAACAACAATCAGAAAATTTTCTTCAAAATAATTTTCTTAGTATGATTGCCAACAACCTTATATTAAGGGGATGAACCCAAATTATTAAATAAAATAAAAACACATCTGAAAAAAAAGGCTATAGAAGAAAGTGCACAAGAACAGGCACTTATACATACTTTTCAAAAGGACATAAACTGCACTTTTCTTGGGTGGAGGGGCGGGGACACAGTCTCTCTCTGTTGCCCAGGCCAGGCTGGAGTGCAGTGGCACGATCTTGGCTCACTGCAACCTCTGCCTCCTGGGTTCAAGGGATTCTCCTGCCTCAGCTTCCCGAGTAGCTGGGATTACAGGCATGGGCCACCACGCCCCACTAATTTTTGTATTTTTAATAGAGATGGGGGTCTCACCATGTTGGCCAGGCTGGTCTCAAACATCCTACCTCAGGTGATCCTCCTGCCTCGGCCTCCCAAAGTGCTGGGATTACAGGTGTGAGCCGCTGCACCCGGCCAAACTGCACTTTTAGGCACTGTTTCTCTTCAGATTTCCTTTGTCAACAATATATGGCAGGACTTTTGATGCCCAGATGCTAACACAGAAAGATGATTAAGTCACCTTTATGCAAAAAAGCTTGTGTCTAATGCGCAGAAAATAAGTAGATAGCATGTTATAAATAAAGGTTTGCAAAGATAAGTTGTTTGATACTGAAAAGGTTTGCTGTCTCTTCATGTAATTAAACAATACAAATCTATGTATATTATGCCACTGGAGTCAAACTCTTAAATGGTACTTGATGTGCAAAATCTTCACCTTTAAAATAATTTTTGAATTTTTTTTAAAGAGAGTCTTGCTATGTTGCCCAGTCTGGACTCAAAACCCTGGGTTCAAGGGAATCCTCTCACTTCAGTCTCCTGAGTAGCTGGGACTATAGGCACACACCACTGCACCTGGCTAACTTTTACAACTTTAAAACAGGCAGATATTTCATTTCTGTGCTGTTTTATAGGCTGGCTATGTGTAACAAAGTTTATTTTAAAATATTTATTTATAATAAACAGCTGGTCAGTTGTGAGAGCCAACTATGTCTCCTAAGCCCTTGTATTAAATAGACACACTCTAAATATAAAATGTTTGGCATATAGTCATTGGATTTTTTTTTTTTTTAGATGGAGTTTTGTTCTTGTTGCCCAGGCTGGAGTGCAACGGCACAATCTCAGCTCACCACAACCTCCACCTCCCAGGTTCAAGTGATTCTCCTGTTTCAGCCTCCTGAGTAGCTGGGATTACAGGCATGTGCCACCACGCCCGGCTAATTTTTGTATTTTTAGTAGAGACGGTGTTTCTTCATGTTGGTCAGGCTGGTCTCAAACTCCCGACCTCAGGTGATCTGCCTGCCTCAGCCTCCCAAGGTGCTGGGATTACAGGCGTGAGCCACCGCGCCCAGCTAGTCATTGGATTTTTAAAACAATTACAACCTCCAGAATTCCCCATGTTGTATCATATTGAGTAGTTAAAAAATTATTTAAGTATTTTATTCTTTCAAAGAGAATTTTACTCCAATCGCCTTCAATTTCGTTCTATCATACTCTGGAGTGGACCCACAAGTTTACTGTGCATGTTCATTAAACCGTAAAGTGTTTCACAATTTTCACTGTTAGTTCTAAAGTAGCATCTTCAGCATATAAACAAATAGTTTGGGGATGCTGCTGGAAAGCTAAAATAATCTTTTCCACTTTTGCTTTGTACAGGGAAAATGCCTTGTGTCTGTCTCTTATGAGGATCATTCCTAGCAACAGAAATATTTATTCCTCCAGCTTTTAGAAATTTATTTTCAAATCCATCACATTCTGCTTGTAAACTTGCAGCACCCTCATCAAGATTATGAGCATGATTAGGATCTATAACAATATACTTTAAAAGGTTATGAGCATGATTAGAATCTATAACAATATACTTTAAAAAGTTACTCATACAGTAATGGTAGCTTTCAGGATGATTTCTGGGCAGTACTCTACATGCTCATCCATGTTAAATGTCTTCACATATTTAAAAGAAAGGCTTCCATTCTTGCAATAGCCTTTTAGTTTTTTGTGGGTTTTTTTGTTTGTTTGTTTGTTTGTTTTGTTTTGTTTTGTTTTTAGACAGGATCTTGCTCTGTTGCCCAGGCTGGAGTGCAGTGGAGCGATCTTGGCTCACTGCAACCTCCACCTCCCGGGTTCAAGCAATTCTCATGTCTCAACCTCCCAAGTAGCTAGTACTACAGGCGTGCGCCACCATGCCCAGCTAATGTTTGTATTTTTAGTAGAGACAGGGTTTCACCTTATTGGCCAGGCAGCTCTCGAATTCCTGGCCTCAGCCTCCCAAAGTGCTGGGATTATAGGCATAAGCCACTGCGCCCAGCATCTTTTAGTTTTTAGTAGCATCCTCAAGTCATACTCCCGGTTGACTGACCAACTCTTCTGATGCTAAAGCAGTGGGAGCCCCTGATAGCTTTTTCCGAGAGAAAAGTCACTGATTTATGCTGTGGTATTAAGTACTTAACTTTCATGTTTCCATTCTTTTCCCTTGAAAAGAGAGCTGTGACCACTTACACAACATTAGCTTCTGAACATGCAGCTATTTACACAGTAACTTGGGTGACACTACAATTTTAGATGCAATGACCCAAACTTCATTTTATATAAAGATACAGATGTCACTTTTTATTTTCAAAAGTTAAACTATTCTGTTCTTCTTGATCATTATGATTTCCTAGCTCTTTTGTGCTGGCGTAGACATATAGTAGCATAACAGCCAAAGCTGATGAGCCATTTGACAATGAACCAGTTTTGGAGAGGCAATCTGAACCAGACTATCATAATGATAGAGAATGTTGCACGACATCGGTCTTCGCTTTATATTCTTCTTTTGTGGTGTCATTGCCAATAAAGGCTTGAAATTATCCCACAGTCAACTGTTGAGGACTATCGTGTTTGGAAACATGAAGAGTTTGACACAAGCAGTTTCATGTCATGGGGTAGGATAAACTGCTTATCCTCTTTGGGGTGTCCATCTTACTATTTTTATTACCAATACATATTATGAAACATTTCTTTTTTTTTTTTTTTTGAGACAGAGTTTTGCTCTTGTTGCTCAGGATGTAGTGCAATGGCACGATCTTTGTTGACCACAACCTCCGCCTCCCAGGTGCAAGCGATTCTTCTGCCTCAGCCTCCCGAATAGCTGGTATTACAGGCAAGCGCCACCACGCCCAGCTGATTTTGTATTTTTAGTAGAGACAGGGTTTCTCCATGTTGGTCAGGCTCATCTCAAACTCCTGACCTCAGGTGATCCGCCCGCCTCAGCCTCCCAAAGTGCTGGGATTACAGGCATGACCCACTGCACCTGGCGAAACATTTCTTTTAAAAAAAAGTTTCTTTTTAAAAAGAAAAATTATTTTAGGTTCAGGGGTACATGTGAGGGTTTGTTATGCAGATCGTTTTTTGTACATATTATTTCATCACCCAGGTATTATCCCCACTATCCAATAGTTATCTTTTCTGCTCCTCTCCTTCCCCCTACCCTCCCCCATCAAGTAGAACCTAGTGTCTTTTGTTTCCTTCTTTGTGTTCATAAGTTCTTATCATTTAACTCCTACTTGTAAGTGAGAATGTGCAGTATTTGGTTTTCTGTTCCTGTGTTAGGTTGCTAAGGATGATAGCCTCCAGCTCCATCCATGTTCCTGCAAAAGACATGATCTTGCTCTTTTTATGGCTGCATAATATTCTATGGTGTATATGAACCATGGACATATACTTTGGTACGCATACGTGGTACATATACGGGGCATATATGTACCATGGACATTTTCTTTACCCAGTCTGTCATTGATGGGCATTTAGGTTGATTCCAGGTCTTTGCTATTTTGAATAGTGCTGCAGTGAACATTTGCATGCTTGTGTCTTTATGGTAGAATGATTTATATTCCTTAGGTATATACCCAGTAATGGGATTGCTGGGTCAAGTGGTAGTTCTGCTTTTAACTCACTGAGGAATCACCATACTGCTTTCCACAATGGTTGAACTAATTTACACTCCCACCAACAGTGTATAAGTGTTCCCTTTTCCCCACAACCACAACCTCACCAGCATCTGTTATTTTTTGACTCTTTAATAATAGCCATTCTGACTGGTAGGAAATGGTACCTCATTGTGGATTTGATTTGCATTTCTCTAGTGATCAGTGATATTGAGCTTTTTTTCATATGAAAAAAGCCTCTCTTTATCTATGTAAAATATTCTAAACTAGGAGCCTAACCACCACACATAGTGGATGACCTAGAATGCAAGTTCGGTTTAAAAGGCTTGAAACTGGGGCAAGGGGGCCTCCTTTTCTCCCCGTCAGCACCTCTGCCAACCTTTCTAAAACACTATATTGAGTTTCCTCAAAGCAGGCGAAAACAAAAGCCTTTTCTATTGCCATGTAGTTTTAAACCAATGGCTTCTTTTGCATACTTCTATTTATTGCTTAATTAGGAGAAAAAAATTATTCTTGTTGAGAGGAAAATTCTTTTAAAAATGTTGCAAACTTTGTAAAATACGGCACATTGTGAAAAAAATTTAGGTTTCTTTTCCACGAAGACGACAATTAAAAAATGATTAAAGCTTAATACAGATACTCAAATAATTTTAGAACTAATAGTCTATGTTGAATCTATGTATCAAGTTTCAATGAAGTGAAAAATATTCTGCAGAGATGGAAATATATCACATTTTATATTTTATTCATTTTCTTTGCAAAGGATATGACATCTTGGAAGACAGAACAGATAGAAAATGGAAACATGTTAAAAAATGATCTTACATAATTATGACTATCACATATGCTGAAATTTGGCTTGCTCTGCTATTGCTAAAGGGCTTAGGCAAATTATGTACCCCACATTTTAGAATAAATATTCAAAGATAAAAAATTAATCTTAATAGAAATAAGAGGCTCTTTGGCTTTAATTTCCTTATTTTTTAAAAAAAAAACCTCATCAAAGCTAGAAGATGGGGAAATAGTTCATTTATGAAATTGACAGCCACACTGTAAGAGATACATATAAAGATAAAAATCATAATCCTAAGTACAGAAATCTCAACCTTTGGCTAGAAATAACCCAGAATACTAACTGCAAGGAAATGGAGGTATAACCTGTCAAACGTTTTAATAGGTTAAAAAATCAGCTTCCTCCCAGCACTTCGGGAGGCCGAGACGGGCAGATAACGAGGTCAGGAGATCGAGACCATCCTGGCTAACACGGTGAAACCCCATCTCTACTAAAAATACAAAAAAATTAGCCGGGCGTGGTGGCGGGCGCCTGTAGTTCCAGCTACTTGGGAGGCTGAGGCAGGAGAATGGCGTGAATCCGGGAGGCGGAGCTTGCAGTGAGCCGAGATCGCGCCACTGGACTCCAGTTTGGGCGACAGAGCAAGACTCCGCCTCAAAAAAAAAAAAAAAAATCAGCTTGAAAAATATTTAGCAACCTTACCCATACTTGCTGATGATATCTTTTATAGAGTTAAGCCTCAGTATCTTATAGATTGTACCATTATTCCAATAGATATTTTCAAACTGTCATCAAATGTTACAGCTTGGTTCTTTCTGTTTAGGTAAGGTCTGAATGGATTTGTACTAATTTCAACCTGTATTTTATTTTTAAAAAATGGCCAGGCATGAGTTATTGTAAGCATTTGGTAAACTTTTAATTTTACAGTTTTAATTTTGTTTTTTCTTTTTTTTAGAGAGGCGATCTTGCAGCCAGGTGCAGTGGCACATGCCTGTAGTTGTAGTTACTCAGGAGGCTGAGGCAGGAGGATTGCTTGAGCCCAGGAGTTCGAGGCTGCAGTGAGCTGTGACTGTGCCACTGAACTCCAGCCTGGGTGACAGAGCGAGCCCTGTCTCTTAAAAAAAAAAAAAAAAAGAGAGAGAGAGAGATGGTCTTTAATTTTGTTTTCTACTAAGAAATTTTTGGGAGAAGGTAAACAGGTTTAAAAGACATTTTGTTCAATGCAGTGCTTTTCCAAAGCTCTTATTCGGGGTGCTCATTAGGTTGGTGGTTTGTTGGGAAGTGTCACCTTCTAATTCAGCTCATTAACCTTATTCTGGGAGACAGGCAGCAACTTCTCTGAAAAGGTTGCATGGAGCCTCACTCTAAGGCAGTCATTTGGATAGTACCAAAATACCTTTATGATGTGTGACAGTTCATAAACAGTTTCCAAGTTTGTTAATTCATTTGATTATCATAACAACTACTAAGCAGTGAGAACAGACACTATTGTCCTGTTGTATAAGGTTCTAGAGGTAAACAAACATCCAAGAACACAGAGCTATTAAGTGGTGGAGGGAAGCTTTGAAAGCTAAATTTTTGTGATTCCAAATCTCAAGTTCTTTTTACAACTTTATAGTAAAATCTTTTAGATTCTTGTGTGTGTGTGTGTGTGTGTGTGTGTGTGTGTGTGTTGTGTGTTTAGATGAGGTCTAACTCTGTATCTCTGTTTGCCAGGCTGGAGTGCAATGGCATGATCAAAGTTCACTGTAGCTTCAACCTCCTGGGCTCAAGTGCTCCTCCCACCTCAACCTCCCAAGTACTGGGAGTACAGGTGTGCACCACCACACTGGCAATTTTTTTCTAGTTTTTATAGAGATGGGGCTTCACTATGTCACCCAGGTTGGACCTGAATTCCTGGCCTCCAGTGATTCTCCCGGCTTGGCCTCCCAAAGTGCTGGAAGCACAGGTGTGAGTCACCGTGCTCAGCCTTTAGATCCTTACATAAGCATATGCTTAACTGCTACCAAATAGCAGTCTTTAACCCTCACCAAATCGTATTACTTGGCATAAATGGTGGCATCCCTGGGTTACAAGGATGTATAGGGAAGACAGAGGCCAGACTAAAGTCATGATGCTTAGTGGCATCTTAGCAACTAGGTATGTGCTGTCACAGTTTTACCTCAAAGGAATAAACTTTAGTAAAGTTTAAATAGATTAGGACCATCTGTTGTACAGTTTCTTCCCATTATCCCATCACCATAGCAACCCACATACCAAATAAGCAAAATTGATTGGGAAAGATTACAAGAAAGTGTCAGTAAAGGTGGCCTCCATTCCTAGTTCCAAAGTTATCTCAGGGTTTCAGCTGGTGCTCTATCTTCCTGTTGCCTGGAACCTTGTGACTTTTAGCTCACATTTAGTCCCTGATGGACCCCTATACTCTCAACATTTGGCACCAAAGGGTTCTCCTGGGTTTTTGCATGACTTTCCCAATACCCAGTCTTCATAGATAAGAACAGTACCAACATTACATAAATGCTTCAGGTCAAAAAAGAAGAAAATAAAATAATTTCTTTTTTGTTGTTGTTGAGATGGGGTCTTGCTATGTTGCCCAGGTTGGCCTCAAACTCCTAAGGCTCAAGCAATTCACCACCTTGGCCTTCCAAAGTGTTGGGATTACAGGTGTGCGATGCCATGCCTGGCCAAAGGAATTTCTGTTCTAATAGATTGTACAGACTTTTCAAAATGGATTATCAATGATCACCGAGTGGCCTTTATGATAATAAAGAAAAATAAATAAAAAAATGTTAAGCATTTATTAAGTATCAGGCAGTATGCTAAGGGCTTTGCATGCATTGTATAATTAATTCTTTCAGCTACTTCAAGAGATGAATATTATTATCATTCTCATTTTACAGATGAAGAAACTGAAGCCAGAAAGTTTAAGTAGCTGGTCCAAGCTCACTTCACTTATAAATTATGGGGCTGAAATTTTCACCTAAGCTTAGAGAGGCATATTGATCATAAAAGCACGGTTTGGGGAGAAAAACGGAAGGGCATATGGGCCAAGAGGTGGTTGAAATAACCACTGACTTCATTCCTTAAGGCTAAATATGCTTTTATTTATACAAAGCTTCTAAGGTTTGAAAATAAACAAGAGAGACTGAAATAATAAGTGAGGTGATCAATATGTTAATCGACTTGATTTATTTATTTCATTGTATACATATATCAAAATATCACACATTATACCCCATAAATAAATTTATTATTTGCCAATTAAAACATTTAAAAGGCTGGGCACAGTGGCTCATGCCTATAGTCCCGGCACTCTGGGAGGCCAAGGAGGGAAGATTGCTTGAGTCCAGTTAAGGACAGCTGGACAGCTTGGGCAACATAGTGAGACCTCATCTCTACAAAAATAAATAAAACTCTTTGGGCATGGTGGCACATACCTGTACTCTCAGCTACTCAGGAGGCTGAGGTGGGAGGATCATTTGAGCCCGGGAGGTTGAGGCTGCAGTGAGCCGTTGATTGTACCACTGCATTCCACCCTGGGTGACAAAGCAAGACCCTGTCTCAACAACAACAATGGCAACAATAACAGCAACAACACAATTTGAAAAGAGAAAACAAGTGAGACTAAGATGAACCATAAACAGGCGTTAGTTTTATTAGTATTGGGTAGCTGACCAAAGTATTTGCTGTGCTGATACATAAATAATGCCCTATGAGAGGATTCTTTTCTGCTGTGCAAATCAAATTCAAGAAACGTGCCAGAAGAAACAGCACAGTGTAGACTGAGTTGCACAGTAGTTCCTTCGCAATGCTGAAGTGGGTAGAGTAGACCAATTTATTGATTTATTTTTAGACAACATGTTTATCTTTTTGTATTTGTGCTTTAATACAGTTAAGAGAGCCAATAAATAGTTGTCATGGGTAGCCTGGTTTTAGGTCTAAAAGTCTCACAGATACACATATCTTATCTCTTGATTCATTTTGACCTGATAGCCATGTCAGGGATTTTTTCCCATGTGAAGCTACTGAAGTGAAAATAGCTGTATATCCTGTAGACACTTGGAGGGCTGTGATTCAGGGGAAGAATCTTCCCATTTCCTCCTATGAAGAGATGGAAAGAGGAAGGCTTGCATCTCATACAGAAGCTTTGATGGATTACTCATCTCGTGCTTTCCTTGGTGTCTGTCCTTGGGACATTTTTTCACATCAGGTCAAAGTCAAAACCAACAATCACACAAAGAAACTAACAGAGACAACTACATAGATGAACATCCTTACTTTTCCTTTATAAATCTTTTAGAAATGAAAAATACTGAGATTATAAACCACCATCCCCAGTAAAAATTCTCAGCACTGAGGCCCTAATGGGCTTCCCTTTGATGCAGGGCAGGTAAGCCCCAAAGCTGGGGCTTAGCCAGCGAGAGTTCTTGCCTTGCCTTTGCCCAGGAAAGAATTCAAGAGCCAGCTGGTCATGTTAGAAAGCACCTTTTTTTTTTTTTTTTTTTGAGACAGAGTCTCAAAGGCTTGGGTGCAGTGGCATGGTCACAGCTCACTACAGCCTCAACCTCCCAGGCTCAAGTGATCCTCCTACCTCAGCCTCCTGAGTAGCTGGGACCACAGGTGCATGCCACCATGGCTGGCTAATTTTTGTATTTTTAGTTGGGACAGTATTTTGCCATGTTGCCCAGGCTGGTCTCAAACTCCTGGGCTCAAGTGATCCGCCCACGTCAACCTCTCAAATTGCTGGGATTACAGGCATGAGCCACTGCGCCTGGCCTAGACAGCAACTTTTATTGAAGCAGCAGTGTACAGCAGCAGCAGAGGTACTGGTTCTGTGGAGAAGGCCACCCCACAGGCAGTGTGCCCAGAGTGGCAGCTCAGAGGCAGTTCTGCAGTCATAGTTATACCCACTTTAAATTACATGCAAATCAAGGGGTGGATTATGCAGAAATTTCTAGAAAAAGAGTGGTAACTTCTGAGTCATTGGGTCATTGCCATGGAAAGGGGCAGAAATCTCTGGGTGTTGCCATGGCAATGGTAAACTGACATGGCACTCTTGTGGGCATGTCTTACAGAGAGGTATTTTTATCTCTTCCCTGTTTTAGCTAGTCCTCAATCTGGTCCAGTTTCTGAGCATCACCTCCAGAGTCCCACCTCCTATCTCACCTTGTAGACAACATTTCACATGTGTTGTCACAACTCATTGCTGGAGGAATCAAGCATGTCCTTTGGGACTCTACTGGGAGGGGACTGTACTGGGAGGGGACCGTACTGGGAGATGGCTCTTGGAAGCTTGTGCTTGGTTACTTCTGGACCTCGCCCATGTGCCTTTTCCCTTTGCTAATTTTTCTTTGCATCTATTTACTGTAATAAATTTTAGCCATGAATGTCATTATATTTAGATTTCTAGCAAATCACTAACCTGGGAGTGGTCCTGTAGATCCCTGACACAGCCTCCTTTACTAGATTTTTCTAAGTATTAAGTGTGATTATATTGGCATTATATTATAATAATAAGTAATTAATAATAAACACTAATAAATGAAAGATAGCAAAATTACCTTATGATAACATGGAAAACTTGAGTCATATGCTAAAGGACATGAGATGGAAAAAGAGCATTAGCCAAGCCTGAAATTTTCTGCACATTTTCCAAAGTGGATTTTTAAAAAATAACCGCAAATAAGTGCAGAGCTTTTTTTTACACTAGAACAATTAGGATGCCTTATTATTGTCTGAACTCTTCTGCTTGCTTGAGTCAATGAAAACTTTACACATATTGGCTAGATATATTCTCAGATATCTTCTGCATGTAAGCAAAGGGGAGAAATATTGTGCCGTTCTGAGCCTTTGAGAAAATTTGCCTTACCCACTTCCTGTGTTTAAAGAAAGGCAATGTATTAATATCTGGCAAGAGCACATTTGAGATCGAGACAAGAAGACAACAGGATGTACTTTCTTCTTGTCAAGATAGAACTTCATGCCTGGCTAATCAACTAGAAAGTCTGATTTTTGCATGCCTCAGGAAAAAGCAATCATAGGTGGTTTTGAGAGGAGGGTTCTCTAGTGTTTCCTTCCCTCAGAGCCGAGATCTTACATGTAAATTGATGCACTTCTTCCTGGGGCATCCAGCTTTCAACCACCTTCACATTATGTTTAGCAAAAATAGATGAAAATTTGTAGCCATGTGCATATTTTGATTACTGCTCCCGCTCATATACTCAGTGACATGAAAGACTGCCAAGCTTACATAGGACCTAGCGCAAGAAAAGGCTCCGCAGCAGGTCTGGGCCCTGTCGCTTGGGCCATATGATCCTGCAGATACACTTGCATTGGAGGTATCAGTTATGAGAAAAGATGCTATGTGTTCAGTGTGCAGATAGGTAGATTAAAAAGAGAGAAAGATGCTATATGGGTTTTGTGGCAAGTGCCAGTGGAAGAATCACAACTCAAGGCCTTGGGAATCTGGAGCAAGGCTATGCCATCTCTGGTGGAGAATCACATGCCTTTGGAAAAACTACTCCTACCATGCTACAAGGCTCTGGTAGAGACAGAAAGCCTGCCAATGGTTGCCAAGTGACCAGGCAGTGAAACTTCTCATTGTGATCTGGGGCAAATCAACCAAGTTATAAGATAAGGGGACACCAGCAGGAATTCATCCTAAAATGAAGGTGCTGCCGGACTGAAGAGAAGCAGGACCAGAGGGCAGAAGTAAGCTGCATGAGCAGCAGCGCAGACTGCCAATGTACCTACCACTGTTTTCCCATTGCTGCGCCCTCATAGCTGAATGGGGGATTCTTCATTGCAAGTTGAAAAAAGAGAAATTTGAGCTTGCTTTGTAGATTGCTCTGCCCTATGTATGAGTGCAAGCTGGAAGTGGATGGTAGCTTCTCCACAGTCTGCTCAAAGGTGGTCTTGAGAGACAGTGGCAGGGGAAAATCCTCCCAATAGGCAGTGCTTTGAGGAGGGCACTTGGCTAACCACTTTGTGTGGAAAGAGAAGTAGCTTGAGGTTAGGATATATACAAACTCATGAGCAATGGCAAATGGTCTGGTCAGCTGATTTGGGACTTGGAGGGAAAAAGATTGGAGGTCTAGGGGAGAGGGATGTGGATAGACATACGGGAATGAGCATAAAGTGCATAAAATGTGAACATCCACCAGAGAGCACCCTCAAAAGAGTCACTAAAAACCAAGTAGCCAAAATGTCCTAGCCAGTTGACTGACAGACATCTCTGTCATTGGCCACCCCAGTGTTGGCATGATAGACACACGAATCAAGTGACCGTGGTAGCAGAGATTGAGGTCACTCATGGAACAAGCATTGTGGATTCCCATTTACCAAGACTGCCACTACAAAACGTGCAGCTGCCAGCAACAGAGACTAGGGAAGAAGTTGACTACATTGGGCCCCTTTCATTCTGGAAGGGCCAGCAGTTCATTCTCAAGAATAGAAACATTTTCTGTGTCTGGATTTGCCTTTTCCTGAATTCTGGGCCTCAGGCAGAGCCGCTGTGGTCTGTATCTCAGGACAGGGCTCCCAGGCCAATGCATTCTTCCTTGTTCACTGCATTCTTTCCTGGCCAATGCATTCTTCCCAGGCCAGTGCATTCTTCCCAGTTCAGTGCATTCTTCCCAGGCCAGTGCATTCTTCCCAGTTCACTGCATTCTTCCCTGGCCAGTGCATTCTTCACTGTCAGACCCTGACATAGCTGGTAGTTAGAGACTATCTATTGACTGCAAGCCTTAAAAGGCAATCTGGGCAGTGGCACCACTGTCTACTATCCAGAATCAGCTTTTTTCTTGTGTTTTCTCTCCCATTTCCCTCCAGTACTCAGGTTCCCACTGTCTCTCCCATTCCTTTTTCTCTTTCCTGAAAAATCTTAGCCTGCCCTCCGGCCAACCATCTCCAGAGCTAAGTGCAAGAGAGTAATGGGAGAAATATTTTTGTCCCCATCTTCTTTCCTTTAGTGATTGCCAGGTCTGAGCTGGGTTAAGATTTAACAGGAGCTGAGTCAGGCTTCAGTAATCATTCTTTCTGTTTGCATAGCCCTTTGCAGTTCTCAAAGTTCTTTCAAATACAGTTTTGAATTTTACTTCTCATAACTTCTCTGTGAAAAGTTTAGCATTATTTTTCATCTTATGAAGAATCTGAGGTCCAGAGAGGTTAAATGACTTACCCAATCTATACAGGTTTTTGTTGTCAGACCAGGTCTTCTGAATCCAAGTCCAGGGCTTTGTTGGCTATATCTTAGCTACTATCCCTACCTTGCAGTGGGAAGATTGAGGAAAAGACAAGAAATTACTTGCACAAAAAAGATAAGAGCTAGGCTGGTGTGGTGGCTCACGCCTATAATCTCAGCACTTTGGGAGGCCGAGACGGGTGGGTCACCTGAGGTCAGGAGTTCGAGACCAGCCTGACCAACATGGTGAAACCCCATCTCTACTAAAAATACAAAAATTAGCTGGGCGTGGTGGTGGGCGCCTGTAATCCCAGCTACTTGGGAGGCTGAGGCAGGAGAATCACTTGAACCCAGGAGGCAGAGGTTGCAGTGAGCCAAGATTGCGCCATTGTACTCCAGCCTGGGTGACAAGAGCAAAACTCTGTCTCAAAAAAAAAAAAAAAAAGCTAATGTTGAGTGGGGTGATTGCTGACTGGTTTCCAGGACCTACCAGCTGGATGTTCGTAACATACTGAATGGAAAGAACTGGACTAAAGAACGCGGTTTTATCCAAATAATTTTTGTATCTATGTCCTTTTCCTAGAGCCACCAAAAATCACTGGTTACTATCTGGAAATGGAAAATAAGCATTCTTTCCTGTCCCTCAGCCTTCACTGTCCTCCTCTGACGGTCTTCTCTTCACATAGCACCAGAGTGACTCTTCATAAAACATAAGTCAGATCATGATACTCCCTTGCTGAAAGCCTTCTGATGGCTTCCCACAACTCCTAAAAGACAACTTTTTTTCTTTTTCTCTTTTCTTTTTTTTTGTCCCACATGGATCTACCTTTATTTCTTGTGACAAAATATAACATTTATGCTTTTTTTTTTTTTTTTTGAGACAGAGTCTCACTCTGTCTACCAGGTTGGAGTGCAGCATCGCGATTTTGGCTCAATGCAACCTCCACCTCCCAAGTTCAAGCGATTCTCCTGCCTCAACCTCTGGAGTAGCTGGGACTACAGGTGCCTGCCACCACTCCTGGCTAATTTTTGTATTTTTAGTAGAGAGGGGGTTTCGCCATATGGCCAGTCTGGTCTTGAACTCCCAACGTTAAGTGATCCACCCACCTCAGCCTCCCAAAGTGCTGGAATTACAGGCGTGAGTCACCACACATGGCTGAAGACAATTTTAAGCCCTTCCTGTGGCCTGCAAACCTTTACATGGTTTGACCCCAGGATACCTCCCAGCTATCTCCCTACTCCGTTGCTCACCTACCTCCAACCACAGCAGACTCCTAGCTGTTTCTCAAACACATGGGATACATTCCTTTTCCAGAGCATTTGCAATTCCTTTTTTTTTTTCTTTTCCTGGAAAATCCTTTCCCCAGATGCTTGCACCGCTCATTCCTTCACTCCATTCTGGCATCTGTTCAAATGTCTTTCTCAGTGAGGCATTCCCTCACTGCTCCCTGTCACGCAGCCTCCTGGTTGCTCTCTTTCTCTTTACCCTGTTGTATTTTTCTTTTGGGCACTTATTACACTATGACATTATGTAACGTAATTATTTGTTTATTGTCTTCCTCCCCCTACCTCAACAATAAAGTGAGCTCCACATGGCAGACACTGTGTCTATTTTGTTCTTTGTTATGTCTTCAGCTCCTGGAATGGGGCCTGGCACACAGTGAGATTTCAATATAGACTTGTTGAATAAATGAATACATCTTTAGTTTTATTTCTTCCATTTCTTTGTGAGGAATCATGGACTCTTGTCCTTAATTCAACTCTTGGGATTGTGGTGAATTATTTATTCTGAAAGGTATTGTTATAACTCAAAGTATTTACCAAAAAAAATATTAACTTCCAGCCTCTTCCTTCTAATTGGAAGTATCCAGTTACTTCAGCTCCATTCAAGGTAGTCGGGATCCTCTGTGTCAAAGAGGAATACATGGGCTTGACCTCCAAAACATCCATGGCCAGTTCTGCCTGTCATTACCAGCTCCGGTCATCTCTTACTGCAACTTATCTTAGGAGTCCTTAACATAGAGTTCATGAACCTCAATGAAATCAAAGGACGGACTCTGGGGTCTCATGAGTCTTCTGAATATGCCAGAATATAGTGCTCATTTTTTCTAGAGGGATGGGCCCTAGCTTTCTTCAGATTTTAAAGAGGCCCCGTGCCTTCTATAGAGGCTAAGAACTCCTCAAATAGTTGTAATTGTCACCATTTACCACACCTCCATCCATTCTTTGAAGCCACAAAGCTGGGTGAGAGCATTTTATGATAGAAGAGTATTGACTTGCCGGGCACGGTGGCTCATATCTGTAATCCCAGCACTTTGGGAAGCTGAGGTGGGTGGATCACCTAAGGTCAGGAGTTCCAGACCAGCCTGGCCAACATGGTAAAACCCTATCTCTACTAAAAATACAAAAATTAGCCTGGCATGGTGCCTGTAGTCCCAGCTACTTGGAAGACTAAGGCAGGAGAATAGCTTGAACCTGGAATGTGGAGCTTGCAGTGAGCCGAGATAGTGCCACTGTACTCCAGCCTGGGTG
Source organism: Homo sapiens (assembly GCF_000001405.40). Taxonomy (NCBI): domain Eukaryota; kingdom Metazoa; phylum Chordata; class Mammalia; order Primates; family Hominidae; genus Homo; species Homo sapiens. The sequence continues at coordinate 71,790,850 of NC_000009.12, read as the reverse complement.
ACAGAGCTAGACTCCATCTCAAAAAAAAAAAAAAAAAAAAAAAAAAAAAAAAAAAAAAGAAAGAAAGAAAAAAAAAGCATATTGATTGGACAGAGGTTCAGAGGAGCAAAGCCCTAAAGTTCTCCTTTCTTTCTCTAAGAGGGTGTTACAACACAAAGAAATATGATTACTGTCAAAGTTGGCTATGAATACTAAAGGATGAAAACCTAGGGTCATTCTAGCAATCCATCTCTCCTTCCAGCCATCTCTAGTCATTTAGAGAATAATATGTGATGTATGTTCATAAATATTTAAGCATATCTATCCATCCATTCATCCAGTCATCTGTCCATTCATCTCTACATCCATCCATCCATTCCTACATTCCTACATCCATACAAAAAAACTCCCTATTGCAAGTATTTCTCGAATGAATCAGACACATTCTGCTTTCTTTTCAAATTTGAATCCCAGTGGTATAATTCCATTGCCAAGTCCACTGTTGTTCTCTTGTGTTTTATTTATTTATTTATTTATTTATTTATTGAGATAGTCTTACTCTGTCACTCACTGTAACCTCCGCCTCCCAGGTTTAAGTGATTCTCATGCCTCAGCCTGCCGAGTAGCTGGGGTTACAGCCATGTACCACCATGCCTGGCTAATTTTTGTATTTTTTTGTAGAGATGAGGTTTCACCATGTTGGTCAGGCTGGTCTCGAACTCCTGGCCTCGAGTGATCCACCCGCCTTGGCCTCCCAGAGTGCTGGGATTACAGGCGTGAGCCACCTCACCTGACCTTCCATGTTATCATTAATGGAGTTCTGATCTTGGAAATTAAGAATAATGCTTCCACAGTTAGGGAGACCAAGGCAGGTGGATCACTTGAGGCTAGGAGTTTGAGACCAGACTGGGCAACATAGTGGGACCTGGTCTGTACAACTTATGTTTTTTTTAAAAAACATTAGCTGGGCAGGGTGGTGCCCCTGTAGTACCAGCTACCCTCCAGAAGCTGAGGTGGGAGGATCACTTGAGACCGAGAGGTTGTAGTGAGCCACGATCACACCACTGTACTCTGGCCTGGGCAATGAAGTGAGACCTTGTCTTAAAAGTGAAAAGAAGAGAAAAAGAAAAAGAAAAGAATAATGCCTCTAGTAACAATTTCAAAATACTGTCCAACACACTTTGTTTCCTTTTTTGAGACAGGGTCTCCCATGCAATCCAGGCTGGAGTGCAGTGGTATGATCTTGGTTAACTGCAACCTCCTCTTTCCGGGCTCAAGCGATCCTCCCACCTCAGCCTCCTGAGTAGCAGGGACTAAAGGCATATGCCACCACATCTGGCTAATTTTTGTATTTTTTGTAGACATGAGGTTTTGCCATATTGCCTTGGCTGATCTTGAACTCTTGGACTCAAGCAATTTGCCCACCTCTGCCTCCCAAAGGTGGGCATTCCTGCCACCTGCAGGAATTACAGGTGTGAACCACCATGGCCAGCCCCAACACACTTTTGATGGTGGTTAATATTTATCAGTGAGAGTCAAAATAAAAATATTTTTGCTTCTTGAAATGAAAATAACTTTATTTTTCCTGTTTAAGAATTGATGTAAAAATTCACACTTTACTAAGATTTTTTAAAAAGTCAGTTAAAACCAATTCTAGTTTTGCCTAGATGGCATCACTAGTGATATTTTAGTAATTTCTCTCTAGACATTTTTCTGCAGTCACACACACCCATACACATTTACTTTTAGAAAAATGGGATTATATTATACATGCTATTTTAGAATTTGCTTTTCTATTTCATATATGATTAGTAAGTTTCATTTAACATACATTTACATCATTTAATGGCTACAGATAATCTATTGTATTGATAAAATGATTTTCTTTACTTCTCTTTTCTTTTTTTTTTTTTTCTTTGGGACAGAGTCTCGAACTGTCACCTGGGCTGGAGTACAGTGGCATGATCTTGGCTCACTGCAACCTCCATCTCCCAGGTTCAAGCAATTCTCCTGCCTCAGCTTCCCGAGTAGCTGGGACTACAGGCACCTGCCACCACGCCCAGCTAATTTTTTGTATTTTTAGTAGAGATGGGGTTTTACCATGTTGGCCAGGCTGGTCTCAAACTCCTGACCTCGTGATTCACCCTCCTTGGACTCCCAAAGTGTTGGGATTACAGGCGTGAGCTACCGCGCCTGGCCAACAAAATAATTTTTAAAACAACTTTCCATGACGGGATATTGAGATAATTCCCCTTCCCCTATTATTATAAACATTGTTGGGTGAACATCCTAGTGCAAAACATCCATGTTGACTTCTTCAAATATTTCCTTTGGATACAGTCTGTGTCTTGTTCTCATTTTCTATAAAATAAGGAGTTGAATTGGATGATCTCTAAGGTTTCTTCGAGGTACTAATTCAATTCTGGAAGATAAGTTAAATTTGGTTCTCTTGCTTTTGTATATACATACCTTGCACATCCTAGATAAGAAAATATTTATGCTATTCTAAAAATTAAAAATAAACAGTCGGGTGCGGTGGCTCATGCCTGTAATCCCAGCACTTTGGGAGGCTAAGGCAGGTGGATCACTTGAGGTCAGGAGTTCGAGACCAGCCTGGCTAACATGGTAAAACCTTGTCTGTACTAAAAATACAAAAAATTAGCCAGCTGTGGTGGCATGTGCCTGTAATTCCAGTTACTTGGGAGGCTGAGGCAGGGAAATTGCTTGAACCAAGGAGGCAGAGGTTGCAGTGAGCTGAGATTGTGCTACTGCACTCCAGCCTGGGCAACAGAAAGAGACCCACTTAAAAAAAAAAAAAAGATAAACAGACCCAGGGCTGTGGCTCATGCCTATAATCCCAGCACTTTGGGAGGCCGAGACGGGTGGATCACCTGAGGTCAGGAGTCTGAGACCAGCCTGGCCAACATGATGAAACCCTGTCTTTGCTAAAAATACAAAAATTATCCGGGCTTGGTGGCATGCACCTGTAATCCCAGCTACTCAGGAGGCTGAGGCAGGAGAATCACTTGCACCTGGGAGGTGGAGGTTACGGTGAGCCGAGATCACGTCATTGATTGCATTCCAGCCTGGGTGACAAGAGCGAAACTCCGTCTCAAAAAAAAAAGAAGATTAATTAATTAATTAAACAAAAGAAAAGCCAGACTTTTAGAGATCACTAGAGATTCTCTTGGTAGTAGTTTTGTTTTGTTTTTGAGATGGGGCCTCACTCTGTCACCCCGGCTGCAGTGCAGTGGCACAATCACAGCTCACTGCAGCCTTAATCACCCGGACTCAAGCAATCCTCCCACCTCAGACTCCCAAGTAACTGGGACCACAGGCACACAACCATGCCTGGCTAGTTTTTAAAAAAATTATTATTTGTAGAGATGAGGTCTATGTTACCCAGGCTGGTAATATGTTTTAATATCGAATTATAGCTATCAGTTACCTTTTGCCAAGCTTAAACCTGATATTGTCATGTAAATTTATTTAACAAATTTCACTTATTAGCAGAGCATGTCTGAAACTCCTCCTGGAGAATATACTTTATGTATACTTTCACGGCTTAACAGTTCAATTTTTCTCTATTGCTATAAAAACAATTTTAGTTATTCTTGGAAAAGAGAAAGGTTGTATTGACAAAACCTTGCAATTATAAGATAGAGTTATGAGTTTTTCTGCCTAAATTAAGGGACATTGTACACAACCACTGTCCTGTCCTGTTCAACATTCATGTCACAAAAGACAGAAAGGCTGAGGAACTGCTCCAGATTAACAGGAACTAAAGAGACATTACAACTAAATGCAATTCCTGAATTCCGCTTGGGTCTTGAATTCTGGATTTTGGGAAAATTCTATAAAGGCTATTGTTGAGCCAACTGAGTTTGAAATATGGACTGTGTGCTAAATTTTCTGAATTTGATGATTACGTTGTGGTTATGTTAAAAAAATTCTGTTTCCAAGAGTTACACGCTGAAGTATTTAAGTGTTAAAGGGAGTGAAGTCTGCCATTTATTTTCAAATAGTTCAGAAAACAACAACAACAACATATAACTGTGAAGACAGACAGAAAGAGATCAATTTAGAAAAGTAAATGTAGGCTGGGCACCATGGCTCATGCCTGTAATCCCAGCACTTTGGGAACCCAAGGCAGGTGGATTGCTTGAGTCCAGGAGTTCGAGACCAGCTTGGGCAACATGGTAAAACTCTGTGTCTACAAAAAATACAAAAATTAGCTGGGAATTTTGGCATGTGCCTGTAGTCCCAGTTACTCAAGAGGCTGAGGCAGGAGGATGGCTTGAGCCCAGGAGGCAGAAGTTGAAGTGAGCTGTGATCGTGCCACTGCACTCCAGCGTGGGCAACAGAGCGAGATCCTGTCTCAAGAAAAAACAAACAACAAAAGTAAATGTAGCAAAGCGTTAACAACTGATGAATCTGAGTGAAGGGTACACGAGAGTTTTCTAACTATCCTTGCAACTTTTGTAAGTTTGCAATAATTTCAAAAAAATGAAAAGAAAAAAATTTTAAAGTCTCTTTTAGAGCACATTTAACTTTTCTTTCCAAGTGGTGTGGAGTGGGATATGATCAAAGACAATTTTAGCTGTTAAATTTCAGTCAAATGTGAGATGAGACCCTTTCCACAATTTATGACTCTCATATACCACATTATCTGTTCAGTGAAAGGGAATGAATGAAGGAAAAGATAAAAATGCAAAAATAAAATAGACAAAGGCATTCAAGTGAAAAATAAAGAATTAGTGACTGTCTTCTAACAGATTAACTCCGTACTAAGAAAAATTTAACTAATAAAAAATAGAATAGTAGACACCGGGTGCGGCGTCTCATGCCTGTAATTCTAGCACTTTGGGAAGCCTAGACGGCTGGGTCTCTTGAAGTCAGGAGTTTGAGACCAGCCTGGCCAACATGACAAAACTCCATTTCTACTAAAAATACAAAAATTAGCTGGCGCATGCCTATATAGTCTCAGCTACTCAGGAGGCTGAGGGACAAGAATCTCTTGAACCTGGGAGGTGGAGGTTGCAGTGAGCCGGGATCATGCCACTGCACTCCAGCCTGGTGACAGAGTGAGGCTCTGTCTCAAAAAAAAAAAAAAAAAAAAAGAATAGTATAATGAACACCCACTTATCCATAACCTAGAGTTAACAATTGCCAACATATTACCATATTTATTATTTATTATTCATGTATTATTTTTTGCTAATGTATTTTAAAGTAAAGATGTTGCCAGGTATGGTGGCTCAGGCCTGTAATCTCAGCGCTTTGGGAGGCCGAGGCAGGAGGATTGCTTGAGCCTAGGAGATTGAGACCAGCCTGGGCAACATAATGAGACCCCTGTCTCTACAAAAATTACAAAAAAAAAAAATTAACTGAGCATAGTGACTCATGCCTGTGGTCCCAGCTACTTGGGAGGCTGAGGTGGAAGGATCGCTTGAGCTTGGGGGGTTGAAGCTGCAATGAGCCATGATTGCACCAGTGCACTCCAGTGTGGGTGACAGAATGAGACCTCATCTCAAAAACGAAAACAGATGTCATGATCTTTTGCCCCTAATACTTCAGTGGGAACATCTAAAAACACACATTTTTTTCTTCTTTTTTAAAATTTATTTTACTTTTAAGTTCTGGGAGACATGTGCAGAATGTGCAGACTTGTTACATAGGTATACATGTGCCGTGATGGTTTGCTGCACCTATCAACCCGTCATCTAGGTTTTAAGCCCCGCATACATTCGGTATTTCTCCTAATGCTCTCCCTCCCCTTGCCCCCCACCCCTGACTGGCCCTGGTGTGTGAAGTTGCCTTCCCCGTGTCCATGTATCCTCATTGTTCAACTCCCACTTATGAGTGAGAGCATGAGGTGTTTGGTTTTCTGTTCCTGTGTTAGTTTGCTGAGAATGATGGCTTCCAGCTTCATCTATGCCCCTGCAAAGGACATGAACCAACTCTTTTTTATGGCTGCATAGTATTCCATGGTGTATATGTGACACATTTTCTTTATCCAGGCTATCATTGATGGGCATTTGGGTTGGTTCCAAGTCTTTGTTATTGTAAATAGTGCTGAAATAAACATATGAAAACACATATTTTTTAAAAAAATTTTTTCTTTTTTTTTCCTAAACAATTATGTGGATTAAAATTTCTTTTCTTTATATAACATCATTAATATTCCTAATATAGTTTGGATACTTGTCCCCTCCAAATCTCATGTTGAAATTTGATCCTCAATTTTGGATCATGGGGGTAGATCTCTCATGAAGGGCTTTCTGCCGCCCTCACGGTGGCAATGAGTGACTTTTCCCTCTATTAGTTCCTCTGAGATATGATTTCTAAAAAGAGCCTGGCACCTTCCTTCCCTCTCTCTTGCTCCCTGTCACCTTCCACCGTGAATGAAAACTGCCTGAGGTCCCCACCAGAAGCAGATGCTCAATGCCATGCTTCTTGTACAGCCTCTAGAAACATGAGCCAAATAAACCTCTTTTCTTAATAAATTACCCAGCCTCGGGTATTCTTTTATAGCAACCCAAAATGAACTAAGACAATAGCTAACAAGATTAACAATAATTCCTTAAAGCACCTGATTCCTTGTCCATATTGAAATTTCTTCATTTGATCCCAAATGTGTCTTCCATTGATCCACTCAGATAAAGATCCAGTCAAAGACTACATGTTGTACTTGATTATTGTGCATTTTAAGTCTCTCGTGGTCTGAAACAGTTCCCTTCCTTGCTCTGGCCTGTAACTATTTTCCTCTTTTGACCAGCAAATAATCTGTGGTGGCAGGGTGGAGAGGGTGTCAATACAAAGTTTGACTAAGGTTGAGTATATATAACATGGGCTAATCATACAAAAATATTTTACTTATTTATTTATTTATTTTTGAGACAGAGTCTCGCTCTGTCACCCAGGCTGCAGTGCAGTGGTGTGATCTTGGCTCACTGCAACCTCCACCTGCCAGGTTCTAGTGATTCTTGTGCCTCAGCCTCCCGAGTAGCTGGGATTACAGGCATGTGCCACTGCACCCAGCTGAAAAATCTTTTATTTAAACGCCACTGATGTTTGTCTTTCCTAGAAACAAACTGAATATGAACATGGAAGTCAGTATTATTTTTACTATTTTCTCCAGCAGAATGACTTTACCACTCTCAACTTGTGGTTAGCACGAGATATTACATCTAGATACTTCCGAAGGCAGAGGGGAGCAAGAGAAGAAAAGTCATATTAGGACCTAATAATCCTCTTGTTCCCCTCAAAATCCAAACCCCAAATCTAAATCGGTGATACCGACTTTTAAAAGCAAAGCTGCAAATAGGTGATGTGGGTCCCCTCTCCCTCCCCCACTCCAAACAACTTGAGCCTTGTGTAAGCAGCTGCCAGACCTGCCCCGGGGCAAGGAAGAGCATGCAGCAGGTCAGGACGGTATATGACATGCTGGCACAAACACCCGTTGTCCCACCTCCACCCTTTCCACCCTCCGTGCGTCAGCTCCCCTGCAGCACATGCCGTGAGCAACTGTGCTGCTGACAGTGTTATTTCCTGTCACGAAATGAAATGTGTAAATGAAAGTACAAAAGAATGGAGGGATGACTGGTGGCCCTGTCACACTGGTGACACCTAGGGCCTAGCTGTAGGAAACATGTCTGGCTGGCTGCCCCGCCTCCTCACGCCAGTGCTTTTCCCAGCCTGAGCATCTCCATCTCTCAGTGATATGCTGTCCAGGCTTGGAACATTCTGCTCCTTTGGCCACTCCAGGTGTGGGCATCTCTTGCCTCCTGTTTTACATTGGTTTTTCAGTCTGTCACAGTTGAATCCCTTTAGCTGTTCACACTGTACTGAGATTATGGGCCCATGGATCTCTGTGCTGGAAGGGATGTCATTGGCACCAGCACCCACCCAACAAATAGTGGAATGTCCTTGTCACTATTGCTTATATGCAGTTGGTGAAGTGGTTAAGAGCAAAGACACCCTTGGTTCACATTCCTGGCACCTACTGGCTATATAATCTTACACAAATTACTTAGTCGCTTTTAGTTTCCTCATTTGTAAAATGTGTGGATTGGCAGGATGAATATCTATCTGTAAAACACACACAGCAGTGCCTAGCTCATAGCAAGCATTCTATAAGTGTTGCTATTTGCATATACCTGTCCAATCTCTTCATAAACACATCCAGGGATGTGAAGCTCATGAAGCTACCTTTACAAGGAAGCAAGCTCATAAAACAAGACATTTAATCTTTGGTGAATTCCAACAATCAGATACAGCTCCTTATAGTGTGTGATTATTATAGGGAAAGAAGGAAATGTGTTGCCAAAAATATACTGGGCCTTGTGGAAGATTTTTGGCTACATTCTTGTCACCTTGTGGAATTATTTATTCCCATTTTATCAATTTGCATGTGGCAAAACTGAAGCACAGAGGATTTGGGAAATTTGTCCAGAGTCAAACAATGAGTAGATGGTTGAGTCAGGATTTGAACTTGGGCTTTTTAGACTCTAGCATCTTCAAATATTGGAAGATAGTAGTCATTTTCCAATGAGACTTTAGTTTTTCACAGTGGTTGGCACATAATAAGTTATCAAATGATAGATATTGTGATCTATTTGTTTGTTTTGTTTTTTGAGACAGGGTCTTGCTCTGTCACCCAGGCTGGAGTGCGGTGGCACTATCATGGCTTACTGTAGCCTCAACTTCCCAGGGTCAAGGGATCCTCCCACTTCAGCCTCCTGAGTAACTGGGACCACAGGCGTGTGCCACCACGTGAAGCAAATTCTCGTATTTTTTGTAGAGATGGGGTTTCACCATGTTGCACAGGCAGGCTGGTTTTGAACTTCGGGCGACCTGCCTCGGCCTTCCAAAGTGTTAGGATTACAGGCATGAGCCATCATGCCTGGCCATGACTGTTAGTTTCTATAATACTTTGTATGTTGTCAAGGCCCTTTTGAACCATCCCTTCCTGCATACAATATGCATTTATTCGAACCCTCCATCAGATGCTTGGCTTAGGCTCTTCTTGGTCATGGCCAGGATGGAGTGCTCCTGAAGCAGCCTGTTTCATTTTGGATAGCTCTTATAATTGGCTTTATTCATTTATTTATTCAATGAATATCTAATGAGAGCTGAGATCTCAGTATGTCAAGCACTGAGCTATACACTGGGGATACAATGGGAAATGAAAACAGCAAATTCTTCAAAAGAGTGAAACATATTTTGCATAGATTGATCTTCCACCTACTGCTATCACTTCTGCCCTCTGAAGCAACAGAAACAAAAGGTTAATTTGTGCTCCCCACAATAGCTCTTCATATATTTGAAGATGGTTTTTCAGTTTCCTGTGTGACTAAGATTTTTTTTCTCCAGGCTCTCCTTGTAACAGTAGTATTTTCTTTAATACTGCAGATGATCCAAAGATGATGAAAGAAAATAGGTCTTATTTACTTTTTCTGAGACTCTGTTTTCTTATCTGTGAAATGAGGATAATTATACCCAACAGATGATATTGTATTACTTGTCTGAAACAGAGTAAACATGTCTGTGCATTAGTGTGCATTAACAACATTAAATAACTTTAACTATGCAAACGTGTACTATGTATTCTTATAAATGGGTCAGATTGACTAATTTACTGCGTAACCACTCTGTGGGGGTAGGTAATGAATATTCTTATTTTACAGAGAAGACAATGAAAGCACAGAGAGGTTAAGTGACTTGTCCAAGGTCACACAGCTAGTAAGTAATACAGCTGAAACTGGATCGGAGACAGCATGGCTTGAGAACACTGGTTGAAAGTCATTTTTATACTAGAAGGGGCTGAATGAGGGAGAAGAGTCAAGTGTTCAAAAGGTAAAAGGTAAATTAAAGTCCAAACTTGGAGTCTCATCTTTCACCAGTGGTATGTATCAGCTACTATTTTAAATAATTACCTACAGTTTGAAATTCAGTCTCTCAGATTCACAGTCTGGATATCTGGCCTTAAATGGGGCTTCCTTGTTCCCTGTTTGCAGCATCCAGTCCATTTAGCTCCCGCCTCACATGTTCTGGCTCTCTTTATATCCCAATGTACAGTTATTGGCAGCAAATATTAGTTAGTATTTTTTCTCGACACATCATTTGTATGTTTCTTTCACTGCTTCAAGTCACAGCTTACAAACGTATCTTTTCACTTAAGTGTGGTTTTCTTGATATAGTTTGGTTTTTAGCTATTTACCACTCTAAATTTGTCTGCTAAACAGGGAAAGCATAGTTTCAACTTAAATCATAAACAAAGGGATAATTTTCTTTCTTTCTTTCTTTCTTTTTTTTTTTTTTTTTTTTTTGAGACAGAGTCTTGCTCTGTTGCCCAGGCTGGAGTGCAGTGGTGCGATCTTGGCTCACTGCAGCCTCTGCCTCCCGGGTTCAAGTGATTCTCCTGCCCCAGCCTCCTGAGTTGCTGGGATTACAGGCACACACCACCACACCTGGCTAATTTTTGTATTTTTAGTAGAGACGAGGTTTCACCATGTTAGCTAGGCTGGTCTCGAACTCCTGACCTCAAGTGATCCACCCACCTCGGTCTCCCAAAGTGCTGGGATTACAGGTGTGAGCCACCATGCCCAACTGATAATTTTCTTAATACATATAGAGCTTTTACAAATCAATGAGAAAAAGAACAACAGCTATACAGAAAAATGAGCAAAGAATATGAACAGATAGGTCATAGATAAGGAACTAGAAATGACTCTTGTAAATGTGAAGAGATTCCCTCAATTATTACTGGAGAAACACATGTTGAAGTTCTTATATCACTTTTTCCTATGACAAAGATAGATATTTGTCTATATTTATTTCTAGAGATGTATATATCTGATTATATTCACTCAGGTGAGGCAAGGAAAATAGATACTGTCGTATATTGCTCTTGGGAAAACACATTGGCATAACCTCTGTGGAAGACTGACAATCACCTATCAAAATCCTTTGTTTAGGTCAGAGTCTCTCGACCTTGGTTCTTGACATTTTGGACTAGATGGTCCTTTATCCTGTGCATTGAAGGATGTTTAGCAGCATGCTTTGCCTCTACTCACTAGATGCCAGCATCCCTCCCCCAGAGTGTGAAATTAAAACTGACTCTAGACATTGCTAAATATACTCTGGAGGACAAAATCACCTCCATTTAAGAAGACGGGCTGGGGCCGGGCACAGTGACTCACACCTGTAATCCCAGCACTTTGGGAGGCCGAGGTGGGCAAATCATTTGAGGTCAGGAGTTCGAGACCAGTGTGGCCAGCATGGTGAAACCCTGTCTCCACTAAAAATACAAAAATTAGCTGGGCGTGGTGGCATGTGCCTGTAATCCCAGCTACTTAGGAGGCTGAGGCACGAGAATCGCTTGAACCTGGGGGGCAGAAGTTTCAGTGAGCCGAGATTGCGTGCACTACACTCTAGCCTGGGTGACAGAGCGAGTCTCTGTCTCAAAAAAAAAAAAAAAAAAAAAAAAAAAAAGAAGATGGGTCGAGATTTTTTATTGCCGCATACCAATCACCCCAAACTTAGTGGTTTAAAATAACCACTCTTTTATTTGCTTATATTCTGAAATCTGCACGGGGCTCAGCTGAGCATATCCTCTGCTGTTCTTGCCAGTGGTGGGTCAAATGGCTGCATTTATTGGTGGGGCAGGTGGGGCTAAACTCAGCTGGGATATTGAGATGGCTGGCTCTTCTCTGTCTGGTGTCTCTGGTCTTCTTTTCCCACACATGGCCTCTCAGTATAGTAAAAACTGAAGGCACAACACTGTCTCCATGTGGTCTCTTCAGCAGGTTAGCTGGCTTTAACATGACAACTCAGGACTTCCAAGGACACAACAATGAAAGCTGTCTGGCCCTCTTAAAATTGTTGCTGATTTTTAACTAAGTGATTTTTCTATGTTTTTGTATAAAGTGGAGAGTCTGTCTGGAAAATTATTGGACCTTTATAACTTCTTTTGTTTTATTGTGGTATCTGGATAACGGTAGCTCAAGCAGAAATTATGCAAAAAGTTTGCCATTGGCATCTGCTGGGTCCACAATGTTTCAAGCCTTGATTCTCTGGTCCTCAAGCCTTAACCTGCCCTGATCCTTCCTTTTCTTTTTTCTTTAGACAGGGTCTTGCTCTGTCACCCAGGCTAGAGTGTGGTGGTACGATCATGGCCTCATTGCAGCCTCAACTTCTTGAGGATCAGGTGATCCTCCTACCTCAGCCTCTTGAGTAGCTGGGATTACAGGCATGTAACCCCACGCCTGGCCAATTTTTTGTATTTTTTGTAGAAATCTCACCATGTTGCCCCGGCTGGTTTCAAACTCCTGGGCTCAAGCTATCTGCCCGCCTCTGCCTACCAGAATGCTAGGATTAGAGGGATGAGCCTGCACCTTGCCCAGTCTCTCTTTTCTCATCATCATAACTTATCTCACTTTTTAAATTCCTGTCCTCAAGGTCAACATTCTTTAGATGTTAGCTTAACTATCACTTTCTTGGACACGTCTTTCCTGACCACGTCACCTTAAATAAGCTTTTTCACAATCCTGCTCCAACTCGTGTGCAAGTGCTTTTGAAGCCTGTGCTTACATCACGCTTCTGTTGTTACAGTGGCCAAAGCAAGTCACATGGCCAAGTTCAGAGTCAATGTAGGAGAGGACCTTAGTAGAATGTAAATATTGGGAAATGTGGCTTATGGAAGGCCATCGATGTAACTTTTATCCCACTTATTACTCCTAATTTTGTTTATTTCCCTTATTACTGTCTGTATAATCATGTGTTATTATTATTTTTTTCCCCTTGGCTCACTGCAACCTCTGCCTCCTGAGTTCAAACGATTCTCCTGCCTCAACCTTCCGAGTAGCTGGGACTGCAGGCGCGTGCCACCACACCCGGCTAATTTTTTATTTTTAGTAGAGTCGGGGTTTCACCATGTTGGCCAGGCTCGTCTCGAACTCCTGACCTCAGGTGATCTGCCCACCTCGGCCTTCCAAAGTGCTTGGATTATAGGCATGAGCCACCGCACCCGGCCGTGTTATTACGTTATTGGTTTATTTGTCAGTTTCCTTTTATTAGGGGTCCAAACCCCTACTAAATTGTAGGGGCTTTGCTGTCTTATTCAGCTTCCAGAATCTATCAGTGTTTGCTACATAAGACAACAATAAATATCTGTAGAATAAATAATTGAGCTCTGAGTTTTCTAAGCTGTGTTCAGCTCATCTACAAAAGACCCTGTGTTAAGACAATCATGGAAAGGGTTGACATTCCTTCCCTTCTTTTTAAAGCACCGTGTGTATTTTCACAATAGTTTTCTGAAAACAATGACTCAATTTAATCATGTAGAAAATTCTTATATCCAAATGGACTATAAAATCAGATTTTTCTACTTTTGTCATGAATGGCATTTTTCCATTGTATTCTTGAAAACAAAAAGTAGTTGATGATTTCTGTTAGTTTGTTTACATTATTTCAAGTAATTTTTTTCCAGCTTTATTGAGCTGGAAAATAATTGACAAAAGTATAATTGACAAAAGTTGTGTATTCAAGGATACAATGTGATGATTTGATATATGATACATTTTGAAATGATTACCACAATCAAATTAATCAACATATCTATCATATATGTCATAATCCAGTAATCCTGTTTATCTTTCAAAATAGTCTCATGTTCATCCCTTACTTTTTAAAAATTTTAGACATGGGGTCTTGCTTTGTTGCTCAGGCTGGAGTGCCATGGTGCTATCACAGCTCACTGCAACTTTGAATTCCTGGGCTCAGCCTCTCAAGTAGCTATACTACAGGTGTGCACCACCAAACCTAGCTAATTTTTTAGAGTCAGATTCTCGCTTTATTGCCCAGGCTGGTCTTCAACTCCTGGCCTCAAGTGATCCTTCTGTGTTGGCCTCCCAAAGTGCTGGGATTACAGGTGTGAGCCACTGTGCCCAGCTCATGTTCATTTCTTTAGAGAGAAGTGTAGAAATTGTCCAAAAAAAGATTTGTGTAATTGAGCTGGATTGATGATAACTTTTGACATGTTGTTAATTGTGTATTTTCAAATCCATGGTGAGCTCAAGTTTCCTAAAGAGCTCCTTTGTCATCCAGGTGGCCCAGAGGCTTCGCAGGGATTTATTTATTTTTTCTTGTACTTTAGTAAGTTTGTAATAATAACTATGGAAAATTTAGAAAGCTTTGATATAATATACTTTGGGGGAATTTTGACAGCTATGTATTTATGCATGTAAGGTACTCCTAATCTTGCTTTTCCTTTCTGATTATGTGCCTTTGAAGATTACACAGGATCCTGTCTTTCTAGGCAGAACAGGTTAATACTTCTTTGCTGGTTGCCTGGAAGGAACAGGAAGGAAGAGATAAAACCTTGGAGATAATGCATGATTTCAGGATGTTGGTATTATTTCAAATTAAAGTCTATATTCATAACCAGGTTTCTCAATTCTTATGCAAATTCACTATATCAACTCTTCTGGTACATATCCATATGTGAATATAATGAAAATACACTACATTTCTTGTGTGTATTTCTTCAGTTTACACAGATCATGTAATCCTCATCCAGCAAATTTATAAGATATTAGTGGTAATACTGCATATATTGTAGACATGCTATGAGCAAATCTTTTTTTTTTCTTTTTTTTAGACAGTCTTGCTCTGTCACCCAGGCTGGAGGGCAGTGGCACCATCACGGCACACTGAAGCCTTGACCTCTGGGCTCAAGCAGTTCTCCCACATCACCCTCCTGAGTATGTGGGACTACAGGCACACACCACCAAATTTGACCCAGAAAATCTTTTTTCTTTTTTTTTTTTTTGGAGACAGAGTTTCACTCTTGTTGCCCAGGCTGAAGTGCAACGGCTTGATTTTGGCTCACTGCAACCTCCGCCCCCCAGGTTCAAGTGATTCTCCTGCCTCAGCCTCCTGAGTAGCTGGGTTACAGGCGTGTGCCACCATGCCCAGCTAATTTTTGTATTTTTAGTAGAGACGGGGTTTTACCATGCTGGCCAGGCTGATCTCGAACTACTGACCTCAGGTGATCCACCGGCCTTGGCATCCCAAAGTGCTGGGATTATAGGCATGAGCCACCGCACCTGGCCTCAACACAGGAAATCTTAATCCACAATAAATTACAGAAGCAACTTCATTCTAGCTAAGTGACTTCAGGCAACTCATTTCTCTTTTCAGAGACAGTGTCCTCAATTGTGACATGAGAATTAGGGGAATGTTTTTGGGTCTGGGTGCCAGCAGCAAAGCACAACCACTTACATAAAGATGGCTACAGAGCCCCCCCCCCAAAAAAAATACCAAGTTTATATAACTTACTATGCAACAGTGAAATTTATGCCAATTTTGAAGATGTTAGATGGGAATCAGGATGGGATATCACTTTTTTCCAGAAAGTGAAAGTTATGTTTTTGAATGAGAAAAAGAAAAATTTAATTCCCACCGATTTAATAGAATTTAAAATAAAATAATTAAATGTTTTTCCCTTCTCTGACAAGACTGCATCAGAAATTTGGCTATACTGGAACAGAATTGCTTACATCATAATTTAAAGCAAGTGTCCAGAGAGTTTGACAGGAAACATGCAGCCTTCATTGCGAGCCTATGAAGTGTGAGAATGAGGCTGGTTGGACGGAAGGAAATAAAGAAAGCACAGATGGTTTTGTAGACACGCAGCTGTTACCACAGCAAAGAAAGGTCACACTAACATTCTGTAATGTTATTGCAAGGGGTCAATGGGAGGAAAATTTTTCTAAGACTTTTAATTAAGGTGTGGATGGCAAACAGTGTATCAACACCTTACTAGTGAGGCATTAGTCACCTGCACATCAGTCTACACATGTACACTGAGTGCAAAAGGAGCAAATATGAACAGAAAAACATGATTTAAAGATGACCTAGGCAGGGTGTGGTGGCTCACCCCTGTAACCCTAATCCTTTGAGAGGCCGAGGCAGGTGGATCGCTTGAGATCAGGCATTGGAGACCAGCCTGGGCAACACGGTGAAAACCCGTCTCTACAAAAAATACAAACATTGGCTGGGTGTGGTGGCTCATGGCTGTAATCCCAGCACTTTGGGAGGCTGAGGTGGTGGATCACCTGAGGTTAGGAGTTTGAAACCAGCCTGGCTAACATGGTGAAACCCCGTCTCTACTAAAAATACAAAAAATTAGCTGGGCATGGTGGCAGGCACCTGTAATCCCAGCTACTCGGGAGGCTGAGGCATGAGAATCACTTGAACCCAGGAGGCAGAGGTTGCAGTGAGCTGAGAGCATGCCATTGAACTCCAGCCTGGGCAACAAGAGCGAAACTCCGTCTCAAAAAAAAATAAATAAATAAAATTAGCCAGGTGTGGTGGTGCACACTTGTAGCCCCAGCTACTCGGGAGGCTGCGGTAGGAGGATCAAGCTGTAGTCCCAGCTACTAGGGAGGCTGAGGTGGGAGGATCACTTGAGCCTGGGAGACTGAAGCTGCAGTGAGCTGTGATTGTGCCACTGCACTCCAGCCTGGGTGACAGAGCAAGACCCTGTCTCAAAAACAAAACAAAACAAGACAATACAAAACGCTATCTATTCAGACCCTTATAGAATAAAGCACAGTTTGAAGGAATTAATTTCTAACAGCCTGGGGGAAAACAGAAAGGGGAAGAGTGGGTGATGGTGAAGTGAGGTTCTGTCTTAGTTTGGAGCAGGAGAGTGCAAAACAAGCAGAAACCTGGAGCTGCAGAACACAGAGGTGCACAGACTCTTTCCATATCACGGTGTTTGGTCCCCTCCTCTCTCCTAAAGCCTCTGCTGACTCCTTTGTTGCCCACTCAGGGGGCAGTATCACTCATCAAACACTGTGCTAGGCCCTGAGGATTTGAAGTTGAATAAGGCTGTATCTTCAATCTCTAAATCTTCAGGTGCCCAGTCTACCAGCTGTAGGGAAGTAGGCAGGATGGGAAGGGCTGTGAATAAAACCCGCTAAATAACTGCAATGCGGTGTGGTCAGGGTTGCGGCAGGTGTGCGTATGGAGCCATCGGAGCCAAGGGGAGGCCATGATGACTGGCCTTGGAATGTTTCACAGAGAAGGTGAATGTGTGTGTGTGTGTATGTGTGTGTGCATGTATATATAAATATATATACATATATACACGTTAGGGACATTGACCCTCCCATACCCAGCCAGCTTCCATGGATAGATGTGGGGGTCAGTGCCCTTAACCCTCGTGTTGTTTAAGCATCCACAGACATTTAATATAGTCCTTCGGAGATGCAACGACATGTGTGGTGAGGGGTTAGGGCCATCAGGGTACAGGAAGGAGAGGCCTGGCATTTGTCTGGAGTGTGGCTGCTGTTTCTCATCATTAAAAAGAAAGTTCCAGCTTCCTTTAGGTAGTGCTTATTGTATTTATCTCATGGCCTTCACCTATGACCTGGACCCCAAGAGCACTCCATTTCCTATCTCCACCTCAAAGTCTTCGCAAGTGTAACCTAATATAACATTCCAATTTATCCTTGCTACTTAGGAGGCTGAGGCGGGAGTATCACTTGAACTGAAGAGTTTGAGCCCACCCTGGGCAACATAGTGACACGCTATCTCCCCTTGTCCCCCCAGATTTACAATTTAGCCAATCATGGAGGGTAAAGGAGAGATGACAGGAGGCACCAATAACAGAATGTGCTGAGCATTAATGAGAAGTGCAGTGAAGCCCCTTACAGCATTGCCATACTTAATTCTTATAATAACTGCATGGTCTAGGTACTACTATTATTCCCTTTTAAAATGAAAAATGGAGGCGCCTCAGAGAGGCTGAGCATCTGGTTGTGCTAGTGAGCTACAGCACGTGATCTGACTAAAGAGTCTCAGGTCTTAGCCAGTGTATTACCCTGTGTGAATGCACAGTTACAACCAGGAAAAAAATGCAAAATGTGGGCATCCCACTCACTGTGGGGCGTTCTCTCCTTATTTGGAAGAAATAGCACAATGGTGAGGATGTCACATACATGTAAGTGGGTGTGTTAGTCTGTTCTTGCATTGACAAAAGAGGTTTAATTGACCTCGATTCTGCAGGCTGTACAGAAAGCATGATTCTGGCATCTGCTCAGCTTCTAAGGAGGCCTCAGGAAACTTAAAATCATGCAGGGGAGGGAGGGTGGGGGCAAAGTGGGAGCAGGCACGTTACATGGCCAGAGCAGGAGCAAGATAGCGAGGGAGGAGGTGCCACACACATTTAAACGATCAGAACTCTCAAGAACTCACTCACTATCCCATGGACAGTACCAAGAGGATGGTACTAAACCATTCATGAGTAATCTGCCCTCATGATCCAGTCACCTCCCATCAGACCTCACCTCCAATGCTGGGGATTACAATTCAGCATGAAATTTGGGTGGGGACACAGATCCACACCATATCAGTGAGTGACATGGAGATGCACTGCCCAGATTTGCTTGCAAAGAAGGACTTGCTGCCGAGCTCTGGGTGCTGTCAGCAACTGGCCCTTTTGGAGACTGCCTCAGCTGCAGGGTCGCCTTGACCAAGGTCATGTCACGTCCCAGGATGAACGACATCCAATGACTGATTCAGGAGGGTATCTAATGGTCCAGTCATTTAGGCTCAATAATTCCAATGGGCCATCTCTCAGATCCCCCAGTGGGATCAATGAAGGCCATTGGGTACACCCCAGCTACTCCCTTTGCCCATGCTGCTTCCTGCCTGTCCCCCACAGGTGAAACATCTTGTCAGTGTCTCAGAGCCTGCTTCCCTGAGAACTCAATCTGTGACATCAGTCCCATTGATCAGAGAAGTCTGTGTCCTCTTACTTTGTTGGTTTCCTTCATAGCTTCCTTTCACATCAGTTTCCTTTGATTTTTTTTTTTTTTGAGACGGAGTCTCCCTCTTTTGCCCAGTCTGGAGTGCAATGATGAGGTCTTGGCTCACTTCAACGTCTGCCTCCCAGGTTCAAGCAATTCTCCCGCCTCAGCCTCCCGAGTAGCTGGGACTACAGGTGCGTGCCACCATGCCCGGCTAATTTTTGTATTTTTAGTAGAGGTGGGGTTTCACCATGCTGGCCAGGCTGGTCTTGAACTCCTGACCTCAGGTGATCCGCCTGCCTTGGCCTCCCAAAGTGCTGGGATTACAGGCTTAAGCCACCGTGCCCGGCCTTTCCTTTGATTTTTTATGTTCCAGATAAATATCTAAAAACAAAAGTTTATACAATTCTCAAAGATAGGCCACACACAGATTCAATCCCCCTACCCTTTTTTTTTTAGTTAACAGACTATATTTTAGAGCAATTTTAGGTTCACAACAAAATTGAGCGCAAGTGTAAAGAGGTCTCCTACACCCCTGTTCCCCACTAGCCCACTCCACTATCAATCAACATCCATTTCCCTTGGTTTGGGCAATAAATACAGATTGTGGAAATAAATAAGTCCTTTTTAAAACCAAAAATTTTATTAGACTAATGTATATAAATTTTTAATTGCTTGTTTTGTTTTGTTTTGTTTTTTTGAGATGAAGTCTCGCTCTGTAGCCCAGGCTGGAGTGCAGTGGCTCGATCTTGGCTCACTGCAAGCTCCACCTCCCGGGTTTACGGCATTCTCCTGCCTCAGCCTCCCGAGTAGCTGGGACTACAGGCGCCTGCCACCACACCTGGCTAATTTTTTGTGTGTTTTTTTTTAGTAGAGATGGGGTTTCACCATGTTAGCCAGGATGGTCTCTATCTTCTGATCTTGTGATCCACCTTCCTTAGCCTCCCAAAGTGCTGGGATTACAGGCGTGAGCCACCGCGCCTGGCCTAATTGCTATTTTTAACATTTGAGTGGTTTGCAGACTTGATTCCAAGAGGTTCTTACTGTGTGGCCTTGGGAAGACCCTTTAAATTTTCAAGTCCTACTGTCCCATCTTTAAAACGGAAATAATAATTAGTGGGAGGATTTAATTAGACAACATATCCCATAACATATCCTAACTCCAAGCAAAGTGCCTGGCACTTAATAAGGATTCAAAAAATGGATATTTGTAATATAAAGTTGGCCCAGCACAGGCCTCCTATGCTGCAACATATCACCCAAACTCAGTGTAGCTTACAACTGAAGTTTATTCTTTCACACTTCTGGAAGCAGGAGACTGCGCTCAGTTTCACTGGGCCAAAATCAAGGTGTCAGCAGGATCTTGCTCACTTCAGAGTTTCTAGGGGAGAATCCTTGCCTCTGTGCTGGCATTCCTTGCCTTGTGGAGGCATCGCTTCAATCTCTGCCTCCACAGTGGCCAGCCCTCCTCTGTGTGTGCTAACCACCCCCTTTCCCCTTATAAAAGTACATGTGACTGCAGTTAGGACCCATCTTGATCATCCAGAATAATCTCCCCAACTCAAGAAGACCCTTAATTGAATCACATATGCGAAGGCCCTGCTTCTGTCTATGTAAGGTAATATGCACAAGTTCCAGGACTTAGAACCTGTTATCTCTGGGGAGGGAACATTTTTCAGCCTAGCACACGGGTGACACAGTTTCTATCTTTATTAAGCACAATCCAAAACACCTTTGGACCATGAAAACAGTCTTTTGTCCCTTCCATCTTGTTATTCAAAACTATGTTCCTTATTTTAAAAACCTTTCCTCCCTGCCTATCCCAGAAGGGACAGCGGCTCTCAAAGGCAGCTGGGTGAAGTTTCTGTAAGATCTCAGCACTAGCTCGCGCTGCTGTTTTGGAGGCATCTTTCCAAGGCTTTAATTAATTAGAGGATGCATTCTAGCCCTGTTTCCCAAACTTACATATTCCCGATACCTCTGATTCAGTAGATTGCGCGACGTCTGGCAATCCAATTTTTTCTAAGTGCCCCAGGGGATTCTTATCATCAGCCAAGATTTGGAAACAGTAATTTCTTATACAAAGTCCTGAACTAATACCCTTGAAATAGGGGATTCCCCTTCACTGCCGGGTGTGTCGCGGTTACAGGACTGAGTTTGTTGAGGGAGGAGGAATGAACAACCCTGAAAACTAAACTATCCTACCTTGTATATTATTCACTGAAAGAGTTTCCTGGAGGGAAAACTTCCAATTCCAATTAAATCGAGGATGACGACGGCCCGGATTTGGCAGTCCTGCAGCTGTCACTAGCTCGGGACCTCGTGCGTCTGAGTGATCCAGCCCGGGCCGCGCCCTCACCCAGAGCCAAGGCTGTGAGAGCAGCTCCAGCGAGGGGGCAGGGTGGCGGCGGCAGGGCTGCTTCAGGGCCGGTGCCGGTGTCCTCAGAGCGGCGTTTTGGCACTGGGGTGGGCCGGGGCGTGGCTTTCGGCGCCACCTCTGCAAGCGGCCGCCACTCCAGAGTGGCGCAGGTAGGGGGCGTGGGAAGACCTAAGTATATTTATTCCGGCCTGCGAGCGGGATGCTGGGGTTGCTCCAAGGGACCAGAAGAGCTGCCCTGTGTCCCAGAGCAGGCTGGTTCTTCTGACAGCGCTGAGAACCTGGCGCTCGCGCCTGGCCAGGTAGGGGCTGTGACTGGACGCTCAGAACATTTGTGGGAGTGTGGAAATCTCTTTACGGGTGATGGGGCTCAAAGTCTGACGCAGCCGAGGGTTGATGGGGTGCAGTCACGCTCAGCCAGGGGACTTTGGGGGCGCAGTGTCAGGCTCAGCCAGGGAGTGACAGGCGCAGTACCAGCCTTATCTGGGGGTGCTGGAGGCACAGGCTCCGGTTCGGCCAGGCGGGTGTGCGCGCCCAGGAAGGGTAGGAGCCTGCAGCCGCAGCGGGGGGCGCTGGCTGGGGCTCTGCCCCGCCGGCAGTGCGCTCGGGCGCTGTTCCAGCGCGCGGCAGCGAGTGGCGCTGAGCCTCCGCTTTCGCAGCTCGCGGGGAGCGGGGCCGGCGGGAGGGGCCGGGCGGGGCCACCGCCTCCTCTGATGGCAGGCTCCTCCTCTCCCTCCGCCTCCCTCGCTCTCCACCGCCCGCCCGCCCGCCCGCCCAATCCACAGTTCCCGGCCCAGCCGAGCCGGGCTGCTTGTCTGGCCGGCGGAGGCTGAGCGCGACCCTAGCAAGCCGCGGCGCCCGCCGACCAGGGACAAGAGCGACTCCTGGGACCCCACTCTGCCCCGCGCCGCCGCCTCCTCCCCTGTTGTCGCGGGGACGCTCAGGCCCGCGCCGCCCGGGCCACGATTCTCCTCCTCTTTCTCCCGGAGGGGAAGGAACGGAGAAAGCCGAGCGGCGGCTCCGGGAGAGAGCGAGCCGAGGCCCCTGCCCCCGAGGCTCGGGGCAGGAGGAGGAGGAGGAGGAGGAGGCGGAGGCGGAGGGAAGTGCGCGTCACTCTCGGGAGGAGAGTATTTCACCTCCAGGCAGAGGCTGCGGCTGCCAGTTGAGTACGAGCGGCAGCTGCGGGCGCCGGCAATCGAGTGGCTTCCTGGCCATGGAGAGGAGATCTGGACCCGAGGACGCCAGGGACTCCTCTCCGTCTCCCTGGACCGCTGTGTAGGCACCTGAGTTAACGGACGCTAAGCGGGGTAGGGGAAGGTAAGAAGCGACTCGGTCACCCGCCCCCCCACCCCGCTCCACCTCGTTTGCTGCCCTCGGGGGCCACTGCGGGGACGCAGACCCGGGTCTCGCCCACCTTTTCTGCTCCCGGCGGCCTGGCCGGCTCCGGCGTTGGGCATTTCTGCCGAAAAGGAAAACGTCCTCCCGCCCTTCCCCCGTGCGCCTCCTTTCCCGGTTTCATCTCTGGATTGGGACTGACCCGACTCCCCAGGAGTCAGTCCTCTCTTCTTAAGAAAGGGTCCTCGGGAACGGTGTCTTGATTTCTTTCTCTCCACTCTCTCTTTTCATTACGTTTACGGGGAAGGGAACAATGGACCTTTCAAAGTCGGTGCGAACAGCCTTAAACTTTCTGGAGAGGGATGGGGTGAGGGGATAAACCCCACAGTAAGCCGATTACAGTGAAAGGTTGATGGAATGTGCTTTGCAGTCCGGGCTTCAGTGCGCGCGCGCTTGTGCGTTTGGGGTCATCTTTGTCTCCTTACAATTCCCCTGGGTTGGTGGGTCCTCCGCCCTCCGCCCCCTGCCTCTCTGTTAGCTGAGGTAAGGTGAGGCTTTAAAATCGTGTACAGCTTCCTTTAAATCTGGGGAATAGCCTTAGCCCTGGACCCTATTCCCAGCTTTTCTCTGCAGAGTTGGGAGATCCTGGTAAAGGAGGGGGGCCCTCTCTGTGAGGACCCAGAGTGCTGCTGTTAATAGCACTAGTGGCTACACCCTTAGCGATAAAACCAAGGTCCTGAATTCCCTGGATGCTCTCTGCTGAGGGTTGATGAGTGTCACCAGACTTCGACCTGGAGCGGAAACAGCTCACTTGAATTCTCCGCAGGTTAGGAAAACAGACTTTGATATATATCTCCTTTTATCAGCAGTTGGGATTAAGGATAGACTGCCTAATAATTTTTAAAACTTTCATTGTGCACATGAGCTACTCACTGCCTTGAGTTCACTCCCCTTGATTCAGTGTGACAGAGTGATGCGCTGCTGCACAGTTGCATGTATTGAGATGTGCTGCTCTTCCCGGTAAAAAGTGAGAAGAATTTAGAGAGAGGGGAAAGGGTAGAGGCTTCACCTGAGCTGAGGGAGGCCTGACTCCCCAGAGCAGCCAGGCAAATCTGTTGGAAATGGCTCAGTGTTAAAAAAACACCTTTAAAATGGTTAGCCTTATCTTTCTTTGGTTGGCTAGAATGGAGCTACTAATGCTTATTTGACCCTTGAAGGACGCTTGTTCTTTTCAGAATTGGTCTGGGTATCATACTGTGGTTGTGGGTCTGATTACCTATACAAAGGGTTCTTTTTAGTTTGCATTTCTGGGCAAAGCAGAAGAATGTGTAGTAGGCATGTCCTCTGCTTAGTAAACATTGGGTAGCACTTTAGAGTGCTTTTCTCTTCACACCGAAATGACTTCCCCCAGCTTCTGTGTACCTGCATTAGAGGATCAGTTTGGGCGGAACTGGAAATCTGTCTTCTGGCTTTCTGTTCAGTCCTCCTGACGCTGTTTTTTTCTGATGTATGTGTGCTTAAAGGCTCAGAAAACTAAGATTAGAAGCGAATTCTGAGTCATCACCTGTTCTTATTAACCTGTGAATGAGATAGTGAGCTGAGGACTCTCCTGTGTGTGGACAGGGAAATAGAATCTGTAAATTCTTACATGGTGTTTATCTGGATATTCTGTGTCACAGTTAATTATTTGAGTAGTCTCCTTCCTTGATCTAGTCTGTAACCAGTGACTTTTCAGAAATGTCAGATTCATAACAGGAAACCAGAATGGGGCAACACTTCAGTCATGTTCTAATAGGCCTAATCAATGCTGTCCTCAAACAGCTATCAAGAAAAGACAAGCTGGAGGGTAATGTAGTCTTGTGGGCCATTATCTTGAAGTTGACAGGGTACTGCTTAGAGCTACATGCTTTGGGCAAGTTTCTGAAATTGAGAAAGACAAGCCACATTTTAGAAAGAGGAAACTTAGGCCGGGCACAATTGGCTCACGCCTGTAATCCCAGCACTTTGGGAGGCCGAGGCAGGTGGATCACCTGAGGTCGGGAGTTTGAGACCAGCCTGGCCAACATGGTAAAACCCTATCTCTACTAAAAATACAAAAAAAAATTAGCCAGGTGTGGTGGTGCACGCCTGTAATCCCAGCTACTCGGGAGGCTGAGGAAGGAGAATCGCTTGCACCTGGGAGGTGGAGGTTGCAGTGAGCCGAGATCGTGCCACTACACTCCAACCTAGGTGATGGGAACGAGACTCCATCTGAAAAAAAAAAAAAGAAAAAAAAGAAGAAACAATAATCACTACCAAATTCATGGTCTTAGACTCACATGGAGTGCTGTATGTAAATGTGTGCATTGTGATGTGTGCTCTAAAATATGTATGAGCATTGCATCATTCACCCACCCACCATCCATTCAGCTAGCACTTATTAATCACCTATTGTGGTCCAGACCCTCTGGAAGCAATTGCAACACCTGCTTTGTGGAGCATTCATGTTGGTAAAGAGAAGGAGTTGAAGTGGTTGCAACCCGGGAGGCCACAGGGATTGAAGATACCTGTGTCACTTGCAACTAGAGAGATGACAATCTCTGCTATTGAAGAAATGAGCCTAGCCCCGGACATAAGGAAATGAACAATTAGAAGGTCCAATAAGTGCATGTCTGGGAGAATTACGCACAGAACGCTCTAAGAAGCCAGAGAAGGAACAGTTGGGGGTGGGGGAGCAATTTTGTGAGAAATAAAATTTGTTAAATCAGACAAAATAGTAGGGACTGAAAACTAGTGTCAGAAGTACTATCTTAAAATGGTGAAGATTGGAGGACTTGAAGTCAGACTTGGATTTAAAACAAGGCTTGGCACTTGCTAAACATTTGCTGTGGGCAAATCCCCTAATCCTTCTCACGTTGTTTCTTCACCTGAAAAAGGAGTTTTAAAATGCTTTATGGGAATGTTTTGGGGATTCAATTTGAGTAAGTTTGCTATGTATTAATATATGATAAAGTACTGTACAGGCTAATGCTGTCTGGTATCAAAAGGTACTTTCAAAAGTTTTTTAAAGCTATAAATAGATATAAATCATAGCTTAATCAGGTCTCAGCTACAGATTTTCATTTTATTGGCCCTTTCCAGAATGATCTGAATCCCATCTTGAGAGCAAGTCTTTAGACTTTTAAGCTAGTTACTGTCATATGGTATTGCTCTCTTGTCCAGGCTTCTTCCCATCCCAGCCACAGGAAATCTTTTCATTTCTCTTGGATTGTGAGCATTAGTGAGAAGAATGGGCTGTCTAGTACAGTACATCAATTGAAAAGGTCTTGTCTGGTTTTGTACGGTAACATCCATTCTCCCCTCTGCCTCCCAAGCCAAGCTAGCCCTTCTGTTTTCCTCTCTCTCAATATGATGAATATGGAAAAGGAAAAAAAAAAAAAGGAAGAAAAGCTATGCATCTGCCTTTTTGAGAGTATGAAAATCCCCATTACTAGTTTTCTCCATTTGTAAAGAGGTATAATTTTCATCTAGATTGTTAAAGTCTATTCTCTCAATAGCAGCAGCTGCTGTCTAGGCGAATCTGTTAGCAATACTCGCTTTAGTTCTCCACTTGAAATGGACTTAAGCCCATCTGACATTTTAATAAATTGCCTTTGATAGAAATCCAAACTCAGATATTTAAAACTATCAAGTGAACTGTGCCCTTTTGCCAGGGGTGCGGTGGGGAGGGGGGTAATGAATGTAAATCAGTTTTCTAGACACTGCTACATATGCTGAATCTTAGCATGTCGCTTGAAGGGACCTCAAAGATAATATTAAAACAAGGAAGTTGGGACCCAGAGAGGCTAAATAATTAGGTAAGGTCATATAGTAAATTAATAGCCAAGCAGGGACAAGAACTCCTTTGTCCCTGTTTCCAGTCAGCACTTTTTTTTTTTTCTTTCTCAGATATATTCTTATTTTATTCCTGTTTGGCTTTGTTAGCAATTTAATTAGTTTAATGATCAGATAATTTGTATTTGGGCTTTGAAAGTCACTGCTTTCAGGTTTAAGGCAGACACTATGTATATTTTTTCATTGCCTACTACTTACACATGATGGTGGGGTGATGTTACTTGTAACAAATTTCTGGGAAATAAGGAACTAAGTGTAAAAATAGCATTAGCTTTACTTGTATTTTCTATAAACAGGATGGAAATTTAAAGTACTGTAGATGTGCACATTTTTTAGAAGAAGCAAGTTCCTGGAAACCCTGTTCAGATTTGGCTTGTGAATCATAGAATAAAAGCATACTAGAATATGTTTGCATGTTCTTTTTTTTCTTCTTCAAAACTTATGGCTGTAGGTCATGTTTGCTTGTTCTTTTGTTTTCCTGGTACTTGCTTTGGGAAGCCTTTAATATTGGTTGTCAGGAACTATGTTCAGCAACTATTTTATTGCATTCCTAGGATGTGCAAGGCACTGTACTGGTTGCTGTGAGCAATACAGAGATAAATTAAGCATAGGGTTTTTATTAAAATGTCTTTAAAAAAAGTGAAAGACTCATAAACTGTATGTCTTAAAACACAGAATTGCTATCTCCCAACAAATCAGTCCTTTGATCTATAAGGCAAATCTGCTTTGAAATTGTTAATATTAGGGTAACCTAGTAACCAGATTTGTAACAAGACATTTATTTTCTTTACACGGTGAAAAGTGATAAACCTTTTTACATTTGTTGTATCAAGGGTCCATTGTAGTTTGAACAATAAGTAAAAGTTCAATATTTGATAAGAATTTTATGTGAAAAGTTTGCCTGGTAGAGATTGTGGCATTCTTAATCCTCATATTTTTTAATAAGGCTTTACCACTGGTTAGAAGTGTCATTAGGATGTTGTTGCCTGAAAGAGTTGAAATTTAAGACAATCCACATTGAGCCCATGAGAAAAGAATTGACCTCTGACTGAGTTTCATGTAAGTATCTTAAAACATATGAATATCCACTATAAATTTGATATCGTGGTCAGGTCAGATTAAGTCCCCCTCCAGTGTGAAATTGTTATCGATTTGGGGGCTCTTACTTAATTATTGGTGTGCACTTTGGAGACAGCAAGCCTTCTGTTGTCTTAATGGTCTCTGTAATGGTGATTCACTTCCCTGAAGAATGAATCATTTTTTCACATACAATGAAGTTTGGAAAGTTAATTATTAACATTTTAGGAATGGGAAAGATTTAGCTTAACACAGGGACATATGCCTGATTCCTGTTTCAGGAGGAATTAGAAAAATGAGTTCTTGAGGTTTTCTTTTTTTTTTTTTTAAGTTGTGGTTTGAAAAAACATAACATTAAAAAAATATATTTTTTTGAGACAGGAGTCTCACTCTGTCACCCAGGATGGAGTGCATTGGTATGATCACAGCTCACTGCAGCCTCCACCTCCTGGGCTCAAGCTATCTTTCCACATCTCAGCCTTCTGAGTAGCTGGGAGTACAGGCATGCACCACCATGCCCAGCTAATCTTTATATTTTTTTGTAGAGATAGGGTTTCACCATGTTGCCCAGGGTGGTCTTGAACTCCTGGCCTCAAGTGATCCTCCCACCTCAGTCTCCTAAAGTGGTGGGATTACAGGCGTGAGCCACTGCACCCATACTAACATTGCTTTTTAATGCCACCAGTGCCACCACTATAAAATCAACTTTATATGAGGATTTGAAAAATATGCTTGAGCAGGGCTTGGCTGAGTCTGAGGTTGGCTTTAATCTTCAAGTGTTTTTTCTTGCCTCCTGTTAGTGCTTGCAGCACTTGGGCTTGTCACGTAGCCCCTGTTTGCCTGTTATGCTGCTGCTAGCCAGTTTTTTTTTTTTTTTTTTTTTTTGGTGACGGGGCTGGCATGGGGTCTTGTTAGGTTACCCAGGCTGGAGTGCAGTGGCTCTATAGTAGTCCTAGCACACTATAGTCTTGAACTCCTGGGCTCAAGCCATCCAACTGCCTCGGCCTCTAAGTGGATGGGACTACAGGTGCACATCATTGTTCACCTCTTCCTAGCCACAGTGTATCCCTATTCGGCTAAGTGAAGTCCAGCTGCCACTCTAGTGCTGAGTAATTACTTGTTCATTAGAAGTTCTGCCTTTTGACTCTGTAGCACCCTTGAGTCTTGAGGAACATAGAGGAAACTGTTGAGAATGTGTAAGATGGCCCTTTTGTTTGGCTTAGGTTTCACGTGGCCTAGGAGGAGAGGGACTATGACTGTTTTATATTCTGGCCTGGAACTCACCTGCAGGTGACACCCTTTCAAAGAATATGAAAGACTTCTGTAGTGTGTCACC
Source organism: Homo sapiens (assembly GCF_000001405.40). Taxonomy (NCBI): domain Eukaryota; kingdom Metazoa; phylum Chordata; class Mammalia; order Primates; family Hominidae; genus Homo; species Homo sapiens. Next base: position 71,762,052 of record NC_000009.12, on the reverse strand, counting down.
CTCCCCTCCCTCCCATACTTTTTAGTCACTATTGGGCAACGTGTCGTCATTTAAATGGCGGAGTTCAGTGGTAGACTTTAGTTTACACATGCAAAATAAGAAAGATATTAGTAATCGTCTGGTGGTGCACATTTGGGTGAGTAAATTTGCCAGGGCTTTTAGAAAATTAAGCTCTATTCCATTCATAGGGATTTAATAAACTCAAGCAATCACCTCCTCAGCCCACCTTCTTTGCCTCAACATTCAGTTTAATTACTTGTTTACTTGTGTTGTCTCCCTACTCTTTCTACCCCCAAATGCTGGGCTGTGAGCTTCTTGAATGTAGGAACCATGTTTATTTTTTGTACTATTGGGTCTCCAGTGTCTAGCAGAACCCTTTTCTCATAAGAGATGCTCAAAGCTGACCTTGTGCCCTGTTTGAAAAGGCTTTATTCCAAGTGGTTTAAGTTATATTAAAAATAGGCTATGTGTTACAGTTGAAAGAAATAGTCAACTTGGGTTCTGGTCCTGGCCCTGCCATTGATAGAAACTTTACTATGATGCTGGATTGAACAGCCTTGGATTATTTCAGTCTGGGCATCTCATTATTCATTTGAAATATTTCTAGTGTGAAAGGCACATCAAAACATACCCCTTCTGTTTCCTATTGTCATTGCATTTTGGTATCTGTACATCACTAGATCATGAACTTTGGCAGGTCTTTGCTTGTTTTTCAAACACATCCCTGTTGTCTTTTCATTTTTCCCACCTTTCAACATTTTGCCAACATAACTTTCTTGGTTTTTTCTTCCTGAGAAGTATTTTAATGCATTGTCTTTGGCCCTCTGCAGAGAATGCAGCCCACAGGCAGTTCTGCCCTTTGCTATAACCTTAATTAAATCAGCCTCTGTCAGGACAGACTTCGACTTTGGTTCTTTCTTTGGAAGGCCAGCTGCAAGGCTGGTGACGCGCCTGCACTTGCCATTGTGTGCCTCTGCACTGCCATCCGTCACTGCCAGCAGGTTGGAAGCCTCTCTTGAATCTTCCCAGCCAGTTGAGAACAAGGGCGAAGGGGGATGGTCTAGGATCACTGGGAAGGAAGGGAGAAAAGAGAACAGCTTTTCAATAAAAAGAATTAAGGAGAAAAAGAAATATGAGAAATATTAATAGGAAAAAAGGAAACCGAAGGGAATAGAGAATGACTGGTAGGTACAACGACCTTTTTCCCTTTTTTCTAATTTTCTGGGTTGAAGAACAATCTATCTCTCTGCAGTTTATCTTCTAGTTCTTTACTTCCACCTAGAGGCCTATGTACTTTGCTCTCTTTTTATTTTTATTTTTGGTTGCTCAGAGAGTGTTAGCTGTTCTTAATTGCTACCCTTCCTCCCCGCTTGGTCTGTAGTAGGTCTGCAGTTTTTTCCTTTTATGTTTTTCTTTTTTTGGGCATGATAATACATTTTAACCTTTTGGCCGTATCAGCCTCATTGGCTTTAGGGTCAAGCATTACTTCTCATAGACTTGTTTAACATCGTTGGAAAAAGATAGGATTAATTAGTATATTTGGGATCAGAAAAATTAGACAGCTGCCTCCTTTACCTTGCATAAATGACAGAAACATAGGAATGAATTTTAAATATTTCTTTAAAGTCATTTATTTCACTTTAAGAAGTTTTCACTTGGTTCACTTTTGGCATTAAACATTATAAATAGCAGCTCTTTGTTTTGAGGGATTCATATTTTAACAGGAGAGTCCAATGTGATTTGCCGAAGATGTGGCCACTTTAGTGAAACTGTGGCTAAGTTGCTCATCTGAATTCCTTAAATACAGACCATAGGCATTTCTTATTTTGTTATTATCAGGTTAAGCAAACTCTTAGTATTTATAGTTAATTTTTGTTTTTCCAGAGATTTATTTCCTAACTATAGTTTTTTAGTAGTTTTCTAGCAAAAAGACTATAGCTTAATACAAAAGTAAATTTTTAAGCAGGAAAATAAATCTTTCAACTTTAAATAATACTTATTCTAATCCAAAGCTTAGTATCTTTTTTTTTTTTTAAGTAAATTTAGTCTTTTTAGGACTATAGGTTTGAAATATTCTGAAGAAAATAAAAATACTTCACCGCAATATATGGCTTCCCTGGTAAAATGAGTATTTTAAATTAAAAGCCTTTAGAGATCAAAAAGTTCCTGGAGAGACTTTTCCCCTACTACAAAGATAGGACTGACCCCCTGCCATCCCCCCCCCACCTCCCCGTACCCCCCAACAAGGAGAACAATTATCCCTGCTTCTTTCCCTTTTATTTCATTATCCGTTGCAGGAAGGACCAAAAATCTAACCACATCCGAACAGCCCTATTCAAGATAAAGACTACCTCCACGGATCATTTAAATTCCAAAAAGAACTATCTAGAAGTCAATTTCTGTTTCCCCATCCAATCATTCTCCCTAGTAATCATTTATTCCCTCAATAGAATTCCTCCTCTTCTCCTTCCCATAACCTTTTTTACCAGGATCCAAGCCCTCATTCTCCCTGGAACCTCAGGATATCATACAACTTCTGTGCCTCATTGGGAAGTTGGGTTTTCCTTCTGAAGGCTCCCATGCTTACACATTAAATATGTCTTTTCTCCTGTGAATCAAACTGCCTCATGGCAGGGATTTTAGTGAACTTTCAGGGAGCCAAAAGCCTATGACCCCCACAGTTTCTTATACTTTCGCTGTATTATATTTTAATAGGTTTTTGGGGCAGGCAAGATTTTTTTTTTCTTTAAGGAAGGAGATAATCTGAGTGATACGTGGTGTGAATCTAGAAGTCTGATGCATACAGATGTTTATTATAACAATAGCTTAACTTGGGAATATCACTTATATGTGTCTAAATCGATCAAATAGATAAAGCAGGTAGGGACATATAAACAATTAGGGGTTCTCAGTCCCTTGTCCTTTCCCTTCATAGGCAGAGGTTTATAATTAAGAGTTGGTGCATTTCCCTTCTACCTCTGAACATTGACCTGGCTATAATCTGCTTAATAAAAGTAAACAAAGATCTGTGTAAGTAAACTAACTGTGCAGAGTGTCTTATTTCTTGGAAACATGCCAAACAGTTGCAGGTGATTGTGACTCATACTGATTTTTGAGAGTTGAAGGAAAAAGACAAAAGCGCTGTGACAAGGGCAAAGAAATAATGGAGAATGCGCCTTGTGGGACAGTGTGAAGGCATGTCCTGTGGAAAATCTTCTATTTTAGGAAATCAAAATATTTTACCCCCAAATATATTTCTTTGACATATTTTGAGATGTCAGCAAACAGCAGCAAACAGAAGTCACCCTGCAAAGCAGTCTTTTATGGGGGAAATTTGCATCTATAGAAAATATGCATTAATGCAGCCAGGCTTTCTCTTGTCCGGTTCTAGGAAGGATTAATTAAGTCTGACTCCTTACAGATCTGAAAGAGACATTTGCCGTCTCTCCTCTCAGGGGTGCTACCTGTGAGGTTCGGTTCATCTACATAACAAGACCACCTTTGCTTGCCAAGCCTCCTTACATAACCTGTCTTACAGCTAAAACCTGATTTACTACTGTAACCTGTTTTCGGCCATGCTCTGAGCCTGCATTCTTTCTCCAATTTCTAGAAGGTATTTACACACTTCTGTACCCCACCAGGGGGTTGGGTTTTCATTCTGAAGTCTCCTGTGTATAACACATTAGATAAAGTTTTGTGTCTTTTCCCCTGTTGATCTGGCTTTTGTGAGTTGATTTTTCAGTGAACCTTCAGGTGGCCAAGGTCCTTGGCCCCACACCTGTTTAGAGGTCTAAGGGTTTTCAATTCTTTGAGAGTATGCTAATACACAATCGAGCAGATCTCTGAATGAAAGTTGACTTAATTGTTTCAACCATATGTCCGTTTTCTCATAAATAGCTGTATGTATAGACCTAGCATTTATGTTGAATTCTTTGCAGTGGTTGTTTTTTTAAAAAATGTATATTATCCTGTGTGCTCTGGGAATAGAATAGGTGATACATTATATTCTGCTAAACTACGTATAGAAAGATTCCTCCCTACCCAAACTCTTTGAAAACCTTTATAATAGTTATTTAAGTACATAATCTTCTTGAGAGTATTGGTCACACTTAATTATTTATTTGAAACTTGCGGAATTAGAGGACCTAAAAAGTCTGCTTTGCTAAGGTTATTTTCTAATTGAACACTTTTTTATGTACAGGGTATTTGTTGAGTTCACTGTTTGTCAATGGACATAATCTGAATCTAAAACAAAACTAAATGAAACGCCCTAACCCTGCTTCCCCTCAAACCAAACCAAACCAAACCAAACCAGAAGATCTAAATGGTGATCCCTGATGGTTATTCTTTGTTGTGTTCTTCTCCTGAAAGTAGGAGGTTGGGAATGTGGAATTATTAATTGAAAATTCAAGGCAGTTAGAATCTGGTTAAATATTTTATTAGGTCAAAAGTACAAATAATTATAGTATCATCTGTTTTCATGATAATTCATGCTCACTCCTCTTTTTACTTTTTGCTGCATGTTTTTACTTTTTGGGCATACTAGTGAATGTGTTAGATCTTCTAAGATCGTAATAAAAGAAAAAATGTTCTTAGCCAAATTTTGGCCAGTTGTACTGAAACTCTCCGAAAGCAAAAATTGTAACTTGACCCTTAGGTTGAGTATTGTTTAAAAAATTATGTCCTTGATCAAAAAAGAACTGACCTGATTAGATCGTGCCAACTTCTTGGCTCTTCCCACAAGCCTGAATCTTCCATTCAAAAATTAGTTTTCTTAAAAAGCCTAGGCGTGATTTGAGAGAGCTTAAATGAATCAAAAGTATTGTATTTTCATTAGTTGTTCAATATGAGGGGATGATGGGGCCAATATGCATTTCTTGGACTGTGTGGCTGTGGCACCTTCTCTGCATTGGGTTGGAAGGGCTAGATTATTTGGGGGACTGATGATATAGCCTAGGGGGCAAGTGTCCTCAACCACCATGTAAGTGATAAGTACCTTTGTCTTGCATATTAACATCTCAGCAGCTGAAAGAACACTAAAATCCCTTTTAAAGAGCTCCTACTAGTTTTGAACTGCTGCCGCTTTCTCTGTGTTGAGAAGCCTTTCTCTTTGATCACAGCATTGAATGGCTGTCAACATAACAAAATAAAGTGGAGTGGAATGTTTCTTTTTTTCTGTGTGCCTACTGCATTTCATAATGTGTAGTTAAAACTATTACAAAATATTGTGAAAGGTTGAATTTATCTAGGTAGTTTGCTGCTCTTTATCTTTAGAATTCCTTCCTGCAGTTGTTAATAATACCTTTTAGTCACCTATTAGTTTTCATACTAGAATTGCATTTTATAAGAATTAACACATAGACTTTTTTTGCTTTAAGTAGTATTGTTCTCAATTTTCTCCTGAATCAGAGAAACTGATATAGAAATTAGTCAAATTGCCCAGAGCCTCAAGGATGTCAAAGAAGGATTAAATAGGAAATTTCTCTCTCTCTGTCTCTCTTTCTCTTGTGTGTGTGTTTGTGTGTGTGTGTGTGTGTGTGTGTGTGAGAGAGAGAGAGAGAGAGAGAGAGAGAGAGAGAGGAATCTGTAGTTGAAGAGATTCTTTGGGAGTATGCTTAGACAAAATCAAATTGATTTCTGAATGAAAGTGGACTTAATTTTTTCAACTATTTGTTTCCTCCTCAATAACTACATGTATGTATATACATATATATATACACACACACATACACACGCACATATATATATGCTAGGTATATATATATAGGTATATACATATACGTGTGTATATATACATATATATATATATATATACACCTATATACATATATATATAGCCTATCTATCTATCTATCTATCTAGCATTTTTGCTTAATTCCTTGGCAGGAATTTGTGATCTAAATTCAACAATCATTTGTTGAGTATCTACTGTATGTTGTATGTAAGCTTTTGCGAGAATACCAATCACTCCTGGTCTCAAGAGGCTTGTGGTCTGCTGCAGATGGACAAGTACATAAATTAACTGAAACATAAGGCAAAAAGTAAGATGATCCTGTAAGAGGTTTTTTTTTTTTTTTTTTTTTTTTTTTTTGTGAGACAGAGTCATGCTCTGTCACCCAGGTTGGAGTACAGTGGTGCAGTCAGTTTGTTGCAGCCTTCACCTCCCAGGCTCAAGTGATCCTCATGCCTCAGTCTAGTGAGTAGCTAGGACTAAAGGCACATGCCACCATGCCCAGTTAATTTTTTTGGTTTTTAATAGAGATAAGGTCTCACTCACTATGTTGCCCAGGCTAGTCTCGAACTCCTGAGCTCAAGCGATCCTCCTGCCTCAGCCTCTCAAAGTGCTGGGATTACAAGTGTGAGCCATTGTGCCCTGCTAATTTATGGAAACTTGAGAAGGGTTCATGGATGAGATAGTGTGGTGTTTGAAAGCATTAAATGAGAATAGCTCAATTTTATTAAAATCATGCCTCTCCTTTATTTATTTAATTTTATTTTTTATTTTTTTAGAGAGTCTTACTCTGTCACCCAAGCTGGGCTGCAGTGGTTCATTCATGGCTCACTGCAACCTTGAACTACTGGTCTCATGCAATCCTCCTGCCTCACTGCCTCCGCCTCCGGAGTAGCTAGGGCTACAGGCATGGAACCACCACAACCAGCTGATTTAATTTTGTGTGTGTGTGTGTGTGTGTGTGTGTGTGTGTGTAGAGACAGGGTGTCTCACTAGGTTCCCAGGCTGGTCTTGAATTCCTGGCCTCAAGCAATCCTCCCATATTGACCCCCCAAAGCACTGAGATTACAGGTGTGAGCCACCTTGCTTGGCCAAAATCATGCCTCTTTTTATAGGTAAAAAAAAAAAAAAAAAAGCATGATTTCCTTTAATGTTATTGAAATCTCAAAATAATTGCTTTCTATGTTTAGTTACTGTAATTTATTACCAAATAAAGTGGATGCTCTTACCAATTATACAAGTCTCTCTCACTTTGAACTGCTTTTGAGGTAATACACCAGTTTTTTTTCCCAAGAGAAGAATTTAATTTAAAATAACAGTGAGTTTTTAAGGTATCTTTTTGTGGGGGCAACTGAGAATTAGACAAAAGCACTAGCTACTTTTTGGAATGCTTATGTTTTTCCAGCATTTGTATTTTTTTTTAACAGCATTTGTATATTTTAAGTAGATATGTTTTCGTAGTCTGAGTCACTTCTTTATTATTTAATTTAATACTGCCTAAATTGCCTGTGCAATTTTCTAATTGCTTTGCTTACTTGCTTGCTTGATTCATAACCAAGCCTTTTGGGCTACTACTTTTTATAATCCAGTAAATAAATACTCACAAAACGACTCTCTCAAGGAATATCTAAATACCAAAAATTATGTTTTAAAAGCTTTGTAGAGTACATTGCCAATTTTAATATGAATGACTTAGATTATCCCCATTTTGGATTATCTGTCTTATTTTAGGTGTTGTCACAGTCTGTAGTTTGTCTAAAAATGTGTCATAAAATACTCATATGCTCCTTCTTCATAGCATGTGTTTTCCACTAGAAATACGACCATTTAAAAAAAATAACATGTGATACAAACTGAGTATTAAAGTGAAATACTGGTCTGTAGCGAAATTATTAAAATGGTGCTTAAGTTTGCCTTGAAAGCCAGAGAGGACTACATTGTCTTTTCCCTAGTAGACTCCTCTTTTGTTCTCAGGACCCCAAACACAAGTACTAACAACTTTAGGGATTAAACAGCCATTGTTGAGATTGCCTGGGAAACTTGGTCAATTTCACTTGCCTTCCAAACAAGTGATTTATTTTATTTTCTTTAAAAAATCTTTTTTTTATTATTATACTTTAAGTTCTAGGGTACATGTGTACAACGTGCAGGTTTGTTACATAGGTATACGTGTGCTATGTTGGTTTGCTGCACCCATCAACTCGTCATTTACTTTAGGTATTTCTCCTAATGCTATCCCTCTCCCAGCCCTCCACCCCTCAACAGGCCCAGTGTGTGATGTTCCCTGCCCTGTGTCCAAGTGATCTCATTGTTCAATTCCCACCTATGAGTGAGAACATGTGGTCAAAACAAGTGATTTAAAATTGAATTTAGGAATTGCATTTCTTGGGGATGCTGTAAATCTTTTTTCTGTATACCCCATAGTTCCTACCACAATCCTCTAACGATAGCAAGAGCTCACAATTAGCTTACTGAATGAATGAAATGTTGATTTTTTCACGAATAATTTAGATCTATAATTATCAATAAAATATATTTTTAAGTAATTAATACATAATATTGTGCCTGAAGTAAATCCACAAACATAAAGTGAAATCCTGAAGCAATGTATCTTATATTTTTAAAAAATTGAATAAATTGAGGAAGCTATCTGTTTAAAATATGATTTTTTTGGTTATTTTATTCTAATACATGGTGCAACACTATATTACCTCTTATGAAAAGAATCTTGTATTTGCTGCTTATACATTTACATATTTTTCAATAAAGTAGAGGTAATGGATTCAGAACATGTGTATACACATTTACATACATGTTTTGCAGGAACTTTATAGGAAAAACACGACCATGCTTATTTTTGATTTATTGACCCCTTTAGTTTGTGACAGATGCCATCTGAATTTTCATGTTGGGATCCATTTTTTGACCATGAAGACACAAATTATTCCCAGTAGGCTGGTGACTTCATTTAGCCTCTCATGCCTTTTATTTTATTGTGGGCACATCTGGAGACCCATTATCTCCCACCAAAGACCCCCGCCCCCACCAGCCTGTTAGTAATATCTCTCACCCTGAAACAATAAGGTATCAGATGATTGCAGCCTCAGAAACAAAAGATTCCCACTCCCTTTCAGAGCAGATTAGGGCTGTGATTCCCCTCCCACCCTGGTGAGCTGACACTCAAGAATACCTACGTTAGCCCTTTCTTTGTTCAGAGAGGATCATAACGGGGTCTTTATTGTACTCTTTCATTTGTTCCAGCAGAATGTCTCCATTATTTTTGTCTGCTGCTTGGCACATGCAGCAGTTCTTCAATAGCACCTTGAATGGTGGTGTTTTTCTTTTGTCATGAAGCTTGAGCTTCATCTAAATAATTACTTTTGTTCAGAAATCAAACCCCACAAACCAAGTGTTTTTGACAGAAACACTGACTCTGAGAATGTTCTTTGCCCCATGTAAAATCAGCATCAATTCCTGATTAGATTCTCTTTCTGCCCCCATTAATTTCCAGGTCGTTTGGGTCCTGGGAATTGCTTGTTTGTGGCTTCTCTAATGACCATTTTGTGTTTAATGGGTTTGCTGATAGTTTAGAGCAATTTGGAAGTACCTTTATGACTAGAATCTTATTCACTGTTTGGCAGAAGATGAAGGGGATTAATTGTAAGGGTATTGAATGAAGTCAGGTGACTCTGAGATGCTCCAGTTGTTAAGGAAGGGATGTAAGAGGTTAAACACCATGTTTCTGAAGCCATAGGGCACACCATACATTTATCCCCAGTCATTGCAATAAGAACTCTTCCACTTCCCCTTCCCTTTCCCCTTCCTCCCTCCTTCCCTCCCCCTTCCTTCCTTCCTTCCTTCCTCTTGGCAAATTAACAAAGTAAGGTTTCATTCAAAACTTATTCTTTAATTCAAAAACTTATAATTGCTCTTTATAGAGAACGTAAAAAATTAAAAAGGACTTCCTTGTTTTTGTGTGTAAGCTTCTGTTAAAAATGAAGCATGTATAGTTTAAACTTCCTTATGAAGAATTCCTGAGATTAATAGGCCTTTTAGACTTAGCACCCTTGCAAAGCTCATTCTTTGCCTCTCGATTGTTTGGAAAGACACAGTGGTGTAAGTTAAAAGCCTGAACTTTAGAGTAAAAATACCTAGGTTTAAGTCCTGGTTCTCCTCTATATTAACTGTGTGATCTTTGGGGAAGTTAATTAACCTCCCTGGGCCTCAGTTTCTCTCATGTGTAAAATGGAGGTAATGGCATCTACCTTATAGATTTGTTGTATTAAATATATTAAATGAATTAATACACATAAGGCACTAATTGTGTTAGCTATTTTTATAATCTTAACCATAATATTTGTCTGTTTTTTCAAACAAAATTTAAGGATTTAAAGAGATAAGATAGACTTTAGACTTTCTCACTAAATGAATTCACAATCTATATCGTTAAGTGATAACACAGATAGTAATACTTAAATTGCTTAATCACTAGATAAGTCTAGTGGGGAAATTAAAACACCCAAACTTGAGTGCCTAGCTATTGGAACTTTTAGGGCAACTTTGGGTCCTCATGACACATGGACTTTTAGCTTCAATTTGAAGAGCTTAGAATAATGATACTCAAAGTGTGACCTGCCAAGATATATTTTTTTAAAATGTAAAATCCAGGGCCCTGTTTGCACCAGCTGAGCCAGAATTATAGGGCAAAGAGGCCAGGAATCTAGGTTTTTAGCAAGCTTCTCTGATGATTCTTAGGCACAGTGAAAATTGAGAACAGTTGGCATAGAACAGCGGCTCTCACCTAGATGTTCATGAGAATCACTTGGGGAGCATTTAAAAGCTGCAAATACTTAGATCCCAGGGACAGCAATCCTGATTGAATTGTTTAGCCGTGGTGCCCTGAGCATTCACCTTAGCGGGTGATTACACTATGCAGCCAGGGTTGAGAAGGAGTGACATTAGAACACAAGTAATGAAGGTGATTGTCAACATGGTTTATTAGATCAGGGATGTAAGCTGACTTGATATTTTCAAGAAGTCATTATGATGGTTACCAGGGGCTGGGAAAAATGGAGAGTTACTTAATGGATATAGAGTTTTTGTTTGGGATGATGAAAAAGTTCTGAAAATGGATAGTGGTGATGGTCACACAACTTTGTGAATGTACGTAATGCCATTGAATTGTACGCTTAACATAGTTAAAATGTAAGTTTATGGTATATTTAACACAATTTAAAAAGTACTTTAAAAAAACCATTTATGATTCATACATTCCAGCTGGATACTGGGGCTCACGCCTGTAATCCCAGCACTTTGCAAGGCTGAGGTGGAAGAATCACTTGAGCTCCGGAGTTTGAGACCAGCCTAGGCAATATAGCAGGATCCCATCTCTACAAAAAATTTAAAAATTAGCCAATCATCGTGGGATGTACCTGTAGTCCTGGCTACCCGGGAGGCTCAGGCAGGAGGATTGCTTGAGCCCAGGAGTGCGAGACTGTAGTGATCTATGATCATGCCACTGCACTTCAGTCTGGGCAACAGAGTGAGACCCTGTCTCTAAAAAATAGAAATTAAAGGCGAGTTGCGGTGGCTCACACCTGTAATCCCAGCACTTTGGGAGGCTGAGGTGGGTGGATCACCTGAGGTTGGGAGTTCGAGACCAGCCTAACCTACATGGAGAAACATTGTCTCTACTTAAAAAAAAAAAAAAAAATTAGCTGGGCGTGGTGGTGCATGCCTCTAATCCCAGCTACTCGGGAGGCTGAGGCAGGAGAATCACTTGAACCTGGGAGGCAGAGGTGGCGGTGAGCCGAGATCATGCCATTGCACTCCAGTGTGGGCAACAAGAGTGAAACTCCATCTCATAAATAAATAAATAAAAGAAATTAAAAAAGAATTTACACATACTGAAGCTTAATTTTTTTTTCTTTTCACAGTAACAGTGTATCATGTATGCCACTGATTCCAGGGGACACTCCCCTGCTTTCCTCCAACCTCAGAATGGAAATAGTCGTCACCCATCTGGCTATGTTCCAGGGAAGGTTGTCCCATTGCGTCCCCCTCCTCCTCCAAAGAGTCAAGCTTCAGCCAAATTTACCTCCATCAGACGAGAAGACCGGGCAACCTTCGCATTCTCACCTGAAGAACAGCAAGCCCAGAGAGAAAGTCAAAAGCAAAAGAGACACAAAAATACTTTCATTTGTTTTGCTATTACTAGTTTCTCATTTTTTATTGCACTTGCAATCATTTTAGGAATATCCTCAAAATATGCTCCAGATGGTAAGTGTGTGTATATGCACATAGAACATATTCTAGAAGACAAAAGAGGAGGAAATAGTAGAATACTTAAAAAAAAATTTATCTTAAGTTGGCCCTAGCTAACTAATATGTAGTTAGGTAATACGAGGTGTCACTTCTTATGAATGAGAGCAATTGTTCAATAATCTGTTGGAAATGATTAAATGGTTGCTCTTCCTGTCCATTGTGCCACTTTGTTGCAGCACTCAGGGAGGTCTTGGAGTACCTCTTTTGGAAATGCTTTGAGGGCCTTCACTAAATTCTTATGGTAGGTATGATTTTTGGACTGCTGCAATTTTTTTTTTCTTTTTTTCTTTTTTTGAGGCAGTCTTGCTCTGTTGTCCTGGCTGGAGTGCAGTGGTGTGTTCTTGGCTCACTGTAACCTCCGCCCCCTGGGTTCAAATGATTCTCATGCCTCAGCCTCCTGAGTAGCTGGGACTACAGGCAAGTGCCACCACATCTGGCTAATTTTTGTATTTTTAGTAGAGACAGGGTTTCACCATGTTGGCCAGGCTGGTCTCGAACTCCTGACCTCAGGTGATCTGCCTGTCTTGGCCTCCCAAAGTGCTGGGATTACAGGTGTGAGCCACCATGCCCGGCCGCAAGTTTTTTTTTTTTTAGTCATACGTATAGTGAACTATATTAGATTTTTTTGTTTAAGTAAGTGACTAAAAATAATAATATTTGTGTTTGTGGCTTGAAATGGGCTTGGGAAGCAGTTCCAAAGGAAAAGTTTCAAATATTTTTGAGTAACAATATATATCCTGGAAGGGAAGCATCCTTTAGGATATATAAGTTCTGACACCTTTGTCTAAAAATCAGTCATTACTTCATAGTTAAATATTATGCAGGGAGATTTTAATTTCTTAAATGGTATTTTCTTTTCAAGTTAATGATATATCAATATTTTGAAAAGTTTTGAAGAAGATGGTTGCAAGTCAGCCTTATTGGAATACCAACAAAGAATTGCCTCATAAAAGAATACCATCCATCTGTCTAAAATCAAAGGACTCGGGGCTGTGAAGAGAGAAGACTCTAACAGCCTGGACTGGGTACCATATTTGTCTACAACAGATTTTTGTCAAGTTAAATGCTTCCTTAAGTGGCTGTAACAGTTCAGAGGCATTTTACTACTTATAAGACTTACAAATACTTTATTATTTAGTTTTCTTGGGTGCTTTCAAGGGATTTTTAAAATTTTAAGGTTCTGGGAGAGGTAGTGCTAGTACTTCTAAGAAAATAAACCTCAAATGAGAGAGACATGCACATTAATATCCTTATGGACCAAACAAGTAGACCACATTATGAACTTATAACATTGATTTCCATTGCATGCGGTATGACTTCCTCTCTCCTTTTCCCAGCAGAATAACCAAGTTCTCTGTGCTGATTCATAATAACCAAGTTCACTGTGCTGATTCATACTTCCCAACTCTTCTGCAGTAAAGGGATGCTAGACCAGTGGGAAATCAGAGCTGAAGTCTATGGCTTTGATTGGTGTTTTCATATTCCATCTAAAACAGGGCATTGCTGATATGGTTCCTTGAACCAACATTCTTTAGTTTCACATTTTGGCAGTGTAAAGTGCAGATCATCAGTGGAAAGATCTGGTATGCTGAAATATTTCAGGGTCAGCTTGACTGTGGTTATTGCTGTTACATAACTTTGATAATATACTCACTGCTCTTCAAGTGGGTAGCTGGGAAGGTGGGGTTGGCTGAGCTACTTTTCAGTGCTTTGTACAGACTACACATTTTCTCATTAAGTGCATTTTACTGGAAGGAAACAGACTGGAATTTTTGGTGATGGTTCTAATGAACCATGCTCTCCTGGGAAATAATTAAAAACAATTAAGAGAAATTATATAATCATTGAAGTAGGCTCCAGATCTCAAAAGACTGGATTTCCTTCTTTATAGCTGGGTACAGTGCTTGTTATAAAACTATGGAGAATTTCAGCTAGATGTTGTATGGGAAGAGGGAGGTAGAAAAGTTAAGGAATCCTCATTATTAAGGCAAAACAAATTTAAGAGTTTTTTTGTTTCTTTGATGGGAAGAAAAGCTTAAAGATTGTTTTTAGTATAATAGTGATACTCATTGACTTATCAGAAGCATTAAATATCAACAGTTATGATACTGCTGTGAGAAAAACTAATTCCATGAAATAATTGCCAAGGATATAACTGGTGAGGCTAATTGTAGCTGTGGTTAATAAGAGAAAGCATAAACCTAGGGCATTGTGAGAGCTCAGAAACAGGAAGATGTTTGCATTAGTGTTATGCAAGTTCAAAATGAGGAATCATTTTTTTTTCTGTATAGAACAATATGTTTGTGTAGCACCCTACCTCTCTACTTTTTCTCTTGTTATTCCTAAACATGTACCTGCCACCTTAATGAAAGGAATTTCTTCCTATGGTTTTTCAAGCATATCTTGCTTATTCTTACCTTAGCTGAGTTTAAATAAAGCCACCTTGGAATTCTGAACAACCAAATGGACTACTTGGATCTCAAGGGATAATTGCATTACTAGTGTTCTCATGATCCTCTTATTTAAATACTGCCCATCCTTTGGTGTCCAGCTCTCAAGTCACCTGTTCATGAAGCTGCCTCAGTTACTCCAGCCCCATGCCTCCTTTGCCTGAGGTCTTTTGAACCTCGACTGACTACCATATTGTTCAGTGTTTCATTATTTCATACTTGGTGTTTTTTCCCTCCAAAGCTTGCATATAAACTCTGAGGAAATGTGAGCTGATTCTATGCTTTATAAATTTTAAAATATCTGGTACAGAGTGGATAAATTGATGCTCCACAAATACTTGGCCATAGGTTGATCAAAATTGAAGGCGTGATTTTTTTTCTCCCCTCTTCAAAATTATGGCGGACCTTAAAGTTTTCATACATTAAATAGCTATGGCTATTTTAATTAAATACTGTTATATTTTTGTTATTATAATACCTATTCAAGAGGCAAGTTCTAATTCCAGTAAAGGAACACTACAAGTCAATAATCTCATTTTCTAAAAGGGGAAACTTGCGTATCACTCAGCTTGCTAAGTAATCTTTGGTTTCTCTAACCTGTAATTTCCTCATCTCTGAAAATGAGAAGTTATGTCTTTAGCCACTTGCCTCTTTCATTTTGTTGGGAGAGTGCACATGGCTGAAGATAGTGATGTTTCTCAGTCTTGGAGAGAGGTGCTATCAGTACTTACTTCATCATTCACTGTGTGCAAGAAGGAACTTGTGAAGACCTGATCAATGTATTATTTAGCAATTTTCATTTTTGATTTACCAGGATGTTGTGAACACATTTCTTTTCTAAAACAGCTTTCTAGTGTGAATCCCAAGAGAATGTATAATTTTGCCTCTTACTATTGGTTTATTTCCAGAGTAGATGATTCAGGGAAACTTTTTTTTTTTTTTTTTTTTTTTGGTGAAGTTTGTCCTGAACTAGATGCTAGCAATTTAGTTTTGTGGTAAAACTTTAAAATGGAAATGTGATGACAAATTAAAGGGTAAGATGGTTCTCTGCTGGTGGGAAGGCGTGGGATTTCCATTCTAATGGCAGGAAATCAACATATGTTAGCACATTTTTTGCAGATCTGCAGTAAATAATGGTAGTGCTTAGATTCGGCTATATTATTCCTGCATTTTAATGGGTTGGATGGAATATCAATGTGTTTATAGAAAATTGCCCAGATCAAAATCCTCGTCTCAGGAATTGGGATCCAGGACAAGATTCTGCAAAGCAAGTTGTTATCAAGGAGGGAGATATGCTCCGTCTGACCTCAGACGCCACCGTGCATTCTATAGTCATTCAGGATGGAGGTAGGTAATGGTTCCTGCCTATGGGAACTGCAAGGTTGCTCTTTAATGTGGGGGATATTTGATGTTCCTTATGTAGAAGACTATTTTTAGGCAGAATAGGCTTTAGTTTGTGGTGTCACTCTAACCATGGAGATTTGGAAAGATCATGAGATAAAACCAGAGAATTTATCCAGAGATAAAAAACATAGAATTTAAGAGCTTAGACCTTAGGTATCACTCAAATCAAGACCCCTGATTTATAGACAAGGAAACAGTTCCAGAGAGGTGATCTCTCAGAGCTAAATTTTTGTCACAATTCTGAGAGTGATTTTGTCACAATTCTGAGAGTTAACATGAGTAAACATATACAAAAATAAGATTCAGATTTGTAGACTCTTAGATATTTTTAAGAGAAATGATTTAACCTCTAAAGTGAGTAGGTTGAAATTCACAGTCATGGGCATTGAGAGTATATTAAGATATGAACTCTTCATTTTTCCCTTTAGTTTTCTAAGCAGATTCTTAGCGAATTCTTTTTTCCGACCTAATTGCGGAAGTGTATTTAACTTAAGGTGAAATCTATTTCCTTGTATCTCAGAAAGATGATTTAGAAGTTGGCTTACAGGGTGGTGTTCCCTGCAGGACTGCTTGTATTTGGGGACAATAAAGATGGATCCAGAAATATTACTTTGAGGACTCATTACATCCTGATCCAGGATGGTGGGGCGCTTCATATTGGAGCAGAAAAATGCCGCTATAAATCCAAAGCGACAATTACCTTGTATGGCAAGTCAGATGAAGGTGAAAGTATGCCAACATTTGGCAAAAAGTTTATTGGTGTGGAAGCTGGCGGGACACTGGAGTTACATGGGGCACGGAAGGCATCGTGGACGTTGTTGGCAAGGACCCTGAATTCCTCAGGCTTGCCCTTTGGGTCCTATACCTTTGAAAAGGACTTTTCCCGGGGCCTCAATGTGAGGGTCATTGACCAAGACACGGCCAAAATTTTGGAAAGTGAGAGATTTGATACCCATGAATACCGCAATGAGAGCAGGCGGCTTCAGGAGTTTCTGAGATTCCAGGATCCAGGTCGGATTGTTGCCATAGCTGTCGGGGATTCAGCCGCTAAAAGTCTCTTACAAGGAACCATCCAGATGATCCAGGAACGGTTGGGAAGTGAACTGATCCAAGGACTGGGCTACAGGTAGGCATACCTTCTTCCCAGATCCCTATCAGAGTCCGTGTCTGTGTGAGAGGAGAGTGAGGGTGGGGAAAGGAGCCACAGCCACAGCATGACTCAGGCATCAGAAGGGCCACTCTACCATTTGCATGTCTGGTAGCTTTGAGACATGGGGCTGGAGGATAGGACACCACATACAAAAGCTATTTTCATTGGCTTTGGTTTACAAAGCCCTTTGTGAACTGGAGTGCCAGACTTGTGAAAAGTTGAGAGCAGAAGTGTGGTACTGAAAAACAGTCAGGCAGTTTAAGGACAATTTGCCTCTGAAGATACTTCTTCCTTTCGTTACCTTCTGAAGATCATATGAAACTCAGGCTAATTGAGGCAACTTAATGAGTTTAAAGGTTAGGGCAGAATTTCATGCTAAGTTCTAAACCTGTCTTAAAAGGCTGAGGGGGTAGAATATGCAGTTTTTCTTTTTCTTTTTCTTTTTTCGGACTCCTTTGCAGGCTGATTGGAATCTGCATGTTTGATTGGCACAGGTCTATGGACCCCTGGCATATATGAGGAAGGAAAAAGTTAAAGGGCTAGGAAATTCATCCAGATAGTAGAATTCATTTCTGCTATTTATGGTTCTTGTACCCTATTCCTTTTATTTTTATTTTTAGTGACAGGGTCTTGCCCCGTTGCCCGAGCTGGAGTGCAGTGGTACAATCGTATCTCACTGCAGCCTCAACCTCCCAGGCTCCAGTGATACTTCCACCTCAGCCTCCCAAGTAGCTGAGACTACAAACAGTTGCTACCACACCTGTCTAATTTTTAAACTTTTTGTAGTTGAGGGGGTCTCACTTTGTTGCCCAGGCTGGTCTAAACTTCTGTGCTCAAGTGATCCTCCTGCCTCACCCTCCCAAAACATCGGCTTCATAGGCATGAACCACCACACCCAGCCTTCTTGTGCCATATTCTAATTAACTGTGATTTCCTAACGCAGTTCTGAGTCTAGGGGAAGTAGCCGACCTAACATTTCATTTAAAAGACAGAAGCTTTTAATTCTGCTGAATGCTTTTAGTAAAGTCAGGGAATATCTGTGGTGGAAAAAGTAAGAGTACCTCAAAACCGACATGCCGTAATGATCTAGTTACTATTTTTTCCTTTGATAGTAGGTTGTTGGAATGGGGTATTACCTACAGCAATTCTAGAACAGGCTAGAAAGACAAAAAATAGTGAAGAAAAACAGTCTGTAACATTTTAGAAATGGCTTTTATTCATGTAGGGGATATTTAGGAGATGCTAAGTGCTGGATACCCATGGATGCTTAGACGAAAGGACACTGTCTCAGAGCCCATGGTTAATCTAGTGGATAAACAGAGACCTAAATAGATGATGATCATACAGTGAGACATGCTGCAGTTACAGGGTGCAATGGGAGCGTGAGTATTAACAGAAGGAGCCTCTCAATTGGCCTAGTGAATCAGTACAGGCTCCCCAAAGGCAAGAGACTTGAAAGAAGTTCGGGAGCGTGCTGTGTAGACAGTGGAGAAGAAAGCTTTTTCAGACCAAGGGAATTCCATGTGCAAAACCTCAAAGGGTTTTTTTTTCTTTCTGGTTTTTGTTTTTGAAATATGATACACATGCAAAAAAGTGCCAAAAATAACAATGTAGAGCTTAATAAGTTGCCGCAATGTGATGCCTGTGTAGCCACCACCCAGGTCAAGAAATAGGACATTGCCAGCAGCCCAGAAGTTCCCTTCCTCCCCTCTGCTATGCATTAATCACTCTCTTCCCCACCGAAGGGAGCCATGCTCCTGAATCTGTGGGATCTACTAAAGTTTAGGTTTGCCTGTTTTTCAACTTTATATAAATGGAAGCCGACAATGTTATATTTTGTGTCCGGCTTCTTTGCACAGTGTTATGTTATTGAATGCTATTCATATTGTTGCATGTAGTGCTGGCTCATTTTCTTTTCTTTTCTTTTTTAATTTTAAATAGAGATGGGGGTCTCACTCTATTGACCAGGCTGGTCTCAAACTCCTGGCCTCAAGTGATCCTCCCATCTCAGCCTCCCAAATTGCTGCGATTACAGGCATAAGCCATGTGCCCGGCCGAGGCTCATTTTCTTTGCTGTTTATTTTCTGTCGTATGAATATACCACAGTTTATTTATTGGTGGCCATCTGAGTGGCTTTCCAGTTTGGACCTGTTACAAAATTGCTTCCTTAAATGTTCCTTGATCCATCTCTTAATGTACATGTGCATGTATTTCTATAATATATAAACCTAGGAGTGGAAGCATGATCTTTTCTAAGTTAGATACCTACTTTGTTTCATTATCCAGTAATGCCAGGGATTACAACTTGTATTTCTTCATGCTACTATTGTTTCTAGTTTTGCATGATCATTAGCTGTGACCATTTTGACTTTCTTAGGTTCCTCTCCCTACTGGTTTCTAAATTCCTTTTAAAATATTGCTCTTGATTTCATAGAGAACTTAGAGTTGTGATCTTTTGCCAGCGTTCCATTGCATTGACGTTATCTCCAATGTACATAAACACATAGGCCTTTGAAGATAATGTTCTGGTGCGCTGAAATTTTCCCTCAAGTGGAGGAGGGAAGTAGGAGTGTTTTGGAGATAATGTCGATAGAAGAGAAAGAACATTGTTTTATAGTTGCTGAGGCAGTTCTGGTAAAGAAAGGAAGCCTGTGATAATTCTTCCTCTCTTTTCTTCTCCAAATAGGAGATAATATATTGAGACATTCTTTATTTGATTCTTTCTGCTTTATCAAGTGGTATAAAACAAGCTACAAAGCATTGTCGTCCAAAGAGTAGCTAATCCATACAGGGGCGGCTGTGGAATTTGTAAGGGTGTAGGCATGCTTCGGTTAACTTTTATCTGTGAATATCTAGCCATCTGTCAGACACAGATTACATTTGTTATTTTTTTTCTAGAGTGGGAAGTTGACATTTTTCTTTTCGTGTTTTAAACCAGGAGTCTTAAAGCAGATTTTCTGGTTTTTAAAAATTGTCCCTTTGCGTTGATTGCTTTTGGTCACAAGTTTGAGCATGTCTCTCAGATATTTAGTATCAGAAATGTTTTTAGGCCGGGTGTGGTGGCTCATGCCTGTAATCCAAGCACTTTAGGAGGCCAAGGAGGTCAGATCACCTGAGGGCAGGAGTGCGAGACCAGCTTGGCCAACATGGTGAAACCCTGTCTCTACTAAAAATTAAAAATACAAAAATTAGCTGGGTGTGGTGGTGGGCACCCGTAATCCCAGCTACTTGGGAGGCTAAGGCAGGAGAATCGCTTGAACCCCAGAGGTGGAGGTTGTGGTGAGCCGAGATCACGCCATTGCACTCTAGCCTAGGCGACAAGAGTGAGACTCTGTCTCAAAAAAAAAAAAAAAAAAAAAAAACCAGAAAAGAAAAAGAAATAATGGTGTTTTCAAACACATTGCTGTCAACAAATAGACATATAGTATATAAAATTTAAAATCTGTTGGATAGTGATTCTACAGCTTTGATTTAATTTAGGAACGTTAAGAAATCTCTGCTGGCTGCGGTGGCTCACACCTGTAATCCCAGCACTTTGGGAGGCCGAGGCAGGCTGATCACCTGAGATGGGGAGTTTAAGACCAGCCTGACCAACATGGAGAAACCCCATCTCTACTAAAAGTACAAAATTGGCCGGGCGTGGTGGCACATGCCTATAATCCCAGCTACTCGGGAGGCTGAGGTGGGAGAATTGCTTGAACCTGGGAGGCAGGAGGTTGCGGTGAGCCGAGATTGCGCCATTGTACTCCAGCCTGGGTAACAAGAGCGAAACTCCATCTCAAAAAAAAAAAAAAAAAAAAAAAAAAAATCTAACTCAGTTCTCAACCTTGCCTGCACACCTGGAGACTTTAAAAAATCTTGACACCTAGGGTGCACCTTAGATCAATTATGTCAGGAAGAAGGATAAAAGAAGGATAAGACTCCCAGGCTACTGAAGGTTGATGATCACTACTCTAACCTCTAGTCTATAATTTAGGGGTTTTCAAAGTATGGTGCCCTGACCAGCAGCATTAACATAATGTGGTAACCTGTTAGAAATACAAATTCTCTGGTCCCATCTCAGAAACTGAGAGAGTGGGGCCAGCAATCTAATTCAGCATGCCCTTCCTTTCTTCTGTTGATCCTGATGCGTACTGAAGTTTGAGAACCACTGCCCAAATCAGTGGTTTTTAAGCCTAACTGCATGTTCCAGTCACCTGGGAACTTTAAAAACATAGTAAGACCCTGTCTCCAAAAAATAAAAATAAATTATTGCAAACTACAAATGCTGTACCCAACCTTTTGCAATTATTAACATGATTCCCTTTATCTGGGATGGGGTCTGTGCATTGATATATTTTTCAAACTCCCTGGGTAATTCTATTATGCAATTAGATTTTTGAGAACATTGTATTAATAGAAAGTTTAAAAGAGAGCATGTGATAATCATTTTAAGAGAAAGTAAATGGATTTTGGCCAGAATGTTATGTGTGATATGGATGTGTATTGAGGAAGTAAGTCAATGATTAATTGAAATTGTAGTCATCGGTCTTTCACCTATTACAGAGCTGGACAAACAAGTATTTAAAAAGTAGCTGCATTTCCTTCTAGGAGAACTAGGTGCAGTCAAGGTTTGGAACTGCAGCCTCATATAGAAAAAACATTAGGGATTGACGAAAATGAAATATGAGAATTAAACAGCACTCTGTAATAACATCTTTGTCAGGGATTTTGTGAATACCATGACAAGTAATCAAATGCACATGCTCTTTTTCCTTCTAGGCAAGCTTGGGCTTTAGTTGGTGTCATTGATGGTGGAAGCACTTCTTGCAATGAATCCGTGAGAAACTATGAAAATCATAGCAGTGGCGGGAAGGCTCTTGCCCAAAGAGAATTTTATACTGTGGATGGCCAGAAGTTCTCTGTGACAGCTTATAGTGAATGGATTGAAGGTAGGCAAGTAGAGTTTATACTCTTGTAAGACACTGATAAGTATTATGACAGATTTTTTTTTTCTAAGAATAGTATTATGTTCAAATGACAGTCCGCCTGGTTAGATTTCTCAACTAGTTGAAGTTGAAACTTAGTTTTCCTACTGTGCTTAATCTTTTAGAACAAAATCCAGTAATCTTTTAGAACAGGGGTCTCCAATCTTTTGGCTTCCCTAGACCACATTGGAAGAAGAATTGTCTTGGGCCACGCATAAAATACAGTAACACTAATAATAGCTGATGGGCTAAAAAAAAAATCTCATAATGTTTTAAGAAAGTTTATGAATTTGTGTTGGGCTGCATTCAAAGCTGTCCTGGGCCACATGTGGCCCACGGGCTGTGAGTTGGACAAGCTTGTTTTAGAACAAAGCTGAGTTGGGGGTGCTGAAACTAGAATAGACCATTCTCTAGTCTAGAAACAATCTTCTGGGCTTGGCGTGAAGAGATGATCTATTAGGGATGAGGAAGCTGGAATCAAGCCCCAGCTTTCTGCCTCCAAGATGACTGCTGTTTCTTTGCCTCTGCCAAAAAGCATAGGTGGTAGATAAGAAGCGTTTCTTAGCAGGAATTTTGTCCTGTAAGTGGAGTTTAGTGGTCCTGTCTCCAGTACCACTAAAAAAAAAGTAGTCATCTTTTTTTTTTTTTTTTTTTTTTTTTTTTTTGAGACAGAGTCTCACTCTGTCACCCAGGCTGGAGTGCAGTGGCATGATCTCACTGCAACCTCCGCCTCCCAGGTTCAAGCAATTCTCTGCCTCAGCCTCCCAAATAGCTGGTATTCTAGACAGGGGATAATTACTGACAGACTTCTAGTCAACGTTTCCTTTGTAGGAAATGTTATTTACATTTCCACATTAGTGATAAATACTCATTTTTGAAAGATGGTATGTTCTAGTTATCGTAAGATATTGTTCATGTCTCATGTTCTCAGTGACTTACTTTCTGGAAGAGGTAGAAAATTTTCTTCAGGAATCAGAGAATGAACTTTTTTTATGTTTCCCATTCAGTAGTGCTAGTAGGAGATAATCCGAGACAGGATTTTCTTTTAAAGCCAAGAAAAAATGTGTTAGTGACTAATACAAATCTTCCCCATCTAACCTTCTGGCTTTAAAAAAATTTAACAGATAGAAACAAATTCTAGTGATCTTTCAAATCAAAATTTATTTGTCTAGTAGTCATCTTTTTTTTTTGAGACGGAGTCTCACTCTGTTGCCCAGGCTGGAGTGCAGTGGCCTGATCTTGGCTCATTGCAACCTCTGCCTCCCAGGTTCAAGCAATTATCTGCCTCAGCCTCCCAAATAGCTGGTGTTACAGGTACCCACCACCATGCCTGGCTAATTTTTGTATTTTTAGTAGAGATGGGGTTTCACCATCTTGGCCAGGCTGGTCTTGAACTCCCGACATTGTGATCCACCCGCCTCAGCCTCCCAAGGTACTGGGATTACAGGCGTGAGCCACCATACCCGGTTAGTCATCTTTTTCTAAAGCATTACTGAATTTTTGTTTTTTTTTGAGATGGAGTCTTGTTCTGTCGCCCAGGCTGGAGTGCAGTGGTGCGATTGTCGCTCACTGCAGACTCTACCTCCTGGTTTCAAGCAATTCTCCTGCCTCAGGCTCCCAAGTAGCTGGGATTACAGGTGCGTGCCACCACGCCTGGCTAATTTTTTTGTATTTCTATTAGAGACAGAGTTTCACCATGTTGGTCAGGCTGGTCTCCAACTCCTGACCTCAAGCGATCTGTCGATCTCAGCCTCCCAAAGTGCTGGGATGACAGGCATGGTTGCATTACTGAAATTTTATATGAAAAAAAGAATGTTTCTTAATTGCTCTTAGGGGAATTTATTTTGTTGGCAAAAATGTGAAATTTGGGGTAGGGGTTGTTTTTGCCTCCATGAGGTTTTCTTTATTTGTTCTTAACCTGCTTGTTTTGATTCTTGGAGAGTATAATATAGAGGCTTTGAAAGAAATTGGGCTCTGGAATTAGATTAGCTTTAAATTGGGGGCTCTACCATATTTAGCTGTTATTCAAACTCCCTGATCTTTGGTTTCTTCATCTCTAATAAATATAATAGCTCCTGTCTCTCACGGTTGTTTTGATGAATGGGTATTATGCATGTGGGATCTCAACAACTATTAGCTATCATTATTGTTGTTAGAATTACTATTATTAATATTATTATTTGTATAAAATCTTACAGGCTTTAGTATCTGGCAAGACACATATTCAGAAAACATTTTAGATTTGTTAGGCACTTTATTTCTGTGCTTTATAGAGATAGAAAAGCAGGGTAGATCAAGAGTACAAAAACAGAATCCAAGACTTGCCCAGGTTAAGTTTTATCTGGATAGTTGGCAGAGCCGGGTACGGTGACTCATGCTTATAGTCTTAGAGCTTTGGGAGCTTGAAGTGGGAGGATCACTTAAGGTTAGGTCTGGGCAACATAGTGGGACCATGTCTATAATTTTTTTTAAAGACTGTAAGAATACATATTATTGGTTGTTCCTTGCTTGAATTTCCCCACTTTTGATTCTCCAAAGTGAATGTGTTCTTCTTTCACTCATATTGTCATCCCTTAGAGTTAGCATATTTTTTTTCTTTTTCTTTCTTTTTTTTTTTTTGAGACGGAGTCTCGCTCTGTCACCCAGGCTAGGGTTCAAGCGATTCTCCTGCCTCAGCCTCCTGAGTAGCTGGAACTACAGGCACGTGCCACCACACCTGGCTAATTTTGTATTTTTAGTAGAGACGGGGTTTCACCATGTTGGCCAGGCTGGTCTTGAACTGCCGACCTCAGGTGATCTGCCCACCTTGACCTCCCAAAGTGCTGGGATTACAGACTTTTCTTTCTTTCTTTCTTTTTTTTTTTTTTTTTTGAGAAAGATCTTACTCTTGTCTCCCAGGCTGGAGTGCAGTAGTCCAATCACAACTCACTGCAGCCTTGACCTCCTGGGCTTAAGCAATCTTCCCAGTATCTGGGAGTACAGGCATGCACCACCACACCTGGCTAAGTTTTTGATTTTTTTGTAGAGATGAAGTCCCACTATGTTGCCCAGGCTGGTCTCCTGGACTCAGTGATCCTCCCGCCCTAGCTGCCTAAAGTGTTGGGATTACAGGAATAAGCCACCACGCCCATCCTAGAGTCAGCATCTTAAAGTAGCCACAGGGTAGTATGCTGTTAATTAGACGACAGAGAAGTACTGATATTTATTAAACAGCTATCTTTTGAAATGTCATGTTTTCCTTCTCTGTCAGTGTTATGAAGTAGTTCTCATCTATTTCATGGACATTTCCGTTAAATCAGTTTTTGATTTATGACAGATTATATCATGAATGTTAAGAAGCAGAAAACATTTCTATACTGGATAGCATGTAAAAGAAGCCAAGTTATGAAGTTGGATCAGATTTTCAGTTCCTGTCTGCTTAACTGGGAACTAACTTTGACTTTCAAAGAAGATATTAGGAAAGATCAGTAATTAGTAGTCATTAGATTACATAATTTACATCATCCCAGGAAAGGAGCTGAGTTGGACAGGGGCACCATCATGTGACCTCAGGTTACATTGCAGATCATACTGGTCATACTCATCCATTCAGTAGACATCCGTGGATACATACCACAAACAAGACAGAGTAGTGCATACGTAAATAATGTACCCTGCTACCTTCACTGATGCAGCTTCCAAGGAGGTGAGCAGTCCTCCCACTGGGAAGGTATGAACAATACCAGGCAGTATACCGAGAGAATACCGGAGAGAGAGAGGTTGCTTCCAACAAGGATGTTTGGGAAGTCCTTAAAGAATTGCCTGAACTTCATAAAAAGGACAGTATGTTGGTTGGTCAAGAAGAATGGAAGGACATTTTAGGGGAAGAATAAATCACCATCAAAGGCACAGAGATGAAGGGTTTTCTGAGACAGATTTTTATGTTATTTTTTTGAGAGAGGATCTTGCTTTGTTGCCTAGGATGGAGTGCAGTGGCACAGTCGTGGCTCACTGCAGCCTCAAACTCCTGTGCTCAAGTGATCCTCCCACCTCAGACTCCCAAGTAGCTGGGACCACAAGCGTGTGCCACCATGCCCAGCTACTTCTAAAAATATTTTCTAGAGATGGGGCCTCGCTCTGTTGCTCAAGCTAGTCTTGAACTCCTGGGCTCAAGTGATCCTCTGGCATCGGCCTCCCAAAGTGTTGAGATTATAGGCGTGAGCCACTGTGCCCAGCCACAAATTGTTATTTTATGTATTATTTTTGAGACAGGGTCTTGCTGTGTCTCATAGGCTGGAATGTGGTGGCCCGATCATAGCTCACTGCAGCCTTAACCTTCCTGGCTCAAGCAGTCCTCCCACCTCAGCTGCCCAAGGAGCTGGGGATGTAGGCACACACCACCATACCTGGCCAATGTTTTTTTGTAGGGACAGGGGTCTCACTATGTTGCCCAGGCTGGTCTCGAACTGCTGAGCTCAAGTGATCCCCCTGCCTTGGCCTCCTGAAGTGCTGGGATTACAGGTGTGAACCACCACGCCTGGCCCACAAATTCTTATTCTTAATATTAAGATTGTTAGTGTGCTAATGTTCTATCCATTTTTCTGTGCTTGGATCAACTTGAAGCACTGGGTATTTATTACAGACCTATCCTCTGCTTGACAACTTCTGCTGGAATATATGTACTTGTCACATATTAGGATGGTTTGGGGTCAGTATAACAGTTGTTGCACTGAGTTAAATATAGCAAGAGATTTGGGGATCTAGAGCCTTCTTCAAAAGTATAAAATAATGGTTTACTAAGGTGACATCTTGTGTTCCTTCATGGCTAGAGGTACATGGGGCACTCACCCCTTGAAGGCAGGGATCTCTCTGTTTTCATATTTTTATTACTTATATCTGTAGAGTGACTAATACATGGTAGCATGCGTAAAAATTTGCTGAATCGTGGTTATCTTAACTTTTGATTTGTGAATCAGTGTGAGGGTTCATTTTAGAGAGAAAAAAATACTGTTAATGTATCACTTTCTTTTTCTTTTTTTTTTTTTTGGTTTAGGCGTTTCTCTTTCAGGATTCCGGGTAGAGGTTGTAGATGGAGTGAAGCTAAATTTGCTAGATGATGTTAGTAGTTGGAAACCTGGAGACCAGATTGTGGTCGCAAGCACAGACTATTCCATGTACCAAGCAGAGGAGTTCACTCTTCTTCCCTGTTCTGAATGCAGCCATTTTCAGGTCAAAGTCAAAGGTATTAAACTGCTTAGAGTACTTCTTGGGAAACACACTATTTTCTTGGGATTTGATTCCTGAAATCCTTTTTCCTCTCAGTCACTACCATCACTACCACCACCACCATCACAATCATCAGTATTGAAAGTCATAGCAGTGGAGTGCATCAAACACTAGATTCCAGGGAATATTAGATAAAAATAGCTATTGAGCAATATTCTTGCTGCTAATGATACATATTGCTTCAGTTTCTTTGTATAAAAAAAAGATGTCAACTAGAGAAATTGATTTTCCAAGGTCTTTTCTATTATTTTAAGTTCTGGGTTACATGTGCAGGATGTGTAGGTTCATTACATAGGTAAACGTGTGCCATGGTGGTTTGCTGCACCTACCAACCCTTCACCTAAGTATTAATCCAAGCATGCATTAGCTATTTTTCCTGATGCTTTCCCTCCCGCTGCCTCCCCTCCATTTTCTTTTGTATTAATTTTCTACTATCAGATAATAGTAAACCCAATGATGAATTAGATCCATTTATTAATAGAAGTATTTCTTAATTAAAAGAAATCCTATGGTTTTCGAGTGCCTATTTGATTACCAAAAACAAAAACAAAAACAAAAACTCATTGATATTTAAAATGGAATCAGATAGGTATTTTCTTAAGACTACATTTCCTTGCTGGGAGCAGTGGCTCCCGCCTATAATCCCAGCACTTTGGGAGGCTGAGGCAGGTGGATCTCTTGTGGTTAGGCATTTGAGACCGGCCCGGCCCATACGGTGAAACCCCATCTCTACTAAATATACAAAAAACATTAGCCAGGCATGGTGGCACAAGGCTTGTAATCCCAGCTGCTAGGGAGGCTGAGGCAGGAGAATCGCTTGAACCCAGGAGGCGAAGGTCGCAGTGAGCTGAGATCATGTCACTGCACTGCAGCCTGGGCGACAGAGCGAGACTGCGTCTCAAAAAAAAAAAAAGACTACACAAAGAAATTCTTACTGTAAGTTGCATATTGAAAGAATGCCTGACACTTACCGGGCACTCATTTTGAGCCTGGTACTAGGCACAGCCCCTTTGTACATTGCTTCATTTATGGGATTCATTGTGCATTTCACTCATTCTATTGCTTTTCTTTTGAACTCAACATTATACATTTATGGTATAAAACAAAAGAGTTTACAGTAACTGTTCAGTAAGTGCTTCTTTAGTTTTTCAGTAATTTAGAGTAATAGGTAGAGCTTCAACATTTAAGGAAAAATTTTCTGCTTTAGAAAAAAATAGTGATTGGCTCACCTGGCCTTTTTTCCCTGTGCTTCCGTCAACATTGTACTTTTCCTTCTTGATAATACAGGGCATAAACAAAACAAGAACACTGCCCCAACAAAAAAACCCCAAAACTATGATACCATCTGGCATTAATTTTTTTTGGAAATTCCAACTCTTGTTAACAAGTCTGCATGATGAGTCTTCATGAACTGTCCTCCCAAGATTTATGTGTATTTTTCCTTCCTGAGTTTATGTAATAAGATCATCAGTGAAAAGCTCATTATTAAAGTGCTTCTACACTTCCAGTAAATGTGGGAATTTAAAAGAATGCATAATAACATAAAATAAGAAATGAGAAAGAAAAGATGGTAATTTATCTATTGTTAATGTCCAGTTGCAGATTACTTCAGCTTTCAGGTAAAAGCATAAACAAGTTGACACCCTGATATTAATATCTACACACCATTTGTTTTATGGACTCACTATGCATTTGGTTCTTCATATGCCCTAGGGGAGGAGACCAAGAGCGTATGGACAGAAACTGGAGAGAAAGATTATAGATCATTAGATTCCAGATTATTAGTGCTGTTGAAGGGAGGATTGAGCTGCTTCAGGAAGGAACAAGCTTTCTGTCAGTGTGTGGGTTTGAGAATTGGCAGAACAGTTAGTAGTGAGGGTTCAGGCAGTGGGTGGGGGCTGGACTAGATGATCTTTAAATTCCCTGTGTTGGGAGGCTGAGGCAGGAGAATGGCATGAACCCGGGAGGCGGAGCTTGCAGTAAGCCAAGATCATGCCGCTGCACTCCAGCCTGGGGGACAGAGTGAGACTCCGTCTCACAAAAAAAAAAAAAAAAAAAAAAAAAAAAAAAAAAAATTCCCCGTGTCCTGGGATTCTGATTCTGAAGTGTCAGAGAATGGGAGCAGATGATAAGTTGTCAGGATCATCTTGGGGTTATGGAATGAAGAGAATGTCTTTTTGAAGTGAGTTTCATGTTTTCTTTGTTCTAATATTCTTTTTTTTCCTTGCTCATATCAACCAGAAACCCCTCAGTTCCTGCACATGGGTGAGATCATAGACGGTGTAGACATGAGAGCTGAGGTTGGAATTCTTACCCGGAATATTGTGATCCAAGGAGAAGTGGAGGACTCATGCTACGCAGAAAATCAGTGCCAATTTTTTGATTATGATACCTTTGGGGGACACATTATGGTAGGCAAAAGGATTTGATTATTTCTTTGAAATCCTGGTTGCTAAATATATGTTTGAAGAAACTGTCAAGTTTTGGAACAAGATATAAATGGATATTAAAAGCAAATCATGTTTTGTTTCTCAAATGACAATGAGGAGGTTTTAGATGATTAAAATAGAATGTTATGACTTCAGTTAGTTGACCTGGACCTCTAGTTAAACCATTTAAGAATTGTTCCATGAAGAGTCAAATCAATATATTGGGAAGAACCAATTACAGAGACCAAAAAACAAAACAAAACAAAAAAAAACTGAAGGCTCTTGGTTGGTATCCATGCATGCGATTTCTGAAAGAATCAATTAGTTTTTTTAAAAAGCATAGTATTACCAAAGGGTTAGCAATACTAGCAAGCACATGCAAAATATGTTCCTATAAAAATATTTTTTGTATGCAAATTTTTGTTCTGGAAAAATTTTGAGCACTTACTATATGCTAGGCAGTATTCTATTAATATATACTAATCTGTTGGACTTCTGGGCTGCATTTTGGCTACATGTGTTTTTAAATCACTTTTTGTGCATTGAGTAGGCTGTGGTTGTAAGTAGTATTTCTGTTACAAGGAATTTTTTTTTTTTTTTTGAGATACAGTCTCATTCTGTCACCCAGGATGGAGTACAGTGGCATGATCACAACTGACTGTGGGCTCAATATCCTGGGATCAAGTGATCCTCCCACCTCAGCCCCGCCAAATAGCTGGGACTACAGGTGTACACCACAGTGCCTGGCTAATTTTTGCATTTGTTTTTTTGAGACAAGGTTTTGCCATGTTGCCCAGGCTGGTATTGAACTCCTGGGCTCAAGCAATTTGCCCACCTTGGCCTCCCAAAGTGCTAGGTGTGAGCCACTGTACCCCGCCTGTTACAAGGATTTCTGAAATGTCGATCAGTACTATTCCCTTGTTGTTAGTAATACGATTGAAAATCTAGTGTTTAAATATATTGAGAGTGCTCAAACTTTGGATCACAGAAGAACTTTTAAAAGTAACTTAAGCCAACAATATTATGTGCTAACTAAAACACTGGGGAGGATCTAGAAATAAATAACTATTTATCAGACTCTGATGGAGGTTATAGAAGTGAAAGAACAAGACGAGACTGGGAATGACCAAAATATTTGAACAAATCAAAACACTTAGCAGAGATCATTATTGCAGCTTTCCTGATTACATTTGCCTTTATTCCTAATTGGAGGCTATTTTTGTGGCTCTTTAAAGTATTTGCTTTTGTAAAGAAGCATTTCCTAAATTATTAACTGGCAATCTGGGAAAACAGGATGCAAAAGAAAATCGAATGTTTTAATAAGTATTCTCCTTTGGATGTTTTCTACTAGAACAATATTTTTTGCTACTTCCCTATTCTGAAAAGTATGAGTTTGATTTTAGTACCTTGACTTACAGATAATGAAAAATTTTACTTCAGTCCATCTTTCTTATGTGGAATTGAAACACATGGGTCAGCAGCAGATGGGGCGATACCCTGTTCATTTTCACCTGTGTGGTGACGTGGATTATAAAGGAGGATACAGACATGCAACATTTGTGGACGGCCTGTCTATTCATCACAGCTTCTCAAGGTGCATCACTGTGCATGGGACAAATGGCTTGCTAGTAAGTAGCCTCGCATTAGGTCAACCCATATTATTGAAATAGTTAACTCTCTTTAATTCTCATGTCTTCTCAATTTTATATATGTAAACTGTTTAGCCACATGCCTTGCTCTATCCTGCCTTTTCTGAGCATTCCACGATTTTTCTGTCTGAAGGAAGCCTACCTTTCCAACCACCCAGAGTATCCTCTTTTAAATTTAATTCAATTTTATGTCTTGTATTTTATTTTTATTTATTTATTTACAACTTATTTTTATTTTTTTCCCCTGTGGGACCCAAGCAGATTATCCCCTTCAGAGATAAATTAAGCCTGACATTTCACTTTGCCCATTCTGCTAAGGTTCAAACCTGTTTTTCCACTTGTACTGAACATGCTACACTGGATAGCGCTTGTCACTTAAATCACAATCATTCTTGTTACCAATGACATTAATATACTTTTATTTCTGCAGATAAAAGACACCATTGGGTTTGACACACTAGGTCATTGTTTCTTTTTGGAAGATGGTATTGAACAGAGGAATACTTTGTTCCACAATCTGGGACTCCTCACCAAGCCGGGTACTCTCCTGCCCACCGATAGGAACAACTCCATGTGTACCACCATGCGAGATAAAGTGTTTGGAAATTACATTCCTGTGCCTGCTACTGACTGTATGTGAGTAATTGGCGGAGAGAAAAACCCATGAGTCAGGGCCTTTGACTTTTGGGGAAGAGGTTTTGGGGGAAGTTTTTAGTGGGCAGGAGTTTTTATGAAGAATGTTTAAATCACCTTGAAAAATGCCTTGCAGGGCTGTTTCAACTTTCTGGATTGCTCATCCCAACAATAATCTGATTAATAATGCAGCTGCAGGCTCACAGGTAAATAACGTTAAAGTGACCTCAGATGTTTTAATGTTTTTCTTGTTTATAAATAGTCTGGTTTATTTGGATTTAATGTCATGTGTGCCAGTGTAACCCAAGCATGACATTGTTTTCTGGTACTACTTGTTTAGTTGAGAGCAGAATACGGTAGAGATGATTATTCTATTTCTCCTAAATTCTTTGTGCCCGTTAGTATCTTTTTTGTAATTTTTTTTTTTTTTCTCGAGACAGAGTCCCGGTCTGTTGCCCAGGCTGGAGTGCAGTGGCGCGATCTTGGTCACTGCAAGCTCCACCCCCCGGGTTCACGCCATTCTCCTGCCTCAGCCTCCTGAGTAGCTGGGACCACAGGCGCCTGCTACCACGCCCAGCTAATTTTCTGTATTTTTAGTAGAGACGGGGTTTCACCTTTTTAGCTAGGATGGTCTCAATCTCCTGACCTCGTGATCTGCCTGCCTTGGCCTCCCAAAGTGCTGGGATTACAGGCGTGAGCCACCACGCCCGGCCTGTGCCCATTAGTATTTATGAGTTTAATAAGAGAGATGCCAAAGGGGGAAAAGAAGTGGGCTAATCACTAGGGTTATGTTATTTCCAGAGTGTATTTTTGGTGTATTAAGTACAACCTTTCTGGCTTCTCATATTTAAGTCATATGTGGCCAAGTAACTGATAATTTCAATTTCAGGGTGTTGATAAAAATAGGCTTACGTCAGGCACAGTGGCTCACGCCTGTAATCCCAGCACTTTGGGAGGCCGAGGCTGTTGGATCGCTTGAGCTCAGGAGTTCGAGACCAGCCTGGGCAACATGGCGAAACCCAATCATCACCTCCCCCTACACCCTCCAAAAAAAAAGCCAGGCCTACTGGTGTTTGCCTATTGTCCCAGCGACTTGGGAGGCTGGGGTGGGAGGATACTTGAGCCCAGGAGGTGGAGGCTGCTGTGAGCCAAGATTGCGCCACTGTACTCCAGCCCGGGTAACAGAGTGAGACCCCGTGTCAATAAAAACACACACACACACACACACACACACAAAAACCCCACAAAAAAGACCTTAGCTTTTCTTTATGAGAATGGATTATTTTGGAGAATACCATGACAGTTGTCACTCTGGTCAGGGGGCACACCCTTTTGTTGAATGTAAGGCTTTATATACAAGTGGGAATTTCATTTCCTTGGGAAAGCAGCAAAACTCGTTATGATGAATTAAAACACACATGAGAATAATTTTTAAGAGACTAAATGATATTTTTGGGTAGTAGAAATGTCCCCTGGATAAGTTTGGAGAAATTTGTATTTATTATTGAGAATTTTAGTGTTACTAAAACTGCTCATTTAAAACCTAAATGAATCTTTTTTTTTCTCCCTGAGACAGGGTCTTGCTCTGTCACCCAGGTTGAAGTGTAGTGGTGTGACCTTGGCTTACTGCACCCTCTGCCTCCTGGGCTCAAGCCATCTTCCCACCTCAGCCTTCTGAGTAGCTGATACTACAGGCACATGCCATCATACCTGCTGAGATATATATATATACGTATATATATATATATGTATATATATATATATATATACATATATATATATATATATACGTGTATATACATATATATATATATATATAGAGAGAGAGAGAGAGAGAGAGAGAGAGAGAGAGAGAGAAGGTTTCGCTGTGTTGACCAGACAGATCTCGAACTCCTGGGCTCAAGCTATCCACCTGCCTTAGCCTCCCAAAGTTTTAGGATTACAGTCATGAGCCACCATACTCAGGCTAAATGAATCTTTTTGTTTTTTTGAGGTGAAGTCTCGCTCTGTCCCCCAGGCTGGAGTGCAGTGGCGCAATGTTGGCTCACTGCAACCTCCGCCTCCTGGGTTCAAGCGATTCTCCTGCCTCAGCCTCCCAAGTAGCTGGGATTACAGGCCCCTGCCACCACGGCTGGCTAATTTTTGTATTTTTAGTAGAGACTGGGTTTCACCATATTGGCCAGGCTGGTCTTGAACTCCTGACCTCAGGTGATCCGCCCGCCTTGGCCTCCCAAAGTGCTGGGATTACAGGCATGAGCCACCGTACCCATCCACTAAATGAATCTTTTAAGATAGTATGCTATCGAGATTGTAACTGTGTTGAAGACTGCAATTAAAAAAATGAAATTTGCAGTGATACCTAAATATTCATATTTATACATCATGGCTATTTAAAGTTTTTAAAAGGAAATAAATACCTAGCATTGTTTGCTAAGATGAAGCAAAAGATTAGTTGAAGGGAGTATTTATTTGAGATAACAGGAAAAAAGGCATCAGTGGGTGATGGTTTGAACTCATATCTGTTATTTTCTTTAAAAACATAACACATAATCTGAAGGTCCCTGTCAATTGAAGATTCTATTTGACAGGGCAGAAACCCAGACATTTGATCATTTTAGGTTTTCATTCATTGATTTTTCATCAAATATTTTTGAGCCTGTATGAGGTTTGTGCTAGAGTTTCTAACTGGAAAGTGAGTTTTTGAGTAAAGATGACCAAGAAGTTGATGCACAGCCATCTTCTGATCTATGTAACATTATGCGTCAACAGTCAGAACAAAGATTTCTTTTAGCTCTTTTTAGAAGTCAGGGCTTGAAGATTAAAGCAAATTGCCGAGAGTTCATGAAAAATAGAAGGTGAGGCTGCCAGATACCCTTACTGTGGCTCATGTGAGAAAAGAAGAAAGCGTTGCATGTATGTTCGTCCTTTTTATTCTGTGAGCTGTTTATTTTCTCTCTAGAAAAACTGTTCCGGTAAAAGCTAATTTGGGCAGGGTTTTTCCTCCCAAAGTAAATCAAACCATTTTTTTCATTGTACCTTTCCACTGCCTTTTACAAAGCTCCTTTTACCTGTGTTGACACCACTGTGTTTTAACAGGAAACAGCTGCTACTCCCCTTATCCCCGTCCCACTCCCATCTCCATCTCCATTGCATCCTAGGATGGTCCACTCTGCCCTCAGCTTATGGGTTATGGTATGGAGTTTTCTTCTGACCCTCCAGGTCTTATCCCGTCAACTTGTCTGTTTTGTGCCCAGAAGAGTTGAGGTAGCAAACATTTTTCAGAGTAGTTTGTTTTGTTAAGACCCATTTGTAGACTTTTATCATGGAAAATGTTACACATGGCATTCATTCTGGTGTGTAGGTATAAATATATGTTTTCCATAATTCCTCTCTCATCTCTCCTCCCAATGGACTCTATTTGTTACAGCTAGTAAGTACTTATTAGGTATATTATATTTTAATTATCTCTATCTTTCTTATTAGACTATGAATTATTTGAGAATAGTCTTACTGTATACCTGGCATATAGTGGGCACTAAATAAATGTGTGCTGAATTTGAATTAATGCTGTCCTTTTACACTGTATGATTAAGTTTTAACAAACTATTTAATCGAAGTTCCATAAAGTGAAGTTGTCCTTCACATTGGGCTGATTTTTAATTGAGTTGTAAAATAAAGATTTGTCATGGGAATTAACATTTATTTCCATTTTTATGTCTAATTTTTGAGTGTCAAAAAATTTTAAACTGTTATGTTCCTATTAAGGTCAGTAATACTGAAATTGAACAGACAGGGCCCAGCCTGAGACAGTATCCTGATTCATACGTGTGGTGGTTTTTTTTTCTTTGGCAAAAATTTGCCTCAGGACAGGAAGGGCATTAGACTTGTTTGAAAGAAGTCAGTGATCTCTGCGTGCTGGTGGACAGTTGTTTAATAGGCATGACTCATCTATTGAACAGGTTTGGAGGTAAACAGATAAAAACCATATTGCTTAACATCTGTGCTGTCTTGGTTACATGGAAAGCCGATTTGGTTTTAATTCTGCATAACTTTTAACGTAGATAATGATGGAAAAGTTTTGAAAGTGAATTTTTATACCAGCCAATTATTTCTCTTTTGTCCAATCCTGCAAGCAAAATTAAATTTGCTTTTTTAAAAAAATACATGATATAACCACTTTGAGACGTGTGTACAACTTTTTATTGTCAATTCTGAACCTGCAATAATGAAAAATTTGGGTGAAAAAGATTAAACTTGCTGATGAAGAAGTTAGTTTATGAGAGTGTTTCATAGATATCTGTATAAATTAGGCTTTTAATGGGCTTGTCCTTTCATTTGTAGGATGCTGGAATATGGTATTTATTCCACAAGGAACCAACTGGGGAATCCAGTGGATTGCAGCTCTTGGCAAAACCAGAACTCACTCCATTGGGTATATTTTATAACAACAGGGTCCATTCAAATTTTAAGGTAGGTTTCTAAGTTTTAACAATTAGTACATATGCTAGACAGTGTAAAGGATGAACTATTGTGATTATATTTTAGTCCACTTTGTGCTGCTGTAGTAGAATATCACAGACTAGTTAACTTATAATGAGCAGCAATTTATTTGGCTCACACTTCTGAAGGCTGGGAAGTCCAAGATCAAGGGGACAGCATTTGGTAAGGTTCTTCTTGCTGTGTCATCCACGGTAGAAGGGCAAGGAGAAGGCGAGAGAGCTATAGAACAAATTTGCTGCCTCAAGCTCTTTTATAATCAGCATTAATCCATTCAAGAGGGCGAATCCGTTATGACCTAAACACCTTCCATTAGGCTCTACCTCCCAATACTTTTGCACTTTCTAACACATGCTTTTTGGGGGATGCATTCAAACTGTAGTAGATTATAGCTGAGAAATGTCAATTTTTGGTAGAACTTGTCATCAGAGAAAGTAATTTGTAATTAAAAACAGACACCTAACCCCTCCCTGTTCAGGATATATAGAGAGCATTCCATTTATACATACCTATTGCGCATACAGGTATGTGCAACACATACATGCACGTGTAACCTGAATAATTACATAATGGATTTGATTCATGTGTCCTCATCCTCTCCCTTGTTTCTTCTCACCTCTTCCTCCCTCTCAACTTCTTTCCAATCTTTAATGTCGTTACCTGTTTCTAGGGAGGTACACATTAAATAATATCCTTCTAGGGGTTGATAAGCATAATTCATCTCTTCTTTTTGATTCACAGTGGCTGGTAGAGTGTCCTATTAGGCATTATACTAATTATATAAATAGTGAAATATTGCTTAAGAATAATTGACCTAATTTAAAATGATACAGATCAAGTAACCTAAAGGCCATTAGGAGTTTCCATTTTTTCATGAAATTTGGCTCTAACCCTTCGCCCCCTGGTGATAAATACATTTGGTTTATTTTGTGCTCACAGGCACTTTAATGTTTTGTTATGTGTGTGATGCCCAGATCCTTTACCCTGATGTGACCCGCACCAGAGTTCAAGGAATACTTTGCATTTATGATACTCAGAGGATCCTTTAAAAACCTAAGTGTGTTACAGTTTGAAGAGCTTAGAATCACTTGATGAAGAGTTGAGGAAAAACTATACAAAACTGATTTTTGTGAGCTGAATAGTTGATTAAGTTAATGTTTATTGAAAATAGCATTTCATAGTAGAAATCCTCAATTTTTCTTAATTGTAAATGGTATAAAAAGCACCTCATTCTAATGGAATTTTTTTTTTTCTTTTTTTGAGACAGAGTCTTGCTCTGTCGCCCAGGCTAGAGTGCAGTGGTGCGATCTCAGCTCACTGCCACCTCTGCCTCCTGGGTTCAGGCAATTCTCTGCCTCAGCCTCCTGAGTAGCTTGGATTACAGGCATCTGCCACCATGCCCAGCTAATTTTTGTATTTTTAGTAGAGACAGGGTTTCACCATTTTGGCCAGGCTGGTCTGAACTCCTGACCTTGTGAACTGACTGCCTTGGCCTCCCAAGGTGTTGGGATTACATGTGTGAGCCACTATGCCTGGCCCCATTCTAATTGATTTTTAATGTGCAGTAATTTACTCAATTAATAAGAATATTAAATTTAATTGACATGAGTGGATGATTAGGTGTTAATTTGTTAAATTTGGAAATGTCTGTCCAGGATAATACTTTATAGCCAAAGGAGATTGAATTCTTGGAGTACTCAAAAAGAAACATGTCATTTTGGAATAACTCATAAACACATACATGCACACACAGGCACACACCCACATGTGTGCGCACACACACACTGGTCCTTATGGCTTCAACTGCTGATGCCTCCCGAATCTGTACTAGTCCAGGTTGGTCAGGCTTATCCTACTGCTTACTGAGTACCCTTTGAATGTCTTATGGACATAAATAAAACATGTTGCAAACTAAAATTCTTATTTTTAGGCCCAGACCTATTCTCATATGTCTGTCTCAGTGAACAAAACCACTACTCAGCTGTGGCCTGAACCAAAAATATATGAGCTTTTATTGCTTTCATTCCCTCACCCACAGAATTTTATCAATTACAAAATGATATCAATTCTACTTAGTAAATAATTTTCGTTTTATCTGTTTTCCACTGTTAGTATGGCCATGAGTCTAGATCATCTTTATTTCTCTTCTGGATTACTGAAATCATCTTCTACCTTATTTGCCTCCTTTTTTTTTTTTTAAATTCTCTTTCAATCCATTATCCATTTTATAGCTACAGTGTTTTTTCCTTAACTTGCAGTTGGTTACAATGCGTTTATTAAATTCCTATTGTCCTGACTTCTGTAGCACATCAATTCCATGTGATCTGATGTTTGCTCCTCTTTAGCCTTCTCCATTATATTTCCTTCCTTCGTACATTTTTGTTTGTCCATCATGGTTTTGTTTTTTTTTTTTTTTTCTTTGGCTGTTCCATGCTCTCTGCCATCTCTAGACGTTTGTACAAACTATTCCCTTGAGTTATTTTCTCTGGCTCTTCAGCTCCTTCCTCCCACCTCCTCCCCTGCACCACCAATCCATTCTTTTGCTTAATTTCTCTCCATCCTTCAGGTTTCAGCTTTAAGAGGTCACTTCTTTTAGGAGACATTCCCTGAATCCTCTCACCTCCACCCACAAAAAAGGCCTCTCCAGATGCCCTTCTTTTCTGCTCAAACCTCATCTGCTTCCTTTATCATATGCTTATCGTTTTGGATTGTAATTATTTATTTAATTGCATGTCTTTCTGCTAGTTTTTGTGTTAGCAACAACAAGGATCATATTTTTCTTGTTAACTAATGTATAACACTGGGTGCCTACCAGTAAGTATTTGTTGAATGACTAAATGAGTGAAATGAGTTAAATGAGTAGAAAATATCCAGGAAAGTAGCTGTTTTTTTTTTTTTTACAGTACCTTTGCTGTTGATTCCCTGCCCCACTTTTTTTGGTAGAAGTGATAAGCTAAAATCTATTTTCATGAATCATTGTATATGTTGTTGTAAGTTGGGATTCATATTCATTCCAGTCCATTATTTATATTTTTCAGGCTGGCTTATTTATTGACAAAGGTGTCAAAACAACCAACTCTAGTGCTGCTGACCCAAGGGAATACCTCTGTTTGGACAATAGTGCAAGGTAAAGCTGGCTCTTTTAAGTCACACTCAAGCTATACTTTGCCAAAGCAAAACTTTCTAACTGGAGTTTATTGTGCTCTTTCTGTGGTAATACATTTAAAATAAAGTTTTAGAAGTTCGTAAAAGGGTTTTTGGAAAACCACTTATTCTGTTGTCCCAGGTCCTGTGACTGGTCTTTTATCTTATTGAAATACTAAAGAGGTTGATGTTTTTCTCCTTTTTCATTGCTATAAATAGATGCTAGAGAGAGTTGCAGAAAGAGAAAGAAAAAAGAGGAGATATGTTGAGAAAGTTTCCAAATTTGGTGTGCAGTATGATTCATTGAAAAATAAGTTAAACTAAGATGTTTAGTCTCATCCTTGAAAAACCAAACCATATAGAATTTATTCTTTGTGGTCAAAATGAATACTGCATTTAATATTTCAAAAGGAATGATCCCAAATTTGATGAGCAACCTGGTTCTGGTTCAGCCCTTTGTAGCCTCAGATTTACATCATAGCCAGGCTCTAGGTTACTTTCTTTTGTAATCACAAAATGCATTAGGTATGGATCAGCATTTCAGCAGAGTTCTCTTACATGCTATATATGAGCCAAAATAAAGAAAATGTCCCAGATGAAAATAAACTTTTCTGGAAAAGATGGTGACTTAAAGTCATATTCAGTAGAACCTGTGTACATATTATTATTTTCCATACTTCAAATTGATTGACCAGTTTATGGAGTTGATAGAGTGCTAGATTTAATAGGCTTTGTTGACAGACACTTAGGAAAAGAATACCAGGCCTGATTGTTCTTCAAAGAATCAAGTAGGAAGCACACCATAGGTTGGTGAGCCTGACTTCAGGGTGAGGCAGATTCTCACAACACTTTAATAAGACATGAGGTCAGAAGAAAACTGGGGAAAGTCTAGTTTGTCTTGAGGATTCCTCAAACATCAAGTTGAGCCTGAAATATGTTGATGCAATGATCAGATAGCATTTGAGAAACCAAGAAACTGTGGGCGTTTTAAAAAATAAAACACAAAGAACTGGATACCTAAAAGCTGATCAACAAATGAAGTGAAAAAATAGAAGAGATAAACTTAAGAAGAAAAAAGAGTATATAGATGACAATAAATTATGAACTAAGAGGAGAATATTAGCTGGCAAATAAAGAATTCTATCTAGAAGGTTACTGCTGCTTTTTTAGCTTTGAAGAGTTTATTATAATTGGTAGAACTAATATAATTTATTATAATTGGTAGAAAGTAATGTGTTCTTTGCTTAGCATTGCCAAAAAATCCATAAACACAATTGGTTCTCTTCCCTGCCTTAAAAACTTATTTATGTATATATATTTATGTATATTTATAGTAATGTGTATGTGTATATATGTGAATATATGTGTGTATATATATGAATAGAGTAAATATATTTGAGTTCATTGATGTTTTAATTAGACTTGACAATAAAACAATTTACTCATAATGGCTTAAGTAGTTCCTTACTAGGTGTGTGTATGTGATATTATGAAAATGGTTATCTTTCTTCTCTCCATTATTTATTTCTCTTACTAGTTTATAACTACATACATATTGATAAGGAATTGGACTCCATTTGGAAGTTGTTATTGAAAAGAACTGATTATAGCAGAAAAGGAACAAGAGCTTGTGCATATACTGAACTAGTGTTTAGACTATGCTCATATATATATTCATGCAATTTAGACATGGTAAAAATGATAAAAACTAGCATAAATGAGTAATAAACCAGCTCATATATTAAACACCAGGCTTAGAAGATCCAGAAGATATTTAATCTGTTCATCAAAGAGGAAGCTGACTGAACAGTTAATCAGGGCCGGGCGTGATGGCTCAGGCTTGTAATCCCAGCACTTTGGGAAGCCAAGGCGGGTGGATCACCTGAGATCAGGAGTTCAAGACCAGCCTGGCCAACACGGTGAAGCCCCATCTCTTCTAAAAATACAAAAAATTAGCTGGGCATGATGGCAGATATCTGTAATCTGAGCTACTCAGGAGACTGAGGCAGGAGAATCACTTGAACCCTGGAGGTGGAGGTTGCAGTGAGCTGAGAACATGCCACTGCGCTCTAGCCTGAGCAAAAAGGCAAGACTCCATCTCAAAAAAACAAACAAAAAAACCTGTTAATCACATAAGCCTTTCCTTGTGTCTTCAAGACGTGAAAATATAGGAATCCAAAGATGGAAAATTTTAACTGAAGAAAGCTCTTGGTTTGAAATTAGGAAATTTAATCTACAAGAGTGAAAGGGCATTAGAACCACCTAGTACATTTAAAGCAGAGGACAATTAAGAGACAGTTGAGAAGTGTGCTGAAAACTCAATGATGATAATAAGAAAATCGGGAAAAAGTAACTATTGTCTATATGCCAAGTGGGAAAGAAGATGGAAATAAAGGGTATCAAAGCAAGTGGTCAGTTACTGATTACTTTTTTTCTCCCTGTACATGCCTGGGCACTGTGGGGGTGTCGTGATTGATTTATATTGATAGGAAGTTCAGAGAAGTTGAGATGGTTACAGCAGAGAATCAGATGCTGCCTTATAGTACTCTTTTTTTTTTTTTTTTTTTGCTTTCGTTTAGAACAGTATGTCTCCGTTCCGGAACTCTTCCATCTGCTTACTATTATGTAATGACTACAAAGCTGTTTGGCAGGAACTACAATGCCAGAGAGTAGATGTTGGCTTAGAGTCAAACTTTTTACCTCTTAAGTCAGAGCTAGTTAGGGTAAAGGGACTTGGGCCATATAATCTAAAGATGGATATGACACTCTTTATCTTCGCAGCTACTACCCCAGTTTATACCACACATGCATCTGTCTGAAACACATGAAGATCCTTCTGACTGGTCTCCTTAGAGTCCATTCTCTATAATCCATTCTCCAAATAGCAATCAGTGATCTCTTAAAAGAACAAAAAAGAAATTTGATCACATCCCTTCCTTGATTCCATGCTTCCATTGACTTCCCATTGCATTTCCAATGGAGACCCAGATCTTTACCTAGCCCTTGCCCTCCTCTCTATTCTGTCTCCCTTGCTTCTTTCTCTCCAGCAAACTTCCTTGCTGTTCCTGAACATGCTAAGCTCACTCATGCCTAAGGACATTTGCACTTGCTATTTTCTCTCGATAGCTGCCTCTGCCATCATATCCATTTAGTGAGCACCTACTGTGTGCCAACAGCTGTGGTATTAGCATTAGGCAAATGATGTTTCCTCACTGGTTGAAAATCTCTACCTGTTGAATTGGTTTCTGAAAAGCTGTGATTTCTTTTTTTCTTCCGTTCGTTTTGTAAGATTAAGACAGAAATGATTAAAAAAAAATAGGTGGCCTTATGGGGCCATTTGAGTATTTGAATATCATGTATTTGAGTATTTGAGCATCATGGGGCCGTTTGACTATTTGAGTTGTTATAGTGGACAGTTTTTGACACCAACTGTTTTTACCTTTTCAGTAAGGTCCTTATAACTGTTTTAGAGAGAAGAAAAAGAAAAGGTGAAGTTCAGTATTTATAATAAATATGTTAATTAAATACAGTCTGGCTGGGTGCGGTGGCTCACACTTATAATCTCAGCACTTTGGGAGGCTGAGGTGGGTGGATCACCTGAGGTCAGGAGTTCGAGACCAGCCTGGCCAACATGGGGAGACCTTGTCTCTGCTAAAAATACAAAACTTAGGTGGGTGTGGCGATGGATGCCTGTAATCCCAGCTACTCAGAAGGCTGAAGCAGGAGAAATGCTTGAACCCGGGAAGCAGAGGTTGCAGTGAGCCAAGATTGCGCCACTGCACTCCAGCCTGGGTGACAGAGTGAGACTCTGTCTCAAAAAAAGAAAATATTAAAAAATACAGTCTATTTTAAATTTAGGCATTTTAATGATATTGAACCCAGTTTTGTCTATATCTAAACATTTAACCAGCATACAACTCAAATTATACTCTAGTTCACATATATGTATGTTGAAATATATTATTAATTTATTAAATAAGTTTATATTGGTAACATGTACCTTAAGGATTTGTAAACACACATGACATACTTCCTGATCTGGGTTTTTTTGGAAATGATTTTTATGCAATAATATTCTGCAGTGTCCATTTTAATTGATTTTTCAAAAACAAACTAAGAAGATGTAAAAGCAGTTGGTTCTCTGGAAACTTGTGGTTAAATAAATGTAATTTCTTCTTTGAATGTTTAAAATGTAAGTAAGTTGTATCTTAAGA
This sequence comes from Homo sapiens, assembly GCF_000001405.40. NCBI lineage: Eukaryota > Metazoa > Chordata > Mammalia > Primates > Hominidae > Homo > Homo sapiens. The sequence continues at coordinate 71,718,195 of NC_000009.12, read as the reverse complement.
ATTTTTCATTTGTTTTGGTCAAATTTAAATTCTGCTTCTTGACACTTAAACTTATAACTAGCTAATTCCTATGGCTTTTATGTTATATTTTTTAAAATTCTTTTTTTAACCCCTAGATTTCGACCTCATCAGGATGCAAACCCCGAAAAACCACGTGTTGCTGCTCTAATTGACAGGCTCATTGCTTTTAAAAATAATGATAATGGAGCTTGGGTCAGAGGAGGAGATATTATCGTTCAAAATTCAGCGTGGGTATTCTCTACCAAGTTATTATATGATGACACTGATGTATTATTTTTCAGATTTTTTTTAAAGCCAGTAGCATGAAAGCACAGTGATGATTCTTGGAATCATATTATTATTATTAAGACAGGACAAGCTCTGAGGAAGTATGCTAGAGTTAAAAGACCACAAATGTTTGAAGTTGTCTCATTCTGGTGCTTTTATTGGAACAGAACTTATCCGGTGACATGAGAGTTTTTGATGAAATTGAACAGAAACCGGGAATTTAACTTTATATAACAAGCATGGTCTATGTCAGAGCGCTAAATAAAACTACCTGGATCTTTTCCCTTCCTCTTGAAAACTCCTTAGTTTTTCTGATGCTCTTCTATTGCCATTCAAAATAAAAGCTTTATAATTCCAACTCAGTAAATCTGTTGACTTATATCTTAACATGACTTGAGGCAGTAAGTATCTCACTTTTTTTCCCATTTGTATAATTTTAGGAGTGGTCTCATGCATGTTGAGCTAAGATTTAGTGTTCAACAGTCTAGAAAAATGTGTGTGTGTATTTTTTTTTCTGGCACTGAAATTAGCTTCTTGGCATTTCACATCATTTCTGAGTTTTTTCATCCAAAAAACTGATACTGTGTTGAATCTGTAGAAATGGCTTCAGAATCATATACCACAGTCTAGTTGTTTTTAAAACATAGTTATAAAAATAATAATTATAGCTAATACTTTGATACACTGCTTACTGTTTGCCAGGCACTGTTCCTAACATTAGAAATTATTATTTTTTGAGACAGGGTCTTGCCCTGTCACCCAGGCTAGAGTTCAGTGGTGCAATCATAGCTCACTGCAGCCTCAACTTTCTATGCTCAAGCAAACCTCTCACCTTAGCCTCCCGAGTAGCTGGGACCACAGGCATGTGCCACAACGCCCTGCTAACTTTTAAATTTTTTGTGGAGACAGAGTGTCCCTGTGTTGCCCATGCTGGTCTTGACTTCCTGGGCTCAAGCGATTCTCCTGCCTCAGCCTCCCAAAGTGTTGGGATTACAGGCATGAGCCACCATACCTTGCCAACACTAGAAATTATTTAGTATGTTTAATACTCTCAAGAATCCTATGAGGAAGGTTATATTTTCATTTCAACTTACAGATGGGAAAAGTGAGAGATAGAGGTTGAGTAGGTTGCCAAAAGTCACACAGCTAATAATTGACAAAGCCCGGATTTGAACTGGGTGCCCTCACTGCAGATTCTGTGCTCCTAGTTATTGTGAAATCAAATTTTTGTGTGGTCATGTAGAGAGTAAATATTGGGACCTTTTGGATTTCATGATAATTAAATATTGAGAGAATTACCTCTTTTTACATAATATGGTAAATTAAAATGTTCTTCATTCTCTCTTCTTTTACAGATTTGCAGATAATGGAATAGGACTGACCTTTGCCAGGTTTGTAATTGCTTAAAAATACTTACTTATTTTAAAGCTTTAAAATAACCCTTGATTTTTTTTTCTGATAATACACAGGAATGTTTTATTATTTTTTTTAACATAAAAAAAATTAGCAACCTCTTCCTGATGCCACTAGAGGGCCAAAAATACATTTTTTTTTTTCTGGATTAATTGAATTCATAGCAAAGTACTAGGTTAATATAGCTGGAATTTCACAGAAGGATAATTTCTGCTTAGAAGAAAACACTTGCGATTTAGACTAAAGTTTTTAAAAAGTAGGGGAAAAAAGAGGAAGGGAGTAAAAGTAGGGAGAAAATTAAAAAACTAATATTTGCTTTCTTAGAAGCTGCTCTAATTTAGCAAGTTTAGTTCTTTAAGAACTAAACTTTTTGTTCTGTATGTTTTTCTACAGATAATAGTCATTCTAGTTGTCATGTTAAATATGCTTGTCATTTAATTCTTATATTCAGGACAAGTTTGTTCTCCTCATTCTCAGTGTTATTGCTTGAGACTAGAGCAATCAATTATTGCTGCTAAATTAAAGTTTGTTTATATATAATTTGTAAATCATTTATTAATTCATATGAGGGCTGGACATACCGGCTCACACCTGTAATCTCAGCAGTTTGGGAGGCCAAGACAGGAGGATCGCTCAAAGCCAGGAGTTTGAGACCAGCCTGAGCAACATAGCAAGACCCTGTCTCTACCAAAAATAAAAAAATTAACCTTAACCAGGCATAGTGGCATGCCTGTAATCTTAGCTACTCTGGAGGCTGAGATGGCAGTATCCTGTGAGCTCGAGTTCAAGGTTGCTGCTCCAGCCTGGCTGACAGAATGAGACCCTGTCTCTTTAAAAAAAAAAAAGTATATATATATATATATATATATCTTAAGAGGGATATATGTATGTATATATATATTAGGCTATAAGTAGGTATAGGTATTTTTATAGTTTAAAAGCAATTTCAAGGCTGAGTGTGATGGCTCATAACTATAATCCCAGCATTTTGGGAGGCTAAAACAGGATGATCACTTGAGGCCAAGAGTTTAAGACCAGCATGGGCCACATAGCAAGACCCCATCTCCACAAAAATTTTAAAAAATTATCTGGGCATGGTGGCACGCATGTGTGGTCCCAGCTACTTGGAAGGCTGAGGTGGGAGGATTGTTTGAGCCCAGCAGGTCAAGGCTGCAGTGAACCATGTTCTTGCCATTGTACTCGAGCATTGGGTGACAGAGCAAGAACCTGTCTCAAAAAAAAAAAAAAAAAAAAAAAGCAGTTTCTGAAGACTTGTGAATGTGTATTAGAAAAGCTATTGACTTCTTTTAAAACTTTTAGCTTTTCAGTTATAGCATGCCTACATTTGGGAATACATTTAAATTTTCTGGAGAAATGTAGCTAATGATTGTTCGCATTTTAACAGTGATGGAAGCTTCCCAAGTGATGAAGGTTCCAGCCAAGAGGTATCTGAATCTCTCTTTGTTGGGGAGAGCAGGAATTACGGCTTTCAGGGTGGTCAGAACAAGTATGTAGGCACTGGAGGAATAGACCAGAAGCCTCGAACATTACCCAGGAACAGGTAAGCATTGCTTTAGCTGTGGAGTGTTAAATTTAAGCAATAAAGGAAAACCTAACCCTCAGGGAAGTTTCTGTGATAATCCTGGATGGATTGGTTCCTACCATGAGACTCTTTTCCTATTTTATCATTTATTACTACTACTGCTACAGCTGCTACTGCTACTACTATTATAATTATTATGTGTATTATCCTCCTGAAATTTTGGAGCATTAGTTATTAAACATTTCATAGATTTAATTATCAATTTTATAACAAAGAAACTTGTCTTGTTTCTCATTCCTTGTATAAGACCTTATATAAACTGTTTTTTTTCTTCCTTCTTGAGCCATAGAAAGTTGCCAAACCCTAAACTATGACATTAGGTCAGTTTTTCCTCAATGTGTGTTGTTGGTTTTCAGAAATAACTACTGGAAAAAGGAAATTACCTACTGAAAAGAGTCCTAGGAAATGAGAGTTGATTGATGCCAAAGTTAACTCAAAACCCCACCACAGCTGTCTAATTAATGGCAGTTTAGATGTTGAAGGGAATGGGGTAGGCTCTTGGCATGTTTTCTGTCATCATCATCACAGAGTCATTAAAATTGTACTTAGCACGTCTTCAAAGCTTTAAGGAAACTATTAACTAATAATTCATATCTCAGTTCTGAGGCACAGTTTGGACTTCTCATTTTACTTGTGAGAAAACCAGGTAGAAAAATATTCAACAGTGTTTTTAGGCCTCACATCTGAGCCCATGTCATAATTCTTTAAGAATCAACTCCCCTAGAGGAGTGCTGTCGCAGAATGTTGGGCTAGAACAAGGCAGAGGAATGGGACATACAGACTGTAGCTTTGGGGAGTGGTGGCGCAGAGTGAGGACTCGGGGGAGAGCTGTACTATTTTCTGGAAAAAGGTCACCATGCTTGGCTTCTCACCCCTTGTGCTTGTTGTTGTGGAATATCGAGCACTGCTATGTGCTACACTCTGTGTGGAACTCGTGTTAGCCCATAGAAGCCATTGGGAAAAGAACTTCATGGATTTTTTAATTGCTAACATGTATTAAATGCTTATGATATGTCAGGCCCTGTTGTAAATATATTTATTTAATCCTCACAAAGCTCAATGAGATAGGTTCTGCCAGCATCCTGTTTTACAAATGAGTATCTTACTAAAGGTAGAGAAGGTGGAATTCAAACCCAGTTAGGTTGTCTTCAGTGCTGTGCTCTTCACAATTAGGCTCTTGCTGCTGTTTCTAAGGTGTAGATTTTTTAAAAAGCTGTATTGGTTGTCATATGGGCTGCAATGTGATGGTCGCCAAATCAATTTCACTCTGTATTTTATATTGACCTCCAGTTTTATTTCAAAATGCTTTTTGCTGTTTGGTAAGGAGGATTTTCCAAAATCAAACTTTCTCATTATTTAATGGAAACAGCTTTAATATGATCATATCTTTACAACTTGTATTAGTCCGTTTTCACACTGCTGATAAAGACATACCTGAGACTGGGCAATTTAAAATCAAAAGAAAGAGGTTTATTGGACTTGCAGTTCTACATGGCTGGGGAGGCCTCACAATCATGACAGAAGGCAATGAGAGCAAGTCACATCTTACCTGGATGGCAGCAGGCAAAAAGAGAGCTTGTGCTCTCTTTTTAAAACAGGGAAACTCCTGTTTTTAAAACCATCGGATATCGTGAGACCCATTCACTGTCATGAGAACAGCACGGAGAAGACCCGCCCCCGATTCAGTCATCTCCCGCTGGGTCCCTCCCACAACACGTGGGAATTATGGGAGCTACAAGATGTGATTTGGGTGGGGACACAGAGCCAGACCATATCACAACTTTTTCTACAGGGGAGAACCATGTTGAGATGTATACTTAGAAATATTAAATACATCATGATGCGAAGGTTTTCAAACTAGGCTATTTGGTTTTCTTGCTAGCATATATGCTTTTGCTGTAAAACATTGCCTAGTTGTAGAATAATTAGTTGCTATAGAGATCCTCTGCCATGCAATTAAAGAATTAATAGGAGAGGAACTTAAGGAATTCAGAATATTACCAGTTCCTATACATTAATTACAGTTATTGATTTATGATTAGTAGGCTAAGGAGTTTGTGTTTGAACAGAAAGGGGGAAAATGAATAAAACAAAATTCTCAGTCTAGCTAACCCTGTTGACATGGTAAGCCTTGAGGGCTCATGTTTTCACACTTTTAAATGTATCATTTCACCTTTGTACCATCATTTAGTGGCTTGAGAGGTGGTTCTCTGCCTAAGCGCAGACTTGTCTTTTGTTCTCATGGTTGGAGATTTGGAAACGAAGACCAAAGTACCTGAGGTTCCGAATAAAAGATCTTAACTGAGTTGATTCTAGGAAGACAAAGTCACCTCTTCAGAGAGGCCTCCATTCTGTCTAAAATAGCATCTTTCTCCCCACCCAATCTATGATAATGTTGTGTCTTATGGTCTCTATAGCACTTATTTTCTGAAATGATCCTTTGTTTTTCTGTTTGTCTTTCCCACTACAGCATATGTTTCATTCAATCAGGTATCTTGTTTTGGCTCCTACTGTATCCTAGAATTTTGCTTAGTTCATACCGGATATTTAGCTGTCTTCATAAAACAAGTAAGTGAAGTGCTGCTAAGGGGACAGCCCATATGCATTAAACAAAATCTTGTATTTCCACAGGACGTTCCCAATTAGAGGCTTTCAGATTTATGATGGGCCCATTCATCTCACAAGGAGCACTTTCAAAAAATATGTGCCAACTCCAGATAGGTACAGCAGTGCAATTGGCTTCCTCATGAAGAATTCCTGGCAGATAACCCCCAGGAATAATATCTCCCTCGTGAAGTTTGGTCCACATGTAAGTATGTTCTGTAGTTCTTACGTAGTGACTATGGTGAAAAAAGGAGGGATAGCACATTCCCAAAGACAAAAACGCAAAGGATTTGCACCGAGTCTGTACGAGTGGGAGGAGACATACACACAGAGCCAGCTCCTAATTCCATGCACTCTCTCCCATTGAGTTCAAGGGGAGAACAGAAGTCCCGTGTGACTCTGGGTATGTTTGACATTCAAGTCATACCTTGATAGGGAAAATGACTTCAAGTGATGATACAGAGGTTGTAGAGTTTCATAGGAACAAGAGGACATACGATTTTGGAAAATTCAGTGAAATACGCTGGTTGGGTAGCCCATTTCCACTAAGAGATTTGGATCCTTCCTGCTATTTTACTTGTCTGAGGGCTATTCTTCTGGGGGACTAGAGAATAAGAGGTTGTGAATAAAGCAGAATACTGTGGCAGTGTGATACAAATTAGGTTATTTCTTTTTTCTTTTCTTTTTTTTTTTCTTTGAGGCAGGGTCTCAGCCTGTCACCCAGGCTGCAGTGCACTGATGTGAACGGTGGCAAAGTCATGGCTCACTGCAGCTTCAACCTCAATTGGATGGATGGCTCAAGCCATCCTCCCACCTCAGCCCCCTAAGTAGCTGGGTATACAAGCATATGCCACCACATCTGGCTACTTAAAAAAAATTTTTTTTTTTTTTTAATAGAGAAAGGGCCTCATTAGCCTGGGCTGGTCTTTAACTCCTGGCCTCAAATGGTCCTCTCAGCTTGGCCTCCCAAAGTATTGGGAGTGTAGGTGTGAGCCACTGCATCTGGCTGAAATTGGGTTATTTCTGATATAAACTGTTGGAAGGTTTTTATGAAGATTGCAGATAGACTGTAAAAATTACCATTTACAGTACAGTAGCCCACAGGAATGGTTTTCTTACCAATTTCACCAGTATTACCTGTACCCATAACTCACAGGACAATCTGATTACATGCCCCCAGGCTTTCATCATCTTGCCAGTTCCATGGTGGCAATGGCACAAGACAGAGAAGTCTCAGGACATCTAGCTGCCTGTTCCCACAGGCAGCCACACCTGGGAAATAAGTCATCATTCTTTCATTCACATCCACCCACAAACTTAATAGTTGCCCAATTTAAAATAGAGCTTGATAGGTTTATCAAAGTCTATGTCTGGTTTTCTACAACAGCTTGGGTGTGGATCAGAGGCACAAGTACAAATTGGAGTGTCAGCTTGGTTGGCTGGTTCTTTTTTAGGCCATGTGACTCCAGGGGATGGGTAGGACTAGGCTGGTAGATGGCACCCACATAAATCAGCAGGATGAGTCTTGGATCCCCTGTCCAGTACGGAGACTTGCTGTTTCCTTACTGCCCATGTGGACCTCCCCGTAGTTCTCTATGCATCCTGTTTAGTGATCACTGGCATAGGCATACTGAAAAGCAGTTTGTTAGATACTGCATTTGTTGTCCTAAAGTTATAACAGCATAATACAATCCATATTGTTTAAGTCCAGCAGTTCATCCAGTCTGGAGTTTTCTATGGTGGGGATGCTCTGAAGCTTATAAAAGGAGCGGTTTGCAAAATTTGCTTTACTTAAAAGGGTGGAAAATATGCTCTAAGCTTTTCTCAGATTTAACCACGTAGGAAAAGAGAAGTGTGGAACCAAGAACTTGCCGCTACTTGTCCTAGACGTCACAGTTTTCCATTGAGTTGCTTATCATTTAGATGTTCTGTTGATTTAAAAACACACCAGGGCAAAAAGTGCATAAAAGCATTTAAGAGAGGTATCTGCCTGACTTCAATAGCGTTGGTATTATATAATTTACTGCTAATAAGAAGCAGCTAAAGACTGTAAAACATGTCACCTGCAGCCCATTTTGCAGCTGTACATTATGTGTTTGATAAAGGCTTTAAGTAAACTCTACTGGATGTGAAAATTGTTGAGCTGAGTTTGGTCTGTATTGAGGAGCGAGATAGTAATATAAGCTTTTTAGCAGATTCTAGTGAGTTTATCAATAACTCAGCCATACTAAGTCAACACTTAAATTGTGTTTCTGTTTTGACCTGTACTTATCTGTTTATTTTTTTGGTGGGGGGAGTCATATGAACAAGTAACTGAAGCATTTGGAGATAAAATGATTAACTAGCTCTGAAGATAACTTATCATAGATTTTTTATTTCATTGAGATATAATTTACATGTAGGGAAATGCACAGATCTTACATGTACAGTTTATAATTTTTAACAAATATATGTGACTGCATAGTCTCCCTTCCCACAACTCTTCTGCTTTCTCTCCCCACAAATGAGTTTTGTCTGGAGAACAGGTAATAGTTTTTAAGTGGGGAAAAGAAGAATACAAATAACGATGAAGTTTAACATTTGCCCATTAAACACCATAAGGTTTTGGGAAATTCCCCCCAACCCCAGCATGTCATTAATTGAGTAGAAAACTCAGGCTGACTTGAGTGCCATAGCTGACAACTATGAACTGTAACTCAGAACTGCTCTAACCTTAAAGCAATCACAATGGACCTGCAGTTGAGTCATTGCAGGGGATGCTGAGATAGCAGGAGCCCTCACTTTGTGATGTCTTTCTTTTTCACTGTGGTCAGGTCTCTCTGAATGTCTTTTTTGGAAAGCCTGGTCCCTGGTTTGAAGATTGTGAGATGGATGGTGATAAGAACTCCATATTCCATGACATTGATGGCTCTGTGACAGGATACAAGGATGCTTATGTGGGAAGAATGGACAACTACCTGATCCGCCATCCAAGCTGTGTAAATGTGTCTAAGTGGAATGCAGTGATCTGCAGTGGGACCTATGCACAGGTAGGCTTAGCAAATGTATAATGCTCAAGTTCCTACCAGCTCCTGCCAGCACTGCTTCTGTGAGAAGTACTCTTCAGCTTTTCAGTGTGATTGACATTTTCCAAAGTATGATCTATCTTCCTGTCCTGTCCTGTCCTTTCTTTTCTTTCTTTCGATTCATTAGGAGTCATGGACTCCTGGAATTTTTCTTAAAACTCCCCAACTCCAGATCTGTTTAAGAGGTGAAAGAGTGAGTCCCAGAGAGGAGAGCTGATTTACCCTGGGTTAAATGTGGTTGGAACGTAGTTGGGACAAGAACCCATGTTTCTTGACTCTTAGGTTTTCTTGCCACACTACAGCTATGCCCTCTAAGAGGGATTTTTATCCTTTGCTTTTGGGGTCAGTAATCTCTACTTAATGAAAGAATCTGACTTTTGAGGCAAAATATCAATAGGTCACATGAAAAGTGAGATGTTCCCGGGGACAGAGCTGGAGATTAGGAGTGAGTGGACAAGAAAGGAATCCAAGGAAAATTTCCTAATTCTATTATGATATAATGTCTATGAAAATATGGAGGAGATGATATACATTGAGAAACACCTCTTTGAAGACATTAAGCATTAATGTGTATTAACTTGATGCCTAGTATAAGAGGATGAACTAATTTGCAACGTAGTATATATGGTTAAGAGCACAGATTCTAGAGCTAGACTGCCTGGGTTTGAATTCTGGCTTTGTTATTTTCTAAAGTATGCATTGGAAAAGTTAATTAACTTCTCTATGTCGGTACACAATGGGGATAATAGTAGTTACTCTCATAGGAGGCTGTTGTGAAGATAGAGTACATGCACATATGTAAAGCATTTAGCATATGGCCTGGCACATAGTTCAGTGCCCGCTGCTCTTAGTATTATTTAAGGAGAAGAGCTGTAAGTTGCAAAGGTGATTTTAATAGTGACATTTTGGTGGATGGAAGAGATTGCAGAATGGAGGTACCAGCTGCCCAGGATTTTGAAAGGAGCAGATCCTGCCCCCACCCTCTGCCCCATGCAGACAATTAAAGGGTAGGAATTTTTATTTATTTATTTATTTTTGAGACGGAGTCTTGCTCTGTCGCCCAGGCTGGAGTGCAGTGGCGCAATCTTGGCTCACTGCAAGCTCCGCCTCCTGGGTTCACGCCATTCTCCTGCCTCAGCCTCCTGAGCAGCTGGACTACAGGCGCCCGCCACCATGCCCGGCTAGTTTTTTTGTATTTTTAATAGAGACGGGGTTTCACCGTGTTAGCCAGGATGGTCTTGATCTCCTGACCTCATGATCCGCCCACCTCGGCCTCCCAAAATGCTGGGATTACAGGCGTGAGCCACCGCGCCCGGCCAGGATTTAATAATAGACTGTCAGAGGAGATAAAGGAAATAGATGATCAGAACATGGAGACGAGAATTAGAGGAAGAGCAAGGGATTTTCCACATAGAATTGGGCTGTGATAGCCCTAAAGACAGGAAAGAAGCCCCTTTCTTTGATTTGCTGCTAGATGTTCTTTTCGTAGCATGGGCTCTTCCTGGGGAGGATCCGTGCTGTGCTATTTCCCCTCTACTGAGCTCTGCTCACTTTGCCGGTCAAAGGTGTGTTTTCGGGCTCCCGCTTGTCACTTCTCTGAGCCCCCTGAATTACATGTTGTTTCCACCACCTGAGCTTTCAATAATTGGAGCTTCTTGGATCAGAATTCTTCTTTGTTCTTCTGACTTTGAATTACGACAATTAAAGCAGGTGATTTTTAAATTTTAAAACTTAAAAAGTTTAGATCCTTATCTATAGACTAAACAAAGGGCTTAAGAGGAATAAAGACGGGAGAGACTTTCTGGTTTATTTTAGTGGGGGTATTAGCTTCTTTATTGCTATGGGATTTCTCATTTCCATGAGCAAAAATAAAAAATACTAAAAAAAAAAAGTAATACTTGCCTAAGTCCCAGAAGGGATGGAGAATTAACTACAGTAGAATAAAGAAGAAAGGAACATGGTTTATAATGTGATTTATTTTTTCCATTTATCTTATTCTTAATCAGAATTGCCTTCCCCAAATTAAGTTTACCCATCAATGCCTAGGAACTATAGACGTTCTAGAACTGAAACAAAACTAGAAAATAAAAACTAAGGCCGGGCATGGTGGCTCACGCCTGTAATCCCAGCACTTTGGGAGGTTGAGGCAGGTGGATCACCTGCGGTCTGGAGTTCGAGCCCAGCCTGGCCAACATGGTGAAACTTCATCTCTACTAAATAGAAAAAATTAGCCAGGCGTGGTGGTGGGCACGTGTAATCCCAGCTACTCGAGGGGACTGAGGCAGGAGAATCGCTTGAACCCAGGGGCAGAGTTTGCAGTGAGCTGAGATCATGCCATTGCACTCCAGCCTGGGCAACAAGAGCGAAACTCTGTCTCAAAAATAATAATAATAATAAATAAATAAATAATAAGCTTTTAGCCTTTTTGTAGCTACAGTTTTGGCTAAAGTTCTTGCCAGCCATGAGTATTCATGCATGTGTGCGTATATCTATCTGTCTGTCTTAAAGTGGCAGGTACACACTAATGAAAACTATATTTTTTAAGTGATCATAAATGTTTCTATAAATATGTGGTTATGGTAGCTCTTTTATAAATTACCATTGCAACTACCAATGTGACATATTTTTCATTTATTCAACATTCACTCAGTAAAGCATTCAGTCCTTTGAATATCTAATGTATTTGAGAATATTAACCTGATCTATATTACAAATCAGAGTAGTAATTCTGTTTATAGATGAAGAAAGAAATAAGTCATCTAATACTCCTCAGGGGGCACTGGGAATCGTAGGACTATGGACCAGAAATTTACTCCTGAGAATTTGAAATTTGGGCCAGAAGCCCAGTTCTGCAGCCATTTGTTGTTACTTAGAAATGATGTAGTATGCCAAAAATGGGAGCAATTGGATCTCAAGATAGAATGATCATGATTTAACTATTTGTAAATATTTTTTAGTGGAATATGTGCTTTTTTTTTTTTTCCTTTTTTTTTGAGATGGAGTTTTGTTTTTGTTACCCAGGCTGGAGTGCAATAGTGCTATCTTGGCTCACTGCAACCTCCACCTCCCAGGTTCAAGCAATTCTCCTGCCTCAGCCTCCCAAGTAGCTGGGATTACAGGCACCCGCCACCACACCTGGCTAATTTTTGTATTTTTAATAGAGACGGGATTTCACCATATTGGTCAGGCTGGTGTCGAACTCCTGACCGCCAGGGATCTGCCTGCCTCGGCCTCCCAAAGTGCTGGGATTACAGGCATGAGCCACTGTGCCTGGCCGAATATGTGCTTTTTAATGACCTGAGGGATAAAGGTACTCAGGGAGAAAGATGGTGATATAGGGAGAGTTAAGGTTACTAAGGCAGGGGACAGATATGCAGTGTATGTACAGCCTCCTATATATATATACACACACACATACACATATATAAATGTACATGTAAATATACATATACATAAATATATATAAATATATGTTAAACATAAGTATGTTTAAATTAATATATATTATATATTGAGTATATATTTAAATGAAGACAATCAATAGTCTTAAAAATGTTTCCTGTCTATTTTAAATCTTTAAGCGGTGTCAGTAGAGTATTAAATAATTGAGGTAGTTAAAAAGGACATAAAATTGAGGAGTCAATATGGATAAGATTATAGAAATGACAGGGAAAAATACAGAAGTATTGTAGATTAAATGTCAATATTCTGCTGCTGCTTTAATATTCTGGAGAATTTGGTTACAGATACTGATTTGTTTTAGGAGATTTGTTCTAAGAATTTTCCTTTGTAGGATACATTTGGGGATGGCTTTGTTTTGGCATGGCAAGTAGCTCTAATGCCACTGGAATACATTCAGGACTTTCAAATTTGTCTCAGTTTAATGTTTTTTCAGTTGTTGCACAGTACTTTATAACTTTTTTTTTTTTTGAATGGGTGAAAAATGGCTTTGTGGGCTGACGTAGGTCATGGAAAATTGAAAGCCAAAGCTCTAAGATATATAAGTTTTTCATCTCTTGGTTTAGAAGAAAGTCTCTTAGATTTGAGTAGAGGATATCAGTTTTCACATTAGTTTACTAATTTTTTTTTGTATGTGTGTTCTTTAGACTGAGAGATTTCTTTGACAAGCTGTATAAGCCACAGAAGTTTTATATTCTGATGAATAAGCTGGCCTGTAGTGGTGGAAGCGATGATGAAGATCTTGGCTAGCAGAGCACATGGTCTGTTTTTACCATTTCTAGTTTAAGTAGGCTGCACTATAAGTGGCTGAGGATGTAGTTGGCTGCTGCTCACTTAGTCTGGCACAGATCACAGAATCTCCCTTTTCAAAGTTGAGACACTTGACTTTGTGCTGAAAATGTCTTTTTAGCTGTTTAAATTTTCATTCTCTTCCCTTTACTTCTTGATTATTTTTTCAAGGTCTATGTACAGACATGGAGCACTCAGAATCTTTCTATGACCATTACACGAGATGAGTATCCGTCCAACCCTATGGTGCTCCGAGGTATTAATCAGAAGGCTGCCTTTCCACAGTACCAGCCTGTCGTCATGCTGGAGAAGGGTTATACCATCCACTGGAATGGGCCGGCACCACGGACTACATTTCTATACCTCGTCAACTTCAACAAGTATGTTTCTGTTACTGTTATTTCAAATAGTTGAGCAAGTAGTAATTTAGTGGAGAAAAAGAATAACTTATGTCTCCTTTGCAGCAAGCAAAGAAAGCCAATTTTACATACTTTGCTTCTCTTGTGGGGAGGCTGTATATTTTGTGTTGATGGAATTAAAGAGATTATACAAATTGAATCCTGTCATTTCAAAAGCTTTTTTTTTCTCTGTGGTCAAGTTATTATGCACATAAAGCCATTCAACGATAGGTTTTAATACTGCTGAATGCTTTAATTCCCTCTAGCTGGGATGGGAAGTAGTTTTCTATGCTCTTCCAGTGGAGCATTTGCTTACCTGAAAAATTAAAAGATTTTTGAGGCTGAGTTTAGACTTGGCAGAAGAAAGTAGTGGGATGGATTAGTAATGCCTGCTAGGGGCAAGAAGTGAAAGAGTTGGGACATGAAGGCCAGGTATTTGCTAGCCCTGCCTGAAAGCACTATTTTATCCCTTCTTGATTTCTCAGTTGTCTGTTCTAATCACAGGCAATCCAAGGGGCTATTTTTATAATTGATTTATTCAAGTGTTTATTGTGTGTAAGTTGACATAAAGGTGAATGAGAGAAGTACTTGCCTTCTAGGAGTTCAGAGTAGACAGGTAGAAAAAACTCAAGTAGATAGATAAACCAAAGCTATTTTTTAGTGGACAAATGATAGAGCAACTATTAAATAATTCTGCCTAAGGGAGTTGAGCCAGGCTGCAGTGAGGAATGATTCTGATGAAGCAATCTGTCTTGTTATATTAATAAAAGCACAGTGTTGGGAAAGGGCCAGTTCTCCTGGGGGAAATGATGGAGTCAGTGTGATGGGGACATAGAGTGTGTCAGGGGAAATGACAGAAGGTGAAACAAGGAAGGTGGGATGGGACTATTTAGAAAGGGAGGGGTAAACCACATGTATCTTATCAATCTAGATACATGTGGCTATTAACCCATGCGACTCCATGAAACTGCTGAGATATGTACCTGAAAAATTGAAATGGCTTGTTCACCTGAGTCGTCATCAAGCCCTGACTTGTCAGAACACTCTTAAAACATCCAGTTGAAATGAACATAGAAGGACTAGAGCATGTAGGAATTCAGCTTTAAGAAAGTCACTTCCAAGGATGATGAACATCGTGGCAGATGCCCTTGTTCTGAGATTGTTAGGGCTCTGGCATGTGCTCTGAGCTGAACCGTTACCATTACTGTTACTGTTTTCCTGTAATCCTTGCTGCGGCCCTCTGTGCCCCACCCACACAGTCAACCAAGCCCCAAGGCCAGTACTCATTCCTGTCTCTTCCTTTTCCCTCATCACTCCATCTTATCCGTAACTGCACCCTGTTGGTTCCAGCTCCTAAAGTCATCTAAATCTGTCCACTTCTTTCTACCCACAGTGTTTGTGGCTAAGTCAAGCCCTCACCATCTCTTGCCTGGCTCCGTGGAGCAGTCCCCACTTCAGTCTCCCCACCTCCAATCCTTAGTCCACATTGTGGCCAGAGTGAGATTTCTGAAAGCCCAATCTAATATCATCAGTGAGTTGCAGAGAAGTCAATGAAAGAAACAAACAATTGTCAGAGAGGATGGAGAAATGTCAAAGGGTGATCAGTACTCTATAAGTTATATTGGGCAGAATTATGAATTGGAGGTGAGGTATGACAATAAAATGATATGCAGTGTTTTGTAAAGTACCGTGCATACCTTTCCATCAGATACTGAGCAAGTAAAGACATTTTAAAGTGAAAAAAAATGCTGAGCCTAGAAGTTTCAAAAATCCACATGGGCATGAAATTCAGTCATACTTGTTTAATTAGCTGAAAGTTTATAAAAATTACACGATGGTCAGAGGCAAAAGGAAGAGATGGACAATTTTTTACCCCTCAATTTAAGATAATTATAGGGAAGTCATAGATTTTGTCATAATGCCATTTCTGAAAATAACACTTTTAGAAGTTATGAAGGCAGTACTTATTCATTAAACAAAATAAGGAAAATATAGAAAAACATAAAGAAAATGGAAATAATCTACAGTTCTCCTAACCAAAGCGAGGCATTGTAAACATATATAGTACATTCCCCTCTTTCTAACCTCAAGTTGCTTTGTGTCTATGGATGTGCCATAATTTTTTTAACTACCCCCCTTACCCCATGAACATTTAGGTTGTTTCTCCTGCCCGCCCCCCCGCATTTTGCTATTATAGACAATAATTCATAGAACATCTTTTCTATCTTTTGTCTGCATTTTCTAGTTATTCTTTAGTGGGGTTATTTTTTTCACTTGAAAACCTAGGTGAACAATATTTTTTTTTTTTTTTTTTTCCTTGAGACAACATCTTGCTCTGTTGCTCAGGCTAGAATGCAGTGGTGCAATCTTGGCTCACTGCAACCTCCGCCTCCTGGGTTAAGTTGATCCTCCTACCTAAGCCTCCCAGGTATCTGGGACTACAGGCGTATGCCACCACACCCAGCTAATTTTTGTACTTTTTATACAGATGTGGTTTTGCCATGTTGCCCGGGCTGGTCTTGAACTCATGCACTCAAGTAATCCACCTACCTCAGCCTCCCAAAGTGCTAGGATTATAGGCATGAGCCACTCCGCCTGGCTATGTGAAGAATTTTAAGGCCTTGTTACATATTATTTAAACATTTTTTAGAATGACAAAAAAGTTTGGGAAATAGTGATGATGATTGAACAACATTGAGAATGTACTTATTGCCACTGAACCATATGGCTAAAAATTATTAAAATGGTAAATTTTATCCTAGGTATATTTACTATAATAAAAAGGTCAAAAAAGAGAGAAAATGATAAAAAGTGGAAATGTTTTTAATTTTTAAAAAGGATTAATTTTATATTTAAGGACACTAAGAAAATCCTAGGGCCATTTAGTGATATGCATCAAAAGCTTTAAAAAGGCATATACCTTTACATACAGCAATTTTCCCACTAGGAACTCATCCTAATACATTTATAAAAGGTAAAATTATAAACAAAAAAATTATTTAGAATGCTTTTGCCAATGTACAGTTCCACTCTCCATATATTAGTGTTTCTATCTTGTACACCTATACCCAACCATCTCACTTAATTTTCTTATCTTTTTAGAGTGTCTAAGTCTGTTTTATCCAACTTTTTAATGTTCTTTCAAATCCTCTTAAAACTAAGAATTTTTAGGGCTGGACACGGTGGCTCACGCCTGTAATCCCAGCACTCTGGGAGGCTGAGGTGGGCGGATCACTTGAGGTCAGGAGTTCGAGACCGGCCTGGCCAACATGGTGAAACCCTGTCTCTACTAAAAGTACAAAAATTAGCCGTGCATGGTGTTGTGCCCCTGTAATCCCAGCTACTCGAGAGGCTGAGGCAGGACAATTGCTTGAACCTGGGAGGCGGAGGTCACAGTGAGCTGAGATCGCGCCACTGCACTCCAGCCTGAGTGAAAGAGCAAGACTCCATCTCAAAAACAACAACAACAAAAAAACAAAAACAAAAAAAATTGTAAAGGCTCATATTTTTGCTGTATATCTATTGATATGAGAAATTTGAGCAACAGATGAAGGTGGGTGATTTGTTAGTATGCCATGGTTCAGAACTTCCACTGTCAGTGGCCCAACACACAGAAGAAATTTAAGGAGGAGAAAACTATGGGCAGGAAGTGGAAGAAGTGGCACATGAAGGACAGTTATCTGCATACGCTATAGTACTTAACAGATAATGGCTGAAGTGTAAACTAATTTTTTTATGTTTCTCCTTTAAAGGAATGACTGGATTCGAGTTGGCCTTTGCTATCCATCAAACACAAGTTTTCAAGTTACCTTTGGCTATTTGCAGCGGCAGAATGGCTCATTATCCAAAATCGAAGAATATGAGCCTGTGCATTCACTGGAAGAACTGCAAAGAAAGCAATCCGAGAGGAAATTCTATTTTGACTCCAGCACGGGGTAATTCAGTGAAACCAGGGAATGAGAATTATTCCTATTTTTCTTTAATGGTGAAATTGCTAGTTCTTCAGCATCGCGGCTGTTTAGTGAAGCAGCTGATGTGGGTAATTCTCTGCACATCTTCTCTATTAGAGGTTTAGAGGGGAACTAGAATGGCTCGTAATTATAGTTGGCAGTAGGGATCGAGTGAAGATGTTTGCTGTATACGTATTGAGGCAATTTAGAGAAAGAAATTATCCCTTGTCGATGAAGAATCAGTAGGCCCAGTTGGAAATTACAATAATTTTTTCCCATAATAATGTTCTTCATATGATTATTTACATGTGATATAGTTCATATTTCAGTGAAAGCTCATTTTTCTCTTCCTGACTTAGGCTATCTTACAAGTTGACCTTGAGTTTTTGAAAATCACTGTGTAACTGTGGAATATTTGCTTTCAACTTTCTCTAGGCTGCATCTTTCCACTTTTTAATTCCAATCCTGTTCTTCTGGGGTCCTGTTGGTTTTGACTGCTTTTACCCAGTTACAGTCTCTCAGCCTGTGGGCTATGGTAGGCTCCATCTCCTGTACTCTTCCAGCAGGTAGCGTGTTCCTTCAGCCTTTCTCCTCACGCAGACATTCCTCCTATATGCCATTGTCTATGCACTATAAAGATACCAATGGAAAGAAGATGCATTTCTTCTGCAAACTCACCGTCCATTGAGGAATGTGGGCATGTAAATCAAGTCATTAGAGAAGGAAAGGTTGAATGCTCTCGGTTCTATATTCAATGTGGCTTTTGGATTGCCTCAGAAGTTCAGCCTAGAGTAACCAGTGACATCCTGAGAGGGTGATCCTGGAGCTAATTCTTGAGAAACACTTAGGAGGAGATGGAAAAAGAAGTGGGTGAGATGTCTTACACAGAAGAGACAGTGTGCACAAATGCATGGGGGCATGGTAGAACATGGCATTGCGTGTTTGGGGAAAGGCAAGAAGTTCAGAGTGGGGAGAAGGGTGGCGAGATTGACTTGGGGAATGAAGTCGGGGCTCAGTTGTTAAGTGCCTGGTTAGCCTTTAAATAAGATGCAACTCATTTGCCCTCCCAGTCCCCCACCAGCCAGTGTTATCAGCTTAAAAGTTTTATTGTCATAATTGTCTCCAATTTTTAATTTTTCTTTCTTTTTCTTTCTTTCTTTCTTTTTTTTTTTTTAAGAGACGGTGTATCCCTATGTTGCCCAGGCTGGAGTGCAGTTCACAGGCATAGTTGTGGTACACTACAGCCTTGATCTCCTGGGCTCAAGTGATCCTCCCACCTCAGCCTCACAAGTAGCTGCTGCCACCACACCCAGCATTGATTTTCAATTTTTGTTTAGACTTAAACAACTACCTGGACTTTCATTCTGTAGATGATAGAACTTCCAGATTCCCACTTGATTTTCCACAAGAATAAAAAGAATATCCACATTTGGAAGGATAGTCTGGTGACAAGTTAATGATTAAAAGTGTAAAAAGATGGAAAATACTTTCTGATCTGGGTATTTCAAGAATCCTGAGGTCCTAATTCTTTTTATTAGATTGGTGCAAAAGTAATTGCGAATTGCGGGTTTTGCCTTTTTTTTTTTTTTTTTAATGCTCTCAGTCCTAGAGATACTCAGTGTGCCATTTGAGCTGATTTATACCTCATAATCTCAACTTTGTACTGTTTATTGACCTCATTAAAATGTGAATTCTTCATTTCTAGTAATCAATCACACTTGATCAAGTTTTTTTAGAATCTTGACTTCCTTTGGTTTGGAAGGACTGGGTTTGCTGATAGAGATTGAACTGCTACCTGGAAGTTAGACTTTTTCATTCATCTTGGCAGTGGGAAGATAATTCAGAATGGGTGGGATGGACTGTTCATTTTGCCTGGTTTTGGCCCTAATATAGACCGAAGGAACCCAGGTCCATCTGCTCTTCATAAATATCACAGGAATTGATTTGAGACTTTATCTTGGCCTTAGCCAAAGAAGTCACAGTTCCTGTTTTTATTATTTCAGTTTTATGCCTTAACCAAAATGATTTATGAATGAGAACAACAAAAAGAATGAACCACACTAATTTACCAAATCCTAAACTCAACACATTATGTATAAAGTGTTCCAAGGAATTTTTGAGCCAAACCAAATTTCATCCCCCCAAATTACCTATCGAACTAATTCAAACCAGAAATCAGCTTTGATATGTTCCACAACAATGGAAGCAGGGTATGACATATTTCCTAAAGTGTTACTGCATTTGACTTAGGACCCTTGAAGGATAGAAAGAAAACAGAAATAACTATTCATTTTGTAATTTATGTTTTAAGGAAAAGTTACTAATTGGAGGAATATCCCTTTTGGCCATGAGCTGATTTGAGGAATTTTGTAAGTTTTTGAGAATAAGTCTAACTACATGGATTGGTTTCTGTTTTGTGCAGGTTACTGTTTTTGTATCTCAAAGCCAAAAGCCACAGGCATGGCCACAGTTACTGTTCATCTCAGGGATGTGAAAGAGTCAAGATCCAAGCAGCCACAGACTCAAAGGACATCAGTAACTGCATGGCCAAAGCATACCCACAGTACTACAGAAAGCCGTCAGTGGTCAAGCGGATGCCGGCCATGCTCACTGGACTCTGTCAAGGCTGTGGCACTCGGCAGGTAAACAAGGA
The DNA here is from genome assembly GCF_000001405.40 of Homo sapiens. NCBI lineage: Eukaryota > Metazoa > Chordata > Mammalia > Primates > Hominidae > Homo > Homo sapiens. The sequence continues at coordinate 71,697,973 of NC_000009.12, read as the reverse complement.
TGAAAAGTGGTCTGTGGCCAAGGAGAAAAAGTCAGAGGGTTTCTTTGCAATAGGAGCACTTTTCTTTGAAACATCTATATTGCCCATTTATGGACATTGCATGGCATCTCCTGAATTTTGGCCCATGCTAAAATGTGAAGCGCGTAAGAAGCAAACTAGTTCAAATTTATGACAGAGATACTTGCCCCTGTGATACGTCAGTTTACCTTGAACAACTGCAGATTTTCCACAGTTTAAAATTAGAGGTTGCTATGTTGGTCCTCATTTTTTTTCTTTCTCAGATGTTTGATTCTGTTGCAATATGACTGTTGGATTTACATGCCAGTGATGTAAAAAAGATACTTTGTTTTGTTGGCACAGTGTGAAATTTCTTTTCAAAAATACAGCTAATATGAAAATTGTTTCCTTTTTATAAGGTGGAAATCCGCTCTTATTTTTGAAGCATATGCTATTATATCTATCTGTAATTAAAGTACAGACTATCACATCACTTTATCATTTTTATTTAAAAAAAAAGTACCGACTGACTTTGGTTCGAAATGCAAATGCTTCTTCTAACATTCTTGATTAGATGGCCGCCTACTGGATCTCAAGAAAGCACTGCAATGAAAGTGAACCCAAAATATGAACTAAAATTGGGCATACAGAAGGAGTTCCAAAGGAAATCAGATAATTCCAAGTGAAAAAACAAAGGATGGAGCTGCCCTGATTTATATTTCACACAAACAAATATGGGCTAAGGGAAATGGTTCTCAAAGTGTGACCCCCAGACCAGCAGCATCAGGATCCCCTGGAAACTTGTGGAAAATGGGAATTCTTGGGCCCAACCCTCATCCTACTGAGTCAGCAACTGTGGGGCTGCGGCCTGGCAATCTATTTTAACCAGCCCTGCAGCTGATTCTGATACATGTTCACATTTGAGTTCCACTGATAATTTTTTTTAAAAAGCAATAATTACCACAAATATGCATACTGCCTATTAATATGGAGAAAACTAAATCTTTCTTTTCATTTCTTCCTATTCTAAGTGATTTAAGAAAACAAAATTACTTCCACTAGTAAGTTCCATATTTCTCTCTCTTTTTTTTTTCATTATTTATATCCATTCATGGCAGTAAGACCAGGAAGAAAGAGGTGGATTTATGTTTCCCACTAGAATGTATAAGTCTTTTTTTGTTTTGTTTTGCTTTTTGTTGTTGTTGTTGAGATGGAGTCTCTCTCTGTTGCCCAGGCTGGAGTGCAGTGGCATGATCTCGACTCACTGCAACTTTGCCTCCCGGGTTCAAGGGATTCTCCTCCCTCAGCCTCCTGAGAAGCTGGGACTACAGGTGCATGTGACCACACCTGGCTAATTTTTGTATTTTTACTAGAGATGGGGTTTTGCCATATCGCCCAGGCCAGTCTCTAACTCCTGACCTCAAGTGATCTGTCCGTCTCAGCTTCCCAAAGTACTGGGATTACAGGTGTAAGCCTCTGCACTGGCCAATTTTTTTTTTTTTTAATGGCAACTCTACTATCAGTCTTAGTCTCTCATATTTCTGAGCCACCTCTACTCTCTCATACAAGTAAAATCAAAAATCAACCAACCAGAGAAACCAACAACAACAAAAACAACCCTGTATATGAAAGTTATATGATTCCTTGCCAGGCTGATATAATAATCTGACTGTTAAAGTGACATTTTGAGGTAGTCTTTGTGGGGAAGTAAATTTTCCAGCCTAATTCTCAAGCTGGATTTGTTAAGACCCTTCAATACTGAAGAGACTTTGTATAATCTATAATAAACATTATAACTTATAAAAATAATTTAATTAACATTGGAAATATTCTAGGCCTATGTTGTTAAATGATTCCATGCACTCATACTTAGCATTCTTTATCTTTTGTGCATGAAGCATTGATCAGAATTCATTTTTTTAAAATGTATTGATTACTGACTTTGTGCAGTTGCAAAGTAGTTGAAGTCGCTGGGAACATCGCTTTTACTTGAAAATTTGTGGGTAATTTTTTTTTTCTTAAATATAGAGGCGGGGTCTCACTATGTTGCCTAGGCTGGTCTCAAAGTCCTGGGCTCAAGCGATCCTCCCACTTTGGCCTCCCAAATTGTTGGGATTACAGATGTGAACCACCATGCCCGGCCTAATTTTTGTTCTGACTGTCAAAACCAAACACATTTATATTAGGAGTAAATAGGAAAATTCACAGGAATTTTTGACCCCAAACTTGGAGACTTCAAAGAACTACCCAGCTTCCGACTTGGGATCATTTTGACTGTTTATTTTTTGTTTTTTGTTTTTTTTGAGATGGAGTCTCACTCTGTCGCCCAGGCTAGAGAGCAGTGGTACGATCTCAGCTCACTGCAACCTTCATCGCCCAGGCTCAAGCAATTCTCCTGCCTCAGCCTCCCAAGTAGCTGGAACTACAGATGTGTACCACCTGCCTGGCTGATTTTTGTATTTTTAATAGAGGCTGGAGTTCGCCATGTTGACCAGGCTGGTCTTGAACTCCGGACCTAAGGTGATCCACCCATCTCAGCCCCCCAAAGCGCTGGGATTACAGGCATGAACTACCATGCCCGGCTGATTGTTTATTCTTGCAGGGAAGTTTTTAACATTGGTTTATATGGACAGTGTACCTCTAAGTGTTAAATTGTGTGAGAGTTAAGTGTTTTTGAATGAGAAGAGAGCCCTTAGGGAGGAGACAGGTTTTGGAGACTGGGAGTAATTTGGAGGAGTACAGGGAAAAGGGAAGGGCATTCCTGGGAAGGGAACAGCATCAGCAAAGGCAGAGTGGCAAGGAAGAGGGTGGAGTGCTTGTGGGAAAGTGAGGCCCTGCCTGAGTGTAACAGCACAGGGAAAAATAGGGGCCTGTCTATAAGGCACAACTCTGTTTATGGAATGCCTTGCAGGTCACAAAGAGGAGTTGAGACCTGCTCATGTTCAAAGTTAGTAAACGTTTCTTAACAGGGTAGTCCTTGTTATCTACACTTCTTTCCTCATTCCTAGAGTGACTGAGGGACCATGGTCTGAAAAAAACTTTAAAAAATATTTGTGCCTGTTTTTCCATAAAATGTTTACAAAGATTTAAATATAAATATAAAGCACATTTATTTAATCAGTTATGGAACTGAAGTGAACAACAAGAATAATATTTATTTGAAACTGGGATTGCTCCAGAAAATGAGGAACAAATATATACTTACTGTGTTAAGAATATCAAGATGGAATTCTAGGTCATGAAATATGTACAAAAAGTTCAGAATAAGAAATACAACCACTGGCTTTAATTATAATTAACTTTATATTGAGGGAACCTTTTGGAGGAAGGTAAGAGTTGCCATAAATATGGAACTTCTTCTCTGTCTAGGTGGTGTTTACTAGTGATCCTCATAAAAGTTACCTCCCTGTGCAATTCCAGTCACCTGATAAAGCAGAAACCCAGCGTGGAGACCCGTCTGTTATTTCTGTAAGTACCATCTGGTGTTGTCTTAGTCTGTTCTAGGTGGTATAACAAAATGCCATAAACTAGGTAGCTTATAAACAACAGAAATTGGCTGGGTGCGGTGGCTCACACCTGTGATCCCAGCACTTTGGGAGGCCAAGGTGGGCAGATCATAAGGTTAGATCGAGACCATCCTGGCTAACATGGTGAAACGCTGTCTCTACTAAAAATACAAAAAATTAGCTGGGCGTAGAGGCGGGTGGGTGCCTGTAGTCCCAGCTACTCGGGAGGCTGAGGCAGGAGAATGGCCTGAACCCGGGAGGCGGAGACTGCAGTGAGCTGAGATCGCGCCACTGCACTCCAGCCTGTGCAACAGAGTGAGACTCTGTCTCCAAAATAAATAAATAAATAAATAAATAAATAAATAAATAAAAATAAACAACAGAAATTTATTTCTCACAGTTCTGGAGGCTGGAAAGTCCAAGGGCAAGGCACCAGCAAATTGAGTGTCTGGTGAGCCTGGTTCATAGATGGTGCCTTCTTACTGCGTCCTCACAGGGTAGAACGGTCCAGGGGTCTCTCTCAGCCTTCTTTTATAACAGCACTGATCCCATTCATGGGGGTTACACTGTTGTGTCCTGATCACTTCCCAAAGATTCTACCTGCTAATACTGTTACCTTGGAGATTAGGATTTCAACATAGAAATATTTGGCAGGACACAGACATTCAGACCAAAGCAGATGTGTACACCGTCACAGCTTCTTGCTTTTATCTTCTATCTTGGTGACATGAATTACTTCTGGCTATAGTCACTGGTTTGTCATCACATTTTCTATTGTTGGTAGCAAGCAATACAATAGAGGTATAAATAACTCCTAAACATTTGTGTTTTTAAATACATTTAAGAAATGTTTTTTTCCTGAGTAGATTGTGTTTATTCATTAACCTTATTCTTTGAAACTTAAAATAAGCTTCAAGATTGTTTAAGATATGGGAAATGAAAGTTTTAACATCTCTTCGGCCTTTTATTTTAAGGTTGCCTCTTCTCTATTTTTTCAGTTGAGGAAAATGAAGATGCAAAGTGTTAGTTGTCTTTTCTAAGTGGCTTGATGGAAGTATAGACATGAGTTGCAGTGTCAACACTAGCATTTGCGCATAGAGCAAGGTTAGCCACTGAGAACCAGGTCTCAGCATGTGGCCTGTCCAAAATCAGGTTGACCTAGGTGCCACCATACAAAGAACTCTTTGGGTGACAGGTATCCAGCCTTTCAGGTAATACTCAGCCAAGGCCTGTGCCATCTCATGTGGTCTTTTTAGGGGCTTGGTTTTTTTAGTGGTGGGCAACATAATCACAAATCCACATATATGTGGAGAAAATTAAATTTTACTTTTTTTCTTAATTTTTTTATTGTCATAAAGTACACATAAACTTTACTATCTTAACCATTCTCAAGTGGGCAGTTCAGTGGCATGAAGTCCATTCATATTGTTGTACAACCATCACTACCATCCAGCTCCGGAACTTAAGTTCTACTTCCCAACTCTGAATTAAGACTATCCCTATGTAACTGTAGCTCAAAGACTCTTGGTTTTTGTTGTTGTTGTTGTCGTTTGTTTGTTTGTTTGTTTTTGAGACAGGGTCTCCCTCTTCACCCAGGCCAGAGTGCAGTGGCGCAATCTCGGCTCACCGCACCCTCCACCTCCCAGGCTAAATTGATCCTCCCACGTAGCTGGGACTAAAGGCACATGCTTTAGTCCCACTTGGTTAAGTTTTAAAATATTTTTTATAGAGATGGAGTCCCACTGTGTTGCTCAGGCTAGTCTTGAACTCCTGGGCTCAAGTGATCTTCCTGCCTTGGCCTTCCAAAGTGCTGGGATTACAGGTGTGAGCCACCACACCAGGTTAAAGTTTCTTCAAGTCTGTGTTTATGCTTGTTCCCCTCCTTTAGCAGTCCTGCATTTTGTAATACACCCGTGATGTAATTTTATTGGCATGAAATTTGCTAGCTCAGCATCTGAATGCAGTCAGCTGCATGAGGAACCTGATCCCAGCCTGTTAGCATGGTAACTGGTGGGAGTTGCATGAGGGAAGCAGGTGGGTGCTGAGTCTCACTGTTCTAGTAGTTTACTAGGTAATAGAGAGAGAGAGAGAGAGAGAGAGAGAGATGGGGGGTAGAGAGAGAGAGAGAGAGAGATGGGGAGAGCGTTTTGCCAAAAAAAAAAAAAAAAAAAAATATCAGGCAGGCTATGCCCCAGAGTCTGAAAACATTGTTTGACTCTGTTGTTACACACTGGGTGCCTGGGACTCTAGAAAAGTCATATTTATCCCCAATGCTTTTTACATTCATTATCTGAAAACTCTTCCCTAAGATCTGGGATTGCATTAGGGGTTTTTGGTTGTTTTTTTTTTTCTTTTTTTTTTTAAGATAGAGTCTCGCTCTGTCATCCAAGCTGAAGTGCAGTGGCTTGATCTTGGCTCACTGCAACCTCTGCCTTCTGGGTTCAAGAGATTCTCCAGCCTCAGCCTCCCGAGTAACTGGGATTACAGGTGCTAGGCACCATGCCCAGCTAATTTTTTTATTTTTAGTAGAGATGGGGTTTCACCATGTTGGCCAGGGGGCTGGTCTTGAACTCCTGACCTCAGGTGATCCACCCTCCTCAGCCTCCCAGAGTGTTGGGATTACAGGCATGAGCCACTGCACCCAGCTGCTTTGGGGCTTTTTTTTTAAGACAGTGTCTTGCTATGTTGCCCAGGTTGACCTTGAACTCCTAGACTCAGGTGACCCTTCTACCTCAGCCTCCCAAGTAGCTGAGATCACAAGCATGGGCCACAGTACCTTGCTTTGCTTTAGTTTTCATGGAAAGTATTGTGGGTTTTTTAAGCAACAGGCTTTGGGGATACTTTTCATGGGGGCAGTCTGAATATGTTGAGGACTGTTGGGTATTTTTTTTCTTAAGTGTACCTCAATTTTAAGTAGTGAGATTTAAAAACATAAGGAAATCATATCTAGTCTTTCCACATATAAAATTTACTTCAAATGCTTCCAGAACTATTTTCACTGGATTGGTGCAATTAGCTAAAGGGCTTTTTTATTTATTTATTTTTTTTTTCCTGAGACAGAGTCTCACTCTGTCACCCAGGCTGGAATGCAGTGGCACCATCTCCGCTCACTGCAGCCTCCACCTCCTGGGTTCAAATGATTCTCCTGCCTCACTCCCAAGTAGCTGGGATCACAGGCATGCACCACCACGCCCGGTGTATCTCTAAGTAGAGATGGAGTTTCACCTTGTTGGTCAGGATGAACTCCTAACCTCAGGTGATTCACCCACCTCAACCTCCCAAAGTGCTGGGATTGGATTACAGGCGTAAGCCACCACACCTGGCCTTAAAGTGCCATTTTGAATACCAGTGAGATCAAAAGTGATTAGAAGTAAAATTTAAATATTATAATTTCCCCAGGCATGGACAGGTGTAGTGGTAAGAACATTTCTCCTTTGTTAGCCTTTAGCATACTTTATAATTTTACACCTTATAAACAGGAACAGTGCCTATGGGTTTAATTAGTGCTTAGTTGTTTTGTTTTGCTCCTTCATTTTTGGCTGAGAAATTAATGATATTTGGAAATATCTGGAGTTCCTTTTTCTTGAAAAGGTCACAAACCACTGATTTAAAGAGGATGACTTTGAAAATTTAGCTCACAATAGTTGTGAAATAAATGTAGTAGTACTTTGTAGCTTAAATTCCGGTAAAATTATCACTTTGTCATTTTGATCTCAGAGGAGAGCTATTATTTGTAGCAAACTACAAATATAAACTAACGTGGAATTCCTGTGGATCAAGGCATGATACATATTTATATGTGTGTGTGTGTATTCTTTTCTGAACCAATATGACAATAAGCCATCTACTCTGAAGTACAGAGGCAGCCATCTATCATTGACTTATAAAGCTTTGACCCCAGTGAGAGTGTGTGTAAGAAGGAATACCTTGAACACTTCAGAGTGAAGTCACCCAGCTTAGCTGAGTGGGGGCCACCATGCCTTGCTCAAAGCAGGTTCTCCAGTCAGCAAACATCAGTCAAGGCAGAATCTATAGGCAGTGCCTAGGAACACAGACGCAATTTCAGATGGTGAGGAAAAAGCAAGTGAAGCACACAATTTGAATCTTGGAAATATACTTTGAATCATGGGTTTAGAAGACACAGGGAAAGGGCCGGAAAAATGAGTCATCCTGCAGATGTTCTCAAAATGATGATGACAGCAGAAGATGTTTTTGCATTCTCAGGTCAATGGCACTGACTTTACCTTCCGAAGTGCAGGCGTCCTCCTCCTTGTTGTGGATCCGTGCAGCGTTCCATTCCGCTTGACGGAAAAAACGGTTTTTCCTCTTGCTGATGTCAGTCGCATTGAAGAGTATTTAAAAACAGGCATCCCTCCAAGGTAGGTCAAGCTTGTGCTGTAACAGGGAAAAGCCACCTTAAAGATGTGGAGTGCTCCAAACTGATAATGCCTGGTCAAGTCCGATTTTTTACTCTCTGGACATTCAGGGCACTATGCAAGGTGTTCATTCCTCTCCTACCTCAGATTGACGCCCATGTCGTCTAAGCTGCTTATCATTGACAAGCCATTGCTTACCTGTGGCAGAACTTGGATGTTGCAACATTTTGCAAAATGGTGGGAAGGCTCTTCAGAGGAAAAGAGCTCATTATTTGGAACATTACTATCCCACTTTTTATTTTATTTATTTTTTGAGTTTCGTAAAACAAATATCAGAGCATTATACTTTTTAGTATTAAGTTGATATACTTTGTCCACAACTCCCTCAGAAGGCTTATTACTATTTTGAAGTGATTTTCCAGGCAGTTTACCTTTGCAACCCTCTGTCGCACTGACGGTCTTGGACAGCATTGCACTATGATTGTGATACAGGAAGTCATCACCTGGGTCACTTGGAAATGACTGGAAAAGAGTAAATTGATTTTTGAAGTGGCTGAGTGTGCAATCGCTCTTACAGAGCACTAGTCTGATTGGTTTTCTTTGATGTCTCTGAAGAAAGCTGCACAGGAGAGAAACCTTTCTTTTTCTGGGTTGGTGAGACCCTGCCTGGAGGCAAGGAGATGAACTCAGGGTGTTTTCTGCCTTTGCCGCAGATGTTGATTTATACACCCGCTTTCATTTAATGGAACCATTAAGGAAGGAACTTAAGCTTTCCCCAAATTAAAGGCCTATCTAGCTTTAGAATCATTTTCCAATAGCTTATGCTTTATAGAACCGGATGCCAATAAATTCTATGAAGTCACTGGATTATTTGGATGTAACATTAAATGTATATATGTCGTTCTGTCTTCTGGCTTAAGACACTTGTACAGCCTCAATTTTCTTGCAGGATTTAAAGATTTTTCCTAATGTTGAAAATACATGCACTCACTTCCCCTAAAACAATCCAGGACATAAATCTCACCACAAGTATTTAGGACAACATGGTAGTCCTGCAAGGTACCCCATAGATTTAAGAGGTAAAACCAACTCATTAACAGAAAGGCTTTTAAGATACTGGTAATGCTGTTTCTTGATCTGCCTCTGGTTATGCAGATAGGTTTCGTTTGCAAAAATTCAGTGTGTGTGTAACATTTTAACAAAGTGTTAAGAAGGTATGGAGCAACTGGCAGTGACTTCTAGGGAGACTGAGCACGTGTCTATGTGTATAGGGTTGCGGGGTGACCTGTAAATGATCTTATGGGTAATTCTGACCTATTGAAGAAGGTCAGGTCTGCAGGGTAGCCGTGCTTAGACTGCTGCACTAATTTTAGATTGTGTCACCACTGCTTTAGAAAGACTACAGTAGGCCAGGCACGGTGGCTCACACCTGTAATCCTAGCACTTTGGGAGTCTGAGGCAGGAGGATCACCTGAGGTCAGGAGTTCGAGACCAGCCTGGCCAACATGGTGAAACCTCATCTCTACTAAAAATACAAAAAACTAGCCGGCATGTTGGTGGCACCTATAATCCCAGCTACTCGGGAGGCTGAGGCAGGAGAACTGCTTGAACCTAGGAGGCAGTTTGCAGTGAGCCAAGATTGTACCACTGAACTCCAGCCTGAGCAACAGAGCGCGACTCTGTCTCTAAAAAAAAAAGAAAGAAAGAAAGACTACCATAAAGAACCCATACCAGCATGAAACTTAAGGTACTTAATCTTAAGAACCATCGAGACCCACATTAAGACATACCACACAAATTTCAACTTCCTGTAGGTATCCTTGATGACTCTGAAAATAAATCAATCTAATGTTACCTTTTAATTAATAAGAGCTACTCAGAGCCCCCTAAACACTGATTTGTTCTTGAAAATTTTTGTTTCAGTAATACCGGCCAAGAGTTCAGGCACAGTGGCTCATGCCTATAATCCCAGCACTTTGGGAGGCCATGGCGGGACGATTGCTTGAGGCCGGGAGTTCAAGACTAGCCTGGGCAATGTAATGAGACCCTGTCTCTATGAAAAATTTAAAAATTATCTGGGTATGTGGGCACATACCTGTAGTCTCACCTACTGAGGAGGCTAGGACAGGAAGATCCCTTGAGCCCAAGAGTTTGAGGCTGCAGTAAACTATACTTGCATCACTGCATTCCAGCTGGGGTGACAGAGCAAGGACCCTATCTCTAAAAAAACAAAAGAAAACAAAAATAGTTGCCCAGGCTGGAGTGCAGTGATGTGTCCACAGCTCAATGTAGTCTTGACCTCTCAGGCTCAAGTGACCCTCCTACTTCAGCCTTCCAAGTAGCTGGGACTACACGTGCACACCACCAGCCTGGCTGGTTATTTTTTGTTTTTGTTTTTGTTTTTAATTTTATTATTTTTCTAATTTTTTGTGGAGATGGAGTTTTGCTGTGTTTCCCAGGCTGGTCTTGAACTCCTGGGCTCAAATGATCCTCTCATCTCAGCCTTCCAAAGTGCTGAAATTAAAGGCATGAGCCACTGCACCCGGCTGGCCAAGAACATTTCTGATTAAAGTTTTTGAAAGAGTGAGTTTGTATGTGTACACACACACACACACACACACACACACACACAGAAAATAAATACATTATTAAATATATTGCTAAAGGATATGCAACAGAAGTTGAATAAAAGGAGAGACTCTGTTTCTGAATGGAAAATTAATAAATGTTAATTTCATGGACCAGTTTCATGGAAGATAATTTTTCCATGGACTGGAGGTGGAGGGGGATGGTTTCAGGATGATTCAAGTGCATTACATTTACTTAGTTAAAATATAAATTTGACACATTTCCATTAGTGTCCCAAAAGGTACTTTTCTACTGTACTTGACAGTTGATACTGTAGTTCATCTGGAAGAATAAATGAGAAAGTAGTAAAATATAAACAAATTACAGTAATACAAGGGCTTGTTTTTATCAAATATTAAAATGGACCGTGAAGCCATAGGCCAGCATAGTTTTGGCAGAGAAGAGCAAGATCAGAGAAGAACGGAGAATCCACAGATAGGTCCAAGTATGTATGTTGGCTTACTATGTGACAAAAATGGTAATTCAAACCATGGAAAACACATTTAGTCGTTTATTTATTTTTAGAATTGTGTTTATCCATTTATTTAATAAATAGATAATAGAACTTAAATAAATAGAGTATTTGAAACAAAACAAAACCATTCTCCCATGTTACAGTAGACTTACTCCCTGATAGACAATGGAGAAGGAAGGGTGAGGGGTGGATGACAGGAAATTACTGAATAGGCACAGTGTACATTATTTGGGTGATGGATACCCTAAGTGCCCTGACTTCACCACTATGCAATCCTATGTATGTAATGAAATTGCACTTGTGCCTCACAAATTTATACAAATTATAAACAACAACAACAACAATAGACTATTCCCTAAAAGAGCTGTGCCCCAGACCATCCACTAGGTCAGCAGTCCCCAGCCTTTTTGACATCAGGGACTGGTTTCATGGAAGATAATTTTTCCATGGACTGGAGGTGAAGGGGGATGGTTTCAGGATGATTGAAGCACATTACATTTACTGTGCACTTTTTTTCTATTATTATTACATTGCAATATATAATGAAATAATTACACAGCTCACCATAATGTAAAGTCAGTGGGAGCCCTGAGCTTGTTTTCCTGCAACTAGATGGTCCCATCTGGGGGTGATGATCAACAGATCATTGGGCATTAGATTCTCAGGAGCACACAACCTAGATCCCTCACATGTGCAGTTCCCAATAGGGTTCTGCTCCTATGAGAGTTGAATGCCACAGCTGACCTGACAGGAGGCGGAGCTCAGGCTGTAATGCAAGTGTTGTGGGGTGGCTGTAAATACAGATGAAGCTTCGCTCGCCTGCTCACCTCCTGCTGTGCAACTTGGTTCCTAATCTACTGGTACCCATCCATGGCCCAGGGGTTGGGAAGCCCTGCACTAGGTGAACGTACGTAAATGATTTGGTTTATGTATGCGTTACCCCTTGTAAGAGCAACGTGTGAAGCCCATGGTGGTGGGGTGGAAGAGTGGGAATTGGATGGAAAATCATCTAGACTTTTTTCTTTTTGGAGTTCTGCTTTTATCTAATATTTCTATTCAGCAGTCAGTTCAGAAAGATACTCAGTAGAAAGATACTCATGCTGAAGGATTGAAATTGGCTCTGACTTTCTAAATTTCACATACAGGTCCATTGTTCTGTTGAGCACAAGAGGAGAAATAAAGCAGTTAAACATTTCACACTTACTAGTACCTCTGGGATTAGCCAAACCAGCTCATCTTTATGACAAAGGTTTGTATTTGTATTATTTCATGAAGTTCTTACAGGGCCAGCAACATAGGTAATTTTATGGTGCAATTCAGCTACCAGACCATTTTCATGAGCTTGTTTGCTGGAGTGGGTATCATTAAGATGATTTCTAAATAAGGGCACAATGTGAGAGGAAGTGTGTTGGGATGTGGTTTGTTATCTGGGGCAAAAGGTGGGTGGTGAGAGTTCATTTGCTGATGTAAGGAAGTGCAGAGTTTTTTAATAGCTGCCTTTGTTTTGCTCACCTCCGACTCACCTCCTATATTCTCTTGCTGGAATGTAGCTATAAAAATTGATTTTTTTTCTTTTTCTTTTTTTTTTTTTTTTTTAGGGAGTACCATATTTTTGGGATTCAGTGGAAACTTTAAACCATCATGGACTAAGCTATTTACCAGTCCTGCTGGACAGGGCCTTGGGGTGCTTGAACAATTCATACCTTTGCAGCTGGACGAATATGGTTGTCCCAGAGCCACCACTGTCCGCAGAAGAGACCTGGAACTGCTAAAGCAAGCTTCAAAAGCACATTAGAGACTAACTGTAACTTAAGTGCTGGGGGAAAAAAAATGTGAACTAACTTATTTAATTTATGGCATTTTAAAATGACACTGTTAACCCAACGGAACCATTTTCCAGTTTGATACAGAATGGGGAGAAAAGAAAGCGTTTGAAATTATTGCTTGGATACCAGCTTCATGCACCTTCTAGTTGTACAAAATGTTAAAGACGTTGTTTGTATTTGTAAGGCTGGTGTATTCAGAGAGCAGATCTCTTATTCCTCACTTTCCACCCCCGTATTTTGTAATGACCATGAGCAATGTTTTTACTTTTTGTATAATGGGGTGGGGTGGAGTGGGGGCTTCTGAGAGTCAGCCTGAGGTCTTTAGAGGACCAGCTATTGTAGCACCTTGGATACTTGAAGTTTAATGCTCAGTTGGGTCGGGTGGCAGTTGACTTGGTGGCTGGCATGTTCAGCAGTGCCTGGGGCCCTGTTTCTGGGCAGCCTTTGAGGATTTTCTATGATATTGAATGACAGTTTTAAGTGGCAACTCAGGCCCAGCTCATGCCCTTTTTTGCCTGGACATGTGCTATTTTTATTCACTTATATATCAATTACTTGTAAGGGTTAAACTTTCAAACAGGAAGTATATTGGGACAAAAGGGCTCTTGGGGATTAGATATCCCTTTAATCTGTGACCATTGGGCAAAAAATTTTCCTGCAGCAAAAGTCTGAGGCTGTTGGGACCATTTTTGCAGCTTTAATCCTTAGCCTCTTTTGACTGTATATTTGTGTTTAAAATGCAGAGCTCAACTGAATATTTCCTTTTTTGTTTTGTTTTGTTTTGTTTTAAGAAGTAGGTTGTTTTCCTGAACCGTAAACTTGTATCATTTTAACTTGCACAAAGGAAGTCTGTTCTTGGTATTGCTCTTGCACTTGGGTTTTTTGTTATTGTTTTGTGTGGATTTTTTAAAGCTTTTCTGTTCACCCTCCTGCCAGGAAAATCCCAGAAAGCTTAATGATACCCCAAAATGATTACACCCAGGGAGGAAAAAAAGGAGCGCTTTCTAGGGTCAGAATCGTGGAGAGAATACTCAGAAATGAACCTCTTTAAAGCCTTGCAGGAATGAGTCACTCTTACTTAATGAAATGTTAAAGCCAATTAAAAAGCATGCTGTGATGCCCAGCTTCCCTTTCCACAGGGTGCATGCGTCTCCTGCTGGTGAATCACATGCGGCAAGAGGCAACTGGCTCCACAGCCTGGGATGCTGCCGTACCAAGAGGAAAGAAGCAGCAAAATGCCTTTACGTTGTTCTAAACCCCCGACGCATAAAGTGTAGAGGAGGGATGGCCAAGGGTGGGTGGTAGAAAGTGTGTTCAGGCTGACACTGGCAATGAGTACAGATAATTTCACTTTCCTCTTCTAGGGGCAAAGGCTGATGGCCTCTACCTTTGTATCCAGGAGAAACTGCAGAGCAGCCCTGTGACTTTACAAAATATGCTACCTCAAAGTGCTACCGATAAACCTTTCTAATTGTAAGTGCCCTTACTAAGGGCACATGTCTTAATCAAAGTTAGTTTTTTGTTTTCTGGTTTGTTTTTTTTTTTTGTATATTGATGAATGAGATCTTACCTATTAAATATATTATTGGATTATGGTTCCTGAAGGTCATTAGAGTGTGTGTGTGTGTGTGTGTGTGTGTGTGTGTTTTATGACTTAAATATCTTTACGTGTGTTTTTTAGAGCTTGGTTCTTTAAAGATTTGGAGAAGATATGTAAATTACCAAGGCACTTGGTTTTTCTGTTTTATATACTAATAATCAGGGCCTAAGTTAAATAAAAATATGTGTGCATGTATTTTATATATGTGTGTATGTGAATTTATTTATTATTTATTTTATTATTATTGTTATTATTTTTGAGATGGAGTCTCGCTCTGTCACCCAGGCTGGAGTGAGGTGATGCAGTCTCAGCTCGCTGCAACCTCCACCTCCCAGGTTCAAGTGATTCTCCTGCCTCAGCCTCCCAAGTAGCTGGGATTACAGGCACCCGCCACCATGCACTGCTAATTTTTGTATTTTTAGTAGAAGTGGGGTTTCACCGTGTTGGCCAGGCTGGTCTTGAACTCCTGACCTCAAGTGATACTCCTGCTTTGGCCTCCCAAAGTGCTAGCATTACAGGCATGAGCCACCGCGCCTGGCCTGTATGTGAATTTATATCTCTATCTATAAATTTAAAATTCCAGATTCCAGCTGTAAAGAAGTTACTGACGGAAGTGAGGAAGACACTTGGTGGACAGAATCCACCAAGTAAATATTGTAAGAGTAAGCTTCAGAAGGGCAGGGACTGTATTCTCCAAGGCAGAGGTTCTCCATCTTGGCTGCACACTGGAATTACCTGAGGAGCTTTAAAAAAAAATATAGAGGCCTGGACTTTACTCCCTTCCCCCCAGATTCAGATTTAATTGGTGTTGGGTGCAGCCTGAGCACTGGAATTTTTTTTAAAGCTCCCTGGATGATTCTAATATGCAGCCAGGTTTCGGAACCACGGCACTAATATAATAGGCCCACTGTTTAACTCCAGTCTGTAATTTTTTTGTGACTAAAACAAAATTGCATTTACCTATTATTTTTATTTGCATTTCCTATATTACTCACAAAACTCCCAGCCCTAAACAAAGCATTTCTCTATTGTCTCTTTTTAATAGAAGCTTTTAATACAGTTTTTAGTCCTCAGTCCTCTCAAATCATTAAATTGGTTCTATACACTGATATATACATTTCAGGGAATTGGGAGCTAGCAATCTGTTCTATTTCTACCAAGAAAATATATTCAAAGGTGATTTATAAGTTCATAAGCATTTTCCATCAGGTGAGGCAGTTGGTTGAGCTCCAAAAATGTGGTCGTCCACAAATCAGCCAGCTGACGAGCAACACAGAGGGCTCTCATGTATCCACAGACTAGGGTTTAAGTCTTTGCTGTGATTCCTGCCTCTCCACCTGAGTCAGCATGCCATATATTATCTTCAGAGGCTGGAAGAGAGTGCTGGCAAGAAGATGAAAGGCAGACGCACCATCTCATGGACTATGACTGCAAAGCAGCCTCTAAGCTGATGTTTAGACTCGGGGATGGGAAGAGAGGATTTATGACTCCTCTGTTCTCTAACTTCATCAAGAGACAACACATCCTCATGCCATTAAAGTGGGTTACTTTGTCTTGAGGAGGGGAAGGTAATGAAGTGACAGATCGAGGCTTGAGTGCTTTAGATAACTACAGTAGGTTTTCATTCCTTAAGAGATGAGGTCATGTTTGGATGTGTCTGGTTGAGAAGCATTTCAGTAAGAAGGAATGAGCTTAGTTAGTTCAAGTGTTTTTTTCTGTTGTTCCTAGTAGATAAACACAATACATAGATTCAATGATGACAATGTTTGTTAATTTCATCATGCAGAGTTGGAGCTTACTTCTGGAATTCTTATTTGGTTTCCAGATACTTATTAAACAATGTTTAATAACCTGAGAAATTCCCCTGGAGGTAAAGACCTTTAATAGGGCAGCAGATTTGTATCATTACTGTTAGTTATGATTACATTATTACTGTTATAACCCAGTGTGCTGGAAATGTGAGCAGACACTATTTAAGCTAGTTTTCAACAAAAGGTCATGGAGGGAAAAAAAATAAAGGAACTCCATTCCTGGTTCCTTGCTCACAAATGGCAAAATGCTGTTCACAGACTTGCTAGACCATTTGAGTCATTTGGAAGAGAAAAGGTTTTTTTGTTTTTCCCTTATTTATCTTCAATTTGAGAAAAAAACTAATAAAAGGATGCTTCAGTAGGCCCTGGTGTTGTGGATAAGGGCACGCACACTTTTTATTTTTATGTGGTAAATTTAGAGAATGACTGACTGAACTGTGATTTCTAAATGAGGAACTGTGCCCCACAGGACATCCAAAATTATCAGCCATAGCAAGCTGTGAACATGTTATATCTGAAAATACAGCAAAGGGTGGACCAGAAAACATCTTTATAGATGTGTTTTTGTAATTTTCCTAAGAGGGACAAAATAATTAGTCTAAATATGAAAAATTAAGTTTTAAAGTTCATCCATAGAAAAGCTGGCTTCATGATCACAATTGAAAAATCCGAGTTGGCAAACCTCTGCCTGCAATTCTGAGCTAGGAATCATTTTTATGTTTTTAAATATAACAAAAGAAAGAAAAAGAAGAGTAATATTTTATGTGGTGAAAATTCTATGACATTTAAATTTCAGTGTCCATAAATCAAATCTTATTGGAACACAGCCAAGCTCATTCTTGTATACTTATTAACTGTGGGCAATTCCTGCTGCAGGGGTAGAAATGAGTAGTTGCTACAGAGACTGTCAGTCCAAAAATATGTACTGTTAGGCCCTTTACTGAAAAAGTTTACCAACCTTTGATCTCAGTGTAGTGTAGACCAGCGTTCATTGTCCTGTTCTTGGAACCTTACCACATTGTCAGAATTTTTTAAATAGCAACTTAAGGAAGAAACCTGCATCAGAATCGCCTGAGGTGCTTGATGAAAATGCAGGATCCCAAGCCCCAGCTCAGACAGGAGAACTGGCGTTTCCAGGAGTTGTGAAGCTGGGAATATTATGTTATAACAAGCTTTCCAGATGTTTCTTGTGAACACTAAAGTTTGACCATCTCATAGCATGTAGTGAGGCTGTTCTTCCTTTCCCTCTTTCCCTTCAACAGAGAACACATCTGAACAAAATTGATTTTTTTTAACCTTAATGATTCTATCTACACAGTCTTCCCTAGAACTTTTTCTGACTAGGGCAGATTTCATATTGGGCAGAGTATGTGGCTGTTACTGGGGCAAAGGTTTGGAGCCCGTGATTAAGTCCTCCCGCCATGATGCCTGAAATACCACTACAATGATTCCTTTGGCTACAGTTATTCCTACTCTGAAATCCCAGCCATTCTTTATTTTCTGCAAGTTTGTTTTATTATTTTAAGGATTTTGAAGGAAAATGTACATTTGGCCACAATTAGGCTGCACAGACTAACAAAAACATAAGTTTATTTGCTTTTTGATGAAACTATCCACCCTTTTTACTAATTTTACATTTATTGAAGCTCTGATTGATAATTTCAGATGTATTTTTTTGTGAGGTAGAATGAATCATTTCATACAAGCAGTTTGCTTTGTAAGCAAAAACCTTTTAATGCATGAACTTTATGGAGGGCTGCAGGAGGTGGCTGAGTAGTGGATAATGAGATTGACCCTTGCCAGGGAAGAGGGTGGGTGTGGGAGGTTCACCTTCTCCCATCAGCCCATGTTGATTGTCAACATCCAGTTCCTGAGGGAGGAGCGCCTGGGTCAGGTAGGTTTCTGATGTGGGAGAACGCAAGACTTCCAAGTCTTAGGAGGCAAGAAACATCCTTAGCTCCCACTATGGGTAGGAGAATGAGAGAATTCCGATGGGAGAGAAAGATGACAAAACTTGTTGACTCTTTCAAGAGTGCATGCAGTCAGTTGTTTTTTAAGTAAAATAGTTCTTAGAGGAAGTGAAGTGGAGTCAGGGTAAAGTGTCTGATACAGTTACTTGCTGTAGGTATGGTTGTTTTGCTGACCAATCTAGGTTTGATTCCGCTAAGGCTCTCTACTTAGCGGTGGTCCTAGGAGCAGCTTCCTCCTGAGCCTCAGGTTTCTCATCTATAAAGTGGATCCATTAGTAACTTTTGTGAAATTACAGGGGGGATTAAATGAGAACAGCTGTGGCTCCTGAACATGGCTGGTCATCAGAAACACGTGATGGTTTGTTTTCTAAAAAATTAGATTTCTAGACTCCTGTGAATTCTAATTTAGTAGTGTTTTTGTTGTTGTTGTCTTGAGGGTTAAGGATTAGGGAATGTGGATTTTTAAAAAACAAACTTCTAAGATTATGCCAGTTTTGGGAACCACTGAGGATACCTGATGCAAACCCTGCCCTAGTTTCGACACACTCTGTTGCTGTTACTTGTATCTAGAAAATGAGACCTCAGGCCAGGCAATACCCATTTACTGACTTGGTTTGAACATCACGAGGTTTGCATTCATGCTCTTAGTTGCCCTAGCACCATAACTCAACAAATCAGCTGTGTACAGACTGGAGCTATGAAATGTGGAAAACAAACAAACGTGGAAAACATGTGGCTTTACCCTGTTCTGCTGCTAGTATGTATAGTTTTTAGCTCTTCATTCTTGTGAGAGGAAACTTTAGTTCAGTTAATAATTTGTCTATTCTAACCCCTCTGTACCATAAACTAACAGGGATCAGAAGCATCTCATTTCTAACTATCTCTCAGGTTTTTTTTTTTTTTTTGAGACAGAGTCTCGCTCTGTCGGCTAGGCTGGAGTGCAGTGGCACGATCTCGGCTCACTGCAACCTCTGTCTCTCAGGCTCAAGTAACTCTTCTGCCTCAGCCTCCTGAGTAGCTGGGATTACAGGTATGTGCTACACGCCCGGCTAATTTTTGTATTTTTACTGGAGACGGGGTTTC
Organism: Homo sapiens; assembly: GCF_000001405.40. NCBI lineage: Eukaryota > Metazoa > Chordata > Mammalia > Primates > Hominidae > Homo > Homo sapiens. Next base: position 71,678,701 of record NC_000009.12, on the reverse strand, counting down.
TAGTTGGCCAGGCTGGTCTTGAACTCCTGACCTTAGGTAATCTGCCCACCTCGGCCTCTCAAAGTGCTGGGATTACAGGCGTGAGCCACCGCACCCAGCCCACTATCTCTCAGTTTTTTAACCACACACAATTTCACTTTTCCTTCCTATCAAGTAGGAAAAAATGCTAACATGTAGTGAAATGGTTTAGAGCTAAGGTTCATATAACAAGCTGAGCTGAGTTGAAGGACTTGGAAAATGAGTGCCTTTGACAACAAACCTTCCCGTGTTTCTGTGCCCCATTTCTGCTTAGTCACACCTCTGCCCCCTCCCAACTGCCCAAGTTCCACTCCTGTGGCCCTTGTTATACTGGAAGACCACATTCCCAGAACTGTTTCGTAACTCATGCTCCACTGCTGCTCACATGTTTTCTTCTAACCCTCAGGATCCTCAGCCCTTGCTAAAGTATTTCAAAATCAGGTCAGTCCTTATGTCTAAAACAAATTGTCTCTTGGGAGACAATGTGATTTTAAATATCTGCCCACAGCACCTTATAGTTCTAAAAGTAATGTGTATCTGGAATTTTTGTTGACATATCTGATTTGTTGGCTTTTAGAGGACTTTTGCCCTCCAGCAGCATATCGACCTCCATATGAGACTGATTTCGTCTGTGTGTAGAGGAAGTTACAGATCTGGAAAATTCACACCCTGGAGAACTAGTCACTGGGTAGTGAAGTCAGTACATCTACAGGATATGAGTATTTGTACTTGAGTAGAATCCCTTCTGATTACCTTCCGGAAGGTCATGGATTATACTGTGATTTTCCTCCAGCTTAAGCAATGTTCTCAGAACACAGATACTAGATGAGAAACAGTACCTGGCTCTGAAACATATAATCTACTCAGATTCCAGGCCCAGGGTCCTGGCCACAAGAAAGCATGTTTATCCTAACATCTTCCTGGAAGCTGTGCTCTGTGAGCACTGGAAAATTCTTTCTTTTTGTAATGTCTTGCATTTCTATAAGTCACCTGTTTTAATAGCTAAGAGGAAGAGATTTGTTAATTATAGCTTTCCTTTGTTGCAGCTCTATATTGAAAACATATGCCAGAAAAGTTAAGGAAAGATGCAAGTGGATAGATGATACATAAACAGGATTAGGAATCATGAGGATTAGGGGCTTCCTGTGCAGTTTTTTCCAGGAACTGACCCCAGGAAGAGGGTCAGTTACCAACATAAAATTATTTTTGTGAGGGGAAGGTGTGATTTTATTATATTGATTATATTTTATTTTATAATCAATATATTTTATAATCAATATAATTATTGATTATATTTTATTATATAGATTATATTGATAATCTAAATTTTCTGGCTGTTGTTTCACATTCCTTGAAATGAGTCAATTTGTTGATTTCAGTCATAATTTACTGTAATATTATCTAAAATAATTGGATTTAAAGTCGATAACAAGTGTAAGTGTTGGATATTTTGGAGAGTCAGATTCTAAATTAAGAATTTAGTATTTTTATTGTTGCTACCTAACACAAGAGGCTCTTTTTATTTGGTGCTAACTTTATCTGTTTACAGAAGACAAGTGGCTAATATGAAGCATAAAGGTAGCGAGTTTTAGACTTAAAGAATGGTAACATTGGAAGTAAAAAATGAGGAGGAAGAACAGTGACTCTACCTTGGTTTTCTTTCAGTTTTCCTACCATCTCTGCTCTTCCACTAGCAGGTCAGAGCCAGTGGACTCTATCTATTCATTGAATTTCTGAGTGTGCTTCAGTGAGAGAATATTTTTCTAAACAAATTCTGCCCTCCTTGTTACTTTGTGTGTATGTGTGTGTGTGTGTTGCTCTCATAGTCTGAGAGTTCATTTGTTGTACTAATGTAATTATCTTGCTGAGGGCTACAAAAATAATGTTACACTGGTGTGTGTGGTAGGTAGACTCCTGCTTCAAGGGAAAAGTTAAATCTGTTAATTACCATGGGGAAGTTAGCTACTTAGATATACCCACCTGCTTAGTATGAGTTTCTAAGTTTAGAAGGAATGAGGGCTTAGCTTCTCTCTGTGGTCAGACTTCTGTGAGTCAAGTTGCATTGAAATGGGCTGTTGAATAGTGGATGTTAAGGTTTCAGGTACCACTTGGAAAAAGAACAGGTTATAAAGGGGAGGCTACCCTGTATTAAAGAATATCATCTTCCCTGGACTCTGGCATTCTCTTTTGTTTACCAAAGCCAAGGATTATGTTTCTTAAAGTGAGGTTTATGGCCAATATCCATCAGAACTATGGAAATTGCAGATTTATGGACTCCATTCTAGGTGGATTGCGTTAGAATCTTGGGTTGAAACCTAGAAATCTGCCCTTCAACCTAACTAGTGGAATGAGTCAGAGAACCTGGAAATGATGTGTGACAAAGATGGCATTAAAAATCAGCATGTAAATGATAAATTATTCAATAAATAATGTGAGAAAAATTGGTTTTCCATATGGAAAAAAATGTGATTAGATCCCTACCTCACACCGTGAAACAAAATAAACTCCATCTCACATGAAAAGTATATTCATCCCAGTAGCCCCCAAAGTTTTACCTGATTCCAGCATCAACTTTAAAATCTAAGTCCAAAGTATCATCTAAATATAATTCAAATCAGATATAGGTGAGACTGAAGGTATGACTCATCATGGGGCAAATTATCTCCAGCTGTGAACCTGTGAAATCAAATATGTTATGTGCTTCCAAACACAATGGTGGGACAGGAACAGGATAGACATTTCCATTCCATTTGTAATGCCATCTTTGTCACACGTCTATTTCCAGGTTCTGTGACTCATTCCACTAGTTAGGATGCTTATTTAAGGGCAGAAGAGGGTAATGGTTCCTGAGCAATTCAAAACCTTAAAGCTTGAAAATAATCTTCTTTGACTCGAGGCTCTTCCTGCCAGTCCTAGCGGGGTTGAAGTTCCCCTTTCTGAACCCACTGGGGCATGGCCTTGCCCTCATGGCTTTGAGGAGCCCCATTCCCATGGCAGTTCTCTTAATGGGGCTTTGAGCAGGCCCCATCTCCATGGTGGCTCCTTGCCTGGGTCTTGAACCTGCAGCTCTCCCCAGATATAATCATATGCCAGTGGCTCTAACTGTTGGTCTCAATGTGGCCATGCCCCCCATGGCTCCACTGGGAATTGCCCTAGTGTGGGTTCCCTGCAGTGGCCCCACCTCATGGCTGCTTTCTGCCTGGGCTCCAGGCTCTCCAGGTCATCCTTTGAAATTTAGGTAGAGGGAGCCAGACCCTTATAGCTCTGCTGGGTGTAGTGCATATTGAATCAGGGCCACGAGAGCCACACCTGGGGCAGTGGAGGAGCATGGTGACAAAGTGCAGGAAGCAGAACCTTGAGGCAGGGCTGGGCAGAGGGTGCCAAGGTCCCAGGGGTGCCAATCACCCCTCCTTTGAAATCATTCTCTCCCCCAGGTCCTTGCACTTGGGCCTGTGAGTGGCAGCCCCAATCTGAAATGCCTTCAGGGTCATTCTTCTATTGTCTTGATGAGTAACACCTGGCCAATCCATACTAATTTCCTTATCAAAGGGTCATTTGGCCACACCCTTGGTGTTAGCTCCCAACACATTTCTCACTTTTTACAGTATACACAGGCTGAGAATTTTCCAAATCTTTAAGTTCTGCTTCCTTATTGATTAAAAATCCATCCTTTATTCATTTCCCCTTTCTCACGTTTTACTATAAACATTCAAGAGAATCTAAGCCAGACCTTCAACACTTTGTTTAGAAGTTTATTCAACCAAATATGCCATTTCATTACTCATAAGTTCTACCTTCCACAAAAACACTAGGCCAATAATATAATTCAGACAAGTTATTTGCCACTTTATGACAAGGATCACCTTTCTTCCAGTTTCCAATAGCGTATTCCTCATCTCCATCTGAGACCTTATCAGAATAGCCTTTACCATTCTGTTCATGATCATGTAGGTATTCTCTAAGAAGATTCAGCCTTTCTCTACAGCTCTTCTGAGCCCTCACCAGAATTACCCTTTATGGTCCATTCATGCCAACATAGGCTTTTTCTAGCGTGAATCTCACTTCCAGCCTCTATCAGCCAGGTCCAAGAGCTACTTCAACATTTTTAGGTATTTGTTATAAAAGCACCCCACTTCTTGGTACCAATTTTGTTGTAGTCCATTCAGGCTACTATAAAAATTACTGTATACTAGGTAGCTAACAAGCAACAGAAATTTATTTCTCACAGTTCTGGAGACTGGAAAGTCTGAAATTAAGGTGCTGGCAGATTTGATGTCTGGTGGGACTCATTTCCTGGTTCATAGATGGAGCCTTGTTGCTTTGTCCTTACCTTCCAAAGGCCCCAGCTCCTAACAGCATGGCATTAGTGACTAGATTTCAACATAGGAATTTTAGGGAAACACAAACTTTGATACCAGAGTGCAATGGAATTTTTTGTGTGACAAAAGATACCATAAGCAAAGTCAAGAGACTCACCAAAAACTTGAACAAGATATTTGTAACAAGTATGACCAGTAAAGGATTACTATCAAGAATATATATGTGTTCTATAAATCACTGAGGAAAATAAAAGCAAGCCAGGAAAAAAATGGACAAATGTTAATCATATCCAACTCATAGAATAGAAATCTGAATGGAAACTCTATTAGTATTCAGGGAAAATGAAATTAAAAAATGAAATACCATTCAAAGGGTTAGTGAATATGTAGAGAAAATGAAACTGTGGAATATATTGTTGGTTGGAAAGTAAGTTGGTACAAATACTTTGGAGGTCAAATTGGCAGTATCTAAAAGCTTTGTATATTTGCTACCCTAATTGTATATATACACTTGTGAAATTCTTGCTCATGTATACAAGCAAACATGTTTAGACAAATTCATTGCTGTGTTTATATTGGTGAAAAATTGGAAAGAACATTAATGTTCATCATGCGGGACTGCATAAACACATTATAGAATACATTGAACTACTCTACTTCAGTTAACTATGAATGAATTATGTCTCTGTGTATCAATATGGATACGTTCAGAAAACAGTGCTGGGTAGACAAGTTACAAATGAATTCATGTGAAATGGTAATATTATATTTATAGATATACACTTATTTTTGAGGTTGCATGATCCAATTTCTTACCTCTAAGAAGAGATTTTCTTTCTTTCCTTGCTAAACTTGAAGATTCATTATTTTACATTTAGATCTCAGAATGTTGGGGCTAAAAACTCTCCTAGAAATTATCTTATGGAATCTCCCCATTTAAATTTTTTAAGAATAGACTTTTAATTTTAGAATAGCTTTAGATTCATTGAAAAATTATGAAGATAGTACAGGGAGTTCCCATATACCCTATACCTAGTTTCTCCTATTAACATCTTACATTAGTTTTTTGTTTTTTGTTTTTTGTTTTAGACAAAGTCTTGCTCTGTCACCCAGGCTGGAGTGCAGTGGTGTGATCTCTGCTCACTGCAATCTCCGCCTCCCAGGTTCAAGCAATTCTCCTGCCTCAGCCTCCCGAGTAGCTGGGATTACAGGTGTCCACCACCATGCCTGGCTAATTTTTGTGTTTTTAGCAGAGACGGGGATTTCACCATCTTGGCCAGGCTGGTCTTGAACTCCTGACTTCATGATCCACCTGCCTCAGCCTCCCAAAGTGCTGGGATTACAGATGTGAGCCACCATGCCCAGCCTAACATCTTACATTAGTATAGTACATTTGTTACACTTAATTAACTAATGCTGATATAATAATTAAAGTTTATATTTTATTCCGAGTTTCTGTTTTTAACAAATGTTGTTTATCTGTTCTAGGGTCCCATGAAGGATATTACATTGAATTTATTGGTCATATCTTTTTAGGCTCCTCTACATTGTAGCCATTTCTCAGACTTTGCCTTTTTTTGATGACTTTGACAGTTTTGAAGAGTACTGATCAGCTATTTTGTAGAATGTTCCTCATTAGAGGCTGTCTGATATTTTTCTCATTTTTAGACTGAGTTTCAGTGAGGAAGACTATAAAGTACTATTCCCATCACATTATATCAACTCCACATATTATTATCATGACATCCCTTTTGATGTTAACCTTGATCACCTGGTGCAGGTAGGATTTGCCACGTTTCTTAGCTGCAGAGTTGCTTTTCTGCCCTCTCCCTCTTTTCCATGCTGTATTCTTTGGAAGGAAGTCACTATGTGCAATCCACATCAGTGTCTTTCTTAAAAGGAGAAATTGGAGCTCAGAAAAATAAAGTAATTTGCCCCAGATCATAGACTTATCTGGTCCACAGTACGATTTGGGCCACAGTTAGAGGATTTTCTTGATGTATAATTTAATAATTTTAATTCAATCAATTTAATTGTAAAATTAACCAATGTAATTCAATTAATTTTATTTCACTTAAATCATACATTTAATTATATGTAAAATTAAGATTAAGGCAGTGGATTTTGTACATATAAAATCTACTTTCCCCTCCTCCTAACAACCCTTCCTCTTGAGACATACAGAATTATTAGATTCTATATTAACTCACACAAATCTGGCTCAACATAAAGCAAAATTTGTACTTTTTGGAAATGTGGAAGGAACTAGTATCAATGAGCAGGATGTAAAGGTCTGTGTGGACCAGGAAGCTACACTGAAAGCCTTCCCTTAACATTTGCCATTCAGAGGAAATTCCTGGGTCCTGGATCTTTGAAACATGGTTCAGAGGAAGACCAGAGGTACCTGCTCTGGTGGGGTGTCCTCTTGGGCTCCTGGATTCCTTGGCTCTTGGGGATAGGCACTGTAGATGAAGAGCCAGAGGGACGCTCCAAAGTGCTGGGTTACAACTCAGGGACCCCAGATACCCATATATGAGGGTGGTTCTTTAAGCAGCCCTAGGGTTAAAGTATCTATTTGACTGGGGCTAAAGCCCTGGGGTTCAGTGAGAAGATAAATGATTGCAGGGTGGAGTGATAAAGTACAAGAAGCAATGATGAACAAAGGAAGCAATAAAATGTTGAACACAATTTCAAAAAGTATTTTCCATAAAATAACAAGAACAGTTGTTTTTGTGTTTTGTGTTTCAAAAGAAGCTAGAAATAAAATATTCCACAGTAACTTGGAAACCTTGAAGCAGAGGAAATTTGGAGGAAGTTACTGTTTGCTAAGGTCCTTGTCTTTTTCCGTAGAGAAAAGAAATACTGATTACCTTTCACTTTGTCAGCATATTATACATGTAAGAATGTATGCTAAAATAAACACAAAATGCATAACTTCTACACTGGAAAGTGAAAAGAAAGAAGTCTATAAAATTGATCTGTTTAATAAAATAGCAAAAAGAAAAAAAGAATGGCAAAAAGTAAAATGTAAAGGTGGCAAAAATCAAAGTGGCGGTAAAATGTAAAGGTGTGAGCGCATGTGTGTGTGTGTATATATATACACATATCTATATACACACACACATATATATATACACACACACACACATATATATATATATATATATATATACACACAGTAGCTGGGATTACAGGCAGTCACCACCATGCCCGGCTGATTTTTGTATTTTTAGTAGGGATGGGGTTTTGGCATGTTGGCCAGGCTGGTCGCATGTGATCTACCCATCTTGGTCTCCCAAAGTTCTGGGATTACAGGAGTGAACTGCTGCACCTGGCCAGTGTAAATATATTAATAATTATACAAAGTAGATACAGGTTAAACTCACTTTTCTAATATTGAATTGGACAATCTCTGGACTAAAAAGTAAAATATAATTATGTGGTGTTTATAAACACATCTTAAAATGTTATGGAATGATTAAAAATGAAAAGAGAAAATGGTTTATTAATTTTTTAAAAGTTGATAAAATTAATACTAATATTAGTAGAATATGAATAGAATATTCAGCAAAAAAAAGTATAAAGAAACAAGACAATGCATAATAATAGGCGGTAGCATTACAAAATGAAGAGGAAGGCTGGGTGCTGTTGCTCACACCTATAATTCCAGCACTTTGAGAAGCCAAGGCAGCAGGATCGCTTGAGCCTAGGAGTTCAAGAGCAGCCTGGGCAACATGGCAAAAATCCTTCTTTACGAAAAAACACAAAAAACAAGCTGGGCGTTGGCGCGTGCCTGTAGTCCCAGCTGCTCAGAAGGCTGAGGTAGGTGGGAGGATCATTTGAGCCTGGGAGGTCAAGGCTACAGTGAGCCGTGATCATACATCCCTGTACTCCAGCCTGGATGACAGAGCAAGACTATGTCTCAGAAAAACAAAACAAAACAAAGCCCACCAACACAACAACAAAGAGAAATACCCTCTCAGATCTCAGAAACTGATAGATCAAAGAGGCCAAAATAAGGAACCAATTACTCTGATGAATTGTGAAAGTAGTAAATGAGACTGTCTTGTTCTCCAGTTCAAGACATGGTGCCATCTTCAATTCACTTTACAGTGTGTGCCATGCATTTCCCCTGTATTTAAGCACATATTTTCAGTTCTCCAAACTCATCATGAGTTCTCCTCTCTATGGGCCTTTATACAAGCTTTTCTTCACCTGGATCTTTCTCCTCCCCAAGCCTTTTCTTGGCTAATGAGCTCCCATAGCACCTCATCCTTCTCCTCAAGTGGCATGTGAAATTCTGTATTTTAATTGCCTGTTACATTTCTTTTCTCCCCTACTAGGCAAAAAGCTTTGGAGGACTACGGCTATGCTGTTTTCTTTATTGCAGCACAGTTCCTGGCATGTGGTTTACTTCTTGAGGAAATAAATTAGTGAAGGAATGAGTTATGTAAAAATGAAATATGATAACAGATGGAGGGATTAATTCTACCTAAGGAAAAGGCTTCATAGAAGAAATGACCTTTAAGAAGAAACCTGGAAAATTAGTAAGGACAAAGGTTGTTCCCGGTGGAGGGAACAGTGTAAACAAACACCTGGAGGCTAGAGAGGGCACAGCATGGCAGGGAATTTGAGTAGTCAAAGTGCTGGAGCATTAGTGGCAGAAATGAAGCAGAAAATAGAGATTGGGATCTCTATATAAAGCCTGGAATGCCATGCTGAGGAGTGTATACTTTAATCTGCAAGCAAGGCATGTGTATTACAGATTGAAACATTAGGATGATCATGGTAGTTATTAGAGCTATTCACTGAATATTGCTAGTTCTTCACACTTCTAAGCCTATATTAGGACTACATACTTCTCTGTATACCTTTGAGGTGAGTCAAAGTCACATGACTTACTTGGACCAATGCTAATGAGAAATGAGTGCAAGTGACATGTGCCATGTCTGGGTAGAAACTTTAAGAGACATTGTTCGATTTGTCATTTTTCGTTTTTCTGCCTTAGCTTTTATGGAAGCATGAGACTTGGTCCTTGAATGAGAAAAACATAGAGAAGACTCAGCTATTCTTTCAGGGATATGAATAAGAAGACACAAGCCTTCTTTGCTTTATGACACTGAGAAGATTGGGTGTGGTGGCTCATGCTTATAATCCCAGCACTTTGGGAGGCCAAGGCAAGAGGATTGCCTGAATCCAGAAGTTTGAGACCAGCATGGCAACAAAGCAAGACTCTGTCTCTATCAAAAATTTTAAAAATGAGCCGAGTGTGGCAGGCTGAGGTGGGAGGATTGCTTGAGCCCAGGAGTTTGAGGTTACAGTGAGCTATGATCGTGCCACTGCACTCCAGCCTGGGTGACAGAAAAAGACACTGTCTCAAAAAAAAAAAAAAAAAAAAGAGACATGGAAATACAGTGGTTATTTGTTGCAGCAGAACCTTGCCTGTTCTGACTAATGTGCATGTTTTAAAATCTGTCACTAATTAGACTTGAGACCAGGAGAAAAATTAGGAGACCATTTAAATTGGTCAGGCATTATTAGTAGGAAAAGTGAAGAATGGACAGTGAGTGTGAGGACACAGACTGCATTGATTTTACTCATTTCTGTGTTTCTGGTGCCTGGTACAGTTCCTGGAATAAAAGAGAAGTAGAGGGAGAATCCTTGTGCTCACGCTTTCATAAGGACTTGTAGTAGATTGTTTAGTGTCCCCGAAAAGGTAAAGATATGTCCAAGTTTTAACTTCTGATACCTATAAATGTGATTTTATTTGGAAATAAGGTCTTTGTAGATATAATTACTTAAATATCATGAAGTGATAGTATCCTACACTTAGGATAGATTCTAAATCCAAAGACTAGTGTTCTTCTAACAGAAAGGAGAAGGAGATTTGACATAGAGCATACAGGGAGACACAGGGGCCAGGGACATGTTAAGATAGAGTCAGAGAATAGAGTTATACAACTGTAAGCCAAAGGGCACCAACAATTGCCAGCAGCCGTCAGAAACCAGGAGAGGGGTAAGGAATGGATTCGCCCTTAGAGCCTCCCGAAGAAACCAACCCCCTAAACATCTTGATTTTAAAGTTCTGGCCCCTAAGAATATGAGAGAATAAATTTCTATTGTTTAAGTCATCAAGCCACCAAGTTGGTAGTTTTTTTTTTTTTTAGAGTTGGAGCCTCCCTATGTTGCCCAGGCTGATCTCAAACTTCTGGGCTCAAGGGATACTCTTACGTTGGCCTCCCAAAGTGCTGAGATTACAAGTGTGAGCCACTGGCCCTGGCCTAGTTGTAATTTTTTATAGCAGCCTCAGAAAACGAATATAGGACTTCCACTCCACTTATCAGGTGAGATAGCATTACAGTAACACTTCCAATTACATTCTCTCTCTTCATTTTATACTCCACCTTTTTCACAAAATAAGAATTATTTATCTGATTTGTGATATTGTGGAATTCGCTCATAGCAGCTAATATTCTTCTGGGCTGTGTTTTAGGCTAATCTATAGGGTGGATATGTTCTTCTACTGATCTCCTCCACGAAGTAAGCAAGCCTGATTGCTAATTATGTAAGCCAACCTGATTGATGATCCCGAGCCTGTTTTCTAGAAGCTCTCTAGGCTCAAGGGTTGCAAGACAGCACATAATTCCCCATGTAGCTGACTGGACATATTTCTTTGCAGACTCTCTTTTAAGATGGATTGCAAATTTGGGTTTTTGCATGTGTATGTGTGTGTGTGTGTGTGTGCCCGTGTGCATGTGCATGTGTGTATTTGTGTGTATGGAGCCTCATTTGGGTTGCACATACTCTAATTTCTATCTGAAGAATGGATCTATCTCTGAGAATCAAACTTAGAAGGAGGAGAGGGTTATCACTGGCACTTTACAGAGCCATCCCCAAGAGAAGGTGTTCACTAAACATTTGTAAAAATGAATAAAAATCAAAAGGATTTGATTCAATAGATCTCACAGAATTTGACTTAACAAGACTGGGTGGTACTTACAGTTGGAGTTGAAGAAGAAAGAGTGTAAGATGATGCTGAGGTTTCTCACTTGGTGTATGAAGATAATCGTGTTCTTAACTGAGTATTTGTGTATAAGAACAGTCAGAATATAGAGGAGTTTATTTTAGTTTGGGATATAGTTGACAGAGATCTTTGTAAGTCACCTAGATGAGGATTTCCAGGAGATGGTTTGAAATGCTGTTTGGAGCTCAGGCTGGAATTGGAAATATGGATTTGGAATGAGATAATACGGAAATGTATATGCAATGGAGCACTTTACTTTTGAGGGCTGAATAGAGGCAAAGATTCCAGAAAGGGTAACCAAAGAAGTTTTCATAAACTTTGGAAGAAAACCAAGAAAAAATGGCATTTCAGAAGTCAGAAAGGAGAAAATTTCAGGAAGGAGGAAGTTTTAAATAGTATCAAGTGTTGCTGAGACATTCAGCAGAATTAAAACCAAAAACAGGTAGAATTCCATTATATATATATTTTTTACCCTGAGATTTATTTACAGAAAAGACAGTTTGAATAAAGTGGCAAAAAGCAAACTAAAAATGATCTTTTCTAGTTGCTACCAAGTTGCTAGAAAGTCAGGGTGGAAGCAAAGTTTTTTGAAAACAGGGAACCTTTAGTGTGAATGTAATGAGTGTTGGAGAAAGCTGGTTATATGAGCTCTGTGAAATCACGGAGTGTGGTTAGGCCCAGAAGAGGGGATTTGTGAGCTGGGGAGGAGGCATATGATAAAAGAAACAGGCGTTTATTGAGCATCTACTATGAACCAGAAGGTTTTACTTTTTGAAACTGGGTAACGAGGTACATGCAGAAGTCATTAACCAAGATAGAAAATCATGGGGGAAAAAACCGGTCTTTAAGGTGTTGGTAAGAACATGGTGAAAGGACTAATTAGGGGGGCCTGGGCTGAGTGGCCATGGATGTGAAGTTAGCTGGGAAGAGCAGTCAGTGGTCTTGCTGACTGAGGGGTTGAGGGGCTGGAGGTCACAAAGAGGATGACTTTCCATAGATGAGTCATGAGTACAACACCACATATTATTTCAATCTCTTATCAAGGTCTACTTCATATTCAGTTAGTTATGATGCTGAAGATACAGCCCATCAACCCTAAGATTCCATCAATTGCAAATCTTACCATTATTTTATGTATTAGTAAGAAAGAGAAGAAAAAATAAAACAACTTTATATGAATTGATCACAGCAACCTCTTACTGCTTTGAAATGTCTCTCAGCTCTTCCAGGGGGTGTGGCAATTTGTCCTGTCCCCAGTTGCCTTCCTTGCCTTGTGATAGGCAATCATTTTGCACACACCTCAGTAACAAACCCTAACATCATATTCTTGTGAACATCTTTTTTAGCTCCTGTAAAGCACTTGTTATTCCTTTATAAGAAAATATGGAAGCATAGTCATTCTTCTCCTACAGTGAATATTTTCTGCTCAGTTTTTATGTCTTTGTATATACACAATAGAATGTTTATTTCACTTATGTCAAATTTATACCCCTCTGCTCTGTTTTCTGTGTCTTTTTACTTTCTTGAAATCTTTTATCTAAATGTCAAATCATAGTTAAATTCAATGCTGTAGTACTGATATATTAGTATCTTTTCTGTTGCTTATAACAGAATATCTGAAACTGGGTAGTTTATAAAGAAAAGGAATTTACTTCTTAAGGTTATGGAGGCTGGGAAGGCCAAGATTGAGGGGCCGTATCTGGTGAGGGCCTTCTTGCTGGTGAGGACTCTGAAGAGTCGTGTGGCGGTGCAGGGCATCACATGGTGAGGGGACTGAGTGTGCTAACATGCTGGCTCATGGTCCAATCACCTCTTAAAGGCCCCACCTCTCAATATGCCACATTAAGTTTCAACATGAGTTTTGCAGGGGACATTCAAACCATAGCAACCAGGTTGTACATCATTCAATAGAGATGATGACATTCCTATGAACAGGTGTGACCAATGCTGTACATACCTCAGCAATGACAACTACATCATGACGGTGCCTCGATGACAGGAATTGTAAAATGCAACTCCCTGGAATGTAGAATTGCATTCCAATTTCAGAGATGTTAAATGTGAAAATAAAAATGTGTCTTAGTATTGCTGAAATATAAAAATTAAATTTTATAGAAATACGGTAATTGAAATTCACAGTTAAACTTCAACCTTAATTATGACTACTCTTTGCTACCTAGCTTATTTTTAGCATTCCTAACAGATACTGTGTGAAAACTGATTTGAGTCTTAACTTTTCTTATATTCTTTGTTATCCCCTGAAGGACGTGTGAAATGCCCAAGAAGCCAGTGCTGTGGGAAGAGGAAAAATGAAGTCTTGTGTGTTTTGCCCCCAATAACTCAAACTGGTGTATGTGTCTCCATCAGACAATGGTATGTATTTTTCCTTCATAGGTGAAACTGGGTCTGCTTTAATTTCTATGAATTCTTTTTCTTAATCTTAGGGAAGGGAAAAGATGCCATACCGTTTTCTGAAACTCTAAAGATAAAAATCTTTCATAGAATTGTAGTGCCGGAGGATCTCAGAAAACACCTAGTTCTAGAGTGTCATGTTTACAGATTGAATGACTAGTTAATGCAAGTCACATGTGACAAGCCATGGTCAAGTGTGTTATTCTTTGATGTGGAGGGAAAAAACAAACACAGGATAAGCCACCAAACTAGAGTTTTTAGTAGGTAAAAAAATTGTGCTTAGTAGACATGGCTGTTAAAGCCAGTCAGGTGTTCTTTACTGGATATTACACATTCCCAAGAACAAATCCTCTCCCCGTTTCTATATTCTGCCTTCCATCAGTCACACCTAGGTCTTGTCATTTAATTTTGCTTTGCCTTGTTTTTGTCCCTTATTGGGTCAAGGTTAGTTTGTTCTGCAGAAATAACAAATGGCTGGATTTCCCAGTCTTCAGAGCTCTGGGGTGAGTTAAATCCACAGATGTTTATGAGTGGTGACAATCCCTGTTGGCGGATGTTGTAGCAATACTTTGAGAACTGGCTATACTGAATGATGCCAGCTGAAGAGGAATCCTAGGAATTTGCTTTCATTTAGATCAGACATTTGATCCAATTGAAGAATGGCTCCCACTTTTTTTTAGCTCTTATAAGCCTTTATGAGGCCCAATTTTGCTTGTGGAATCTGAGAAGATTTTTTGCTTTCATCCGATCTGGCTGGGAATAGGGGAGTGGAAGACAATTGTTCAAAAGGAAGCTCTTTGTACATACTGACTCTTAGATCTGTTTCATAAGAAAATTTCCATAGGAATTCTAGGAAGAGAAACAAATGGTTTAGGCAGAGAGCATTTGGGCTATTAAACATTCCGGTGGCTGGTTCTGTGGCCAGCAAGGCAGCCAAGCCTAAGGAATTTCAAGGGACACAGCACTTTTTTAAATTGGAGCCCTATGTCTGGCCGCAATGCTAATTGTTTCACATCAGCAATTTAGTATATTGTGCTATAGGGGTGCAGGGGGGTGGGTAAGGGGGGCTTCAATGGCTTCTTTTGTTAGAAACAGGCTAATTTCTAGTACTTACTCAAAAAGGTTACAATTAGAAGGGATGGTGCAACAGAGCTTGAGAAAGTAAACATGGGGGCACCCATCTCCTTTTCATTATAAATCGCTTCCCTTTCCCTGCTTCTGTAGTTGTCAGATGCTAAATACTTGTCATCTTGGGATTCTCTTTTGCTGGGCAAGAACATAGCCTAACCTAACGGTGGGTTGCAGATATCAGAATGCTGTAGTCTAAACAGCTGGCATGGGAAACAGGCATGGAAGTGGAGGGTAGTAGGGATTTGAACAAAGCCCAAACTTGCCTTGGGTTAACTTGATTTACAGGAATCAACAGGACCTGGAAAAACTCCAAGCCATGAAGCCTTTGTTTGGGAAGTTTTGCAGGATAAAGGCTAGCCAGATCTAAATAAAGCTTTTCCATCAGGGTTTCAAAACAAAACATTGAAAAAAACAGAGGGTGCCTTTATCTTTCCTTGCTACTGGCCAGGTTTTAAGTTTAGCCGAGGACTAGAGAACTGGATGTGGGAAAAAGATGTAATCAGTTGCTTTGAACAACTCAAGAATGGAACACATAAACACTGCAGGGTTGGATTACCTAAAGCAAATTAGTTGTTTTTTTCGTGATCTTTTTATTGTGGTTTTAATATTTGTAGGACTCACACCATAAGTTTGGGCAATGTCAAGCTGACACACAAAGCATCAGTAACTTAGAAAAGCTATACTGGTGGTGTGCCTATGCATCCTGTGTTCCTTGATGCCACCTCTGGCATGGCCACCAAAGGAAGTCTGAGTCTCAGTTCCCTCCTCTGTGGAATGGTGATGCAAAAATAATAGTTTTACAAAAAGCCAAGCAAAAAAACCATAAGTAAATGTCAACTGTAAAGGTTTAGGACTTTGTACAGTGTCTGTGCCTTAAACACCTTGGTCTCTCCCCGACACACTGATTTCATCTGCAGTAGCCCCCCCTCTATCTGTTGTTTTGTTTTCTGTGGTTTCGGTTACCAATGGTCACCCTTGGTCTGACAATATTAAATGGAAAATTCCAGAAGTAAAAAATTTATAAGTTTTAAATTGCATGCCATTTTGAGTAGTGTGAAGAAATCTCATGCTGTCCCTCTGGGACGGGACTTATCCTTTTGTGCAATGTATTCATGCTATATACACTACCTACTATGCTACCCACCTGCTAGTCACAATCGCCATCTTGGTTATTAGATGGAAAAAACAGCATATACAGGGTCCAGTCCTCTCCGTGGTTTCAGGCACTCACTGGGGGCCCTGGGATATATAACCCATGTATAAGAGGTGACTACTGTATTCATGCATCCAACAATATTTACGGAACCAAAAAACACACAGTAGCTACTCGGTATTTGTTGAATAAAAATGTTTTTCAACAAAGCATCATTATTATTCTTTGTAGCAGGGGTTGGCAAACTACAACCCACATTCCTCTTTTTGTAAACAAAATTTTATTGGAATACAGCCACACCCAGGATTGACTATGGCTGCTTTTGCGCTGCAACAGCAGAGATGAGTAGCTGTGAAAGAGACTTTATGGGTTGCAAAGTCTAAAATACTTAGCATCTGGCCTGGGTGGAGAAAAATCTGCAAAATCCCTGTACTATAGCACTAACCTAAAAACATTAGGCACCCTTCCCAAACTCCTAGTTTCCCGTAAACAATGTATCCATGAATATTTCTAGAATAATATTGTCCAAGTATGCTTCAGGGCATGCTTGTTTCACAAGCTGCCCCTTCCTGGTTTAGAAAGTTTAGAAAATAGACACATCATGAATATTATGAAGTCTCACAGTTAAAAGAAGAATGTGTGTAATTTTGATTCAGCGTTTTCAAACTCATGGGACCCTATTAATCCTTTTTTGTTTTTCAGAAATTAATGTTTTGTAGAAGGAAGTTGCCACATAAACACCTTAGGAAATATTGGTAAACAGAATGTATTTTGTGGGCTAACTCCAGAAAATTGGAAATGACTACCTAGTGTGTTGTATTGAGAAGGATCATGAGGTACTGCCACAGTATGGTGGGATAGAATACAGCAAACAATTGCCTAGATCAACCATGGCATGTGTGCTGAGAGTTTGCAACCACTTGTTTAGACCTTACTGAAAGTACTTTAAAATGAGAGTCCACATGGTCTCTACATTGCTGCATATGAAGTGTGATTTCAAACTTGCTTTTCTGGTGAGGCTTATAACCTAGTTATGAAGAAATTTCACAAACAATTACAGTGAGGATAATTGTCTTATCTTCCAGGAGAACTTAGAAGTTGACATTAAATGGATTATATATGTGAACATGATTATTATACATCATTCTGCTTCTGCTATTCCTGTTATGCATATGTTATACCTTTTGAAGTTGTTCCTTAGTTCTTGGATATTCTTTCCTGTTTTTTCAGTGTTTTCTTTCTTTCCTCTTCAGATTTGGAAGTTTCTACTATGGTATTCTCAAGCTCAGAGATTCTTTCCTTAGCCGTGTCTAGTCTACTATTGAGACCATGAAAGGCATTCTTCATTTCTGTTACAGTAATCTTGATCTCTAGCACTTCTTTTTGATTCTCAGAGTAATGATCTCTCTGCTTACTTTACCCATATGTCTTTGCATGTTTTCTACTTTTTAAATTAAAGTCCTTAACATAGTCATAGTTGTTTCAGATTCATGATCTGAGCTGGGCATAGTGGCTCATGCCTGTAATCCCAGCATTCTAGGAGGCTGAGGCGGGGAGATTGCTTGAGGCCCAGAGTTCAAGACCAGTCTGGGCAGCATAGTGAGACCCCGTCTCTACAAAAAATAAAAAAAATAGCTGGCCATGTGGCATGTACTTCTAGTGCCAGCTGCTTGGGAAGCTCAGGTGGGAGGATTGCTTGAGGCCAGGAGATTGAGGCTGCAGTGAGCTGTGATTGTGTCACTGCACTCCAGCCTGGGAGACAGAATGAGACCTTGTTTAAAACAAACAAACAAACAAAAAAAACCTCCATCTAATAATTCCAACATCTCTGCCATATCTGAGTCTGGTTCTGAGGTTTGCTCAGTGTCTTCAAATTGTGTCTTTTGCATTTTAGTATGCCTTATAATCTTTTCTTAAAAGCTAGACATGACATACTGGGTGAAAGTAATTCCAGTAAATAGACCTTTAGCAATGTGGCATAAGGTGTGGGGAGAGAGGAAGTCTGTGCCCCGGGCTGGGCTGTGAACCTCATAAGTACTTCTCAGTGCTCTCTTTCCCCTTGGGTGGGACAGGACGGCTAACGGGGCTGGAGCTGGGTTTTTCCCTTACTCCCTGTTGGTTAGGCTCTAAAATAACCCATTAAGGTAGGCACTGGTAAAAGAGTTACTCTTGAGAGCAGACCTTGTTAAGATGCACAGAATGCTCTGGCATATTTTAAAATGGCTCCCTTCCCCCTCCCCCTGCAGTAAGTCTCAGTGGATTTCTCTCCAGCCTTCATTGTGAGAACCTGGTAGAGATCGTGGGGAACTCACAAAAGCATGAGGTTGGCCCTGTGAATGGCCCCTCTGGAGTTTTTAACCCTCAGACCTGTCCACACCAAGGCTTCAGCAACTCTTCAGTTACAGCTTAGGTTTTCCTAGCCTTTCCTGTGGAGGTTTCTGCTCATGGAGTTCTGCTCTGGTAAGTTATTATTCTCTGTAACCACCTGTCTGTCTCCAGCTTTGAGGGCAGCAGTTTGATGTGACCTCACTTCTCTGACAGATCTAAGAAAAGTTACTGATTTTCATTTTGTTCAGCTTTTTACTTGTTGCTAGGATAGAGTGATGACTTCCAAGCTTCTTACATGTCAGACCAGAAACTGGAAGTCTGCATCATTCTGTTTACCTTCCTGGGCCCTAAAAACATAACAAAGCAGATTTCTTGTCAGAATCTGTGTGTCAATGATATGGTTTGGATCTGTGTCCCTGTTCAAATCTCATGTTGAAATGTAATCCCCTATATTGGAGGTGGGGCTTGGTGGGAAGTGATTGGATCACGGGGGTGGTTTCTCATGGTCTGACACCATCTCCCTTGGTGCTGTCATTCCCATAGTGAGTCCTCATGAGATCTGGTTGTTTAAAAGTGTGTGGCAGGTGCCCCTTCTCTCTCTTGCTTCTTTTCTAGCCATGTGAAGTGCTGTTCTCATTTTACCTTCTGCTATGATTGTAAGTTTCCTGAGGCCTCCCAAGAAGCTGAACAGATGCCACTGCACTTTCTGTACAGCCTGTGGAACTGTGAGCCAATTACACCTCTTGTCCTTATTAATTACCCAGTCTCGGGTATTTATTTATAGCAGTGCAAGAACTGACTAATGCAGTTCAGTAGGCATTATAAATTTATTCTTTGAAATGCCATCTTTAGTATAAAAATAGAAAATAGAAGCATTTGGTATACCAATAATAAACAATATTTCCATGTATCAGAATCACAACAAACCCACAAAGTTATAATTGGGGGTTGGTTCTGGGCCTTGCTGGGCTTTATGTCTGAAAGGGAGCAGGAGTTTCTTGAAACTAGGGGACTGAATGAAGCTCCCCTGGTTAAGAAACAAGTCTGGAAAACTCCTTAGGGCTATCACTTCTGTGAAGTTTTGTAACCAGGAAAGAAAGAAACTGTATAAGCACACAACCAAAATCTTAAGCAAGCCCCACACCTTGGCAGATCATCAATACCTGCAATACCACACAGCATGTGGGGGAGAGAGGTAGTTGTGAGCCACCACTAGAAGTAGAAGTTGAGGGCTCTGAACGGCCAGGTAGAAACAACCCCAAACCTGGAGACTGGCTGGAAAGGATGAAAGAGAAAAAAATTTCACCTAAGATGAGCTGAAGTACACAGTCCAAAACATGAAGAAGTCTAGTCTAAGAGAGAAAGCCAACATTTGTGACAAATTTACTTTACGTATAATTAATAGAATAAGGCGGGGTGCGGTGGCTCATGCCTGTAATCCCAGCACTTTGGGAGGCTGAGGTGGGTGGATCACTTGTGGCCAGGAGTTCAAGACTAGCCTGGCCAACATGGCGAAGCCCATCTCTAATAAAAAAATATTAAAATTAGCCAGGCGTTGTGGCAGGCGCCTGTAATCCTAGCTACTCTGGAGGCTGAGGCAGGAAAATTGCTTGAACCCAGGAAGCAGAAGTTGCAGTGAGCCAAGATCGCACCACTGCACTCCAGCCTGGGTGACAGAGACTCCATCTCAAAAAGTAAATAAATAAATAAATAAAAAGAAAATAATAAAATAATAGAATAAGATAAAGAAGGCTTTAAACACACGAGTTTAGGATCATCAGAGTGGTAAATAAAAGGAAAAGGACCGGGTGTAGTCACTCACACCTGTAATCCCAGTATTTTGGGAGGCAGAGGAAGGAGGGTTGCTTGAGCCCAGGAATTCAAGACCAACTTGTGCATTAGAGTGAGACCCCCATCTCCACTGGAAAAAAAAAAAAGGAAAAGAATTAACCAAACAAAAAAAGGCAGAAAGGACATAAGAACAGTTACATATGAAATAGAAACACCTGGATAACATGTATGTAAAATCTGGAAAGTTAAAAAAAAAAACACACACACAATAGATTGGATCAACTCTAGGCTGACACAGCTGAAGAAAAAAGTGCTCTGAACAATTGTATTAGAAATTCAGGCTAGACACAGTGGCTTATGCCTGTATTCCCAACACTTTGGGAGATTAAGTCAGGAGGATCACTTGAGCTGAGAAGTTCAGGACCAGTCTGGGCAACATAGTGAGACCCTCATCTCTACAAACATACATACATACATACATACATACATACATACATACATACATAAAGGGAAAAAAGGATAATGAGAGAATACTCAAAGAAAGAACTGAAGACTTTTCACAAAGAAATTCACAAATCCTTACAATTAAAAATGCACAAAGAATAATGAAAAGGATAAATAGAAATAAATGCACATGTAGACACAAGATGGTAAAATTGCAGAACAAGAGTAAAGACAAAAGTTTTAAAAACCACAGGAGAAGGTTGGGCGCAGTGGTTCACACTCGTAATCACAGCACTTTGGGAGTCTGAAGCAGCCAGATCACTTGAGGCCAGGAGTTTGATACCAGCCTGGCCAACATGGCGAAACCCTGTCTCTACTAAAAATACAAAAATTAGCTGGGTGTGGTGGTGCATGCCTGTAATCACAGCTTGCATTAGTCTGTTCTCACACTGCAGATAAAGAAATACCTGAGACTGGGTAATTTATAAAGAAAAAAAGATTTAATGGACTTACAGTTTCACATGCCTGGAGAGGCCTCAGAATAATGGTGGAAGGCAAAGGAGGAGCAAAGTCACGTCTTACATGGCAGCAGGCAAGAGAGCATGTGCAGGGGAATTCCCATTTATAAAACCGTCAGATCTCATGAGACTTACTCACTACCACGAGAACAGTATGGGGGAAACCACCTTCAAGATTCAATTATCTCCACCTGGCCCTGCCCTTGACACATGGGGATTATTACAATTCAAGGTGAGATTTGGGTGGGGACACATAGCCAAAACATATCATACCTACTCGGGAGGCTGAGGCACCAGAATTGCTTGAACCCAGGAGATGGAGGTTGCAGTGAGCCTAGATTGCACCACTGCACTGCAGGCTGGGCGACAGAGTGAGACTCTGTCTGAAACAAAACAAAACAAAAGAACAAAAAAAACACAGGACAGAAAGACAGAATTCTTGCTAACAGATCTCATTAGGTGATCAACAGACTTCTCATCTGCAACAGATACCGCATCACAACAGATTAATATTTTCAAGGTGCTGATAGACAATAACTGCAAACTTTGAATTCTAAACCCCGAATGAACCAAGATTCAAAAATAAAGACCATATAAAGACTTTCAAAAATGCATTAGGAAAATTTAACAACTTAGGGTCCTTAATGAAAGGACCATTAACAGAGATCCAAGGATTGTGATGAAACAAAACAAAACAAAAACCCCAAGAGAAACTAATCTTCTTGAAATGCTGTTTTATTTAATTAACCATGGACACTATTTCCACACCCACACACACAAACACAGCACAGACATCAAAATTCCAGGCAAGAATACCAAGGAAGAAGGTGGAGTAGGGATGAGGGTTCTTATGAGATTGGGTAGGAGAAGGTTGATAGAAATATTTAAGTAATTCCAGACCAGTGTTTCTCCAATTTTGGCATGCGTCAGAATCACTTGGAACACACAGGTTGTGTACCCACCCATAGAATTTCTGATTCATTAGGTCTGGGGTGGGACCTGAGAATCTGCATTTCTAACAGTTCCCAGGTGATGCTAAGGCTGCTGCTCTGGGGTCTATGCTTTGGGAACCACTCCTGCTGACTTTACTGGAAAGACTAAGTATGTAGGTAAAAAAAAAAAAACCTGAGTGACCATTAAAAGAATAGGAACTATGTATAGCTTTAAAACCACAAAGGAAAATAAATGGACTATATATGTGTGAACCCCAAATATCTGAGACAGGTCTCAATAAATTTAGAAAGTTTATTTTGCCAAGGTTAAGGACACGTATCTGTGACAGCCTCAGGACATCCTGATGACATGTGCCCAAGGTGGTCGGGGCACAGCTTGGTTTTATACATTTTCAGGGAGACTTGAGACATCAATCAATATGTATAAAGATGTATATTGTTTTGGTCCAGAAAGGTGGGACAACTCAAAGCGGGGAGGGGGCTTCCAGGTCATAGGTAAATAATAAGCAACAAATGGTTGCATTTTTTTGAGTTTCTGATTAGCCTCTCCAAAGTAAGCAAGCAGATATGCATTTATCTCAGTGAGCAGAGGAATGATTTTGAGTTCTATCTGACCTTTGTCTGTAAGGAATTTCCTGGTGGACAAATTGTGAAGGAGGTTATGTGGCTTTTTAAATTTCAGTAGCTGTCTTTTTTAGGAGTAGAATGGGAGGAAGCTTTGCCCTAAGCAGTTCCCAGCTTGACTTTTCCCTTTGGCTTATCCCAAGATTTATTTTCCTTTCACATATGTATATATTTATAAATGTTATAAGTACAACAGAAGGCAAGAATGGAGCAAACATAAGAGTGAGGAGGAGGAGGAGGAGGAGGAGAAGAATGGTAAGTGCAAATTAAAATGGTAGTACTAAATCCACACACTGGAAGGTGGTTTTTGCAACACATAAAACTGAAAAAGCAATTGTATGCAGAATACATCAAGAATTCCTACAAACCTTTAAAGAAAATACAAGACCTTGAAAAAATTTGCAAAGGATGTGATCAAACAATTCACAGAAGAGGAAACAAACATGGCCACAAAGCATATCCAAAATCCAAAAGCAAAGCATAGTCTCCCCAGTAACTAGGGAAATACAGATTAAAGGCACGGATTTATACCCAGCAGATTGGTGAAAACTTAAAAGTCTCGTAATTCCGAGTCTGAGTTGGGATGTGGAAAAACAAGCCAGAAGTCTCACACAGGAGTGGTGAAAGGCTACGCTGGTGCAACTTCTTCAAAACAATTTTAACAATTTCTAGTAAAGATATGATCTTTGTATCATATCAAAGATGCACATTCTCTTTACCCGGTGATCCAGCAGTCGACTTAATGTGGAACATAGACTCTTGCATGTGAGTTCAGAGGCATATGCATAAATGTTCTTGGGGGTTTCCCTGTGATAATTAAAAACTGGAAATAAACTAATCTTATTGCCAGAGAGTAGATTAGAATGTAGGATCTTTATACAATGGAATACTGTGAAGAATTAACATGAATTGCTACTATGTGGCCATAGATTCTGCCTATAGATTCTTTAATGTTCTATATCATAGAACATTATTTACCTCAAATACTTAGAATCAGCTTCAGTTAAAATTATAGTTGAAACTCTAAGCCACATGGTTCAGTAATACGTAATAAAAAACTTCAATGAGGTTATTAGCATAGTGTTTTTGAGAATCCCAAACACTGGGTTAGCCCTTATTCTTTGTTTAGATGAAAAAGATAATGCAGAAGCTTAGAGAATATTTACATTCCAGTTGCCATGATTATAAAATTTATCTATGCTTCTTTTGTCTTTACTTATCATGAAATGATCTCTTTTTTTTTTTTTTTTTTTTTTTTGAGACGGAGTCTCGCTCTGTCGCCCAGGCCGGACTGCGGACTGCAGTGGCGCAATCTCGGCTCACTGCAAGCTCTGCTTCCCGGGTTCACGCCATTCTCCTGCCTCAGCCTCCCGAGTAGCTGGGACTACAGGCGCCTGCCACCGCGCCCGGCTAATTTTTTGTATTTTTAGTAGAGACGGGGTTTCACCTTGTTAGCCAGGATGGTCTCGATCTCCTGACCTCGTGATCCACCCGCCTCGGCCTCCCAATGATCTCTTATCTAAGACTATTTACTTGAAAGAGCAAAGAACTTTCCTGCCATGTGTAAAAGTTTGTTTAGTAGAGATTGCAAGAATGTTGACTTGTAAACTTGAGACAATGTATGTTTGTTTTAGGAAACTACATTTGTTAAAATATTCATAATAGAGAATTGTGTGTATGTGTGTGTGTGTGTTAGTTAAAAAAATAAACTTTGTTGGTCATTTTGTTCTTATTTCAATTAATACAATCAGTATATAAAAACTGTTCATTTAAATTAGAAAGGTGTAATTTAAGATGAAAATTTAAGAAGAAACTCTGTAAAAAGATTTTTTCAAGTAAAATAAATTAGTTATTCTATTCTTAACTTAAAAACTATAATAAAAAATCTCATTTTCCAGTTACATGTATTAACATGATAACACTCAAAAACAAAAAGTTGAGTGAGAAAAGCAAATTGTTGTACAGTAAGATGACATTTATTTAAACAATCAAATCATTCAAAAACAATTCTCTATTATTTTACTGGTAATGGCAATGTCAAATAAATATAAATATTGCTTATGCATAAAATACCTGGAAGATAAATTATGAAAACATGGATGCTAATGACTTCTGAGGAGAGACGGAGAAACATTGAGGCTTCAATGATATTTGCTATGTCTACTTCTGAAAACAAATGTTCTGATGAGAATATGGCAAAAATATCGCCTGTTGAATATGGGGATGGATACTTGGATATTTGGATTTTGAAAGGATAAACCATCACATGTATTCTTATTTGTATTGCAGAAAATGAATAAATACATTTGTGAAAAAGTGTATTATTTCCTCATATATATAAAATTCTCATTAACAGTTCTACACAGCAGATCCTTCCCCATGCTCCACCAAAAATCAAGTCTTGTATATTCATACAGAATCTACGCAACCACACGTAACTCCAGGAACAGGGGCCTCACAGAGGTGGTCTTCTGCTGTTCCAGCACTGAGCCGTCAGTATCTCTAAATTGCTCTAACAATGTTTCTGCACATTTTGAGTTAGCAACCTCCTGCTTGTCCACAATAACTATGCAAATGTTTGCCAGTTTCCTAATGCTCCCTCAGCAGCACCCTCAGCTCTCAGTGGATGATGCCATCCAGGATTTCATCCAGGGAATAGTGGTCAGAAAGCATTTCTCCCTGAACTTCCTGAACTTCTTTTCTCCTTTTCCAGAAAAACAGAACCAATAAATATGTGTATATACAACATGTGTGTGTGTGTATATATATATATATTTATATTTGAGGTAGGATCTCGCTCTGTTGCCTAGGCTGGGGTGCACTGGCATGATCATGGTTCCATTGTAGCCTTGACCTCCTGGGCTCAAGCCATCTTCTCGCTTCAGCCTCCCAAATAGCTAGGACTATAGGTGTGTGCCACCATACCCGGTTAAGTTTTTATGTTTTGTAGAGATGAGGTCTCACTATGTTGCTCAGGCTGGTTTCAAACCCTAGGCTCAAGTGATCCCCCCACCTCAGCCTCCCAAAGTGTTGGGATTACAGGCATGAGCCACCATGCCTAGCCCTACGTATATTATATGATGTTTACGTCTGTCTCTCTACCTGTCTAGAGATTAATTTATTTTCAAAAATTGACTCACACCATTATGAGGCTGGCAAGTACAAAATGTGCAGGGCAGGTTGGGAGTCTGGAAATTCTGGTTAGGAGCTGATGTTGCAGTCTTGAGCCTGAAGGCAGTCTGGAGGCAGAATCCCTTCCTCTTCCAGGGACCTCCATCTTTTCTCTTAAGGCCTTCACCTGATTAGCTGAGACCCACCCACATATGGAGGGTAATCTGCTTTATTCAGAAAAGTCTACTAATTTAAATGCACATCACATCTAAAAAATACCTTCATGGCAATATCTAGACTAGAGTTTGCCAAGTAGCTAGGCACCACAGCCCAGCCAAGTTAACATGTAAATTTGGGCATCACACCTTCCTCTTCCTGACCCACTGATCTGAATCTGCAGCCTTTATTTCCTCCATTCCCCTGAGTTTCTATGAGAACAGTTGCCTTCATTCCACATTAGTGCAAGGCACCTGTGTTCTGGATCCTCTTTCCTTTTTACTTTCTCAGGAAATCACTTTATCAGTGATGTCTTCTGACTTCTGTATCTTCATTCTCTCTTACTGTGTTTTTGTTTCGCTTTGATATACAATTGCACTAAACTATCTTCCATCTTTAAAAAAAATCTCCATGACTCTCTATCACCCTCCCATTTTCACAACACCTATCCCTCCTTTAACAATTTAAATTCATTTCTGAAAAGTCTGTTGCTAAATGAAAAGCCATTCCATAAGGAAAATATTTTCATTAATTTTAATGGAAATATTTTGATGAATTTCATCAGAACCCATGATACCCAAATCATTTTCATAGTTAGTAAATATATATTGAATGATAAAAACAAATTTTTACAAGTAATGGATAACATTTTGAAAGTCAATAATTTGTGCATTAAATGTGATAGAATGAAAATTTCTTAAGCTAATTATTTCTCTTTGCATCATCTTCTTCAACAATTTTTCAACTTTTTGGGGGCTTGAGGTGTCTGCACTCAAAGTGCAGTGAAAGTAATCTTATAGCATAGAAACACACTCGCAGCATAAAATAAAGTCCAGACAAGAGAGTGCTTAGAAATGTGGAGTTGTTACATGTGAAAAAAGACTGAAGAAGAAGCCATCTCCCTAGCCTCTTTTTCACATATTCAAAACAGATTTGGATTTATACAAACATGAGTGCAATTCAAATTTGTTTTGCATGATACTCTGATGAGAAACTGTTGTGTCAAGTAAATTGGGGAGTGTGACTTTGCCTGGAACCAGAATACCAAAATATCACTTCTTATAGAGGACTTGTCTCGTATGTTTTAGGTGAAAAAGTCATTGTAATAAAGCAGAAGAAATTGCCTCAAAAGTGGCATAATATTTCAAGAGCCATTATGGTGAAAATCCTTTCCTTACCAGCTATTATATGAAGTGATGTAACTCTTCACTGACAAAGTTCTCAGAAGAGAAATCTACTTTTTCTTTCCCTACTGTCTCAATTCACTCCCAGCGTTATTTGGTTTCTGCCTCTTTTAGTTTACTAAGTTCTCTTGCCATTGCAAATTGACTGTCTTGTTTAGAAGTACAACGTTTTGACTTGGCTTCTTGGAAGTATTTCACAGAGCTGATCATTTCCTCTCATTTGAGTGTCTTTCTTCCCTTGATTTCAATTTTTTTGAAAAAACATATATTGAGGGACCAAATAGATACAATGTGTCAGAAAACCATTCTAGGTTCTACAGATGTGGAGATGTGTAAAAGTTGGACCATACCCTTGAGGGTTTTATAGGATGGGGCTTCGGTGTCAGGAGGAGACAGGTAATTGCTTTTCTGGAAAATGTGGTACCTGAACTGAGCCTTAAATCTTTTTTTTTTTTTTTTTTTTTTTTTGAGATGAGACCTCTGTCACCTAGGCTGGAGTGCAGTGGCAAAATCACGGCTCACTGTAGCCTCAACCTTCTGGGCTCAAAACTCCTGCCTTAGCCTCCTGTGTAGCTGGGACCATAGGTGCCTGCCACCACACCAGATCATTTTTGTAGGTTTTTTTTTCTTTTTTTTTTATAAAGACAGGATTTTGCTATGTTGCCCAGGCTGGTCTTGAATTCCTGGGCTCAAGTGATCCTCCCACTTTGGCCTCCCAAAGTGCTGGGATTACAAGAGTGAGCCACCATACCTGGCCACAAATCTTAAGTATTAATATGGTTTCCCACTCTTCTTATTTCCTTTCTATCTCTTTGGCTTTTCCTTTTTATTTCTCTTCTTTTTTGCTATTTATGGTCGCTAGTTGTCTTCGTTTATTTGCTGTTATAACAAAATTTACCTTGTATTGGATAATTTACAGACAACAGTTCTGGAGGCTAGGAAGTCCAAAATCAAGGTGTCAGCAGAGTCCATGTCTGGTGAGCACTTGCTCTCTGCTTCCAAGATAGTGCCTCTTGCTGTGTCTTCACATGGCCAAAGAGATGAAACTGTATCCTCACATGGTGGAGGAAGCAGAAGGGCAGAAGAGGTGAACTCACTCCCTCAAGCCCTTTTATAGAGACACTCATCCCACTCATGAGGGCAGAGCCCTGATGGCTTAATCACCTCCAGGTGGCCTCACCTCTTAATACCTTCACCTTGTGGTTTAAGTTCCAACATGTAAATTTTGGAGGGACACATACATGGAAACCATAGCATCAGTCTTTCCTCCTTGACTGTTTATTCTCTTCTCATTCCGCTGACTCCCTATATATGTCTGTGACCTTGATTACTACCTGTATTCTGCTAAGATCTGTCTCTCAAACTCCAAACTAGACACATTGCACCACTTTGAAACACTTTTGTCTGGCCTGGACATTTACTTTTATTTTTATTTTTTGAGACAGGGCCTCACGCTGTCACCCAGGCTGGAGTGCAATGGTGCAATCTTGGCTCACTGCAGCCTTGACCTCCCTGGGCTCAAGTGATCCTCCAGTCTCAGCCTCCCCAGTAGCTGGGACTAAAGGTACATGCCACCATGCCTGGCTAATTTTCATATTTTTTGTGAAGACGAGGTTTTGCCATGTTTCCCAGGCTGATCTCGAACTGTTGTGCTCAAGCAATCCTCCTGTCTTTGCCTCCCAAAGTGCTGGGATTATAGGCGTGAGCCACCACACCTGGTCTGGTCTGGACGTATCACAGGCAAATCAACCTAAGATATCTAAAACGAATAATTATTTAACCCCTTAAATCTATTCTTCCTCCTGTGCTTCCTGTTCATTGGATGGCACCACAGTCTTTAGATACCTAAGCCAAGAATTTAAGAGTCATCCTTGGACTCTTCTTTTTCTCTTATCTACCATGTCTATTTGGTCACCAAGAGCTATTGAGTTTGCTGCTTCACATCTCTCTCATAGCCCTCCACTTCT
This sequence comes from Homo sapiens, assembly GCF_000001405.40. NCBI lineage: Eukaryota > Metazoa > Chordata > Mammalia > Primates > Hominidae > Homo > Homo sapiens. The sequence continues at coordinate 71,649,508 of NC_000009.12, read as the reverse complement.
CTGCATTCCCACTGCTGTCTCCTCAGTTCAAACCTCCTTGTTCTCTACCCATTGTGTTTACCTCCTTCCATCTTCAGACTTCCCCACTTTAAGTCTTTCCATATCGCTCCTGCAGTGACCTCTCAAAGCACAAGTCTGGTCTCTTTATTCCCCTGATTAAAATCTTTCGATCACTCCCTATTGATATCAGGATGTTCTATAAACAGGTTGACCTGGCTTATAAGGCCCCACTGCTGGAACTTCCCTACCTTCTTCCTAATTTCCAACAAATACAACCACATGCGGCTGCTGGTAGACCAGGCTCCCTCATGTTTTTGTGCTTATGTGTTTATTGCTCCTTCTGCCTGGGAATTTTTTTTTTTTTTTTTTTTTTTTTTTGAGACAGAGTCTCGCTTTGTCATCCAGGCTGGAGTGCAGTGGTGCGATCTCGGCTCACTGCAAGCTCCGCCTTCCGGGTTCACCCCATTCTCCTGCCTCAGCCTCCCAAGTAGCTAGGACTACAAGTGCCCACCACCATACCCCGCTAATTTTTTTGTATTTTCAGTAGAGACTGGGTTTCACTGTGTTAGCCAGGATGGTCTCAGTCTCCTGACCTCGTGATCCACCTGCCTTGGCCTTCCAAAGTGCTGGGATTACAGGCGTGAGCCACTGTGCCTGGCCCTGCCTGGGATTTTTTTTGTCCACTTTCTTTACGTGAAAGTCACTTGCAAACTTCAGAAAAACTTCCCTGTCTCCTCCTTTCCCAGTTTAGCTCCCTCTGACCCACAGGTTCCCATAGTGGTATATGAATTCTTGTATCTAGCACTTAACACACCACACATTTATCACCAGTTGATCTGTCTGTAGTTTCTGCTTAGTCTCAGAAGTCCTTGAAGCTAGGGACTGTGTTTTTGTTCTCTGTGGGCTTATCTCCTAGAGTAGTGCCTGACACAAAGGCATAAGAAATGTACTCAACAAATGTGTGTGGAATGAATAAATGAATCCAGGCTTTCCTAAGCACCCATGGCCATCAACCCAACACTGATTCCTTTTTCCATCTGCATTGCAAAAATCAAGAAAAAGGGAAATAATAGAAAAAAGATAAAAAGATTTCTCAATCAAATGATAAATAAATGTCTGGAGAACAAGCAAATCTTGTATGAGGTTTTCAAAACAGTCTAGACTGACATCTAGAGCAAAACCATACAGAAAAATTCCTATTCGGCAAAATGGCATAAAAGATTATGAAAGAGCTTTTGGATAAGTTAAAAAATAGCAACTCAGTGAAAGAAATCCTGAATAGTGAGTTTGAAATTTATTAAAGGATACACGTTTTAAAATAGTCATAGGGGAAGCTTCTCAAAGACTGGAAAGATATCCTTAGGCAGATCTACTTAATGATGATAATAATTGTTGGCCAGGAGCTGTGGCTCACGCCTGCACTCCCAGCACTTTGGGAGGCTGAGGTGGGAGGATCACTGAGTCCAGAAGTTCAAGACCAGCCTGGGTAACATAGTGAGACCCCATCTCTACTAGAAAAAAAAAAATAGCCAGGTGTGGTGGTGCATGCCTGTGGTCCCAGCTATTTGGGAGGCTGAAGTGCGTGGATTGCTTGAGCCTGGGAAGTCAAGGCTGCAGAGAGCCCTGATAGTGCCACTGCACTCCAGCCTGAGTGACACAGCCAGACCCTGTCTCAAGAAAAGGTTATTATTGTTATTTTAGCTAACATATATGAGGATATTCTATGTACCAGGCATTATCCTCAGCATTTTGCATGCATTATCTCAACTAATCTTTACATAACACTATGAAGTATGCCTAACTATTTATGCCTAGGTTGCTGATGAAGAAACTAAGATCTTTGTATCCAGTTCAGCTGGATCAAAACCCAGTGCTTTCTGCCTTCCAATCAGGAGGTTTTTCCTTGGCTATAGAGCTCGACTTTCCAGGCAATGCACAGGCAGGGATGTGTGCTCCAGGGGCCACTCCAGTTCTCAGACAAGCTGCAGACACAGTCAAGGAACAGTTGGCAAGATCATGTATAATAGTGGACCAGAGGCGATGGAAGGAGCTCAACATTTTCACTTAATCCCACTTCTCGCTTTCCTGTGTGGTTTGTGGGTGTGAGTGCTGAAAATGAGCTTCCTCTGCAGGAGGAGGAAGTGGCGGGGCTCGGAGCCAGAATGACTCATCAAAACTCCCTAAGGAAGTCAGGACAACAGCGGGAAACTGAGCTTTCAACATCGGACATTCAGGTGGCTTCAACTGGACATGTATGCATGTGAGAAAGAGGGAGGGAATGAGAGGGGATGCAGTTTAACAAATGAATTATATGGGGAGTGAGTGCAGGAACCTGTCTTCATTTATTCTGAAGCTCCTCAGAATCTCAAGTTCACAGCTCAGCTCATGATAGACCTCTCCCCCTCTATCATGTATGTGCTTGATGAATTAGGAAGATTTTATGAACCAAACATTATGGGATCTAACCATCATACATTTCTATCATATTATTGATCCTTTTATAAAAATGAAAATATGGAGACTAAGAACAGTTATATAACTTGTTCAAGGCCACTCTGAAAATGAGAACTGGAGCTTAGGTCCCAGAGTAGCAGCCCCAATGGGGCACAGACTGAAGGGCTTGGCTTTTGCTGTCTTGTATTGACTTACAAGAGCCCACTGTTAAATATTTAGGAGTTTTCTTTTTTTTTTTTTTTTAATATTTAGGAGTTTTCAAGCCAGTTATTAAATCGTTAGTAGCTTGAAATCAGCATGGCATAAGTATTTATACTACAGAAATTTGTAAATGCTAGAGATGAGGACTCCCTTCCCCCCGACCCCTGCCCACCACCTGGAGACAGATTAGTGTGTCTAACCTGTCATTGTTCCCATGACTATCCCATAAAATAAAGTTTTTATTAAGTGTGACATCACAATCCACTTAGGAGCAGTTTTATTTAGAGCTTCACAGCATCCAACTAAAGCAACAACTTGTCATTTATAGGGCTAGATCCCTATAAATGATAGTTCCAGGGAGTAAGGAAGGTAAAGCTAGTAAGACAAACCAAAAGAGATGTTGCTTTCCTTGTATTTTATTTCTGTTGCAATGCTTTGAAACTTTCTTGTTTATTTACATATTTAAGATCTGTCTCCACAAGAAGGCAGAGGGAGAGATTTCATTTTTGGTGCTTCCCAGTTAGTCGTGTGAAAGAGAATCACAAAAATCTGCCTCTCAACAACAAATATAATCAAAACCAACAGTAAGCTCACCAGCTGCAGTCAAATGAGGAGAAGTTTCCAATTTCACTAACTGTGGAAACCTGGTAGCTAAAGAAAGACTCAGAAGACTCTACCATGGCTGGGCCTAGCATGGCATCTAACCCACACCCACCTTCCAGAGACAGCATGGGAGAGATGGGGAGTCCATAGAGTCCTGAACATTCTTGTCAAAATTCCCCAGTTTGTGGAGAAGGAGACTGAGGGGGTGAGTAGGAAGCCTAGGGAAAGTTAAGAGAAATGCTTAAGTATCATCGCAGGGTATCAGTAGAGAAAAGAAGGGCTTTCCAAGAAATTGGGCAGTAACATGAAGGCTCTGGGCACTCTTGCCCCATGGGAAAGGTTTTGGGGGACTGGCGCCAATAGCCAGGTGATATGCTGTCATACAGGATATTAAGAGAATCTCTGAAGAAATTAGCTGGGTGTGGTGGCTCATGTCTGTAAACCCAGACCTTTGGGAGGTCGAGGTGGGCGGATCACTTGAGGGCAGTTCGAGACCAGCCTGGCCAACATGGTGAAACCTTGTCTGTACTAAAAATACAAAAATTAGCCAGGTGTGGTGGTGCGTGCCTGTAATCCCAGCTACTCGGGAGGTTGAGGCACAAGAATCACTCGAACCCAGGAGGTAGAGGTTGCAGTGAGCTGAGATTGTGCCGCTGCACTACAGCCTGGGTGACAGAGTAAGACTATCTCAAAAACACAAACAAATAAACAAAAACTCTGAAGAAATAGAAGAGCTCATGTCTTCACATTGTGGATTGAGGCTGCTCAGAGCCCCAGCAGAAGGTTCTCCTGTTCCCTTGCACCACAGGCCACAGGAAGATGGGTCTAATACAACATTCACTCCTTCACCTGCTGCCCAGAGGGGAAAACAGCACAGTCTTAGATGAACTGCAAAGGGTGCCAATGAGGCCTGACTTGCAGTCTACCAGAGTAAAGAGAAGTTCTGGTTAGAGCTGTCAGCCTTAAACTTGTGTGAAACAACAACAACAACAAAAATCCAAGCGATGGTGCTAGATAAATTGAGAATAAGGAAGGAAAGAAGCAGGAAGGAAGGAAAAAGGAAGACAAAGAGAAAAAAAGGAAAAAAAGAAGGAAGGAAGGAAAAAGGAAAATGAAGGAAGGAGGGGGAAAGGAAAAAAAGGAAAGAAGGAAGGAAAAAAAGAGGGAAGGAGGAAAGGAAAGAGAGGAGGGAAGAGGGAGAAAAGATGAAAAGGAAGGAAGGCTAGAAGGGAGAAGACAGCATGGAGGGAAGTAAGGGGGAAGAAGAAGGGAAGGAGGAAGGAAGAAGAGAAGGAAGAAAGGACAGGAGGCAGACAAAGGAATGAAAGGGAGGAAAGAGGAGAAGGGAAAGAAGGAAGTAAGGGAGGGAAAAGAAGAAGGGACTAAGGAGGGAAGAAGGAATGTAGTGGGCAAAACACAGTTGAATAGTCCACATTTCCATGGGTCCTTTGGGTCATAAAAGAATTAGAAATAGGATTCCTTGTTAAAAACAGGAATTTATAAAATAAGAATTTAAGGACATGATGGCAGGAAAACCTCAAAAACAAAAAAACACAAAAAGCAGAACAAAATGAGACAGATTTCAGAGTCAAGGGAATAACTTAAGAAACAAAACAATATTATAAAACATACATAAATTAGAAACAACAGACAGCAGAGTACACACAGCTGAAAATCAAATTATTTACATAGAGGAAATGCTGACAATATCATAGTGAATGTAGCAAAGGTAAGAGTTGAATGCAGTTAGAATGAAAGGTCTCACCACCACAGATCCTCCGGCTCACTCTTAGGTCTACATCCCACCAATTCTTTTTTTTTTTTTTTCAGAGCTAGGATCTTACTCTGTTGCCCAGGCTGGAGTGCAGTCATATGATCATAGCTCACTGCAATGATGAACTCTTGGGCACAAGTGATCCTCCTGCCTCAGTCCACAAATAGCTGGGGCTACAGGTGTGCTTTAGCATGTATGACTAATTTTTAAATTTTTCATAGAGATAGGGTCTCACTATGTTGCCCAGCCTGGTCTCAAACTCCCAGGGTGAAGCAATCCTCCCACTGGGCCTCCCAAAGTGCTGGGATTACAGGCATGAGCCACTGTGCCCAGCCCCCTACCAGTTCTTCTATTTCATGGGGATCCCCATCTACTAACCCCACCACTTTTCATTATTCAGCATTTCATTATCAAGCTTTCCAGTCTCATTCTCTCTTCATCCAGCTTAGATTTACTTAAAAGCACATTCCTTTGAAAATCTGAATAATGCTTTTTATTTCCTTTCTGTTTTTTTGCAAATGTCCCCCCTGCTTGGTTTAGAGCACGAGATTTCCCATGTTGAAGGTGTTGACGCTATGTTCTGTCACTGTAATTAACCCCTGGGAAATTAGGAGTTTAAGTTAACTGTCTTGCCTTCCTGTCTTCCTTCATAGTGTTTACTTGGCAAAACAAACAAACTAACAAAAATAAAACTAAAGTGAAAACAAAAACCCTACCATTATGAAAGCCAACTACTTGCCCACTTTGAGCACCTGAATGGGGTTGGAATAGCTAATACCAGTAAACTAACTATTCTCCTAATTTTCAAATCAGCACTTGACACTTCCTGGCTTTCCTTGAATGTTCTGTTTACTCTCTGACTCTTCAAAATAACATTTACACAATTTCCTCTCTCTCCTCCAACCTTTAGTGTCATTCTGTTCCTACACTTTCTCAGCTGATGGTTTCCCTTTACACGGCTGATAAAAGCAGGTGGCAACTTGCTCAACTTTCTCCTTCACACTGCCATTACTTGGTTCTCATCTTTCCCAATGTCTCAGCAGAAGAGCAGCCTCTCCATCCTTCATGAAACACTTTCTTTTCTTGGCCTCTAGGACAGCACACTTTCCTAGTTTTCCTCCTTTCTCCCTGGCGACTTCTTAGCCTCCTTTACTGGATTCTCCTAAATGTTAGTGTACCCAACGGCTTAGCCCTTGGCCCATTTCTTTATCTACACTGATGCTGACCCCATTCTCACACATGCTGATTTATTTTGGGGTTAGGAACTGGGCAGAAGTATTTATTTATTTTTTATTTTGAGTAGAGACGAGGGTCTCACTATGTTGCCCAGGCTGGTCTCGAACTCCTGGCTTCAAGCAATCCTCTCACCTCGGGCTCCCAAAGTGTTGGGATTACAGGCCTGAGCCACCGTGCCCAGCCACAAGTGTTTCTTAGGGTTTTCAGATAATTTTGTTGCAAAGTGAGGACTGTGGACCTTTTACCCACCCTAGGTGATTTCAATCCTTCCGACGGTGTTCATTGCATCTACATGTTGAGCACTCCCAAATTTTTCTCTCCATTCAACTCTCAACTAGACGTAGATACCCCTGTCTGATGGATTTTTCAGTAGATATCTCAAATGTGAAATTCCTGGACATCTGTTCCCAGTCCAACCTATACTTTCTCCAGCCTTCTTTCTCTCTGTAAATGGCGTCAATTTTAACCCAGTTGCTCAGTAAAACAAAATCAACCAACCACTGTGATTTGTCCTTGGTTCTATTTTTCTCCACATCCAGCCCACTAGCAAGTCCCATCCCCTCTATTTATAATGTATATCCCAAATTTGCTACTCTTCTGTATCCTTGCTGGTATCTCTCTAGTCCAAGCCACCATCATCTCTTGCCTGGATTACTACAATAATCTCCTAGCTGAACTTCCTGCTTCTACCTTTTCACTTCACCTCCTCTTTCAATTTATTCTCTACACAGGAGTCAAACTGGTCGTCTGAAAACATAAATCACTTTATATCCCTCTCTCCCTCTCTTGCTTATGCCTACTGAAGGCTTTGCATTGCATTTTGAATAAAGTTGCAACTTCATGCCTTGGCGTAAAACCTCTTTGTGAACTGACTCCTGTCTACGTCTCAAACTGCACGTTCCCGTCTCCTAGTCTCCCACTAAGCTCTAGCCACATGGGCCTACTTTCTGTTACTCAAATACGCCAAGCTTATTTCTGTTCCTTCTATGTAGCCTTAAGCATTTTCTGTTCCTTCTATGTAAAATGTCCCTCCTCTTCCTGCTCCCCCATCCCTTTCTTTGATTGGCTCTTTTGAATCATTCAGGACTCAGCTCACATGCCACATCCAAAGGGAAGCCTTTCTTGATGAGAATAGCTTTTTCCTTACTTATTCAGTATATGTCCTTATGTAAGGTACACAGTACTTATCACACACAATCTGAAAGTTATATTGGTTTTTGGTTTGTCTTGTTTACTTCTGTTTTCTCTCTCCTGTTCTAGAATATGTTCCATAAAAACAAAGCTCTTACCTGTTTTTCTAGTCGCATCTCCAATGTTTAGATGCTTCAAATACATTTGTTGAATATACTCAGAAATGGAAAACCTACAGTAAAAATAATCAGTGTTGAGGATTAGATATATTTAAATAGAGAACTAGAACACAATACTTGAAGGATGATAATTACAAAACAGATTATAAGTATTAAAAACTTTGATACAGTTAAAATAACAAGATAAGCTATAAAACTAAGAATGTGAAGGCAATTATAAAAGACTAATTTTCCTTTTTTTTTTTTCAGTTAATTTAGAAAGGTTATTTTGCCAAGGTTGAGGACGTGCCCGTGACACAGCCTCAGGAAGTCCTGACAACATGTACCCAAGATGGTCGGGGCACAGCTTGGTTCCATACATTTTAGGGAGACATGTGACATCAATCAATATATGTAAGAAGTACATTAACTCCATCCAGAAGGGTGGAGACAACTCAAAACAAGCCACCCACCCCCTCTCCAGTCATCCCGGGGGCTTCCAGGCCACAGGTAAGTGAGAGACAAATGTTGCATTCTTTTGAGTTTCTGATAGGTTAAAAGACTACTTCTCTTATTGTTCAAAGTAGTTATTCTTTTTTTTTTAATTTAATTTTTTTGGTGACAAGGTCTCACTCTTTCACCCAGGATGGAGTGTAGTGGCGTGATCTCAGCTTACTGTAGCCTCAACCTCCTGGGCTCAAGTGATCCTCCCACCTCAGCCTCCTGAGTCGCTGGGACAACAGGTGTGCACCACCACACCCAGCTAATTTTTGTAGGGTTTTTGTGTGTGTGTGTGTGTGTGTGTGTAGGGACAGGGTTTCAACATGTTGCCCATGCTGGTCTCAAACTCCTGTGCTCAAACCATCTGCTTGACTCGGCCTCCCAAAACGCTAGGATTACAGGCATAAACCACCACTGCAAATGGCCAGGAATGTCTTTTAATTTTGCTTTCTAAACTTGTTCTGTTGTTAAATTCAAGTACAATAAAAAATAAATAAGGTTTGGGGAAAAATGCATTTGAAAAAATACAATTAAATCTTACATTTTAAAACACAGCATATAGAATATATCCCATTTTATATTTTTTACTCTATCTATCCCCCTTCATGTTGACATATATTAATATAAAAGAGAGATTACAAAGAGACAAGGGATGATTATCTCTGGGTTGTGGGAGTTCTGGGGCTGTTTTCATAATTAAAAAATATTTTATTGCTTAAATTTTTAAAAAAGGAGCATGTGCCACTTTTATAAAATCAACAAAGTAAAGAAATAGTGAATAAAAGATGAAAAGTAAACAGTATTTGTGTAGAGAATACACTCTTTCAAGAAGCTGCTGTGAGGAAGAGAATTGAGAGAATTCAAATTAAGGAAATTCTCTCCAAAGCTTTGCCTCCTTGCTTCTTGTTGAAGAAGGGAGGTACTGGGATATAACTGAATGCTGATGAGATTGATTCAGAAGCAAGGATGTGTACATATGGCATATTCAGAAAAGAAAAAATGATCTATAGTGCAAGAATCCTTCCTGAGAAGGGGAGAGTGGGTGGTTTCACAGGGCCCATTGCAAACTAGTGTGTTAAGAGGTGGGAGAGAGGGGAAAGGAGAATATGGGTGTGGGCAGGTGCAGACGGGTATGTAGATTTCGAACCAGTGGTAGAAAGTTGAAAGGTTTAATAGCTGATTACTTGTATTGTCTCAGTGAAATTGGAGACAAATCATTACTTGAGAATGGGTGGTGGGCTGGGTGTGGTGGCTCACGCCTGTAACCCCAGCACTTTGGTAGGCCAAGGCGAGAGGATCACTTGAGCTCATGAGTTTGAGACCAGCCCAGGCAACATAGAGGGGCCCTGTCTCTAAAAAAAATATATAAAAAACCAAATTAGCCAGGAGTGATGGTGTGTGCTTGTAGTCTCAGCTACTCAGGAGGCTAAGGTGGGAGGATCACTTGAGCCTGGGAGGTTAAGGCTGCAGTGAGCCGTGATAGCACCACTGCACTCTGGCCTGGGTAATAAAATGAGATTTTGTCTGAGAGAGAGAGAGAGAGAGAGAGAGAGAGAGAGAGAGAGAGAGAGATAATAGGTAGTGGGAATTTTGAGGAAATTGCAAAAAGTATGAAAGGGTAGAAAATGTACTATACTACTGTAGACATATAATAAGATTAGTGGACACTGTTGAGGGCTTAGTTGAGATTGCTGATTGTAAATATAAAGTGACAGCAATCTGTATGTTTCAATGATATTTCTCCAGCCTTGCTCAGCTGTTTGGGTGCAGGTGTGGAGAAAGGGGTTGGTTGAGCTCACTCATGATAGGTGCTCTGCTCAGAGTGTGTGAAACAATGAGAAGATGGTTCAAGGGGAGTTCAGAAATTTGCAGGATGAGGATTGTAATGGAATCTAACATGGATGAAGAGAGAAGTGAAGAAGCTCTGATGAGTGAGAAATCTGTGAGTTGAAGAGGTGTAATCTGTGAGTTGAAGAGGATGACAAATTTGAAGAAATTTTGTCCCCAGGGCATGAGCTGTATGTCTTCCATTCAAATACAGAGAAAGAAGACTGGCCAGAGTATTCATATTAAAGTTCTAGTCCCAGCTCCTCTGGGATGAATAGTTTTGTGGTTTGGCATAAGCCTTTCACCTGGGACTCAGTTTCCTTATCTGTAAATAAAAGGCTTGACTTGGATCAGTATATCTCAAATTTCAGGGCACACACAAATTAATTGAGTATCTTGTTAAAATGCAGATTTTGATGCAGTAGGTCTTGGGTGGGGTCTGGGGTTTTGTATTTATAATAAGCTTCCACATGATTCCTGTGCTGCTGGTCCATGGACCATACTTTGAGTAGCAAGGAACAGATAAATTCTATAGGCTTCAAAATTCTGATTATAAATCTTGGACCTTGAACTACGTTTTCACCTCCTCCTTGTCTTCTTTTTTTTTGAGCTTTGTCAATTCATCTTGAAACCAAATCTTGGGACACTTCTTTTGATTTCCCTTAACTGGGCAGGAAGTAAATAGAGAAAGATGCAAACCCTGCAGAATGACCAACACCCAGTAACGGAAACAGAGGGTTCTGATGACGTCTTACAGCTTGTGCCTGGGTGGGGGTAAATGGTACTGCCTTTTCCCAGGCATGGTGTGTCGAACAGGAACGTACTATCAGGCAGGAAATGGCTCCAATACAAACAGGGACACCAGAGATCAGGCTAGACGAGAGACCGATCACAGCAAATGGCATACTACAGACAGCTACTCAGATCAATTTCCTTCCTCTGTCATGTCAAAAGGTTTTGCTGCGTCAAGATTCCTTTGCCTAAAAAACATATGTTCCCAGTCTAATATATTTAAAGCTGATCACCACAAATCTACTCAGGCAACTTTAGGTTTCATTTTATCTTGAGGCTAGAGCCTACTGGAAGATCATCTGGTAATGACTTAGAGAAACCCACTTAAACTGTTCCCATATTGAATGTTTCCCATATGTAATGTTTACATTTCAAAAGGTCTCGACTATTAGAATGTGTTTTTCTGGGCTGAACATGTTTTTCACAGGCAATAAACTCATGTTTCAATTATTAGAAAAATAGTAAGTGCTTTAGCAGGCTGAATTTGATATATTGGATCCAAAAGCAGAATTTATTATAAGGAGAAATCGCTGAAAGAAATGAACATAAGATGTTTGTAACAGTCATAACTATTTGAGGACAGTTTTTGTTTAATGATAGCGATGGTAGGAAATGCTGAGGATGAGCAATTTAGGGAAGAGCCAGAATCAACGTTTCCTTTCAGGATCTGGTTCAATGGAGGAGGAAATCATTCCGAGAAATACTTATCAGCTTGATATCACACACAAAACTGACCATAGGCCAAGTTTAGAAAGGACTGTGAAAGGCACACTCAGGGTCTGAATATCAACTTCCAGCCTTTCATCTGGTGGGCAACCTGCTTTCTTAGAGAGGGAGCTCTGCCACCCTGAGACTGAAGAAGGGGTTGATATCGTTTAATAGCCCCTTCTTGCTTTCCAAAGGTCAGTTGGCCCCACATTTGAGGATGGCAAAAAAAAAAAAAAAAAAAAAAAAAAAAAAAAAAAGAAGAGAGAGAGAGAGCAAAAAAGAGCCATCTTATCTAAGGTCTGCCTGTTAGGTTTTCTTTAAATATTCTGACTCCATCCAAGAAATGTCTTGGAATGTATTTTACATTAATCTAAGCCATCTTTATCTCCAGGAAATGATTGGGTCTCACAGATGAAAGTAAGGGTGTTTATTGCTAGCAGCCATTTGCAGTGGAGAGAGCAATCTACTGAACTGTGAAAAGAGCAGTCACAAAAGTCCATTTCCACAGGAGAAGAACACTGTGCACATAAACACGAATGAACTCAATAAATGCAAATGAACTCTCTGCTTGCTCTCCTCCCTCACTTCTTACTGGGCCTCCATACATACTATTGAATTCACAGGCCCTGAAATAGATGACAGCATTGAGTAATTAAGCTGAAATATCACACTAGGTCACTTTAATTATAAAGCCAGAGCTCATTAATGGATGGAAACATGGAAGCAGGAATTGGAATAACCTTGCTTAAAATGCATTAAGTTATCATTTTGCAAAGCCAAGAAATTTCAAGGATTTTCACAATAGGCATTGTGGAGATTTTTTTTCTAAAGGGCTGGGTAGGGGTATGAATGGATTATAAGACTGCAAATTGCTTTGAATAAAGTAGAGGTTTTTTTTTTTTTTTTTTTTTTTTTTTTTAATAGAAGGAGTTTCTACTACATGTAGCAAATTAAATTCCAGATGTTATATCACTACAAAATCTCTACCAGATGTCCAAACTCATGGTGGCTGGGATGTTTATTGCAAGTAAGGCATTAAGCACCTGTTCTACAGAGACCTCCCCTTACCTTTTCATCTGTACTAGCACGTTAATCATGCAGGAGCGATGAAATATTTAGTCCTCACTGGATAATTAAAGAGGCCAGGAAAAATTCTAAAACTGTTAATTACTCTAAATGCCATTTAAGTAAATGACTACAGTGCTCCTCTTGGGATATTTCTGAAGACTTATCAAGAACACTTTCAAAATATGAGATTCCATTTTTGGAAGCTAATTCAAGGTGGAAAAAGGACTTCAGACCAAATAATCTAACCTAAAGGACAGTTATCCACATTTAGCATATGTCCTGGTTTGAAAAAAAAAAGCAGCCCCAATTGCTGCTATAAAATATCTCATTTGCTCAAGAGTCACTTATGGCAGAACCTTCAGTTTTAGAAGCCTCTGTCTTTTCTGTTGCATAACGTAAATGAACACTGATCTGTAAGCACATTGCCAGTCAGTGCGGCGGCACTCCCAGGCTGTCGGAGGTGGACCCTTAGACAAGTCACTTCTCTCTTTGGTGTCATACTTCAATCTGAATGTAAATTTGAATTCTACAGTTTAAGATCTGTGTTAAAAATAAGTTAGTTATGATTACAATCATTGCTACTTTTGAGTGAATGCTGAAATTTCCACTAAGTCAATCAGAATTTAACCAATTTCTGGCATATGTAATGATATTGTCTCTGTAGCTTGCTGTTTGATAGGGAGGTTGAGCAAGAGGAAGTAAATAAGGAGGCTTTCTTTGAGGCTCATACTACCATGTCATCTGTCCTTCACACATTCTCTCTTCTTATCTACAGTCGCTTTAGATGGCAAGACAAATTACCTTTTTATGATCTTCTTTTGCCTTCTGAGACCTGCCCTTATGAAGGAATTAGCCTGAATTTCTTTAAAAATTTTTTAAAAGATCTTATTTTTTTTCAGAGCTGCTTTAGGTTCACAACAAAATCAAGCAGAAAGTTCACCTTCACACATGCACAGTCTTCCCTACTATCAACATTCTGCACCAGCGGGGTGCATTTGTTACAATCGATGAACCTACCTATCATTACATTTTCCAGAAACTGGTTAAATTCTGATTGATTTAGTGGAAATTTCAGCATTCACTCAAAAGTAGCAATGATTGTAATCATAACTAACTTATTTTTAACATAGATCTTAAACCGTAGAACTCAAACTGACATTCAGACTGAAGTAAAACAGCAAAGAAAGAAGTGGCTTGCTTGAGGGCCCACCCCCACCAGCCTGGGAGTGCCCTGCCCCACTGACGGGCCATGTGCTTACAGATACAATGTTCAATTTACATATTGCCTTTTTATGATCTTCTTTTACCTTCTGAGACTTGCCCTGATGATGGAATTAGCCAGAATTTCTTTTAAAAAAAATCAAATTCAATCCTTTGACATATCATCACCCAAAGTCCATAGTTTGCATTAGGGTTCACTCTTGGTGTTGTACATTCCATGAGTTTGGACAAATGTGTAATGACATGTATTCACCATTATACTACCATACAGAGTAGATTCCCTGCCCTAAAAATCCTCCGTGCTCTGCCTATTCATGCTTCCAGCCCCTCTAACCCCCAGCAGCTATCAGCCTTTTTACTATCTCCATCGTTTTGACTTTTTCCGAGCATTATATAGTTGGAATTATGCAGTATGTAGTCTTTTCAGACTGGCTTCTTTCACTTAGATATGCATTTAGATTTCCTCCATGTCTTTTTAGGGCTGGATTTCTTTTTATTTACATAAAATGTGGGAATAGGGAGAGTGAAAGCGCATGATTGCTCGTCAGGAGTTGAGGCTCCAGTTCCTTCTACAATAAGGTCCCAGGCTAACACACCTTTGATTTTGATAGCCCCCAAATCAACCTGGAAAGTGTTTATATGCTAGTTATCCTAAACTTGTTTTGCCACTGTGATGTTCACATCTGCTTGCTATTCTCCTGCCCTCCTATTGTTTTCCATCCAATAAGCACAATCTACTAGACTTAAGATGGCTATTGTTATAAGAGGTGGATCTTTATTCATTTCTACAAAGAAAAGGATAGAAAGAATATTTTAATGTTTTTCTACTCAGACTAGTTTGTCTTCTAATTCTATCTTCCTGCTTCAGTAGAGGGCACTCCGACCTTACCTAGAGCCCAGTGTTTTTTCATTTGACCAGTTTTGGAAAGTAGCTGGTTTATCCTATCGGTCCTTCAGTTTAATAGTCAGCAGTGAGCACACAGCGGACATAGAAACCAGACGGACTAGACTAAGGCTCAGTCCTATCCTGTATGATCCTGAAGCCCTTTGTTATCCCTCCCCTAAAGCCCCTACTATTTTCTATTGCAATTCATGCATTTATGTGTAGTCTTTCTGACCAGTCTGTGAACTCTTTGGGCCTGGGACCCCTATATTTCATCCTTGAGCTGTAGCACAGTGCCTGACACAGACGACACATTGTAGCAAAACAGGTTTAGGATAATTAACATATAAGCACTTCCCAGGTTGACCAGTGGGCTATCATAATGTAAGGTGTGTGAGCCTGGGGCTTTATTGTAGAAGGAAAACAACACTGGAGTCTCAACTCTTGACGTGCTATGTGCTTTTACCCTCCCCACACCCACAGTTTACGTGTATAAAAAGAAATTCAGCCATTAAAAGACATGGAGGGGCTCACGCCTGTAATCTCAGCACTTTGGGAGGCCGAGGCGGGTGGATCACGAGGTCAGGAGATCAAGACCATCCTGGCTAACATGGTGAAACCCCGTCTCTACTAAAAATACAAAAAAATTAGCTGGGCGTGGTGTCGGGCGCCTGTAGTCCCAGCTACTTGGGAGGCTGAGGCGGGAGAATGGCGTGAACCTGGGAGGCGGAGCTTGCAGTGAGCCGAGATCCCGCCACTGCACTCCGGCCTGGGCGACAGAGTGAGACTCCGTCTCAAAAAAAAAAAAAAGAAAAAGAAAAAAAACCCAAAAAGACATGGAGGAATCCAAAATGCATATTACTAAGTGAAACTCAATCTGAAAAGGCTATATGCTGTATGATTCCAACCATAGCTATATAATAAATGTCTATTGAGATGAATGAAAAATAAAAGGTAGAATCTGACCTGACTCTAACAAAGGGAAAATTGTGTATGCTTTTATGTTTCTTCAGACGCCATCATTTTGCCTTGAGGATTCAGTAGTGTTCCTAGTTGAGGTCATCCCCATGCTCTATATTACTTTATGTCGAGAGGTAAAAATGGCATCTGCCTTAGGTTCAGAGTGGGAGAGCCCATTGCATTATCGCTTTCAGCATGGCATGATGGTTGATACCCATAATGACCTGGTCATGTCATGCCAAG
Source organism: Homo sapiens (assembly GCF_000001405.40). Classification (NCBI taxonomy): domain Eukaryota; kingdom Metazoa; phylum Chordata; class Mammalia; order Primates; family Hominidae; genus Homo; species Homo sapiens. The sequence goes on along the minus strand of NC_000009.12, from coordinate 71,633,748 downwards.
TAACATACATGCCCCTTCTCTGAGCAAAATTTGGGCTGGTAAAAGCCCGAGACAAATCCAGCTTGCTAAGTTGCATATCGTTTTCCTTGGTCCTAAAATGCTCAGTTCTCCATCTTTGAATCTGGAGTAGAGTGGCACAATCTCGGCTCACTGCAGCCTCTGCCTCCCGGGTTCAAGCGATTCTCCTGCCTCAGCTTCCCCAGTAGCTGGGACTACAGGCATGCACCACCACGCCCAGATAATTTTTGTATTTTCAGTGGTGACGGGGTTTCGCCATGTTAGCCAGGTTGGTCTCAAACTCCTGACTTCAAGTGATCCGCCCACCTTGGCCACCCAGAGTGCTGGGATTACGGGCGTGAGCCACTGCGACCGGCTTAATTTTGTCCTTGGTTCTAATACCTCGTTTCCGAGTTTTAAAAATGTTAATTTGTGTTGTTCTTTCATATAGGTTTATCATTTTACAATTTTAATTTGTTCATTAAAAAATGAGGTTATAGTTTTCATCTGTTTTGTGGGCATTAGAGTGCTTTCATTATCTGCAGGGATGTTTTCCTGTGACTTATTTTCTATTTCCTTGTAAAATCGTTGTCCAGAATTCAACCGTAATCTTCTTCTGCTGCTTGCTTTTATATGAAATAAGTTTTCCTCAACTTTCAGGAGGAAGGGTTGAGTCAGGATAGCATTTCTAGCTTCATTGCTGTCGAATTCTGTCTTTTTGTTGATTAATAGCTTTTGTTCAAAAACATGGCCTCATACTTTCGGAGATCTTTGGTTTTATTACTCATCCCAACTTTATCTGAACCTTCCCCCTCTCCTCTCTCTTTTTTTTCTCCTGTTGGTCAGTTTGGGTTCTATTCCAAGAAGTTTTTTCTGGCATGGCGCTTTTTCTTGAAAGAGTACTAGGACAAATCTGTTTCCACAGTTCATAAATTCCAGATTAAATCAGCCTCTTAAAATCTCACTGCCATCCCATTGGTATCATCTGCAAAAAGCCCTTCCAATTCAGCCGCCATCTTCAAATTGGCTGACCATGCTTTCCAGCCAATATTTTTTGGAGTTATCTTCTTTCAACATCCATTAGATGTCCCCTTGCTTTCCATGGCTTCCCCCTGTATACATGTTGAGACTCCCTGGGGTTTGATGATTTGTTCCCACCCACGTCTACTCAAGTTCATGAGGACAACTTATTACCTGATTTGGTTATAGATACTATTGTCTGTGGCTATTTGGTTTGGCTCTGGTTGCTTTCTTATGAGGTAATTTAAGGAGATTAAAAATTGCGCACCTCCACCACCAACTCCCCATATTATATGTTGAAAATAAACTATTTTTTTTCTTCCTAGGGTATTTCTATTGTAGATATTATCTTAAATTGTGGAACAGGAGACGGCATCTTTAGTTAAAGAACTCTCGTGAAATAGATACCTCATTTTGAACCCCTTGAAGGCACACCATGGTGATTTGGTGTCTACTGGGCCTTTGCATCAGGCTCTTTTGAGAGAAGTGGTCTTGGGAAGAATATATAGCTCTATGTTTAGTTCTTTTTCCTGTAAAAGCAACAACAAAAACCAAAACCAACTCCTCTACTTCCTCCACTTGCTTTCCTTCCCTTGATTTGAATTCCTGGGAGTATATTTCACTGGCTTCTTATGTAAGGAGTAGCTTAGCAAAAAAACTTCTTAAACTCTTTTCCCACTTCCCAAAGCAGCTATTGACAAAGATATGAATCTCAATCTAAACATGCAGTGAAACTCATGGGATTGTCTGGAATCTTTGCATAATGAAATTTCTCCATGGGATCTTTGCTTTCTTCTCTACTTCATTAGGACTTCTCCCTTACTGAATTTAGATGATAAGCCATCTTGTTGGGGATTTTTTTTTCTTATTTTTTGGTTAGTGACCAATTTTAGAGTGCCTTAAATTGGAATAATCATATAATCCAGTGGTTCTTTAACATTGTTTACATAAAAATCACTGAGATTTCTGTATACCCAAAACTGGAGATTCAGATTCAATATTATAGGGTGCGTCTATGAATCTGCGCAGGATATATACCCAGGATGATGCTGATGGCCATTTGGTCCAGAGAACACACTTTGAGAAACATTGGCAGATGCCAAAACTATTTGCAGAGACTAAACCAAAACTGAGTCTGATGGCTGTATTGTCAAAAATAGGCAGTGAGTTTTCAGAAAGAAATGCTCTGTTGTGGACATTCATTCCTGCATTTTTTTTCCTGTTAACATATTAAATTATCACTATGTGTCAGGGCCTGTGCTCGGTCCTGGGATTCCAAGATGAAAGAGAGATGGGTCTAGTCTTTATGGCTATTAAGAGACAAACATGCAAAGGAATGATTCCGAAATAATGTGCAAAAGGCAAAAGCATTGACCTTTGACATTTTCAAGGGAGATATCTGTGGGTTTTCAAGTTTGCCAAATAATTTTCTTCCAAAATAGGTCTGTAATCAAAAATGAAGAGCAATAATCTCAGTGAGATGTAGAGTCTGGGCTGTCACATAGATTCTTTTTCACTAATGACTGTCTCAGAATTCTGTTCCAATTTTATTCAGTAAAATAATAAGTACTTATCATGATCCTTTTCATCTGTTAAGAGTGTTAAATCCACCAATGCCAAAGGTTATCTGAGATTAAATTATTGCATAGTAGGGCTTCTCAAAGATTGGTAAGCCTGTTAAAACCCATATTCCCAGACCCCATTTTAGGATATAATAATTCAGTAGTTCAGGAGTATGGCCCATGAATTCTCATTTTTAATCTCCTGCTGCTGTGGTCTAAGGACCACAGTTTGAATAATGTAGTTTCAGAAGAGCTGTTGCTAGTATCAGGGGCTAGTAATTAATATCTTAGATTAAAGAGCAGCAGAATATGGAGATGAGAGGGCTATTTGCCAAGGATCTGAGTGTTGGAGAATAAACAGAATTTCTTACTGTGAGAAAGGGTAAAGAGATTTCCAGGCAGATGGAATTGTATGTGCAAAGATATAGAGGCACAAAACAGCTCTATAGACTCTGGAGACAATGGAAAAAAACTGAGCTCTTACTTGGGCGGCAGAGGAAATGAAAGTAATGGAAAAGCTAAGCTTCTACTTGAGCAGTAGAGGAAATGGAGACAATGGTATTTGGGCCTCAAGGAAGCAAACTGTGCTAAGAGATAGCAGGATGCACAGGCGGTCCCAAGTCTCCTTGAGGTATTTCTGAGAACAGGGTGGGCAGTTTGCTTCCAGGGATGAGTTAAGTAGAGTTCTCCCTGCAAGGAGCCGAGAAAGTTTAGGGCCCCCATCCAAATCTCTGATCCTGTTATATTAAAAATGTGTTTAAAATTTGGGGGCATGAAGAAGAAAAATACTTTACATGTATTTCTGTTTGATTAGATTGGAAACATCCAATATATAAAGCAGAAAGCCAACTTCTGTGAGAGAGAGGAAAACTTCTCCAAAGATCTCACAGTAACCCTGAATATATGCATTTGTAGCTGCAAGTTCTACCTGGGCTATAGCACCTCGACTGTGTTCCTTGGTGAAGAAGTCCACAATAACCCAGTTTCTCATTAGAATGAGCTTCCAGAGAACGTCCTGTTGTTGGGCAGCAAAGAGCACTGCTCTGGTCAATAGATGTAATGATGGGGCATTCTCCTTAGCAACATCTGGAGTTTGCTGGAAAGAAAACAACACATAAGTAGTAGCGTTAGTAATTGTGGGCCCAGTGACTTTTGCACTGGGCCTTCAATTATTTCCCCAGGAGCACTGATCTGTCTTTAGCAAGAGGAAATGATAAGGAAGCCCAACCAAGCCAAACAGTCCCTGTGTGTGTTTTTGATGAGAAAACTCACGTATACTTTTACCACACATTTTTTGGATAAAAGGTGAGTTTTCTCTCTTTGTCACCCCAATGGCTGCTGTATAATTCTGGAGGCTGAAGTACTTCCACTCTAATAAAAAAATTGAACCTTATCTTCTCTCAGCAGAAACTAATAGCAGATCCTGGGCATATATGAATGGCCTGACACCCTTGCTCTTTCTTCAATTTCAGCTGTCCAGATCCACAGGCAAAGTAGTGCTGCAGGCTCAGCTGCAGAACAAAAGCCAGGGACTCTTCATTTGCTACAGATTGGCTTGGTAAATGCATTTGTCACAGAAATCTCTGAAAAAAAGGGACCCAAGTCTGTTGGCTTTTATTTATTTATTTAATGCTGCTAAGAATTGAAGTTGACTCTGGTTCTTTCAGAGAGAGCCCTCACAGCTCATTCACTCAGTCATTTTTTCATTTCTGAATGTACATCAAACATCTGCCATGTACCAACCACTGTGCCAGGTACAGAGAGACTAATACCAGTAAGTCTCAGCTTTAGAACTTTTTTCTAGTAGAGAAATTAGATAAGTAAGCAACTTTTTCCATTATGTTAACGTACAAGGAATATTTAGTTTACCCGGGGAAGCTCCGCAGATGGCAAAATGTAAGCTGACTTCTTTAACAAAGAGGAATTTGCCTTGCAGATAAAGGGTTGGTTGGGGTCAGGGTGATACTCTGAGGAAGGGAGCCGAGCACATAGGACAGGGGAATAGCAAATGCAAAGCTCTAAGAACTCTGTAGTTTTTGAAAAACTAGGGAATTTGGATTGAATTTGGATGGAGACAGATGGTGCCAAGGGTTGAAGATGGAGATGCAGGAAGGGCCACACAGTGACGGACTTACTAGATGGGCATGAGGAAACACCCGAGGTATCTTGTAAGGGTCTGCATCTGGATGTGTGTCTTATCATGTGTGTATAGAGATACCACACACTTCATCTTTATAATGGGGTAACAAGTGTGCTTACTTCAAAGGTTGCTGTGAATATCAAGGGAGGTAACATGTGTCAAGTTCTCAGCCTGTTTACTGGAATTTTTTTGTCCTCTATGAATTACAGTAGAAGTTACAGCTTTGATAGGGGCTATTCTTGTTTGTCATGCCAATCATAATATTTCTGCAGAGACTTTTTCCTCTGGGTCTGTGAACAACTGTGGAGAATCTGAACAGGCAACCCTGGGAAGCCTGTTATCATCTCACTGGGGCTGAAATAGTAGGTAAGATATACTTGGAGAAAGCTAGAGAGTTCTGAGTTCCCTCATTGAGCATAGGCTTGTGTAGAAGTCAGGAACAATTCTGCATCTTCAGCTGAGAACGAACAAAATCTTGATCAGAACAGTGAGGATGAAGGGTTAAATTTAATAACAAATATGTCTCCAAATTTCTACCCCAAATGAGACTCTGCTTAACTTGACACTGCTTCAGTGGTGCTCTCTAGTGGCCCACAGGAAGACAGCATTTTCTATCAACGGGAAGAATATGGAATATTATGCAGCTGTTTTACAAGAATGAGTTAGAGCGATCCCAGTCAACTTGGAGAGATTTCCATGAGGGGTTGAGAAAAGCAGGGCACAGAAAAGCATAAATAATGTGAACCTCTTCTTGCTAAACTAGAACCAAAAAAAGTTGTTCTGACAATGTATAGATGTGTATATATAAGTATATGATTAAATAGAATTATGTGAGCATAAGTAATATATGAAAAGATACAGATTAGGTTATTAAAATGGATTCCCCTGGAGTGGGAGTAATAACTAATGAAAGTAGCAGGAAGATAAGAGATTCCAAAAGTCAAAAAGAGAAAAGAAAAAAAGCTCAAAATATAAAATTAAATCTGAATATATGTATATATTCAAAAATAAAGGTCTATTTACAAGTAAAATAATCCAGATGATGACATTTTTGAAAAGTTTCCCCCAAAATGTGAAATTGTATGGAAGATAACCTACTTATCTATTTATAGAGGATTTTTAAGTGACTTTTAAAAATGACTTTAGTGACTTTTTTTTGTCTAGTAACTTTGCAAAAACCCAGAATGACCACCCTTTTAAATGATGGTGTTATAAAAGTTCAGTGTGTGTAGCAGGATTTGCTGAGCTATTTTTAAAGCTCTTCCAGTGCAAAGTCTGCTTTATGAAATCCCCAGCTTTTGCTTCCTGCCACCACAGTGTGAAAAGAATCTCAAATCTGAGTCGACACTGTGCTTTCTTCCATTTGTAGCAGCCTTTACATGTAATTAAACCATGTTCATGAATGTTGTCTTTTCTTTTCTTTTTCCTTTCTTTCTTTTCTTTTTCTTTTGAGACAGGGTATCACTCTTTTACTGAGGCTCAAGCAATCCTCCTGCCTCAGGCTCCTGAGCAGCTGGGACTACAGGTGCATGCCACCAAGCCTGGCTAATTTTTGTATTTTTTGTAGTATGAGGTTTCGTCATGTTGCCCAGGCTGGTCTTGAACTCCTGGGTCAACTAGAACTCGATCGTCCTCTAACTTTCTCGCTCACCTTGGCCTCCCAAAGTGTTGGGATTACAGGTGTGAGCCACTGTGCCTGGCCATCTTTTCTTGTAGTGCTTCATTTTATTCTTCACTTTTACATGAAGGGCAATAAGAATCTACCTGAAAATACAAATTGAAATATATTATAGTAATACAACATAGTGGAAGGATCCCAGACTTGGATCTCCACTCTGCCACTCATAAGGTATGTGAGCCTTGGTAAGTTACTATATTTCTGCTCCTCAGTTTTCTCATCTGCCAGACAGGGATAACACTAGGATATAACTCATGGGTTTGCCGTGAGGATTGAATGAGATAGGGCAAAGTGCTTAGCGCAACTCCTGGCACATTGTATTCACTCATTCATGCATTTATTCTTTCAAGAAATACTTCTTGAGTGCCTACTATGTGCCAGGCTCTGTGCTGGGCATTGGGGATATGAAGAGATAGATCTATGAAGCCTCAGTGAATCTACAAGTTAGTAAAGGACACAGAAAAATCTGATGGCCACACAACAAGTTGAAAACTGTAATATGTGCTGAGAAGAAAACATATAGGGAGTAACAAAAGAACTTGATCTGGTTGGGGTCAGGAAAGGTTTTTCTGAGTAAGTACTGTGTAGGCTAAGATCTGAAAGGTGAATAAATAGTAATTCACTGATACAGAGCACACAGAATATTCTAGGCAGAGGAAAGACCTGTCCAAAGCCTGAGGCAACGGGGAGAATGATGCATTCTAGGAGTGGCATTTCAATAAATGTCTATTGCTAGTTACTCAACCAACCCTACCTGGTTTGGTTTCTCATGATATTTATTTTATGGGGGCTGTGAAGATTAAACTATGTCTACTTTGTGAGTGTTGTGTGAATCAAATAAGAAAAATGTATTTAAAGCATATTGTACACAATAGCTAGACTATGAGTGTTCTCTCCTCCAATATCTAGGCTCTGCCATTGAGATATTGAAAGTAGACTAAATGATTTAATTATTAATGATGAATGCAAATGAATTATTTCAGATTTATATACATATGTATGTCTACACCAGCCATTGTGTGGATATCCAGCATTGCTTTTGGAGATCTGACTTTGTGAAAAGTGAAGTTTCACCCCATTGCAATCTGGGCCTTCCACTTCTGAACCTCATTTCAAAAGTTTTTGTGTTGTTAGTTTCCCTTGCCAAGGTTTCAGAAGTTGGTTGGTAGGGGGAAAAGACAATTGGTATGACCATTACAGCATTCTCTAGCCATATATATCTTAGGCAACAATCTCTTCTATTTTGGATAATAGCAAGGCACTAATTTCAACTCACTACAATTTAACATATGTTGACTCTGTGCTAGGCATTAAACTAGTTGCTGGGTAATCAAAATTATTAAAACAGAGTTTGTATTCAGAAAGGGAGAATTTTGTATGATAAAAGTAGAATTTGTTAGTATTCTGCTCTCCTGGACGGCAGTAAACCAAGCTTGGATGCTAATAGTAGAAAACAAGGCAGCCTGGAGGGCCCCACCATGCCAATGCTGCCAAAAATGGTTCTAGTGTAGTTTTCCTCCAATGCTGCCTTCTGCTCAACTCTAATGATATTTGGTGCCACACAGTAAAAGCTCCACCATTTTAGTCTGCAGAGAACGAAGCACTTCTGCCATTGTGCTTGCCCCAACAGCTAATGGGCTTGAGCACTGCCGTACCCACTTTATTCACTTCTTCCCTCAGGGCTTGTAGAATGTATCTTCTTGGTGGAACTTAAGTCACATGTAAAACCTCAGTGGAGGCCGGGTGCGGTGGCTCACGCCTGTAATTCCAGCACTTTGGGAGGCCGAGGTGGGCGGATCACGAGGTCAGAAGATCGAGACCATCCTGGCTAACATGGTGAAACCCCGTCTCTACTAAAAATACAAAAAATTAGCCGGGCGCGGTGGTGGGCGCCTGTAGTCCCAGCTACTCGGGAGGCTGAGGCAGGAGAATGGCGTGAACCCGGGAGGCGGAGCTTGCAGTGAGCCGAGATAGCGCCACTGCACTCCGGCCTCGGCGAAAGAGCGAGACTCCGTCTCAAAAAAAAAAAAAAAAAAAAAAAAAACCCTCAGTGGAAAGGCGTTCTTAGAAATGAAGTTTTAGCTTTCCAGCCTCTATTGTACAGGAAAGCGTGATAAAAGAGGTTTGGGTTAGGAGTTGAGTGAGCCAGTTTGCAATACTGTTGACAGTCCATCTCCTTTGCTGGGCCCACAAAGACCTATAATTAAACTTCAAAACATCAACACCCCCATTTTCTCGAAAAAATGAAAACAACTATCCTTCACCTTCTTTCTAAAGGGGAGAATCAAAATCTCACCAATCACCGCAAACATCCGGATGTACCTTTATCCTCTAGTTTAGCAGTTGGCAAATTACAGCTTTTAGGCCAAATCCAGCCTACTGCTCATTTTTGAAAAATAAATGTATATTGAAATTGTTTATTTGTTTACATGTTGTCTTTGGCTGCTTTTGTACCCCAGTGGCAGATCTGAGTAATTGCTGCAGTTTCCTTATGACACACAAAGCCTAAAAAAGCCTAAAATTAAAATGTTCACTGTTGGGTCCTTTACAGAAAAAGTTCATTGACTCCTTTTCTCTCTTTCTCTCTTTCTCTCTCTCTTTCTTTCTTTCTTTCTTTCTTTCTTTCTTTCTTTCTTTCTTTCTTTCTTTCTTTCTTTCTTTTTTTCTCTCTCTCTCTCTCTGTCTGTCTCTCTCTCTTTCTTTCTTTGATGGAGTCTCACACTGTCGTCTGGGCTGGAGTGTGGTGGTGCAATCTCCGCTCACTGCAACCTCTGCCTCCCGGGTTCACGTGATTCTCCCCCCTCAGCCTCCCGAGTAACTGAGATTACAGGCGCCTGCCACCACACCCGGCTAATTTTTTGTATTTTTAGTGGAGACAGGGGTTTCACTATGCTGGCCAGGCTGGTCTCGAATGCCTGACCTCATGATCCACCTGCCTCAGCCTCCCAAAGTGCTGGGATTACAGGCGTGAGCCACCGTGCCCAGCCTCATTGACTCCTTTTCTAGTTGATCATAATTCTGTTTTACTATACCACAATTAGATTGTTTCATCATTATCACACCATATGTGAAATAATAGAGAACAAGGAATTAACAAAAGATGAGTTAATATCTTTGAGCAAGGAAGAAATATGAGTATATATTATACTAATCATTTCTACACTGTCCTCACCCCTCATTCCGTGCTCCCTTTACCCCCAGTTAGGGTATAAGACCCTGGTGAGATAGCTCATAGTTTTATTCCCATGGATGTGACTTCAGAGGTCCTGCCCTTGTACAGCTGCTGAGGTTGCTCCTTGACTATTGCCTTTGAACAGTACTAGGAGAGGATCCAGAGCAATCACTGGCATACAGATATATGCTTTTCTGCTTACACTGTGGAGCTCAGGGCTCCTTTCCTCTATTATGATCAGTCACCTTAACCAATGAAGTATTACCCAGCCCTTTACAGGAAACATTTAGGAGACTGAGGAGCTCAAAATGCCAGGTGGCATTCTTACCTTCTAGATCAATAAAACTATTATTTCATCAGCTAAAGTTGTCCTTCCCTTAGATGCTAAGACCTCTAAACAAGCAGAGCCCCAAATAATGGAAAACATAAATTTTGTCAAGAGTTTATGAGTAGTAACATTGAGAAATGCTATTCCAAATTTCACTCCCTTGATCTTTGTTATGGGCTAGATTGTGGTCCTCTCCACATTCGTATGTTGAAGTCCTAACCCCCAAAACCCTAGAATGTGACTATATTTAGAAATAGGACCTTTACAGAGATAATCAGGTTAAAATAAAGTCATTAAGGTGGGCCCTAATCTAATTCTCTCTTTGTTAGAGGAGGAAATTTGGACACAGACAGGTACAGAAGGAAGTCACTCTATAAACCAAAGAGAGACGCCTGAAACAGTTCCTTCCCTCATGGCCCTCAGAAGAAACCAACCCTGCCAACACCTCCATCTTGGACTTCTAGCTCCACACTATGAGAAAATAGATTTCTATTGTTTAAGCCACTCAGTCTGTGGAACTTATGACAGCGCTAGCAAACTAGTCCAGTCATGGACCCATATATTTTGGCTATGGAGACACAGCATGCATATATTGTTTAGAACTAACTATAGAATAGCAATCCAGGTGTTTCCCTCACCATGGCATTCATAGGATGAAATGAATGATGGTCCCGAATGAGAATTGTCCAAATTATTCAGATAAACATCATGGAGCAGAATACATAAGTAACTAAGTAAAACATAACATAAAATTCCAAAATACTCAACGGGAAATGACTAGAAATATAGGCTTTCAAGAGTTGGTATCTTTTAGCTATATTTGCAGATATTCTGGGATTTTAAGGAACTGAGAAAATAGCAAAGTTGACTAAATTTTGTATTTCTTCTAAATATTTTGATAATTTCTGGATTGATGTGGTGATGTTTTTGTTCCTTCCGTACTTATAAATGAAATACCTTTTTAAAGTGTTTCTAAACCTAAAATCTACTTGGTTTGAAATCAAGTGGTTGGAATGCTGTTTGACTTTTATTTGAAGCATGTTGTTGATTGAAAGTTTCATTGAGGAACTTTTCAGTCTGTGTGCTCAGTTTGCTTCTGTAATGAGCACAGCGCCTAATATTTTGAGGTGCTCTGTTTTGAAGACCAATGCTCAAGGTGGACTTTGCTCATAAACAATATCCCAATAGATTTGTTGACTTGAGATCTGTTTTTTTTCCTAATAGAATTAAGAATTGTAATATTGAAAAACTGCACAGATTTGTGTGGGACAAAGCCTAGAAAACAGAAATGTAGATTGAATCATAATCTAAATCATGGTATGATAGACGTAGGAAAGTTTTGATGCCGTAATTTCTCCTTTCACTGGTGTTGGCATTAAATCTGTTGAAATGCATTTCTGTACCACAATTTGTGCTTCAATAAAAGTTTAATTGTCTAGTGACATTCAAAAAAAAAACAAAACAGTAGCAATCCAAACTCCTAGCTGTGGTTATGAGTTTTTGGTAGGCAATTCCAGTATTCAACAGAGTCAACTGCTTTTGAGTGATGGAGAACATCATTAAGATCAGTGTCTTTTGTAACACTGGCTTTAGTTTCTTTGCTACAAAAATGAGGTCATTGGTCAGAAGCAATATTTTATGGTCTACTTTAATGGAGAGTCCAAGGATGGGGATGTTGGCATAAGCTGGCAGGAAAGGCAATTCATATCCAGGATAAATGTCTATTCCCTAGCAGTGGTTTTTGTGATTGGAAGTTTGGGCAATCATCAGTGGTATTAGCTAGATAAGCTTTGGTGCCATTCTGCCAGTGCATTTTTTCAGTCCTGCCAGTATCATTACTTAATAAATGAGTCTATTGAGAAATCCTTAAGCAACTGGATAAAGATACCAATTGACATAAACAGAGAAAGTCATCTTCTCAACATGATTATTGATAAACTCTCTGAAGTGGGGACATTGGATGAGCATTTGTATACAAACATATTAATACTTGATTAATTCTGAAAATCTCACACACATATTTCATCCCTGGCACTTTGTCATAAATCCAAGTCCATGACTATCCAGACCAACCATTAGCCACTCCCTTCTGGGAGTAATTGTAGATCTGAGTCTGCCACCATTTCTCCTGCTGTCCTTTATGGTCACTCCCGATTAAGGTCGCTCCTGCTTAAGGCTGTCATGTCTCTTGCTGTCATTAGGCAGTAGTCTGTTTATGGCCTGTGCCAAGATATTGAACAAGACCATCTGTAAGCCAAATATTTTTCCCCTTCTTTAATCAACTTCTGAAAGGTAACTTCCCATCAGGTCATACATGTGGCAGTACAGCAGAAGTAGACCTACCAGGAGTATGTATCTAACAGTACATGCTCATGCAAACTATTTGTGCTTTCACGACTTACTTGAGCCTGGTATTAAATATAAAACTTCACTGGTTATGAGGTGCTTCTGGGCAGCAGTTTATGGGTTGGTGGCTCAATCCCAGTTTATCACGTGCATCTCAGATCTCATGGTCACTTTGTGTCCCTTTGTCCATCTTTTCAGGGCTTAGGAGCAAGTTGGAAACTATTTTTTAGAGCCGTGTTTTGCTAAAGAGGTAATGGTTATTTTTTAAATTCCAAGGGACTTTTGCTGTGATCCTCCTGTCCAGTCTTGTCACAATGATCAAATAACATCTGATTTGTGACAGATACCTTAACCATCATTGAATTTGCTGGATTATAAAGGCCAATTGGCAGAATTGTTTGCCCTGCAGCTAGAGAACTGGGAGCCTTTTCATGCTTCTGGGCCCCTATTCAAAGCTGGCAGCCTTACAAACTACTCAGTGAGTGATTGGAAGCAACAAGCCAACATGTAGTGTATGTTAACCCACCAATTGTCCCAAAGCATCAAGCCTGCCAGAAACTTCACTGAGTGGCTAATGATTGGTCTGGATAGTCATGAACTTGGATTGATGACAGAGTGCCAAGGAAGAAGTATGTGTGTGAGATTTTCAGAAACTTCTGAATATCCATGGAATTCATCTCCTACACTCCAGCATGCATGTGTCTTATCACGATACCTAAAGTACCTGCTCCTTTCCATTTACAAGGTCCTGTCACCATCATTTCATTCAAGTAGTGGACTGGCATGATGTCTTATGGAGTAGTGAAATAGTCATGTCTCTGCAGAGTAAATTGTGGCAAAAAACCATAGATTAGATAGAGCCCTGTGGCAAAAGGATATAGGGAATCTGCCAACCCTACTAGGAGAAAACAGCTTCTGGAATTTCATAATGGAAAAGAGAAAAAGCGTTTCCCAGACTGCATATTTATTATATGCTAAGTGCTGTGTGACTATTCCAGTAAATAGTCTAAAATGGAAAAAGCAGCAGCAATTGGAATTAACATCAGATTAAGTTTACAATCTGTTATTCACCGGGAAACAGCTGTTTTCTACAAGAGTTAAACAGGCAAGCTAAATGGAGACATAATGGTATTGCCATCTTGCTTACCAATTCTCTTATAGATGTGACATTTTTAAGTTTATTAAGTTGAAAGTATTTTTAAACATTATTTTTTGAGACAGAGTCTTGCTGGATCACTCAGGATAGGATGTAGTGGCTCAATCATGCTCACTGCAGCCTCAACCTCCTGAGCTCAAGTGATCCTCCTGCCTCAGCCTCCTGAGTAGCTTGGACTACAGGGCCATGCCACCATGCCTGGCTAATTATTTATTTATTTATTTATTTATTTATTTATTTTATTTTTAGTAAAGATGCTGTCTTGTTATGTTTCCCAGCCTGATCTCGAATTCCTGACCTAAGGGATCCTCCCAACTCTGTCTCCCAAAGTGCTGGTACTACAGGTGTGAATCGCCATTCCTGGCCTTGAAAGTCTTTACTCAATGGGTAAGGAAGTCAGTTGGAGTGCAGTTTAGATCAGTTTCCAGATGTATTTATTTCAGTTGTAAACTCAAGGATCATGGAAATGACCACAAAGTGAATTTAAAGAAACTGTGATATGATTCAATAAAAAATGAGCTTATCATCTGATCCACATAAGCTCCCACTAAGGCGAGTAGATGACAATGGTGTCCCAGACTCCCAGAGATTAGCATTAGGATTATTCAATCCCCAAAGGGTTGAGGATTTTCCTTTCCTCAGTGCCTAGTTGCTCTGATAAATGGCCACAGTGAAGGCATCTTTGAGGGTCCTTCAACAGTACCATTTTCCTCCTGATTCAAAGATCCCTGGGGCCATGAACCAATTCAAGTATGGAATTGGTTGATGGACCATAATAAAGCTCCATTGCCAAACCTAGGGTTTTCTCTGTTACATTAAAATTGATCAAAATTGATCAATTGATCAAAAATTGTGCACTGCCAATCCTATTATCTAAAGGACTGCAAGATTTGTAAGTCACTGTCAGAGACCCTTGCAGATCAAATCGTTCTTATTACCATTAAGGCTTGCTGTCCATTACAGTAGCCACTCTCACTGTTTCTTATAGTTACACGATGTCAGTTGGCCACTGTGGCTCCAGGATCTCATTATTTTCCTTGAAATTACATAATGTATTTCAACAGCAGCTTTTCCCATGTTCATTTCTGGCCTACAGAAGACAGACACTAACAACTTTAAGAAATCCTGGTATTTTCTTCCCTGGTGGCTAAATGGGCCACACCTAATACATCCATTTTAATATTCCTGTATCCTCAATCTTTAGCTCCCTTCATCTACATTTTGCCAAGGATTTCTGAGATCTCAACTTTAGCCCCATTAAGGCTGAATTTTATCAATTAGTTGAGGAATCAGAACCATTGCCAATTATTCTAACAAACTCAGTGAATCTAGAATCTGTTAAGTGCACCCATATGAAAATATCAGCCTGAACTTAAAGTACTTTTCCCCCTCAACTCTGTTTATCACCCTCAGAATCTATATCTGCACATATCCCTGATGATTATGGCGGTATAAATGTATAAAATCTCACAATTCTATTGGTGCATAAGGCTTTTTTTTTCTGGGTTTGTAACAGACCTCCTGACAAATCCTGGCATCTGACTTTTGTTACAGATTTGGAGGTACTGCCGGGCACGGTGGCTCACGCCTGTAATCCCAGCACTTTGGGAGGCCGAGGCAGGTGGATCACGAGGTCAGGAGATCAAGACCATCCTGGCTAACACAGTGAAACCCCATCTCTACAACAAAATACAAAAAAAAAAAAAAAAAAAAGAGCTGGGCATAGTGGCGGGTGCCTGTAGTCCCCAGCTACTTGGGAGGCTGAGGCAGGAGAATTGCTTGAACCTGGGAGGCGGAGGTTGCAGTGAGCCGAGATTGTGCCACTGCCCTCCAGCCTGGGCGACAGAGCAAGACTGCATCTCAAAAAAAAAAATAATAATAAATAAAATAAAACAAAAAAATAAATAAATAAATAAAAAATAAAAAATAAACAGATTTGGAGGTACTAAGAAAATGACAGGAATAAAGAAAATTGACAACTCTTTTTTTTTTTTTTTACTTTATTTTAGTTTCAGGGGTACAGGTGTAGTGTTATTCTATAGGTAAATTGCATATTGAGGGGGTTTGATGTACACATTATTTTGTCACTTAGGTGATAAGCATAGTACCTAATAGGTGGTTTTTGATTCTCACCCTCCTCCCACCCTCAAGTAGGCCCTGGTGTCTATTGCTTCCTTCTTTGTGTCCATGTGTACTAAATGTTTAGCTCTCACTTATAAGTGAGAACATGCGGTGTTTGGTTTTCTGTTCCTGTGTTAGTTCACTTAAGATAATGGCCTCCAGCTTCATCCATGTTGCTGCAAAGGATGTGATCTTATTCTTTTTTAAGGCTGTGTAGTATTCCATGATGTACATGTACCACATTTTCTTTATCCAGTCTACCTTTGATGGGCACTTAAGTTGAATGCATGTCTTTGCTATTGTCAATAGTGCTGCAGTGAACATACACATGCCTGTGTCTTTATGGTAGAGCAATTTATATTCCTTTGGATATGTACCCAATAATGGGATTGCTGAGTGGAATGGTAGTTCTCAATTCTTTGAAAAATTGCCAACTGCTTTCCACAGTGGCTGAACTAATTTACATTCTCACCAGCACTGTGTAAACATTGTCTTTTCACCACAATCTTGCCAGCTTCTGTCATTTTTTGACTGTTTAATAATAGCCATTCTGACTTGCATGAGCTAGTATCTCATAGTGGTTTTAATTGCATTTCTCTAATGGTCAGTGATGTTGAGCTTTTTTTCATATGCTTGTTGGCCCTATGTATGCCTTCTTTTGAAAAGTAGCGATTCATGTTCTTTGCCCACTTTCTAACGGGGTTGTTTGTTTTTTGCTTGGTAATTTAAGTTTCTTACAGATGCTGGATATTAGACCTTTGTCAGATATGTAGTTTGCAAATGTTTCCTCCCATTCTGTTGGTTGTCTGTTTACTCTAGTTTCTTTTGCCGTGCAGAAGCTCTTTAGTTTATTTAGGTATTGCTTGTTAACTTTTGCTTTTGTTGCAATTGCTTTTGGCATCTTTGTAATAAAATCTTCTCCAGGGACTGTGTTTAGAATGGTATGTCCTAGGTTTTCTTCAAGGGTTGTTTTAGGTTTTACATGTAAGTCTTTAATTCACCTGGAGTTGATTTTTGTATATGGCATAAGGAAGTGGTCCAGTTTCAATCTTCTGCATATGGCTAGCCACTTATCCCAGCACCACTTATTGAATAGAGAGTCCTTTCACTATTGCTTGTTTTGTTGACTTTCTTGGAGATCAGATGGTTGTAGGTGTGTAGCTTTATTTATGGCCTAGCTATTCTGTTTCATTGGTCTATGTGTCTGTCTTTGTACCAATACCATGCTGTTTTGGTTACTGTAGCTCTGTAGTATAGTTTGAAGTTGGGTAATGTGATGCCTCCAGCTTTGTTCTTTTTGCTTTGGATTGCTTTGGCTATTTGGGCTCTTTCTTGATTCCATATGAATTTTAGAATAGGGCAACTCCTTTTAAAGAAACATTACAAAATCTTCAAGTGAGGCAGCAAAAGTCTTATCAAAGAGGGAGGTGAGCTGGCTGTGGTGGCTCATGACTATAATCCCAGCACTTTGGGAGGCTGAGGCAGGAGGATTGCTTGAGCCCAGGAGTTCAATCTCAGCCTGGGAAACAAAGTAAGACTCCATCTCTATTTTAAAATAATTTACAAAGAGAGAAAGAGGGTGGCAAATGCTACCTTTGCTAAAAGGAAGGGTCAGTGGTATTTGAGAGAATGGATAACTTGAAGTTGTCCAAATTCCACAGATTTCTCTATTTCCATTCTTGAGGTCCCACTTTCCAAATTAGTGCCCTAACTCTCATATAAGACTCTTGGGTGAGGTTGGAATTCAACTTATATTGTAATTTAGCAACCCATAGGATCAGACCTTGCAAGTTCTGTTTGGTTACATCTGCCGCAGCTACAAGTGATCATGTCCACATTAGGGAAGTCATGGTTCTCCGACTGTGCCTTTGGCTAAGGATTTAAAACCTTGAGTTTGTCATTTTCTTTATTAAAGTACTCCACCACAGTTAGAAATCACTAGCCCACTTTCCATATAACCATTGTATGCCCCATGTTCTTCAAAATAGCTTTTTGCAGCAGTAACTTGGCCCACCAAAGCCTTCTACTGGCTCCTGCATTCAAGGTGACCATAGGGACAGTTTGACACTGAATTCCATCGAAATACATTATACTATTTGTGCCCCAACCTCTAATGCTAGCCATCTCTGACTGTCTTCACATCCAGCCAGAATATATAACTGTTATGAACTGAATGTTGTCTCCCCCTAAATTCACATGCTGAAGCCCTAATTCCTAATGTGATGGTATTTGGAGGTAAAGTTTTTGGGTGATAATTAGTTAGGTTTAAATGAGGTCACGAGAGTGGGGCCTCCATGATGAGATTTGTGTCTTTATGAAAAGATGAAGAGACATGAGAACTTCCTCTCTTTCCCATGGGAAGACTCAGTAAGAAACCTGAGATCTACAAACCGGAAGAAAAAGAGCCATCACAAGTTACCAAATTGGCTGGCACCTTCATTTTGGACTTTCCAGCTTCCGGAACTGTGAGAAAGAAAAATTCTGTTGTTTAAGCACTCGGCCTATGGCATTTTGTTATGGCAGCCTGATAAATACAATAACCAGCATTAAATTCTCATTTCCTTAAAGGATCCATTTTTTTGCAAACATTTCTGGTACAAATTTCTATATGGGCCAGGATTAGTAACTGCAGATGACGGAATCTATTCTAGCTAGTTTAATCATAAAGTGGTTAATTTTGGAGCATTGAGTGGTATGATAAATTTCTAAGAGGACCAACAAGCTAAATTTGGATACTATACAATCAGGAACAACATAGTGTAGAGACACTCTAAACTCTAAATTGTTTTAATGGAAACTTTCCCATTGCTGTTGCCTGTTGCATGGCATACATGACATTAGTGGCGTGAGAGTAGAACCTCAGCCACAGATGCCCCACAGGAGATCCAAATGCCTCTTCTTGTCAGAAGATCTGATCTCCCCAGATAGCTGCCACCTCCCATTGTGTTATGCAATATAGGTCTCTCACAGGTATGTCTACAAGAGGATCTGAAGGATGCAAATACTAGCTTTTTAGTACATGAGAGCACACATTAGAGAGGGTCTGAGTGTGTGCTGAGTGAATCAATATGTAGTATCTACCACAACTTCCATGTACTCTGATGAGAAATGTCTATAAAGACATCACTGCAGATGGTTCTCAGTCTGGTCTTTTGTTAGCTACTTGCAATATTCAATAAGACCCTCTATTTTAGGAAGGTAATCCACAGTTATTAACTGAGTCTCTGTTGGAAAACAACCCATCATTTTAATTCTGTTCTATGGGAGACATGGTGCAAAAAAGTATTATCCTTCTATTTTAATGAGCTTCCCATTAGAACTATGTTACTGGGCCTGGTTGCCTCATTTCCTGACTGTAAGTATACACCATCCTTTATAAGGATGCTTTAGGGAAAACTGGCCATGCGGAAGGAAAAACAGGTTGGAACTCTAGCTCTTTTTCCTTTTTCAAGCATTACTTAACCGTTGAGAGTCCAGTGTGTGCACTTCTCAGTTTTCTATGATCTATCTGAGCAACTCAGGGCTTTGTTGTTGCTTTCACAGCAAGGAAATAGTCATAGCACAGGTTGGCAGGCTGTGGCCCACTATCTCCCCCTGGGTCTTCCTGGACTTTGCTCTTCCATTGACACACCAGTTCCTTTTAAACCATCCTAACAATGCTGTATCTTTAGCAGTGACTGCTGTTTTCTGATCATCGTTCATCCTCTATGAAAAAGCAATTTGTCTTCTCAAATAATAAACTGCAGGGACTCTATCCTCCCACCTGCCCTTTCCTCACATTCTTCTAAGGTCTAAGTGTTGAAAAAAAATACCTATACTTTTTCTACAAAGATACTACTAAAATGCATCCCTGAGAACTGCAGTGTCTCTAATAGGAACAATGTGACCATTGGTTAAGGGTGAGAACTAAAAGGAAACTAGCTGTTTCTATGCCTAAAAGACCTTATTTTGGGGATATGAAAGAGAAATATTTTTTAAAAACCACTCAAGAAACTTGTTCAGACTATGGACCATATTTTAATGAGAAATGTATTCTGTCTGAGAGAGAAATATTTGGGCAAAAAACTGCTAAGCGAGCAAGGATGGTCAGGCTTACTTTGTTAACGAGTGGTAAATGTGTTCTTCTTGGAAGGAAAAAGGTGGTCCTGGAAAAATTTTAGGAGAAGTGTTTTTTAAGTGAGTCAGACTTTAATCCAAATGCTAACTATTCCACTTACTACCTATATAAGTTTGGGCAAGTTATTATTTCTTTGAAACTTAAGTTTCCACATCAGTATAATGGGTATAATAATACTAACTGCCTATAGGAATATTGTAAGGATTAAACTTAATAATATATACACATATTTTAGGGCCTGGGCATACTTAGTAGTTATTATTATTGCTAGTGATTTTACAGGCATCCCAAACAAAGACTGCATGGGAACATTGAACTAGGGAGCTTCAGGACTAAATATATACATATACACACATATATTTTTAGGTATGTATATCTGATCTCTTAGTTTTGTTTGTAAATAAAAATAATTCACATCTATTTAATCTTTATGTGGTAGATACTGCTGCTTGTCTACATGATCTATTTTCTCCCATATTTCTAACTAAGAAAACCCTAATGTGCCCAGCTAAAAAAGTAGCATTTTTTTTGCAGCCAGAATTGGTTACATGACACAGTTCTGATAGAAAGCAAAAGCCTGCAGTGATTTCTGGAAAAGTTTTCCTTTCCTAATAGTGGTGCCTGCCTTTCCTCTTGTCACTTCCTTGTTCTTCTTCTTGATTGGAGGGTTGAGATGGGGATGGAAGTAAAATTCCCATCTTGAGGCCATAAAGAGACCATGAGTGTGAGGGCCACACACTGAGACTGGCAGAGCAGAAAGAAAGAAGTAACTTGGGATAACTGATGACACTATGGACTGTGGAGTTGCTGCGATTGACCTTCCTGTTAAGTACGTTTTTTTAAATTAATAAGCTTAATTTTTTAGGGTAGTTTTAGGTTCACAGCAAAATTGAGCAGAAGTACAGTGTTCCCATATACCTCCTGTCACTACATGTGCATAGTCTCTCCTGTTATTGACATCTGGAGCAGAGTGGGGGATTTGTTACAGTCCATGAATTAGCACCAGGGTATCATTATGACCCAAAGTCCATAGTTTACTTTAAGATTCATTCTTGGTGTAGAGTGCAGTGGCATGGTCATAGCTCACTGCAACCTTGACCTCCTGGACTCAAGCAATCCTCCCACCTCATCTTTCTGAGTAGCTGGGACTACAGGCTTGCACCACCACGACCAGCTAATTAAAAAGAAAAATTGTAGAGATGAGGCCTTGCTATGTTGCCCATGCTGGAACATTTTCTGGGTTTTAACAAACGTATAGCAACATATATCCACCATTGTAGTATATAGAATAGTTTTACTACCCTAAAATTCCTCTGTGCTCTACCTATTCATCCCTCCATCCCCTCAACCCTTAGCAACCATTGATCTTTTTATTGTCTCCATAGTTTTTCTTTTTCTGAGATGTCACATAGTTATATACAGTTTATAGACTTTTCAGATTGGCTTAGTTCACTTAGTGGTATGCATTTAAGTTTCCTCCATGTCTTTCATTGCTTGATAGCTCATTTTTCTTTAGCATTGAATAATATTCCATTTTCTGAATGTACTATAGTTTATTTAGCCGTTCACCTACTGAAGGACATCCTCGTTGCTTCCAAGTTTTGGCAATTATGAATAAAGCTGCCATAAACATCCACGTACAGGTTTTTGTGTGGACATAAGTTTTCAATTCACTTGGGTAAATACTGAGGAGTATGGTTTCAAAATCACATGGTAAGAGTATGTTTGGTTTTGTGAGAGACTGCCAAACTGTCTTCCAAAGTACCATTTTGCATTCCCACCAGCAATGAATGAGAGTTCCTGTTGCTGCACATCCTCGACAGCTTTGGCGTTGTCAATGTTCTGAATTTTGGTCATTTTAATAGTGTATAGTGGTATCTCCATATTGTTCTAGCTTGCAATTGCCTAATGATATATGATGAATATCATAATAAACATCATTTGCTCACTTGCCATCTGTGTATCTTGTTTGGTGAGGTGTCTAGTCAGATCTTTTGCTCACTTTTTAAATTGGATTGTTCATTTCCTTATTGTTGAGTCGTAGGAATTCTTTGTATATTTTAGATAACAGTCCTTTATCAAATATATCTTTTCCAATTTTTTTTCCCAACTTGTGATTTGTCTTCTAATGTTCTTGACATTGTTATTCAATGAGAAGAAGCTTTTAGCTCGTCAATTATTTCTTTCATGGGTTGTGCCTTTCTTTGGTGTTGTATCTAAAAAGTTATGGCCATATCCAAGGACCCTAGATTTTCTTCAATATCATTTTTTTTAAAGTTTTATAGTTTTGTGTTTTACTCTATGATCCATTTTGAGTTAAATCTTATGAAGAATGTAAGGTCTGATGTTCAAAAGGATGTCCAGTTGTTCAGCACCATTTGTTGCTCCATTGTACTGCTTTTTCTCCTTTGTCAAAGATCAACTGACTATATATGTATATGGGTCTATTTCTGAGCTCTCTATTGGGTTCTGTTCATCTAGTCTTTTGCCAGTATCACACTGTCTTGATAACTGTAGCTTTATAGTAGTCCAGAAGTTAGGTAGTGTCAGTAATCTGGCTGACATTCATTCATTATTGAGTTGGCTATTGTGGGTCTTTTGCCTCTCATATAAACTTTAGAATCAGTTTGTCAATATTCACAAAAGAACTTGCTGGGATTTTGATTGGGATTGATGTAAATCTATAGATCAAGTTGGGAAGAACTGACTTCTTGACAATATTGAGTCTTTCCATCCATGAACATGAAATTGCTCTTCTTTATTTAGTTCTACTTTGATTTCTTTCATCGGACTTGTAGTTTTCCTCATATAGATTTTACACATAGTTTGTTAGATTTACACTTAAATATTCATTTTTGTGAGTGCTAATGTAAGTGATAATGTGTTAATTTTAAATTCCACTTGTTAATTGCTGGTGTATAGAAAAGCAGCAATTAACATATTAATCTTGTATCCTGCAACCTTGCTATAATTGCTTACTAGTTCTAGAAATTTTTTTGTAGATTCTTTCAGATTTTCTACATAGATGATCGTGTCTTTTGTAAACATATGTAGTTTTATTCCTTCTTTCCTCGTCAATACAGCTTTTATTTCCTTTTCTTATCTTATTGCATTAGCTAGGACTTCCAGTGAATGTTGAAAAGGAATGGTGAGAAAGGACATCCTTGTCTTGTTCTGATTTTAGCAGGAAAGCCTAACTTTAGCATAATGTTAGCTGTTGGATTTTTGCAGATGTTCTTCATCAAGTTGAAGTTTCCCTCTATTCCTAGTTTGCTGAGAGTTTTTATCATGAATGGTGTTTGATATTGTCAAATGTTTTTTCTGCACATTTGTATGGTCATGTAATTTTTCTTCTTTAGGCCTTATGACTTTGACATTTAATTAGGGTATATAGTCCATTTATACTTAATATAATTACTGATATATTTTGGTTTAAGTCTACAGTCTTATCAGCTTTTTATTTGTCTCACCATTTCACTCTCCTTTCTTGCATTCTCTTTGATTAATTAAATATTTCTTTTCTTTTTTTTTGAGACAGGGTCTCACTCTGTTACCCAGACTGGAGTGCAGTGGCCCAATTATTGCTCAAACCTCAACCTTCTGAGCTCAAGCAATCCTCCCACCTCAGTCTTTCAAGTAGCTGGGACTACAGGAACCTGTCACCGTACTCAGCTAATTTTTTGTTTTGGAGAGACAGGGTCTCATTATGTTGCCCAGTCTCATCTTGAACTTCTGGGCCCAAATGATCCTCCTGCCTCCACCTCCCAAAATGCTGGGATTACAGGTGTAAGCCACCACACCCAGCCAATTAAATATTTCATATTATTCCGTTTTCCTTCTATTTACTCCTTAGTCATACATATTTCTACTTTTTCTTTTAATAGTTACTTAGAAATGACAATATATATTATTATTTATTAGAGCCTAACATAAACTATTATTTTAAATATATCCAGGATAATGCAACAAACTTAGAAGAGCTTCTCTCTCTTTAGCTCCACCCAGTAGTGTGCTAATGGCTTATATCAATTCCTGAAGATTGACTGATAAATATTTGGGAATTTTGCAAGCCAGTTGTTAGAACACTGGTAGTTTGAAATTGGCCATAGTGTGAGTATTTATACCACAGAAACATAAAATAATCAAATATAATTTTTTTGAAAACGTGTTTTTAAACATTAACACATTATTGCCTCATCTCCATTTATGTTACTGTTTCCATGCATTTTAATGTTATATATATTTTAGACCCCACAAGACATTATTAACATTATTTTGTATAGTTGGTATTTATATGTGAATGAAATGAATGGAATCGATTCATAGATACCTGACAACTTTCTATGTTTTTTCAAATTAGAATGTTTTCCATAGCACAAAAGATTGAAATACAAATGAATAATTGTCTAACCAATGGAATTGACATGAGTTATGGGCACAGGCTTTGCCTGATTTTGACTTCTTTTATGTCTGCAACTTGAGTAATAATTTGATGAATGTCAACTATTTTCTTAGGCATTCCAGTCCAGTGTTTGTTGAATGAAAGACAAAATTAATAAACATATGGTGCTTACCTTACTAATGTTATTTTTGATACTATTACTTTTAGTATTAATACAATAAAACTAAAAAGGGAATTTATTTTACTATATATCTGAAACATAGTGTAAATTGAATGAATATTTATGGAATTGGTGAATGAATAATAATAAGCCACAACTAAACACCTACTCTCACCAGCATAATCTTCTTTAAAACTGGGAACATTCCTAACATTCCTCTGTTTTATCTTGAAAAGTCTGTTTATTGTTCTGACTTCAGCCTCCTCCAGAAAGGTTTTTTTTTTTTTTTGAGACAGAGCCTCACTTTGTCGCCCAGTCTGGAATGCAATGGTGTAATCTCGGCTCACTGCAACCTCTACCTCCTGGGTTCAAATGATTCTTCTGCCTCAGCCTCCTGAGTAGCTGGGATTACAGGCACCCACCACCTGGCTCAGCTAGTTTTTGTATTTTTAGTAGAGACGGGGTTTCACTATGTTAGCCAGGATGGTGTTGAACTCCTGATCTCCAGTGATCCGCCCACCTCAGCCTCCCACAGTGCTGGAATTACAGGTGTGAGCCACTGTGCCTGGCCAGAAAGCTTTGCCTGAGTTTCCAAGTTCATCTGAGGTGCCTGCTTGTGCTCTCACATCATGCTGGGCTTCCTCTAACACACCACATATATGATGCATTGTAATTGCTTGTTTAATTATTGATCATGTTCACCATTTTGTGTGCTCCATTAAGGCAGGGATTATGCCTATGTTGTCATGTAGTAGGTGCAAAATGCATTTAACTCAAATATATGAACTATAGATTCCTGTAGGCAGGTGCTAAATCTCATCTGCCTGTTTTATTTTGCAACATGGACATAGTACTATGTTGTTATACAGTTTTCAATTACTATTTATATTTTTCTCTTTTTGTGAAACAGAGTCTTACTCTGTTGACCAGGCCAGAGTGCAATGGCACGATCTTGGCTCACTGCAACCTTCGCCTCCCGGTTTCAAGTGATTCTCATGCCTCAGCCTTCTGAGTAGTGGGGATTATAGGTGTGTGCCACTATGTGCCTGGCTAATTTTTGTATTTTTGGTACAGATGGGGTTTCACCATGATGGCCAAGCTGGTCTCAAACTCCTAGACTCAAGCAATCTGCCTGCCTCGGCCTCCTAAAGTGCTGGGATTACAGACGTGAGTTACCATGCCCGACAATACTTCTTATTTGAAATTACCACTCTCTGTTAGACCATGTGATCAGAAAAAAGAAATGCTTTTAATATTGGACAAAAGAGGAGACTAAGCCTGGCTTAAGCAGTCACACAATGATATTTGAAGTATTTTCCATTGTAGCTTTTCAACTTTTGGTCCTCTGTAATAATGTAGGTGACTAAGCCCTTGTTGAATTTCCAAAAAGGGAAAATAGAATCACAGAGCGCCTTAATTGGAGGATTTCCAAACAATTAAAATGGTATTTGATGGTGATGTCTAAAAAAACTGAAGCAAGAGTGTGTCAAATACATCATATATGTCAGAATTAAAGTCAGGAGTCTTAACTCCCAGTCTCATGGTTGGATAACTTTGTTCCATTAGCTTAGCAGGCAGATGTCTTGGAGGCTGCTGTACCCACTATAGTACCATGGTCTGTGTCATATCCATGAAGTCGGAATCTAAGGTTTTCAATCTAAGATTTTCTTCCACAAGTTTTGGGCTCCATTGAGCAATTGCTTTAACCAGCATAACAATTTTCACTTTGTTTTGCCACTTTCTCAAAGCATATTGTGAAAGTTTAGAGACCAGAATTATATACTTGGCACGGAACAAAGTTTACGGAACTCCCTGGACATGGCCTTCGGCTCAGAACCAACTGGCAACTCCAGTTGGTTAGAAGAGTCAATTACATTTGTAAAGGTTTTCGTTCTTAGAAAAGCATACTCGAGGAACAATTAGGAAAACAATCTCTTTGACTTGGCTGAGATGAGGCTAGAAATATCATCTGTCCTAAATTTAAATTTGTTGGGGCTGAAGACAACATAAGCTCTATTTTTGATGATTACAGGTCATGATTTCCACAGCCTGACTGTTTTTGGCAACATATTATTGTGTTAAATGGCACATAAGCAGTTTTCAAATTCAAACCATGAGATTTTCATCCTTTTTATCTCCCCTATTTGCTAATCATAGCCTGCTTTTTCTAGATCTTCTCTTTGGCTGTGCTATTAGAGAATCCTAATCAAAATTTCCTTAGGGAAGATTCTTCTTTGAGTTGATCACTGAATACACTTTTTTTTCTACTCATCAGACCACTCGTTGTGAGTAATTGAAACCTATAGATGGCCTATTGTCTAGTTTAGAGAACTGAGTCAATTTCTCTTGGCAAAAAGTGGCTAGGGCATTGAATTGAGATGGAGCATCTATCTACTATAGGGGAGAAAAGTTTGCTGCCAGATCAAGTTGGAAGATCATCTCCTCTAAGTCATATGCCACATTATTTATCTCGCTCTACTTTTTTCATTTCTACTGGGCAAGTTCTATTTACCCCCAATTCTTACATACAAAATTGTGTGTGTTCATTTTTGCCCTTATGGTATGTTGGATACAATGGAGGCCATCTGTCTTTTTTATTTTCCAACAGTATGTTCACTTCTTATATGATGCCTATTAAGAATTGTTAAAGTGAATTAAGTATGGCCTGACAAGGACTCTGTACTTCTATATTTGACTCTTTGTGGACTAACCGTAACCTAACTTAATAGGTAGACAAGATTGAAAACCTAATTTAGGAGTATGTGCCGGTAACAATAGCTGAGTCTTGGCCAATCCCAGCAGCCATACTTCAACTACTCACACTGCTGAGTGTTCAAACTGTGTTCAAATAAGGCAGACCCCAATCTGTAACCAATCCAGCTGTTTCTCTACCTCACTTCCAATTTCTGTACATCGCTTTGCTTTGTTTGTCTATAAATTTGTTCTGAACCTGAGGCATCCATAGAGTCTCTCTGAATCTGCTGTGATTCTGGGGGCTGCCTGATTCGTGAATTGTTCATTGCTCAATTAAACTTTAAATTTAATTTGGCTGAAGTTTTTCTTTTAAAAGTACAGAGGAAAACATTGCAGCAATTCAGTGTTTCTTGAAGGAAGCAGAGAAAAAGTCCTTCTGTCTTCTGCATTCTCTTCAAACTATCTGCCAGGTGGGCTCTCACCTCCTCCTCTCTGAGGCATCAGCCCAATAGAGGAGGCCTGGGAATCTGTGTCCTCTACCTTGTTACCTTATTCTTTCTTTAACCATTATTCTGTAAGGAGCAGTCTCAGGTGGCTTCCTACTATTGGAAGGAGTGTCCATTCTACATTCTGTCGGAGCCTCCCTAAGGTCATACAACATGGATCTTGATGCTAAAGATATAGGATGACTTGGAACTACGGATTATTGAGAATGAAAAGATACCACTTTAATTCCTCTTTCTCCAAAATAAAACCCTATTTTATTATTATTATTATTATTATTATTGAGATGGAGTTTTGCTCATTGCCCAGGCTGGAGTGCAATGACATGATCTCAGCTCACTGCAACCTCCGCCTCCTGGGTTCAAGTGATTCTCCTGCCTCAGCCTCCTGAGTAGCTGGGATTATAGGCACCCACCACCACATCCAGCTAATTTTTGTATTTTTAGTAGAGACAGGGTTTCAACATGTTGGCCAAGCTTGTCTTGAACTCCTGGCCTCAGGTGATCCACCCGCCTCTGCCTCCCAAAGTGCTGGGATTTACAGGCGTCTGGCCCCTATTTTATTACATTACAAAAAAGGGGCTGTAGTAGTCATATTTTTGTAACCTACTTGAAAATATCATGGACAGCTTTCTATGTCCTCAAGTATAGGCCTGCATTGTTATTTTCATTAACTCCATGCTATTACACCATAGTATACCTGACCTTTATTTGTTAACTTAAAAAATGAAGGATTTCATTAATAGAGCTCTTTTGTAGTAATTACTATGATTTCTTTCAGGCCAGAAAGTTGCTACTTCTGTACATTGGCATATTTTTCTCTAGCTGTTAGAAACTATTCAAGTCCCTTAAGGCTTTTAGAACATCCTAAACTTGATGCTCATATCAGCTATTAACAGTCAAACAATTGCCGGTGAGATTATAAAGTCCCATAGAGAAGATTAGAATGAATTTCAGAAAAATTCCCTAACTTTCAGAATCTACTGATTAACAGAATTTAGATACCTACGTCTAGCTAAAGCTGGGCCTAGGTTCTCTGGACTTATGTTATGTGGCACCATCATTATTCATGTGATGTGAGAAATAACCCACCTCAAAATGATTTGTCAATATTTGAATACCCTGAAATCTCACCTACAATAACTTCATTATTTTACCTTGCATTTTTGGTTCCATGGTTATGAAATGCTGTTGCTGTTGGCATCATTTATGCTATGATATAAATGAGCTTCAGAAGCTGTGTGTGTGTGTGTGTGTGTGTGTGTATGTGTGTGTATGTGTGTTTTCTCACATCCCTTCTTGAAAAACCATTGTGAGAAGAAAAGCGGATAATCATATTGAATATCTAATGCAGGAAGGTGGCCTGATGGGTATGGAGGGGTGGAGGTGGGGCAAGGGTGAAGGTTCCATGAACTTGATGTCTGGAATCACTACAGGGTCATTTGCCTAGTCATAGTTTTTCCCAGCATAATTTCTGATGGGAGCATAGATGACAAAGAAAATTTCAAGCCTTATGAGGAATAAAGGGAAAATTCTCATGCCCCATGGACAGATCTGATAAGGAGCTTCAACAAAAAAGACTTGTTTTATAAACTTGAAATGAGGAGAGATTTTCTTTACCATTCAACAGATGGTAAAGGAACCACAGGCAAGAGAGCCTGAAGATGCTTTGCAGGTCTAATTTACTGTCAGTTGAGCGCCCCCTGGGGGATAGCCAGTGGAGAAGGTGGTCCAGGTCCCTGAATATTGGCCATTTTCCTCTTTTGAACAGTCTTTGGGGCAGTGCCTGATTTGACTTGGGAATTAAAAGAGGCTTGAGGCTCATAATCATTTATAAGGGATCAGTAATAATTCCAGCTCTGTTTATGTTCAGTAGTTGTAAGATTAAGGTAAGTGGCATACTTTGCAATCCGCAGGTTGCCACAGGGATATTAGCAATCATTACCGCAATGACCACTCACTCCCTATAAGGCTGCCTGAGATCTCATATGGAAGAGAATATAATTTTATTTTCATAAAAACCCTAAGAAGAAGGGAAGGAAACTACTTTAATTTTCCAAAACGAAGCTAGCTTTATTTTGTCTGATAGTAGAATACATAAAATATTATAGAATATGTTTATATAGAATATTTTAGTAATATACTGAAATGTGTAGAGTATTCAAACATTAACATAACAAAGAAAAGAGACTACATCTTTTGAACTTTGGAATGTATCACTAAATCACCCTCCAAAGAGACTAGATCAATAAATATACTTACCAGAAGTGTGTGAGAGCAGCCTATTGCTTGCACACTTGCAAATCCTGGGCTTTGTCCATCTTTTTAATTATAACCAATCTGTTGTTTTTTTTGCATTTCTTTGATTACTAGTGAGGCTGAACATCTGTTCATATATTTACTAGCCCTATTTCTTTTTAAATTGTTTATTCATTTTTTTTTTACCCTTTTTTCTTTCTCTTTTGTGCTGATTTATAAGAACTTGAGGCACTATGGGTATTTACCCTTTTCCTGGCACATATGTTGCAAATCTTTTTCTCCAGGTGTTATCTTTTATCCTTGATTGCAATGTGTTTGTTATTTAAAAACTTTGTTTTATGCAGTTAAATACAGTAATATTTTCATTTATGGTTTCTGGCTTTAGCACCATTGCATGGAAAAACTTTCCTTATTTAAAGATGTAAAATTATTCACCCCTAGTTTCTTTGAAAATAGCATTTATTGAATGTCTACATATGCCAGGAGCTATGTTTGGCTTATTACATGTATAAGTTTATTAAATTTTCACCACAGTCTTATGAGGTAGGTATTACCATCATCTCCATTTTGCAAATTAAAAATTGCAGGTTGGAAAACTGATTTACTCATGATCACCAGGCCGAGAAGTGGTAGGCCCATGCTTAGAGGTCAGACTTCTGACTTCATGGAATATAAACTTTCCAAGTATTTAATATCCAGAGATGATCCTGCCTACAGATATTAAATTTGAATAAATTCATAAATTAGAATCTATTACAAATACTTTCCCTGGAATAAAATGCCCAATCTTGAAAAAATTACTTTAATAGCTTCATGGGTGCTAGATAATAAAAAAAAAGTAGTGAATATGGCTGAGAATGCCAAGAACCAGTTTATAGAGCAAAATATATTAATTTCCATAATGTAGATGAATAGACTATTTGGGTTTTTGCAGTAAAGAAAGATTTTAATTGACGTGAGGCCAGCCACCCCATGTGGGAGAAGAACAGAGTTATTACTCAAATCAATCATATTGAAGGCTTGTAGGTTAGGTTTTTTTCCAAAGGCAGTTTGGGGGAAGTGATGGGGGTGGCTAGGCCTTACTGCTGATTTGTTGGGTCCAAGATGAAACCATAGGGTTGTTGAAGCTGTCCTCTAGAACTGAGGTGCTTCTAGGTGGGGCATGGAAGTGTGAAATCATCAGTCAGTGAGTCCAGGTGGAGTCATGGGTGTCACATGTATATAAAACCTGAAAAGATAGTTCAAAAGGTCAATCTACAACAGTAAATTTGCATATTTTGTGACCAGTCTACACCTTAGCAGAATTCAGTTTCCTCTCCTCCCCCTAGCATGAGGGCCTTTTGTTATCTATACAAAGGTGGTTGAGTTTTTGTGAAAGTCCTATTATCATTTGAACTATAAATTCAATGTCTACCAAAGTTAGCTTAGCCTAAGCCCAGGAATTCTTAAGGGAAAGGCAAGATGGGGAGGGCAGTGGGTTAGATCAGATCTCTTTTACTACCATCATGTTCTGTTATAATTTATGCAAAGGCAGTTTCAATGTCACACATTTCTGAATCACTTCTAGCAACATCAAACTAGCAAACTACAAAATGTTCTATAAACAAGCTAGCCAGGCTCTTGCTAAGATGAGAACTGTTTGGTAAATTTTAAAAAACATGAAACATAATGAAGATACTGCTATTGATACGGATTTTTCCTCCTGATACTTTGAGTTTTGGCTATTTTCAGAGATTTGTGGAGGAGATTAGATGTCCTAAAATTATATGGAAAAGAAGTTATTAATATTGACTTGAAAACTTCATATTACAGAGAAAAGAGTGCTTTTCCTTGATCAATCATTCAGTAGTTGAAAATAACTCCCAATATTTTAAAGCCAAGGGAAAAAAATACATAGCATGAAAAGACAATGGGCTGTATTTTTAACCAGTGCAATGCTGAAAAAGTTCGCAGAAATAATTTTATTTTAACTTGCTTAAGAAATGTAGTATATGTAACAAATAATATCCAAAAAGGGCTGTGTTGTGGGTTTTTTTTTGGCTGAGATTGCGGTTAAAAAAGAGAAAATTTTGTAAACTTGGGTTAATCTTCTAAAAGAGACAATTTCATTTCTTTAAATTATACTTTAAGTTCTAGGGTACATGTGCACAACGTGCAGGTTTGTTACATATGTATACATGTGCCATGTTGGTGTGCTGCACCCGTTAACTCGTCATTTACATTAGGTATATCTCCTAATGCTATCCCTCCCTCCTTTGCACACCCCACGACAGGCCCCAGTGTGTGATATTCCCCACCCCGTGTCCAGTGTTCTCATTGTTCAATTTCCACCTATGAGTGAGAACATGCCGTGTTTGGTTTTCTGTCCTTGTGATAGTTTGCTCAGAATGATGGTTTCCAGCTTCATCCATGTCCCTACAAAGGACATGAACTCATCATTTTTTATGGCTGCATAGTATTCCATGGTGTATATGTGCTACATTTTCTTAATCTAGTCTATCATTGATGGACATTTGGGTTGGTTCCAAGTCTTGGCTATTGTGAATAGTGCTGCAATAAACATACGTGTGCATGTGTCTTTATAGCAGCATGATTTATAATCCTTTGGGTATATATCCAGTAATGGGATGGCTGGGTCAAATGGTACTTCTAGTTCTAGATCCCTGAAGAATCGCCACACTGTCTTCCACAATGGTTGAACTAGTTTACGCTCCCACCAACAGTGTAAAAGTGTTCCTATTTCTCCACATCCTCTCCAGCACTTGTTGTTTCCTGATTTGTTAATGATCACCATTCTAACTGGTGTGAGATGGTATCTCATTGTGGTTTTGATTTGCATTTCTCTGATGGCCAGTGATGATGAGCATTTTTTCATGTGTCTGTTGGCTGCATAAATGTCTTCTTTTGAGAAGTGTCTGTTCATATCCTTCACCCACTTTTTGATGGGGTTGTTTGATTTTTTCTTGTAAATTTGTTTAAGTTCTTGTAGATTCTGGATATTAGCCCTTTGTCAGATGGGTAGATTGTAAACATTTTTTCCCATTCTGTAGGTTTCCTGTTCACTCTTATGATAGTTTCTTTTGCTGTGCAGAAGCTCTTTAGTTTAATTAGATCCCATTTGTCAATTCTGGCTTTGTTGCCATTGCTTTTGGTGTTTTAGTCATGAAATCCTTGCCCATGCCTATGTCCTGAATGCTATTGCCTAGGTTTTCTTCTAGGGTTTTTACAGTTTTAGGTCTAACATTTAAGTCTTTAATCCATCTTGAATTAATTTTTGTATGAGGTGTAAGGAAGGGATCCAGTTTCAGTTTTCTGCATATGGCTAGCCAGTTTTCCCAGCACCATTTATTAAATAGGGCATCCTTTCACCATATCCTGTTTTTGTCAGGTTTGTCAAAGATCAGATGGTTGTAGATGTGTGGTATTATTTCTGAGGGCTCTGTTCTGTTCCATTGGTCTATATCTCTGTTTTGGTACCAGTACCATGCTGTTTTGGTTACTGTAGCCTTGTAGTATAATTTGAAGTCAGGTAGCGTGATGCCTCCAGCTTTGTTCTTTTTGCTTAGTATTGTCTTGGTAATGTGGGCTCTTCTTTGGTTCCATATGAACTTTAAAGTAGTTTTTTGCAATTCTGTGAAGAAAGTCATTGGCAGCTTGATGGGGATGGCATTGAATCTATAAATTACCTTGGGCAGTGTGGCCATTTTCATGATATTGATTCTTCCTACCCATGAGCATGGAATGTTCTTCCAATTGTTTGTGTCCTCTTTTATTTTATTGAGCAGTGGTTTGTAGTTCTCCTTGAAGAGGTCCTTCACATCCCTTGTAAGTTGGATTCCTAGGTATTTTATTCTCTTTGAAGCAATCGTGAATGGGAGTTCACTCATGATTTGGGTCTCTGTTTGTCTGCTATTGGTGTATAGGAATGCTTGTGATTTTTGCACGTTGATTTTGTATCCTGAGACTTAGCTGAAGTTGCTTATCAGCCTAAGGAGATTTTTGGGCTGAGACAATGGGGTTTTCTAAATATACAATCATGTCATCTGCAAACAGGGACAATTTGACTCCCTCTTTTCCTAATTGAATACCCTTTATTTCCATCTCCTGCCTGATTGCCCTGGCCAGAACTTCCAACACTATGTTGAATAGGAGTGGTGAGAGAGGGCATCCCTCTCTTGTGCCAGTTTTCAAAGGGAATGCTTCCAGTTTTTGCCCATTCGGTATGATACTGGCTGTGGGTTTGTCATAAATAGCTCTTATTATTTTGAGATACGTCACATCAATACCTAGTTTATTGAGAGTTTTTAGCATGAAGGGCTGTTGAATTTTGTTGAAGGCCTTTTCTGCGTCTACTGAGATAATCATGTGGTTTTTGTCTTTGGTTCTGTTTATGTGATGGATTACGTTTATTGATTTGCATATGTTGAACCTGCCTTGCATCCAAGGGATGAAGCCAACTTGATCGTGGTGGATAAGCTTTTTGATACGCTGCTGGATTCGGTTTGCCAGTATTTTATTGAGGATTTTTATATTGATGTTCATCAGGTATATTGGTCTAAAATTCTCTTTTTTTGCTGTGTCTCTGCCAGGCTTGGGTATCAGGATGATACTGGCGTCATAAAATGAGTTAGGGAGGATTCCCTCTTTTCCTATTGATTGGAATAGTTTCAGAAGGAATGGTACCAGCTCCTCTTTGTACCTCTGGTAGAATTTGGCTGTGAATCTGTCTGGTCCTGGACTTTTTTTGGTTGGTAGGCTATTAATTATTGCCTCAATTTCAGAGCCTGTTATTGGTCTATTCAGGGATTAAATTTCTTCCTGGTTTAGTCTTGGGAGGGTCTATGTGTCCAGGAATTTATCCATTTCTTCTAGATTTTCTAGTTTATTTGCATAGAGGTGTTTATAGTATTCTCTGATGGTAGTTTGTATTTCAGTGGGATCGGTAGAGATATCCCCTTTATCATTTTTTATTGTGTCTATTTGATTTTTCTCTCTTTTCTTCTTTATTAGTCTTGCTAGTGGCCTAGTGAAAAGATCAATTTTGTTGATCTTTTCAAAAAACCAGCTCCTGGATTCATTGATTTTTTGAAGGGTTTTTTATGTCTCTATCTCCTTCAGTTCTGCTCTGATCTTAGTTATTTTTTGCCTTCTGCTAGCTTTTGAATGTGTTTGCTCTTGCTTCTCTAGTTCTTTTAATTGTGATGTTAGGGTGTCAATTTTAGATCTTTCCTTCTTTCTCTTGTTGGCATTTAGTGCTATAACTTTCCCTCTACACACTGCTTTAAATGTGTCCCAGAGATTCTGGTATGTTGTGTCTTTGTTCTCATTGGTTTCAAAGAACATCTTTATTTCTGCCTTCATTTCATTATGTACCCAGTAGTCATTCAGGAGCAGGTTGTTCAGTTTCCATGTAGTTGAGCGGTTTTGAGTGAGTTTCTTGATCCTGAGTTCTAATTTGATTGCACCGTGGTCTGAGAGACAGTTTGTTATAATTTCTGTTCTTTTACATTTGCTGAGGAGTGTTTTACTTCCAACTGTGTGGTCAATTTTCGAACAAGTGTGATGTAGTGCTGAGAAGAATGTATATTCTGTTGATTTGGGGTGGAGAGTTCTGCCGATGTCTATTAGGTCTGCTTGGTGCAGAGCTGAGTTCAATTCCTGGATATCCTTTTTAACTTTATATCTCGTTGCTCTGTCTAATGTTGACAGTGGGGTGTTAAAGTCTCCCATTATTATTGTGTGGGAGTCTAAGTCTCTTCGTAGGTCTCTAAGGATTTGCTTTATGAATCTGGGTGCTCCTGTATTGGGTGCATATATATTTAGGATAGTTAGCTCTTCTTGTTGAATTAATCCCTTTACCGTTATGTAATGGCCTTCTTTGACTCTTTTGATCTTTGTTGGTTTAAAGTCTGTTTTATCAGAGACTATGATTGCAACCCCTGCTTTTTTTTTGTTTTCCATTTTCTTAGTAGATCTTCTTCCATCCCTTTATTTTGAGCCTATGTGTGTCTCTGCACGTGAGATGGGTCTCCTGAATACAGCACACTGATGGGTCCGGTCTCTTTATCCAATTTGCCAGTCTGTGTCTTTTAATTGGAGCATTTAGCCCATTTACATTTAAGGTTAATATTGTTATGTGTGAATTTGATCCTGTCATGATGATGTATCTGGTTATTTTGCTTGTTAGTTGATGCAGTTTCTTCTTCCTAGCCTTGATGGTCTTTACAATTTGGCATGTTTTTGCAGTGGCTGGTACTGGTTGTTCCTTTCCACGTTTGGTGCTTCCTTCAGGAGCTCTTGTAGGACAGGCCTGGTGGTCACAAAATCTCTTGGCATTTGCTTGTCTGTAAAGGATTTTATTTCTCCTTCACTTATGAAGCTTAGTTTGGCTGGATATGAAATTCTGGGTTGAAAATTCTTTGCTTTAAGAACGTTGAATATTGGCCCCCACTCTCTTCTGGCTTGTAGAGTTTCTGCCGAGAGATCCGCTGTTAGTCTAATGGGCTTCTCTTTGTGGGTAACCCAAGCTTTCTCTCTGGCTGCCCTTAACATTTTTTCCTTCATTTCCACTTTGGTGAATCTGACAATTATGTGTCTTGGAGTTGCTCTTCTTGAGGGGTATCTTTGTGGCATTCTCTGTATTTCCTGAATGTGAATGTTGGCCTGCCTTTCTAGGCTGGGGAAGTTCTCCTGGATAATATCCTGCAGAGAGTTTTCCAACTTGGTTCCATTCTCCCCGTCACTTTCAGGTACAACAGTGAAACGTAGATTTGGTCTTTTCACATAGTCCCATATTTCTTGGAGGCTTTGTTCGTTTCTTTTATTTTTTTATTTTTTTGAGACAGAGTCTCACTCTGTCACCCAGGCTGGAGTGCAGTGGCGCAATCTCAGCTCACTGCAAGCTCCACCTCCTGGGTTCACACCATTCTCCTGCCTCAGCCTCCAGAGTAGCTGGGACTGCAGGCGCCTGCCACCATGCCTGGCTAATTTTTTGTATTTTTAGTAGAGACAGGGTTTCACCATGGTCTCGATCTCCTGACCTCATGATCCACCCGCCTCGGCCTCCCAAAGTGCTGGGATTACAGGCGTGAGCCACTGCACCCGGCCTGTTCATTTATTTTTACTCTTTTTTCCCTAAAGTTCTCTTCTCACTTCATTTCATTAATTTGATCTTCAATCACTGATACCCCTTCTTCCACTTGATCAAATCGACTACTGAAGTTTGTGCATGTGTCGTGTAGTTCTCGTGCCATGGTTTTCAGCTCCATCAGGTCATTTAAGGTCTTCTTTACACTGTTTATTCTAGTTAGCCATTTGTCTAATCTTTTTTCAAGGGTTTTAGCTTCTTTGCCATAGGTTCGAACATCCTCCTTTAGCTCGGAGAAGTTTGTTATTACCGATCGTCTGAAGCCTACTTCTGTCAACTTGTCAAAGTCATTCTCTGTCCAGCTTTGTTCCATTTCTGGTGAGGAGCTGCAATCCTTTGGAGGAGAAGAGGTGCTCTGATTTTTAGAATTTTCACCTTTTCTGCTCTGGTTTCTCCCCATCTTTGTGGTTTTTAATCTACCTTTGGTCTTTGATGATGGTGACGTACCAATGGGGTTTTGGTGTGGATGTCCTTTCTGTTTGTTAGTTTTCCTTCTAAAGTCAGGACCCTCAGTTGCAGGTTGGTTGGAGTTTGCTGGAGGTCCACTCCAGACCCTGTTTGCCTGGGTATCACCAGTGGAGGCTGCAGAATGGCAAATATTGCAGAACGGCAAATATTGCTGTCTGATGCTTCCTCTGGAAGCTTCGTCTCAGAGGGGCACCTGGCTGTATGAGGTGTCAGTTGGCCCCTACTGGGAGGTGTCTCCGAGTTAGGCTACTCGGGGGTCAGGGACCCACTTGAGGAGGCAGTCTGTCCATTCTCCGATCTCAAACTCCGTGCTGGGAGAGCCAATACTCTCTTCAAAGCTGTCAGACAGGGACGTTTAAGTCTGCAGAAGTTTCTGGTGCCTTTTGTTCAGCTATGCCCCGCCCACAGAGGTGGAGTCTACGGAGGCATGCAGGCCTCCTTGAGCTGCGGTGGGCTCCACTCAGTTCAAGCTTCCGGGCTTCTTTGTTTACCTACTCAGCAATGGTGGACGCCCCTTCCCCAGCCTCGCTGCTGCCTTGCAGTTCGATCTCAGACTGCTGTGCTAGCAGTGATCGAGGTTCCGTGGGCGTGGGACCCTTCGAGCCAGGAGTGGGATATAATCTCCTGGTGTGCCATTTGCTAAGTCCATTGGAAAAGTGCAGTATTAGGGTGGGAGTGTCCCAATTTTCCAGGTACCATCTGTCACTGCTTCCCTTGGCTAGGAAAGGGAATTCCCAGACCTCTTGAGCTTTCCGGGTGAGGCGACGCCCCGCCCTGCTTCGGCTCACACTCCGAGTTGACTGTCCAACAAGCCCCAGTGAGATGAACCAGGTACCTCAGTTGGAAATGCAGAAATCACCTGCCTTCTGCGTCGCTCACGCTGGGATCTGTTTTTATTTGGCCATCTTGGAACCGCCCTTACATATTTTCTAAAAGAGATAATTTCTAAGATATAAAAAAGAAAGTTTGCAGGCTAATTATCCATCAAGTAAGGGAATACAGTGAGATAATATGTAAGAAATGAGTGCACACTTTGTTGTCTTCGAGGAATGTTTCTTAGATATCAAGAGGCTAGATAAATTCCTTTGAATAAGGCAATTTTTTTCCTCCTGGATTTCTTTAGAAATGAGAGAGTGAGAGAGAAGGAGGGTGCAGAGAGAAAGAGAGAGAGAAAGAGTCTGACTACTGGGTTAAGCCAGTTCTTTTTGGAGTGGTCTGCACTTAATAGAGAGTTATGCGGAGCTGGATGAATATTATGATATGAATAACTGCATGGATAATGGTTCCATTTACTAAGATGGGAAATAGAAATGTTGATGGAAATAGTGGAACTCTGTAAAATATTTTAAGATATTTATTCTGAACCAAATATGAGTGACCAGTAGCCTGTGACACAGCCTCAGACGATCCTGAGAACATGTGCTCAAGTGGTTGGACTACAGCTTGGTTTTATACATTTTAGGGAGACTTATTGATTGATGAGATATCAATCAATACATGTAAGATGTATATTGGTTCAGTTTGGAAAGGCAAGACAACCTAGTAGGAGGGCTTCCACATCACAGGCAGATTCAAAGATTTTCTGATTGGCAATTGGTTGAAAGAGTTACTATCTAAAGACCTGGAATCAATAGAATGGAATGTCTGGGTTAAGATAAGGGGTGGTGGAGACCAAGGTTTCATCATGCAGATGAAACCCCCAAGTAGCAGGCTTCAGAGCTCTTATCAGACCTAAAAAGTTGCCACACTCTTGGTTAATTCTCTCATGGATTTGAGGAAAGACCTGGGAAGGAAAGGGGATTCTCTGCGGAATCAAGATTATCCCTGTAAGAGGCAGCTTTATAGCGTCATTTTAAAGTATGTCAAAGAAATATATTTTGAGGTAAAATACTTCAATTTCTTTCTTCCGGGGCCTGCTGTTTGTCATTTGATGCTATAATACAGCTGGAATTTGGTGTCTTATTGCTACAAAAAGTCTGTTTTGTCACTTCTAAGATCTCTGTTTTAATGTTAATGCTAGTCAGTCGTGCCTACATTCCCAAGAGGAGAGGGTAGAATCATGAGGCATGTCTGAGCCCACCTTCCTATCATGACCTGAACTAGATTTTCAGGTTTATTTTGGAATGCCCTTGGCTGAGAAGGGGGGTCTATTGGTCAATTAGGGGGCTTAGAATTTTATTTTTGGTTTACAGAAAGAAAGCATGGGAGAAGTGGAAATATACACATCTGAAGTTTGTGACAGGTGGCTGAGCTGGAGAAACAGATTCAAACGTCAGAATTTATGTATGTATGTATGTATTTACTCAACAAATGCCTATGGAGTTCTTTCTATGTACTCAGCACATTTTAGGGGAGGATTCTCCTTTCACTGCAGCTTTAGCCCATAGATAATTGGACTTATTGGGGGAGTGCTAGGGAGGGTGCTTTTTCTCTTCTCACCCACCCCTCATTCACTCCTTACTGAAAGAGAAAAGGTTAATCAATAACTCTAAACTGGAAATTAAAGGGCAGCATTTTACTGTGGGTAGGGCCACTGTATTCATGGCATGCCCTCTTCTTCCTCCCACTTTCTGGACCTACGCTGCTGGCAGGTTAGTGTCAAGGAATCTGCCCTGTGGAAAGGGTGGTCCTTCCCTTTCTCTGCTCTGTCTTCCCCCATCGATCAGATTGGCTAGACCAGCTGTAAACTGCAAAGCAAGATCAGCTCAGATCAAAGCTTTGGAGGGAAGCGTGTTCTTTCTGGGGTGGTCTCTCCGTTCCTGTGTCTGGGCTGGCAAGGCAGACCTCTGATTCTCATCCACATGGGTAGTTGTGTAAGTGGACCCAGGGTTGCCATGCAGTGCTGGCCTTGGTTGCTCAAATACTCCAGGCATAGCTGAGTCTCAGGGCTGACAAGCAGGAGGTGTCACCGTGATCCTAAGCCTAAGCTGTTTTTTTCAATCCAGGTTCTACCAAGCTCTGCTTTGTTAATGCCATTAATAAACACTGTGTTTTTATTTGGCTAATGATCCTTGTAGGCATACTCCATTGGCCATGGCCTTGAAATTGGAGAGGGGAGAGTGGCAGTTCAAGCCTCTACTGCCACTAAAATAACACATAGGTTACCTAAAGCCTTGGAAGTCAATATGATATCCCAGGGAGAGCATGGAAAATGAGAAAAGATGAAGAAAAGATGACAGAATCCTCAGAAAAACCCACATTCAAGGAGCAGGCATTGGATCATAGGACTCTGCTGTGAAAGAAGAGTTAGGGTAGAAAGTCTGATGGAAACATGCTCATAGTGACTGTAGACATGGATACCACGGGAGATTTATTACTCCTCCTGTTTTCACCTTTTGTACTTAAAAAATCATTTTAACAAGGAACAATATACTTTTATAATAATAAAAAGGGACTTAGGAAAAAGTCAGATGCAGAAAGAGCTTAGCAGCATGAATCAGGCAGAGAAAAAACCCTTTAGAATAATTGTTTAAGATGTTAGGTGATCCTAAAATATTGCTGTCTCCCTATGACCTCAAGGAAAGATAAATCCTCTGTCCATCCCAGGTTGTGATGAATAAACCCACTCCTCAATTGCATGTACATTAATTGCACTTCTTTGACAATCAACACATGTATGAAGCAAATATGAATTTTGAAAAAATTCACGAAGTGAGGAACCACAGATCAACCTATCGGTACATGTGAGAAGCCATCTGGCAGAAAGTAAAGTCTGAGGTCAGGAAGCACACCTCAAGGCCAAGGAGACAGGGGCAAAGGGGA
The DNA here is from genome assembly GCF_000001405.40 of Homo sapiens. NCBI lineage: Eukaryota > Metazoa > Chordata > Mammalia > Primates > Hominidae > Homo > Homo sapiens. Next base: position 71,592,716 of record NC_000009.12, on the reverse strand, counting down.
GAAGAAACCTGGAGGGACTAAGAGCAGAAGAAATGTATTTGTTCATTCAGCAAATACTCAGTAGATGCCTGTTATGTGTCAGGTTCTGAGTAAGGTATTGGGAATGCAATGTTCGACAATATTAATGTGGTTTCTGTCCTCAACCTTCTGTATTAGGGAGGATACAGGCAAGTGAGAAAAGAGTCACAACTGAATGATAAATGCTCTCATGGATCATTGCCATGGGAGTACTTAAAACCCCCAAGGTAAAAACCCATTTGTTCCTAGTGTTCCATTATTGGAACGCTAAGTATGTGGGAGTTTTTTTATTTATTTATTTTTTTGAGATGGAGTCTCGCTCTATTGCCCAGGCTGGAATGCAATGGCATGATCTCAGCTCACTGTAACCTCCCTCTGCCTCCCAGGTTTCAGCAATTCTCCTGCCTGAGCCTCCTGAGTAGCTGGGATTACAGGCGTGCACCACCGCACCTGGCTAATTTTTGTATTTTTAGTAGAGATGGAGTTTTACTATGTTGGCCAGGCTGGTCTCCAACTCCTGACCTCATGATCCACCCACCCCGACCTCCCATATGTGGGAGTTATTTATATCCTACTGCTCAAGATCATTGCCAAGGTCTGATTGCAAAAATTCCAAAAAGTGCAACCTCAGGCATAAATGGGTTAAAGGGTCTCAGACAGGCCAGGTATGGTGGCTCACTCCTGTAATCCCAGCACTTTGGGAGGCAGAGACAAGTGGATCTCTTGAGTCCAGTAGTTCAAGACCAGCCTGGACAACACAGCAAAACCCCGTTTGTACAAAAAGAAATATGAAAAGTAGCTGGGTGTGGTGGTGCATGCCTGTAGTCCCAGCTATTGGGAGGCTGAGGTGATGGGAGGATCACTTGAGCTGAGGAGGTGAAGGTTGCAGTGAGTCAAGATTGCGCCACCACACTCCAGCCTGGGTGACAGAGTGAGACCCTGTCTTGGGGAAAAAAAAAAGAAAAGAAAAGAAAAGAAAAAAAAGGGCCTAAGGCAGAGCTGGATGAGAGATGAAGGAGGAGGTGGTGGTGGTGATGTTGGTGGTGGAGGTGTGCATATAACTCTGCCACTGACCTTAGCTTTCCCTAGCTACATGCGTGGAGAGTCTTTTTAGGACAAAAAGGTAACATTTTCCCCCAATAACTGTGCTTATAAAATTATGGTGCTTCAGCATAGATACATTGATGTTTCTGTGACTGAATAAAGAAATTACTGTTATATTAATTAACAAAATAGCTAAATATTATGAATCCTCACCCAGCATCTGAATATGCCGTTCGGTTTTGCTGGAGAAGCCTCCTTCACTTTAGAGGTTGTGTGGTTCCCATACCTAAACCGGCTGAGAAGCTGCGTTATGGACAGAAGCTGGTGGATGCCAAGACAGACAGGCCATTGCATGGCAGCTGTAGCTGATTATAGCCTGTTAAATTTGTAAAGACACGTGTCATTGTGCCACTCTGCTTCAGTGAAGCCATACATTCTATTCGTGGATGTTTGGGGCCTGAGTTCCCCCAAGGTTTCAGCTCTGAGGTGGCACATCTCCTTGTTGTGTAGGGAGCCAGGGACATTGGAGTGATATCTCCTTGGCTTAATAATAGGGAAAATTGCATGAGCAAGGGATTGAAACAAAAGACTGAGATTAAAATATGTAGCCCTAAAGTTTTATTTTTATTGTCATATGGCCCTGAGCCTATAATCGGCTAAAAATCCCAATTCAGGGCTGGGCACAGTGGCTCATGCCTGTAATCCCAGCACTTTGGGAGGCCTAGGCGGGTGGGATCACCTGAGATCAGGAGTTTGAGACCAGCCTGACCAACATGGTGAAACCATGTCTCTACTAAATACAAAAAAATTAGCTGGGCATGGTGGCACATGCCTGTAATCCCAGCTACATGGGAGGCTGAGGCAGGAGAATTGCTTCAACAGGGGAGGCACAGAGGTTGCAGTGAGTCAAGATTGTGCCATTGCACTCCAGCCTGGGTAACAGAGTGAAACTCTGTGTTAAAAAAAAAAAAATCCCAATCCAATTTCTGGCAAGTTTTTTATTAGTTAAATGTGGAAATTAGTACATGTAAAATGACACCAGGCTACCTACATGACGGGCTAACCTCTGCCCTGTGGGTTTAGAGATGCAGAGAGGTTTAAGGGAGAACATGACATAAGACCTTGACCTCTCTGGACCACGTGGTATGGGCTGGGGGAATCTCTGAGAAGGCTAGAACTGTAGAGTTGTGAGCATTTAACAAGAGAATGCTATGAGAGCACTTAGAATATATAATAAGCACTCAATAACTGTTCTTCTTTTTCTGTTTCCTAAAATCTTTTCCCTCATCACCGTGGCCCTCAGATCTTTACAACTCTTCTGCCAACCTGTTTGGGGACATAGAACAGGCTTTGTGGAAACAGGACTATGATAACAGGGCCACAGTTTCTACTCTTGCTTTCAGGGCAAGGACATAGTTTTGTCAAATTAAATGATGGTTCTGGAGTATTTTAAACCTTGAATCGAAGTATCTCTCAGATTTTTTTTTTTAATTTTAAAAATATAATACTTTATTGAGGGGTTAAGATGTCATTATGAGACAGGATAGAAATTTAACCTTGAAGACCTTTCAGTGGCTCATCCAAGGCCACAGAGCAAATAAAAACCATACCCATCATATAGAATATCCGAATGGGGTGCCAGAAAAGTCACAACTCAGAGGGTCAATGATTTTTTTTTTCAAGAGCATAAATCCAAGTTTATTTATTGACTTTTCGTTAGTTTAGATCCTTGAGGGGTACAGCATCACTCGGATTCTGTGTCCAATAGCCTTAGCAGGAAGATTACTTCGGAATTTGGCACGAACCAGGCCACTGTTTCCATGAGCATGAGTTACCTTTCCCCCGATTACTCTGGTTTTGTTTGGTTTGCTGCCAGGAGTCACTGGGTTGTTCTTTGCTTTGTATACATAAGCACATCTCTTGCCCAAATAGAATTCTGTTTCATCTCAGGCATAAACAACTTCAATTTTTAGAAGAGGTGTGTGCTCCCTTTGGTTCCAGAGATCCTGCTTATAGCCGGCAAAAATGGCATTGGACCACAGCCTTCCAGATATAGTTCCTTTTAGAAGTCCTGTTCCCAGCAGGCCTCCACAGGAGCCAAGATGGCGGGAAGAGCAATGATTTGTAACTCCTGGGTAAACAGTAATATAAGGGTCCCAATCCCTGTCCTTCGCGGGTGTTCGAGTCAGAGTCCAGGTTCCTCGCAGTCAGATTTCTGCCCCTGTGGTTGTGTCTGCTTTAGCCGTCATCTGTGAGTGTCAAGTTGGGATTTCCTGTCTTCCTCAGCCACCAGAAGTGCCTGGGTTTCCTCAAACACGTCGCATCTGGTCACCCCGTCAAGGCCCAAAGACAGATCATCGGGATGTTGTGTGCAAAAGAGCAAGGCCCTCATTTATTAGTGTTTGTTCCCCGCCTTCCTTCCTTCCCTCCCTTCCTTTCTCACCTGAAAAACAAAATAAAGGAAGGAACATCAGAGCGGTATCTCTTAGGCTTAAAAATGGGAACACTGCATGAGAAGGGGATTGAAATGAAAGACTGAGATTAAAATATGTATTTTTCTCACCTGAAAAAGAAAATAAAGCAGAAACAATTTGGAAGAAGTAGAAAGATAGCTGAGTTAGGAACCTAAGTTCAGACATTTCTATTGCTAAGTACCAAATGTAGCTCTGCATTTCCTAGAAGTGAAGCAAAACTACTTAAGCAGTCCAAGGGTAGAAAATAGGCTATATTAGCAAGTTGGAAATAATACATTTGTGAGTAATTCTAATTCTGCAGAATGAATTTTAGAAGATTTAACTAGAGAGAGATATAAAAAGTGTGTCCTAGTTCTCATCATCTTCATTTCTTCATTCTTTCTTTCCATCAATCACTATTTGTAATTAAATAAGATTGCATATTTTCTTGTTTATTGTCCGCTTTTCTGATCAGACTATAATCTTCTTGAGGGCAGGGACTATGCCCACATTGTTTACTACTGGATACCCAGGGTCTAGCACAATGACTTTAAACAGAGTAAATGCTCATAACTTTTGGTGAACACATGAGTGAATAAAAAATTTTGAAATGGTACATTTTCTGATAACATACACAGGTAAGTAAACAGAGTCAAAAGAACTACATCAAGAATGAGATCAAAAATGATATTACATCAGATGTTACAATTTAAGAGATCTAAGACCAATAGTAGCTTAGCAGCCTATGTTTGGTTTTGCCTATCAGTCTGTTTCCAATGGAGCTAAGATATTGAAGAGTAAACAATTAAGAAGGCATTGCCAAATAATATAGCTAAATCTCTCCTACCTGTGTAACTTATGGAACTGAATATCACATCTGTGTCATTTTTACTAAGGGATTCACAGACCAGCCCCCATAGAATTTTTCTCTCTTAGGTAGAAAGACAGGGATGACCATATCCTATCAATGATGAAAGAGAGAGGTGACCTGTGTAAATCCAAATGGTGAGTCAGTGATGGAGATTCCAGAATGACTACTGAGCTGTAGGGCCCTCCCTGAGTCACTGAATTCTTCTGAGCCTCATCTGCATGGGCGCATGGGTCCTATAATAGATGGCCTGCTATCTGTCTCACGGGGTTATTGAGAGAATTCCATCTCCCAGTAGATGTGAAAGTCTTTCAGAGACACATTACATAAACATAATATAAGAAAGCTTTTTTTTTTTTTTTTTTTGCCTGCCAGCATGTAGTTCTGTGTTACTTGGGGAAGCCTAAATTGCTGAAACAGACCTAAAAAGTAATGTCTTAAATGAAAAAGGAGTTTCATTCCTTCTCACATCACAGTCCAGAGTGGTTTTGGTGGTGAGAGCACTGGTAGTCTGGCGGTGGCTGAGGATTCTGCTCCATAGAGTCATTGAAGGACTTAAGTTGACTGAAGCTCTGCCATCCTTAACATGTGACTCGTGGTTGCTGTGGGCAATGCCTTTGTCACTCATAGGAGTGACAATGAGTTTAATGGCCCAGGCCTGGAAGTGGCACTATTGACTTCTATTCATTGGAGGGGATTTCTTTACATAGCCACTCCCAAAGTCAAAAGAAGTTGGGAAGCGCAGTGCAGATGGGCAGCCCTGTGCCTTCTTCTCTAATGGAAGTTGAGAATGGGTTTTGGTGGGCAGTCAGCAGCCTCTGCTTCTGTTCTTTTATTCTGATAAAGTCAAATATTCCCCTTATAGGATCTTATATCACCATGTACCTCATATCCTTTGTACTAATCAAAGATATAATTTTACATAATATGTTTATTTGATTAACTTTGCACCACTGAACAAGGGCAAGGGTCATACCTCTTGTCATCGTGTGTCTCCAGCACTTAACACAGTGCCAGGCTTGCAATACAACTTCTGTAAATAATTTTTTCCATGAGAAAGAATGCATGAACATATAAAAATATTGATTAATACTGAAGAACCTCAAGTGAGACAGTCTGGATGTGTCTGATGAGGTCTGGGGCCTTGCCCTCATCAGGCATCTCTTTGTGACTTTTGATACACTTGGAGAAAGGAGGTGTGGTAGGTAGAATTCTAAGTTGACCACAGTGACCCTTGTGCTTGTATAATCTCCTCTCTTTGTGAGTAGGTGAATATGATGAGACATCATTCCATGACAAGGTTATGTTGTATGGCACAGTTGACTTCAAGAAAGGGAAATATATTCTAGGTGGATATGACCTACTCAGATGAGTCCTTAAAAGGGACTGGCTCTGGCCAGGTGCGGTGGCTCACACCTGTAATCCCAGCACTTTGGGAGGCCGAGGAGGGTGGATCACCAGAGGTCAGGCGTTCCAGACCAGCCTGGCCAACATGGTGAAACCCGGTCTCTACTAAAAATACAAAAATTAGCCAGGCATGGTGGCAGGCGCCTGTAGTCCCAGCTACTTGGGCGGCTGAGGCAGGAGAATTGCTTGAACCTGGGAGGCAGAGGTTGCAGTTAGAAAAGATTTTAGGTGTTCTCAGTACATGCACATGTGCGTGCACACACACACACACACACACACACACACACACACACACATCCACTCACAAAGAAAAAGAAAATAAAAAGGTAACTGTGAGGAGATGGATATAAATTTGCTTGACTGCAGTAATCATTCCACTATGTATATGTATATCAAAACATGTTGTATACCTTAAATACATAGAACACAATAAAAATAAATAATTTCTAAAAAGCCCAGAACAGTTAATGTCAAAATGTTGCTCCCTTCTACTTGCCAGGATGAATGCGGCATCTGGACTGGGGCCAGGCATGAGTGGACGGAAAGCAGGACCACCGGTCATTTACACAGCTTGTCCATTGGCAAGTGCTGCTGAGCCTAGGCAAATCATCCATGGATTGAGGGTGAGTAATGAAAATTAGCCTACCTAAGGTTAAGGAAGAAGCCTGCAGTATAAGGGGGAGGCAAGTATATCTGGCAGACTCAGAGGAAGAGCAGAACTTTGAAAAATAATCCATGGTACCATCCACAGAAAAAATGTTACCATTCTCAAAGGATTGCATGAAGAAAAAATATATTTCAAAAGGACCAGACTTCATAGTGTCTGTCCCTACTTAGTTATACTTGAAGAAAGAGAAAATGCAGATGGCCTTGGCTCCATTCTGTCCACTTGAGTGCCATTTATGTCCCTTTTAGTGTCGCTGTTGGGGGGCAAGTTGAGGTGTTTGGTTCTAGCTTCTTGGCCTCCAAGATTTTCTCTGTTTCTAGATATCAATGTGATTTTTAATCTCTTTTATTAATTACAATGATAAAGCAAAAATAGTCCAGGCTTGGCAGTGTGTTATATCTGCCTTAGATTTTGGAAATGTAGTATGTTTTTATCTTTTCCGCTTACAATGATATTTTGTTGAAAAACTTGGAGGGTCCGCACTGGGGCTGCCATTCCAAACTGAAGGTCTCATCTTAAGTTCTTTTTAATAATAGTTAATAATAGTAAAAAATTTTGTTTATTCAAAAATTACTAAAGGCATTTAAGATATTTAAAAACAAATTAGTTGTTTTTATAAGCAAGAAGTTAACATTACTGGATATGATCTCCTATTTAAGAATTTTGTTTAGCCTGGCGCAGTGGCTCATGCCTGTAATCCCAGCACTTTGGGAGGCTGAGGCGGGCGGATCACGAGGTAAGGAGTTTGAGACCAGCCTGGCCAATATGGTGAAACTCCCATCTCTACTAAAAATACAAAAATTAGCTGGGTGTGGTGGTGTGTGCCTGTAGTCCCAGCTACTCGGGAGGCTGAGGCAGAAGAATCGCTTGAACCTGGGAGTGGAGGTTGCAGTGAGCCAAGATCGTGCCACTGCACTCCAGCCTGGGTGACAGAGCGAGACTACATCTCAAAAAAAAAAAAAAAAGAATTTTGTTTAAAAATAGTTAAAACTGATAAATAAAATGAAAATGTGAATAATAAGGGGCAAGCCTGCCACATATCTGTGGACCACACAACTCCAGGGAATGAATGATGCACTTGGAGTTAAGTGAGCACCTCTGATCAGACTAAAATCATCTCATCCAGTGAGTAAATGACATACCCATAATTAAATGTTTAAATTTTATCAAATGTTGATATCTAAAGCCACATTTGAACAAAAAGACAAAATACAGGGTTTGTAAATAATTTTCCTTTCACATGACTGATGATTGAGAGTGGCCCCCTGAAGAACTGTGTTAAAAAGGATTCTGAGTCTATATTTAAACCTAGAGGGGAGAAGGGGTCAGGATCAATTGTTCCTGGTTGTCACAGTCACTGACAGTGGAGTGGCAATACCTGTGTAGTGCTTTTGTTATCCCTAGTGTAAAATACGGGAAAAACATAAATCGAGAAAAAGAAACTATAAAAACCAAGTAGATTAGTCTCAAAAAAATCAAAGATGTCTTTCCTCAATTTAACATGTTACCAGTCTAACAGTGTATGTAAAGCCCTGTACAATGATCTATGGGGCTGTTAGATAGAGCTGAGATCACATCAAACCCATGGACACCCGTTTCAAACCTAACTGCCAAAACTTTTGCTTTTATTCAAACAGAAGAATAATGACAGTCATTACAAAGTAATCCTGCTGAACATTTTGTAGTGCATCACATTCAGGTGACCTCACAATGATAAAAAAAGAAATTGCTTTTGTGGTGTTCATTTTAAAAATGTTTTCTGAAATATTCATTTTATGATTGTATTAGTCTGCCTGGGCTGCCATCACATGCTACTACAGACTGGGTGACTTAAACGACAGAAATGTATTTTCTCAAAGTTCTGGAGGTTGGAAATCTGGAAGTCCAAGGTCAAGGTGCCAGCAGGCTTGGTTTCTGGCGAGGCCTTTCTCCTCAGCTCGCAGATCGTACCTCCTTGCTCTGTCCTCTCATTGCCCATCTCTCTGTGGCACACATGTTGAGAGAGAGCTCTCTGTTGTTGCTTCTTCTTATAGGACATCTGTCCTACTGGACTAGACTTAATATTCATTACCTTCTTAAAGGCCCTGTCTCTAGAGTCACATAGGGGTTAGGGCTTCAATGTATGAATTTGTGGGGCTGGGGAAGACACAATTCAGTCTCTAACAATGATATGCAACAATGTCTTGAGTTGCATATGATCTCCTACAGGGGACAGCCACATGCTTACCTTCCTACAACGCATGGAAGAATGCAATCAGTGCTGGAGGGTGGAGTATAGATACAGCCAAGTGCTCAGGGAATTAAGTTACCAAGGGTAACAGCCACAGCCTTTTCTCCAAGTCAACTTTTTCCTTATCTCTTTAGCTGCTTACATTTCCCTAAACATCAATGGAATCTGCATCAGTTGGGTTTTCAAATTGTGTTCTACAGAGCCTTAGTGTTTCATGGTTGTATTTTAGTGATTCCTAAATGCGTGATTTAGATTTCATGTACAAATATATTCAACTATTAAAACATGATATGTGAAATAACTCAAGTGTGTTATGTACCAAATTTTAACACATTCAGGACCACTTATATGACAATTTATTGTGCCAGGTTATCTTGACTTTCTGTAGGCCTTGGAATAAAACCCCTGCCATTTCTGCCTAATTGAAGAATAGCTTGAGAATACAGACAAGCTGTCAGAAACAGGTTATCTGTGCAAACAAACAAAAAATATGCAAATAACTTGGACGCAAAGGTTATTACATAATTTCATGTAAATCTCTGATTTCTGCATTTTTTTCTTTCATTAAAACAAACTGACTTAATATAATTGTTACATATATGAACGCATACGTTTAGTAAATACATGATCATAAATAATGTATTTATATTTGTTTATTGTAAAATTTCGCTTGAGAGTAGAGCTGCTGCTAAAGCAGGTTTGAAAACCTCTGCTCTGTTTGTTTACATGTATTCTGTGTTGCATGCGCTGTTAAACAACTAAAAACTGTGCAAGCTTATCATAGGATATCTCCCAAACAGTGAGAGGTCTGACATAAAACACACAGTAGAGATCAGGCACATGGAAGTCTAGAAGGGTGCCCGTGAGTCATGGGTTTTGCAGCCTGACAGTGAGCAGTCGTTCATTATAAATCATTCGAATTTTAATTTTAAAAATTAGTGTAGGGACCTGAGTTAGGGAGGGACATTAATATGAGTATTTGGTATTAAGATGAGAGCAGCTCGGTAGGAAACTTCCTAATGGAAATGTCACTGATAGAAATTACCCCTTTCCAGGCAAGTGACTCTTTGATTTTCCTCTCAGCATTTGGAGACCAGGCAGCCTGACAGATACAGTGAAACAAGAGGGTGATTCAGAAAGCTGGAGGATCTAGAAATCCAACTAGGGAATTTGGAGATAGCAGTGTAATTTGACATTTGCATTATCTGAGGGGCACACTGGTCATTCTTTTTAATTGCTAAACCGACATTCAATGGGGGCAAACTGGTGGGGGAGAGTGAGGGGTGAAGGCAAAGATCAAGAATCCCGGGAAACACAGACCTGGCCAATGCCGAGGATTTGTACTGGTGGACAGGGGACCAGCCAAGGTCAGGGAAAAACTAACATGCTGCAAGCAATTTCAGTTTCCCTGTGGGATCCTTCTGGTGCTCAAAGAGCCTGTGGGTGGAGTGCCAGTGACCACTGGAGAAATTTTTAGAAGATGTATGGTATCATCTTTCCTGTGGGCAGGATGTGAGATGTTAATGATCACTCAATACTTATGAAATCTTATGTTGATTAAACTGAATGCACAAAAAGCTCTTGTCAATGTATTAAAAGTGTTTGCTTTTCATTCTTTAGTTTTCCAGTATTATTATGCCCTGTGCTTCTATCATTTTCTCTGTCATAGAAATTTATTTTGTAAAATCAGTTCATTTTGTAATCATGAATAAGAACACTGCCCTTGGATGTTTTTTCTTCTTTAATGATAGAAACTGTCTTTTTGAAGAACATTAAGAGAACCATGCCACAGCACTTAAATTATTTATATTTGTGGGTGACATGTTCATGAAAAGATTGAGTTCTTTTATCTGTCTCTGGAATAAGTCTTATTTCTCTGAGAATACATAACATAACGCAGAGAAATACACACTTATGGCAAGTATGTTTAAGAATTTTTGGTCTGGCGTGGTGGCTCACATCTGTAATCCCAGCACTTTGGGAGGCCGAGGCGGGCGGATCTCGAGGTCAGGAGATCGAGACCATCCTGGCTAACACGGTGAAACCCTGTCTCTACTAAAAAATACAAAAAATTTAGCCAGGCATGGTGGCGGGCACCTGTAGTCCCAGCTACTCGTGAGGCTGAGGCAGGAGAATGGTGTGAACCCAGGAGGCAGAGTTGCAGTGAGCCAAGATTGCGCCACTGAACTCCAGCCTGGGTGACAAAGTGAGACTCTGTCTCCAAAAAAAAAAAAAAAAAAAAAAAAAAGAATTTTCATGGGTGAAGTTAGACAAATGCTTTCAATATACAAATTTTTGTTTCTGTTAGAGAGAATACTGCAGCTACCCCTCCGTAAAGCTAACTCAACTCTCTGTGTTAACTGGTTGATGTTAATATTCAGGGTCTTTTTTGGTTGACTTCCTAGCAGTCAGAGATAATATGACGATTCACTGTATTTGTTTTTTTTTTTTTTTTTTTTTTTTGTGGGCTGGTTATGGTTCAAATGCATGGGAGTAATTCAAAGCTTTGCTTTTGCGGGTTCAATAATTCCATCTCCACTTAGAAATGAAATGATAGATTTTTTTAAGAAACAACTAAATAATGCATGATGTGATGGGATGAGGAGACTATTGCTAAAATTCACATCAAAAAGCATACTCTATCACACTGCTTGGTTCTCAGAGCTGTTCCATTAGTGCCCCTTTAACATGTAATATTTCCCAATTAAGTGTGTTGGTAAGAATTATTCATTTTAATAATTAAAGAGCTTCCCCAGCTCCCTGAAGAGCGTTACCATGGAGGCCCAGCTCCACTGCTGGGAATAATCACAGCATGGTAATGTAAGGAGAGGGTGACAGTTGAATGCTAGTATTGCCAATGGGTAAAACTAACTTGAAGGCTCATTTTAATGGCCGGGCCCTGGGCCACCCATGAAGTGACCTTTTGCTGTAGCAGGTTGTGATATAGGTTGGTTTTATGGCTATGATAGTGCATAAAATTGATCAGCTGTTATGTATTTTAACTATGTCTTGAGACACTCTAGAAAGACGTAAGAAAGGTTTCTGGCTGTCTTCAAGACTATTTAGCTATTAGGCAGTGATTCTTCCAGTTGGGTTTTATGATGCCTTAGGGCTGCTGTGAAATTCTCCAAACAAACTTATCTTTCATTTTAATTAAAAAGAAATGCATGGCTTTGGGGATTTTAGGAGGAGCTGGTGCAAAAGTAGGCTTTGAGAAGGGGTCATAACCAAATGCGACAGTAATCACTGGTCTGTTGGCAGCAGCTATGTTGAATTTGGGGTCTCTGGGTGGTAGTGAGACAGTGCCTCCTTGGGTGTAAAATACTGGTAAATGTAATCACAGCATAAGGGATTGATAATTCCCAAACACTTAAGTCTCTATGATAAGAAAGTTACATGGTGCAATAAAGTCAAAGACCCCATCCCATTACTGAAAAAAATGATAAGAATAAAGGTATCAATATATAATATACTACCACTATCTTCACCAGCACCCCCACTGTTATTCCCAGTAATCGTCATAATAAAATAGCGAATATTTAGAAAGTGCTTACCATGGAGCACTGTTCTAAGTGCATCCCATACATGGATTCATTTGACTATGATCTTCTAAGATCAGGTTCTGGATCCTGATAATTTGCTAATTTCAATGGCTATAACTGTGTCTACTAGTATGAGCACTACCCCATGATGACTTTTTAGTATTTTTTTGGTCACTATTTAGTACTGTACACCTTTCAAACCGCTCTCACATTTATTCACTTGATTCCTGCAACAAATCATTGAGGTAAAATAGGGCTATTTTTGTATTTTGAGACCTTATGGGATTTTCTCGTTTCAGTGGAAAATCTTGGATTCTTAGAATTTTCATATTGGAAGTATTTTACAGATTTTTTTTTTAAAACTGGCTTACAGAGGTTTGTGGCTTTCTTCATCTTCAAAACTATCTTTCCTTAGCTTCCTTTGATAAGAAGCAGCCTTGCCGAAAGGTTACTCAGGAACACTTTAAGAGCAAAAGCAGAGGCAAAGTGGCTTCTCTAAAGGGTTTTCATTGTTTTCCATCTTGGCTAACCTGGAAAATGAAAAGAACAAAAGGTGACAGAAGGGCTCAGAGGACAGAAGGGAAGAGCAGATGATCTGTCTTTGGTTTCTGACATGCTTCCTGGGACAAGACAAACCTGAGAACTTTTTGGGTTCACGGGCCATGAGTGGACTGTGGTGCTGGCCTTGTAGGGTTCCCGGCACCACTTGTCAGCCCACTTTGGGGTAGCTTGCTCAGAGCTCTTTGTCCACATTTGGGAGCAGACATGATGTAGTCATGAGTGTGAAAAAATGGCCAGAAGCCTGGGCCATAGAAGCCAGCTGTCCACCGCTCCTCCCAGAGTGGATCTGAGGCTCCAACTGTCAGCAGACCTCACCACCATCTTCTCTGTAATGCAGAGTCTATCTTGACAGATGGTTCTTACATGGTATTATAATTGCTTTTATGTTCCAGGGAGCCTTCTTAGCCTTCAACTCAGAGTTAACGTTTTAGCTAAATCTTTCTCTATTATTGTGATTTTGTGATATAACAAAAAAAAATTTGTATTTGGTATTTGTTCCTGGTTTCTGGCACAGAGTTCCTAAAACCCTTGGAATTTTCTGAGTGATAGAAGCACTTTTGTGTTATTCATAGCAAGCCCCTTTCAACCATACCTGAGTTTATGCTAAGGAGGTGACTCTTGGTGGGCCCTTAGGTTTTAAGGATGGGAGCTGGTAGCCAGAGGAATCAACCATGTAATTAAGGGTTGGAATTTTCAGTGCTGTTGCCCCAACTCAACCTCCAGGAAGGGGAGAGGGGATAGAGAATGAGTTAATGATCAGTGATCAGTGATTTGATCAATATAATAGAGCTTCCAGAAAACCTCTCACCAATGGGGTTTGAAGAGCTTCTGGGTTGGCAAACACACCAAGGTGCTGGGCAAGTGGCACACCCAGACAGGGTGGGAAGCTTGGCACACTCTTCCCCCATAACTTGCTCGATGCATTTCTTTCATTTGGCTGTTCCTGAGCTGTATCTTTTATTTAAAAATCTGGTATATGCAAGTAAAATGCTTCCCTGACTTCTGTGAACCGTTCTAGCAAATTACCAAACCTGAGGAGGGGATCATGAGAACCCGTGACTTATAGCTCATTGGTCAGAAGTACAGGTGGTTCAGTCTTGTGATTGTCATCTGAAGTTGGAGCAGACTTGTGCTAACTCCAGGTAGTTAGTATCATAATTGAATTGAATTGTAGGACACCCAGTTGGTGTTTCAAGGTTGGACAACTGGTTGGCGTGGGAAAAAACTCCCACACATTTGATGTCAGAAGTGGTGTTTGGAGTGAAAACCAGATCACAGTAGTGGTTATATTGGGTGATGTATAGATATGACCTAATGATTTTTGTATGTACTTAGTAGTAGAAATAACTTACTAATTAATAAGTTTCAATACAGTAGTAGATGCACATGTTTCTAGCACCCATGAACTGAAAGTAGAGTCATCACCAAATGAGAAGGAGGGTAGAGAGGGTCCTCTCGTGATTTGCACTCTAAATCCCTCTGTGTCCTAATCATGATGTTTTGTGTATTCGCAGATAACTATGGTTTTCTGTTTCTGTGGCTGACTTAATCAGGACATACTTGGTTGCAAGGAATACAAGTCTTTTAAAAAATGAATTAAATTTTATAAAATGAGAGATTTATTTTAAGGATACAACAGGTAATTTTAAGGCAATCCACAGGTAAGAATTGAAGTATGGCTTGTTCTTGTGGGACTGAGACTTGGGGATACTAAGGGAGGGTGCGAACGCTCTCTTACTTTTTCTTTCCAGCATCTCATTGTCTTTGGTGTCTGCTTTTCTTGGAGCACCTGTAGATTGTCTTCTATTATTTGCATGGCCTGTTGTGGTCATTTTCAAATGACAGCTTCGGCTCCCACATTTCCTATTTTATGGTCTGGTGCTGGCAGCCAACTGACTTAGACTCTGTGTCTCAGTTACTCTTCTTAGTTGCAGGCAACAGAAACTATCATGGCTAATTTAAGTAAAAGAGGAACTTACTAGGCGATATTGGAAAGCTCCTAGAATTGTTGAGAAGGCTTGGAAAATAGGCAGGAAACAAGGGAGACTTCTCAACCGGAAGGACAGCCAGGGTCATGTCCTGGGAAGACTCCCCGTCTGTTGATTGTCAGGCACCCACAGTTTGCACCTTTGACACTGAAGGCACTGGGCTCTGCTATTGCTGCTTCCACTGCTGTCCTCTTCAGTGCTCTTGAAACACAATTCTCTAGCATTCCCACACTGTGCATCACTAGGTTCCAATCCAAAGTTCAGGGCAGATATTTCTGATTGATCAAGCCTAGGTCATGTGCCAGTTCCTTGGCTGCAAGGGAGGCTGGGAAAGCAATTATTGGGCAATTCGGGTTCCACTGTGGAAAGAGGGATATGCTTCCCACTAGGTCTCATGAGGTAGGAAATTTCTCAAACTCAACAAGGTTTAGATTCCTGGCAGTCAAAAAACAAAAACAAAAACAAAAACACAGAAAACAAAACTTCAAAAAAAAAAAAAAAACAAAAACAAAAGGTGACTATACTCAGTAACCTATTTCCTCAGACCTGAATGAATGTGAACAATCTTTTTTGAGTCAGACATGCAGCTCTAGACCAATTGACTATGGCCAGTGAGGCAAGATGTCTTTATTTATAGGGCTGAGCATTCCAGGGCTGTGGGGTGGTAGATTCTTCTCTAAGAAAAGGAAGTGTGGCTGGGTGTGATGGCTCACACCTGTAATCCCAGCACTTTGGAAGGCTGAGGTGGGAGGATCACTTGGGCCTGGGAGTTCAAGACCAGCCTGGGCAACAAGATGAGACTCCATCTCTACAAATATATATATATAAATTTTTTTAAAGGGAAATGTGGAATTATGGCTAGGTAATCCCATCTCTTTTTCTGATGCTTGGTATCCTGAGGTGACACAGGCACCTTGTGGTTCTTTGGGTGACTTGTGTCTTGCACTACCCATCTCAGATTACTTGCTAACTTGCCATTGATTGCATTAGTACATTTATAGGTTTATTTAGCTTTCCTGGGACAGTAGTTGTTACTTTGGGGTATTTGGTAGCTCTGTGATCCCAGACATTTTTGAGAAGGTTCAATTCCTTCTCTTGCTTAGATAATGAACAAATCTGAGCCGCCTCCTTAGCTGGACATCTGAAATTGTAACTCCTAATATTCACCAAACTGTGCCTAATGAAACAACCCTTTGAGGCTTTGACAAAGGGTCAAAGGTCAGGCAGGCATAGCCTTTGAGAACACGTATCTTCGTATGTCTGAGACAGTGAAGTATAAAAATGGAAAAATGCTTTGGAAAGTTAAAACAGCACTACATAATTATTCACTGCAATTACTTTTGCTCATTTGAAAAAATAACTTGTATATATACTGTATATCTATTTTATGCTAGGTACTGTACCAAACTCTATTGAAGTTAGTTTTATTCCTTATATTAAGGAGCAGAGCTCATGGTAATTTAAGATAAATCTCTCTCAGTTGGAGCTAAATAAATAACTGATAAAAGCCATATATAGCTTTGTGTTTCTATAATTTAATAATTTGAATATTTGGGATTCAAGTGTAGGGAGACTGGATATTTAGCCCAAAATTACAGCACCCATCCCGAGAGAAAAATGTAAGTGTTTTAAATTTAATAAAGAATTCTGAAACTCCTTTGGAGTTTTTGTTTGGAAACCTGAATTTTAACAAGTACAACTGGGTATTTGCTCTGAATTAGTAAGTGGTGTCAGGAGCAACAATTATCTTTAATGTTTACTGTTATTTGAGCTTTGGAGGAGGAGAAAAATACTCATGGGAAATATCAAAGTTGATAGGCAATAAAAGGAGTCTGTAAGAAGCAAGATACAAGCAAGAAGGGATATTATATAAAAACCTCATCATATTGAGAGGCAAGAGTAGTAGAAAGATTTTCTTAATTATATACTGCCAGATTTAAAAAGTTTGACGTTGGTATATTAAATGTGGTAAAATATTTGGATTTATTTGGACCTTGGAAGTAAAATGCAGAAGTTTAAACATGGGCAAAGAGTTAAAGAATATCAACAATCTACTCTATCATCACCCATTTTACTAATTTATGTTATGAACTACATCCACATCGACCATCCACATCGACTCTCTTGTTCTGAAGGTCTCTTGCATCCCAGAAAGATGTTATAGTTCTATGTGAAAAGTAATGACATAATTATGTTATAGAACAGGGACAATTTTGTTTGACAACATGGTTGTAGGTGAGAGGTATCAAAATAAATCATGCTCTTTATACTTAGTAGGATGAAGAGAAATCACTATAAATAACCACTTTGGTCTTTAGGAGGACTGAGTTTTCCTCAAAAGGGCAAATACTCATATAGAAACAGGCAGATTGGTTTACTGGAATAAGATCCTCCTGCAACCACTCTAATTTGACAAAAGTACTGATGGATAAAGCCCTCGTTAAGTTGTGAAGGTTAAAATCAAGCAAACTTGCTATCCAACTGAATTCTCTAAAGCGAGAGTCATTCAACTTTCCGTAAAGAACCAGAGAGTGAATAGTTAGGGCTTGGCACATACTGTGGTCTCTAGCACAACTGCTCAAGTCTGCCATTATAGTTCAAAAGCACCCGTAGAAACAAACAAGTATGCCTATGTTCCTATGACATTCTGTTTATGGAATCTGGAATTTAAATTGCTTATAATTTCATGTGTCACACATATTATTTGTCTTTTGATTTTCTTTTCAGCTATTTAAAAACGTAAGAATGATTCCTAGTTTATGGGCTGAACAAAATCAGGCAGTAGACTGGATTTGAGCCATGGGCTATAGTTTACCAACGCTGCTTTAAAGTGTCCTAGCTCTTTCTTTCTCTCATAGCTTCCAAACTAACTAGGATTCAATAAATTTTCATGAGGCAAATCACAGCCTCTGCTGCATCTCTGCTTTGTTTTAAAATATCATGGTCTAACCTTTCATACCTCTTCCCCACACAAGTGGCAATATCTTCAATTTATAGAGTCAAGAATGTAAAATGTGGATAAGACTGGTCAGAGTTTATAGATTCAATATTCACTGCTGTCCTCCACGTTATTTAATTCATCTTTTCTCTTCATAGTTTTGTAACGTAATTCCTAATCCTTTCCCTTCACTATTCACTTCAAATCTAACTTGTAAGTGACATATATAATCTTCTTTGGAAAATATATTTGCTGTGACTCCAACAGTCCCTCTGTTTTTGCTTTCTTACTCTTGAAATGAGAGAACACACATTTTAGCCCCAGATGAATAAAAGAAAAAATAATAAATAAATGAGGTTGAACATCAGCCAAAATACAGGCTTTGCATAAGCTGCCCAACTAATTTCCCTTAGCTTTGTCTGCTCTATTAATTTTCTGCCACTTGCTTATTTTCTTACAAATCTTATACATCCTGTATATGCAAAAGCAAGACCAGTAGATTATATTTGAAGTAGACAAGCAGAAGAACTCAGCATTCTCACTATCATAATAAAAAAGCATTTCTTAATTCAGTTTAACCAATAATGAATGTGTGTGCATGTGCTTTTCAATAGCCAGCACTGTGTTGAATGGGAGGTACTAAAAGCCTGTACAGTTGGCCCTCTGTATCCACAGGTTGTGCATCTGCACACCAGCCAACCACAGATCAAAAACATTCAGAAAAACAAAATAAAAGTAACAATACAACAATAAAAATAATATAAATAAAAAGCTGATACAGTGTAACAACTATTTACATAGGACTTACATTGTGTTGAGTATCCTAAGTAATCTGGAGGTGATTAAAAGTGTATGGGGGTAAGTTATATGTCAGCAAGTTACATGCAAATACCATGCTATTTTATACTAGAGACTTGAATATCTACAGATTTTGCATCCATGGGGGTCCTGGAACTGATCCCTGGATACTGAGGGAGGACTGTGCAATAAAGTATATACCCTCAGAGAATTTGCAATTAAAGAATACTCCCAAATATATTTAAATAAAAATAAAAAGCAGTAAATATGCCACCTAACCTGTCCAAAAGGGTAACAGAATTGGTAGACAAAAATATCCCATATGCCTTCTTTATTTTTTTCCCTCCAGGGCTGTATCATTTAAAAAGCTTCAGCTTCTCTGAAGTTCTTCCTAACCCCCTAGGCTGCTAAAGAATTTCTCACACATGCTCCCTTTTGTAGTTCCATCTTTAACACCATGACATTTTTGCTACAGCTTGTTTAGCTTGTCTGAGGTCATAACACTGGAGACTCCTGCTAGCCTGACTTCTGGGTGTGGACAATATCCTGAGCCTGGGAGTGTCTGATTGTGTATCTTCTGTTATTTCTTTTTAATTTAATTTATTACTATTATTATTATTTGGAGACAGGGTCTTGCTCTGTTGTCCAGGCTGGAGTGCAGTGGTACAATCATAGCTCACTGCAGCCTTGACCTCCGGGGCTCAAGGGATCCTCCCACCTCAGTCTCCTGAGTAGCTGGGACTAGAGGTACACACCACCACACCCAGGTATTATAATTTTCCTATTTTTTGCAGAGATGAGGTCTTGTTATGTTGCCTAGGCTGGTCTCAAACTTCTGGTTTTAAGTGATTCTCCTGAGTCTCTGAAGTTATAGGCGTGAGCTACCATGCCTGGCCTTATCCTCTGTTGTTTCTAAGGGAAAATCCTGAATATCATGTTACTGGTATGCTGAAAATGTCTGTTGCTTCATTTTTACCCTCTGCAGAAAAGCAGTTCAATCTCCAAAGTTTCTTATCAAATAGATGATACAGTTCTTTCATTTTAATGTAATGTTTATTGCAGCCCATTTCTCACCCCAGGACTCAGGAACTGAACCTTGAAAACTGTACTGTGAATAATTTGAGAGTTAGACACAAACATATAATCATCCCTCCCCTCAGGAAGAACCCAGTGACCTTGAACCAACCGTACCACCTCAATTCTCCTTCTTTTAACATGAATTCTTTTCCCTAAGATCTCTCAAATGGCAAATTTCATATGTGATGGCCATTCTCAGCTTGGTCTTCCATTCCGAGGCTCTCTCCAAAAACAAATATATATACACACATATTTGTATACGTGTGTGTGTATATACGTTAATATGTGTGTATTTGTGTGTGTGTGTATATACATACATACATACATATATATTATATATATATTATATATATTATATATATAATATATATATAATATATATATATATATAAGACAAGGGGCCTGACTCTATTGCCCAGGCTGGAGTGAAGTGATGTGATCTCAGCCCACTGCAACCTCTGCCTCCCAGGCTTAAGCTGTTCTCCCACCTCATCCTCCCAAGTAGTTGGGACTACAGGCATGCACCACCAAGCCCGGCTTATTTTTGTATTTTCTGGTAGAGACGGGGATTTGCCATGTTGCCCAGACTGGTACCAAACTTGTGAGCTCAAGCCATCTGCTCACCTCGACCTCCCAAAGTGCTGGGATTACAGGTGTGAGCCACTGCAAAAAAAAATATGTTTAATAGCTGGAGTGAGTCACAGAGTGACAGAAGTTATAGATAGGTGTTCAAAGAGAATAAATGGTTACAGGTGAGTTGTCAGAGGAAGAGTCTGTGAAGATGTAGGATTTGAGCTAGACTTTGAAAAATGCATAGAATGTGGATAGCCAATGTCTTTCTTTGTTGGTGCTGTGATTGACATTTTAGGAGTGTGTAATCTAGGGCAGAGCTCATTTCTGTGGGCAGATCATCAGGAGATAGACAGTGGAAGAGATGTTTCAAAAAACATGAAGTAAAGTAATCAACAAAAGTTTAGAAAATGAAATCAGTGAGAAAAGGCATGTCTAATACATTAGTTGCCATTTTATGTTACCTGTTAGTGTGTACTATGCCCTGTGGCATGTTTTAATTATGTCTGTCCAAGACAGGAGCAGATTTGTGTGCAGGAAAGGCTTCATAGAAGAAAGGGATTTCAGAAGTTTCTGAGCACTTCCTTGGAGGCTTAAGATACTCTTACCAATTTCATTGATAAGATTTGTGGGATAAAATTTCTTGGAATACCACCAGGATGAAACTCAGGGTGAAATGTTTCTTGTATTTGCTTGAACAGCTTTCCATTGGGTAGAGTTCTTTAATCTATCAGGTGAGTTGATTTTTGACTGAAAAGAAAAATTTATCTCTGTGGTAAACTGCACGAAATGACAAATAAACAAACAAACAAACAAACAAACCTACTCCACAACTAGTTAAATTCTCTGGTCATGGTTTTTATAGTTATGTTTGCGTTGAGCCAAGGGCAATGAAGTAAATAAATGTGGCACAGGAAGAATTAATAAGACTGGAAAGTGTAAATTAATTGTGAGTTTGTAATAGTTCTTGATAAGGCTTGACTTTCTCTTTTTGAATAAACAGCAGTAGAGGGTATTTGTTATTTTCAACATACGAACATTTATGTTGAAGCCATAACCCCCAGCATGATGGCATTTGGAGATGGGATCTTTGGGAGGTATTTAGGTTAAGATGAAGTTTTGAGGGTGGAGCCCTTGTGGTTGGCTTAATTTCCTCATAAGGAGAGGAAGAGACACCAGAATGTGCTCCCTCTCTCTGCCATGTGAGGATACAGTGAGAAGGCAGCTGTTTGCAAGCCAAGAAGAGGTCCCACGCCAATAACTGAATCTGCCAGCATCTTGATCGTGGTCCTCACAGCCTTTAGAACTATGAAAAAAAAGGTTTGTTTTCTAAGTCACCCAGTCTATAGTATTTCGTTATAGCAACCTAAATTGACTAAGAGAGTCCTCCTCATCACGCACAATTTCCTAGGGGCCGATGAACCCGGTAAGAGGAGACTGGTATCTTGTATAATTTTATGTTATTTCACCTTTCCTCTCTACCCTAGCATTTTCATCACAAATAAGGCCAAGGAGAGTGAATGTTGTTATCAAAATTTTTAAAAGTTCAATCACAGGAATAGTTAAGTTGGAATTGAATCTAGCAATGGGTCTGTGGATTTATTTATTTATTCAATTTATCCAAGGGAAGCAATGGAGAGTAATTAAAAGAGTCCAAGGTTTGGAGTTACAGTGCTGGCTTTGAAAGCCTAGCTTGGGCACTTAGTGACTGCCATGTTATTATGCTCTCCAAAGCTAAGTGTTGTTACATGAAATAAGGATAATAACAGAGCAATTGTGAGATTTTGGTGAGATCATGTTTCTTGAGGTCAGGGACTTTTTTCTTTTTCTTTTTCTTTTCTTTTCTTTTTTTTCTTCTCTGAACTTTATTTTTTCTTTCTTATATTTTCAGCTCCTAGTACAGTGTCTAGTAAATGCTTAGCTAACATTTGTTAAAATTTGAATTAGTGAATTTTTAAGTAAAAGCGACTTACACATAGAAAGTGCCTATATTAGTCAGGGTTTTTCAGGGAAATGGAACCAATAGGATGTGTGTGTGTGTGTGTGTGTTTGTGTGTGTGTGTGCACATATACACATTTGTATAATGTGTGTATATATATATGCACATATATTACATATATATTATATGTATGTATGTATCTATCTATCTGTATGAGAGAGAGAAAGATAAAGAATTGATTTACATAATTCTGGAGGATAGCAAGTCCAAAATTTGTAGGGCAGGCCAGTAGGCTAAAGGCCTAGAGAATAGCCAGTGTTACAGTTTGAGTCTGAGTTCCTGTCACACTGGCAGAATTCACTCTTGCTTGGGGGAGGTCAGTCTTTTATTCTCCTCAGGCCATCAACTGATTGGATGAGGTTTACCAACATTATGGAGGGCAATCTAATTTATTCAAAGTCCATGGATTTAAATGTAAATCTCATCTAAAAGTACCCTCACAGAAATGCCCAGAAAAATGTTTGATCAAATATCTAGGTACTGTGGCCCAGAAAAATTTATACACATAAACAACAGTGCCTAATAAATGTGAATTCACACATTTATATTATCCCTGCGCAAGAGTGGATTATTGAGTCATCCATTAGCAGACCATAAACCCAGTCTCAATTTATTATCAGTAACCAATTTGCTAGAGAAGCATGAAAAACAGAGAGAACACTTCTTAGCTGATGTCTTAATGTCCTGTTTCTTATAGATTTTCCCTCAGCAATGAAAATATATAGTTGGGCAATATTTGAGACTGCCAGCTTACTTGCTGTAAGTAGATTTCTTTCTTTCTATACCTTTTCTAGGGCCATTTCTATCCCCTTAACTACTTTATATTTTAGATTAATTATAAACTGTGAAAAGCACGATCACTGGTACTGCTGGACTTGGAAATAGAAGCTTATTTTTTCTTGTGTTGCCATCCATGTTCTCTTTTGGCTCTTTTTGATGCAAGCAGAGGCCCACTCATATTCACATGACAAGCCTATGTTTAGGATTCAGGGAGCTCTCATGAGATTCTAAGGGTAAGTAGCCTCAGCCAGGTTACCTGGGAGCTGGATTCAAGAATAGAAGCTGTTCTCTTCTTCATTCAAACATTACCTGGTGTATTAGGTTCCTAGGGTTGCTATAACCAAGTATCACAAACTTGGTGGCTTAAAAACATAGAAATTTATTTTCTCACAGTTCTGGAGACTTAAAAGTCTGAAGTCAAAGTGTCAGCAGGGCCATGCTCCCCTGAAGGCTCCAAGAAGAATCTTTCCTTGCTTCTTCTAGTTTCTGGTGGTTGCTGGCCATCCTTGGTGTCCCTTGGCTTGTGGCAATCTCTGTCTCTGCTTTTGCATGGCCTTCCTGTCTGTGTTTCTCTGTGTCCACATTTACCTCTTCCTTTAAGGACACCCGTCATTGGATTATGGATTAGGACCCACTGTAATCCAGTTCGATCTCATCTTAATTTGATTACATCTGCAAAGACCCTATTTCCAAATAAGGTCACATTCAGGGGTACTGGGGGCTAGGATTTGAACGTGTGTTTTTGATGTACAGCATTCAACCCACAACACTTGATGTCTCACGCTTGCTTCTCACAGCATTCCCATTCCATTTTTCTCCTTCTCACTTTCCTCCAGTTGGCTTGCTCTGCTTACTCAGAATTCTGTCACCCTCACGCACCATAACATTATCTTGTTCATAATTTGGGCTTGAATGATGCCAACTCAGCTCCTATTTACCCTCCTTTATTCTCTTCTTCAACTTCTGCAGTTGATCACAACATTTCTATTTCCCAATTCAAATACCTGAAAGAGGATCTAAATGGGCCAGATCTTCTTTTTTCTGTGCAAAACTTTAAGTCACCTCTAATACAGTTGTCCACCCCTGGTTCAAACAGTTGGGTCTGGGGTGACACAGCCATGGCTGCCAGGCAGAAGGAACTTTTAATTCATCACTCAGGTTAATACTGGCTCAATTCAGGTGCAAAATAGTAACTTTATTCCATCATAGCTCCTTTTTCTCCCCACTCCTTTGTATTATTATTATCATATATATATTATATGATATATATAAACCCCTTATAATCCAGTGTTACAATTACTGCTTTATATAATCTTATGTTTTTAAAATAAGTCAAGAAAGGAAAAGAAAAAAATGTATACTTATACAGCCTTTTATTCCTACATGCATATTTACCAACTCTAGTACTCTTCATTTCTTTCTGTGTATCTGAGTTAACTCTGGTATCATTTTCTTTCAACATGAAGGATTTTCTTTAGTATTTATGAGGCAGATCTACTAGTAATGATTTTTCTGTCTTAATTTATCCTGGAATATCTTTATTTCCTATTTATTTTTGAAGGAGGGTTTTGCTAAATATAGATTTCTTGGTTGACAGGGTTTATTTTTTCAGTATTATGCATATGTCATTCTATTGCCCTGTGGATTTTATTGTTTCTGACATGAAGTCAGCCATTAATTGTATTGCTGTCTCTTGTATGTGATGAGTCATTTTTCTCTTACTGTTTTTGAGATTTTGACATTTGTCTTTGACTTTCAGGTTTTTAACTGTGAGATGTCTATGTGTGAATCTCTGTGTCTATAGTAATTAGTGTTTGTTGAGTTTCTTGAATTGTTAGATTAATGTTATTTTAAAATCAAATTTAGGAAGTTTTTACCCATTTTTTTCAAATAGTTTTTCTACTCATTCTTTCTGTCTTCTCATTCGTAACGTCCCTTACACATATGTTGGCTACAGTTGGTGTTGTCCCATAAGTCTCTGAGATTCTGGTCATTTTTCTTTAAATTTTTCTTTCTATTCTTTAGATTAGATAATTTGTTTAGATTAGATAATTTCTATTGACCTATTGTCAAGTTCATTAATTTTTTTCTCCTGACATCTCAAATATGCCATTCAGCCTATCTACTAAATGTTTCATTTTGATCATTGTTCAAGTCTAAAGTGTCTATTTGTTTCTTTTTTCTTATTTCTGTTTCTCCATTGAGATTTCTAATTTGTTGATTCATTCTCATATTTTCCTTTAATTCTTCAAACGTGGTTTCTTCAGTTCTTCAAACATAATTTTATTAGCTGCTTTGAAATTATAGTCAGCTAAATCCAACATGTGTACTGACTCAAAGTTAGTTAGTATTTATTTTTTCCTGTCCTCCCCTGACCCCCTTGGGTATGAGTCACATGTACCTGTTTCTTCTCATGTCTTGTAATTTTTATTGAAAATTTGACATTTTAGATGGTGTATCATAGTACTCCTGAATTTTCATTTTTCCCTTTGAGGGCTTTATTTTATATTTTGAAACTTTCTTGAACTTGATCTGCAGAATTTATCCTGCAGTATATGGTCACAAATGTTTCCACTCAGTTTGTAAACTCTTATTTTTATTTCTTGTCTGGCTTCCTAATGGTTGTTCCTGTGCCTATATACTTTAGTTGCCACCAGTGATTTGAGCTTAAGTTGTATTCAAAAACCTCGCACCCATAATCTCCCACCTACTGCTGGTAGATCTGTTAGTGGTCTTGAGAGTATATCCAAAGTTCAGGTAATTCTTTTGCTTTAGCTTTTACTTTCTACCAGGCCACTTCAAATTTCCCTCACATGCATATTTAGGTTACCAGTCATATGGGGATGTGTAGCTTGCTTATCTAGCCGTTGTATGTCTCTCTCATTTCCAGGCTCTTCCTGTTATCTCTCTTGTTAGCTTACCATTTGCTCTAACTTCAATCTTAAGCTAGCAGAACTATGGATTTGCCTCATTTATTTTCTGCTGAGTTTGGCTCTTTTACTGGCACGTTTTTCTCCAAAGATGATTTTGGCTCACTTGGTGTGGCTTTTCACCTCCTGCCCCAAATCAAGTCTTTCTCCTTTCGAAGAAAGCTGCTGGTTTTCTTGGCCAACTCAGCTCTTGTAAAACAACTTCATGGATAAAGTGTGTGTGTGTTTAGGGGGGTGGTGGGGGGTAGTGGCTGGGAGGTGTTATAGGAGCAGCCCTAGACAAAAAGATCATGGAATTCTACTGTTCTTACCCAAAGTTAAGCAGATTTCAATGAATAAATGCTTCCCAATTTGTTGTCTGTCTTTGACTGATTGCCAGAACCCCAAAGTAATTGTTTTGAATAATTTTTTTCCAGTTTTAATCTTGCTTTATTTGGGATGGTGGGTGGAGTGGGGAGAGGAATTTTGACCTCTGTATCCCCCCATAGCTGATTATATATTTTTGTAGCTTGAAAGACGCAGGCGTTTTATTTACAAATCCAGTTTATGGCTAGAGGAAAAAGGACCTGCTTTCCCAGGCCTATATTTCCCTGTTTTCAGAAGTATCACATCAGAAGTAACACTTTGATGATATACAATATAATCTATTTTTAAATGGCAGTAACATGTAAACCAAAAAATACCTGAGACAGGTCTCAATCAACTTAGAAGTTTGTTTTGCCAAGGTTAAGGACATGCCTGGAAGAAAGGAATACAAAATCACAGAAACAGTCCTGCGGACTGTGTTTTTCTCCAGAGATGATTTTGAGGGCTTCAGTATTTAAAGGGGAAAAGCAGGCTAGAGAGGAAAGAGGGAGGGTATGGTCACATTACTGAATCCACATGTTGCAAGAGAGAAGGGGTAGGGGAATAGTCAATTATGTGTTTGTCTTGTGCTCAGTAAATCAGCACTTCACATAAGGCAAGGTGAACGTAAAGTGGCTATCTGTGGAGATATTTAATCTTTTATCTGTAGTTATCTGCTTAGGAACAAAGGGAAAGGCAGTTTCTTGCATGACTCAGCTTTCAGCTTAATTTTTTTTCTTTTTGGCACAGTGAATTGGTGTTCCGTTTTATTTTCCTTTCACTAACCTATGGATTTAATTTGACTTTTTTCTTATTTCATATGAATGACCTGTATCATGCTAACTGTGAGACTATTTATGTAGCTGGTGTGACTTGGTTATTACATCCATAAAAATATTGATCAGTGGGATGCACACCAAGTTCCTTATTTCAAAAAGAAAGTAAACAATTGGACTCATTTTGAATCCAAAGAGGATTTTAAAATGGCAAAATCTCTAAGGCTCTCATATTTTAAAGTTAACTGTTAATTATCAATATTAATGGAGATGAGAAAAAGTGTAATAATAGCCAAATATTGAGTAATATAAAAATAATATATGCTGTTGCACTTTTTGTTTTGTATTTCTACTGGAAAATAAACTTATTTGTCAGACAAACAAGGTTTTTAGGTACCACAATTAAACATTGTGTATGTATTATTTAATTTAGTTTTGGAAATTTTCTTGGAATCATATCATCACCATTTTACAGACGAAGAAACTGTGGCTGAGAGAAATTGCTGAAAAACAGACAAGAACAAATTGATACAATGCAGATTAGAAACCCAGTTGGCCTGACTTCCAAGATCTTGTTCTTATGGTATGTGGCCATGTGATCTGGAAATCCATAGTATTCTTTCCAACTGGGAGTAATATAAATTTTAGAGGTGAGACTTTTTCATTTCCTTATTCTCCCTTCCTGTGGAACTTGGATCATTACTCCTGAGACTGATAAAAAGAGTCCACATATAGCAATTCTAACCTCTTCTACCTTGCTGGCCTAACAACTTTGCTGGGGCAGAGTGGTAATTGCTTTTACATACTGTTAGCTCTTGCTTTACTTGAGAAACAAAATTCATAAGCACAATTGCTTTACATTCACTTAAGTACAGGTCATCTTCCTTTTGCCTTCAAAGTATTGCAGAAGCTCAGGTGAACATCAAAGATTTTAAAATTAGCATTATTAAAATTTACAACTTTTAACCCTGATACATTAACCAGAATTGTGCTCCAAATTCAATATGTTCTTGATTTCCTTTATAACGTACACAATACGTAATGATGGCATGAGCCATGTAAAAGCAATCATAACTTTTGCCACTAGTAAAAAGTTTTGTGATAAACAAAGATATTATACATAACCCTTGAGTTACATTTATTTATTTCCAACATATGACTTCTCCTTAAAGAAAACACCCTGGAGTTCTGTACTTGGAAACCACTTGTATTTGAGTGACACCTCAGATCTATGAGAGCCTCCTTTTTGTTAAAATTCACCATCTTTTTGTTTCAGAGTACTTGTGAAGAGTGTGCAGGATGTCCCCTGGCCTCTCTTGGGAGCTGGTCTGGGATGACACATGGCCAAATGGCCTGAGAATGTTAATATTTACCTTTTGAGAATGATTCAAAATCAAATCATTTTAATCTCTTTGATGATCACAAAAGAGGTGAAAAGATCTCATGAACAAGCCACATAAACTAGTGGTCTTCACCTTTGTCAAGGTGCTGCTGCTGGATGTGGGCTTTCCAGAGTGTGGAGGGTGATTTTGAATCCCAGGGGACCAAAGGAACACAAATAGCACCAGAAGCCATTCTCAGTGAAAAAGGAGCAAAAATAAAGGTATGGGAACAGCTTCTTTTTCCTTGTTGGATTTTCTGAGGCTTGACTCATGTTAATTTCTTCACCAGCATCTATTTTACCTCTAGTTTATTTCATTCTTAGGTGGTTTTGAACATTTCAGAGCACCACTTTGTATGTGTGGTTCAGTGAGAAAGGATGATGTTTATGTAAAGAAGAAACTAGCAGAAGATTCTTTGCTTCTGAGGTTTGCCCACAAATACCCCACATCTAGAGATAATCTCAACTTTCTAGGATGTATTAATTATCTTGATAAAAAATCACCATCACAACCACCACCTAGTCTTCAGAACCCTTCATTTCTAACTGCCCTCCAAAACATGCAGTTTTAATGAACTACGATATATTGACCTATAGAATCAAGAATCTAGTCTGAAGACTTCTAATAATGAAATGCAAACAGAATATAATGGAAAAATTCAGTCCTAATGCAAAAATCTTGTCTCAATGCTTTGAACGCTGTTGTTACCTTTCAGGCAAAGTATAATTTTTTTCAGACTGCCATGCCCGTGAAATGGGGTTGCAAAACAAGGTACCTAAGAAAAGGGAATCATTGGAAAAATAGCAGAAGCTGAAGAATTCTGTGAGAAGAAGAAAAAAATGAGGAAAAATCTAAAATGTGGCTCCTGCATGTGAAATGCAATGTTCAGATTGGTAATCAGCTCCCCAGAAATTGAAGTGCACTGGTTTGAGGCCTGGAAAAATGAAAAAGAGTGATTATGGGCAGATGAATAGCCTACAGAAATATCTCAGAAAGTAGTACATTGACATGCAGTCCCCAAGTCCCTTTGCAAACTCCCAGCTATAAGGAATTCAAAGAGGAGATAAATGTCCCCAAACACCTTTTTAGAGAAATAATAAAAACAAAACAATTTCTTCCTTCTTCATTTCAAATCGGTGTGAAGCTGGCTAGATAGGAACTACCGGTCTAAAAAAACAAAGACATTAGAGTTGGCACGAAGATGTCACCTTTTCATAGAGCTCTTTGGAATTCGGAAAAGACCTTGTGGAATGTCAGCTATTGTTTATGACCATACGTAACTGTGACAGTACATAAATAATTAATGTTTGCTTCATTTTATATCTAAAAGCCTGAGATGCTGAAATGATCTTAGAAATATTGGCTCTCATTCGCAGTTATTTGAAGATTCTGACCAATCAAAGTGGAAATCAACATTGCTCCTATGGGACACTAAGTTCATGCCACTAAGTTCACTTACTAAGACACCAAGTTCATGACATTTTTTCTTGGCTATAAGAAAAGAAAGGTAGGAATGCTATATTCTGATTATTTGGAGGGTTTATTAAAATTATCGGAAGAGGCTTGCCTTTGTATATATAAAATAGGTATGGATGCAATTTAGCAGCTATA
Source organism: Homo sapiens (assembly GCF_000001405.40). Lineage (NCBI taxonomy): Eukaryota > Metazoa > Chordata > Mammalia > Primates > Hominidae > Homo > Homo sapiens. Next base: position 71,562,731 of record NC_000009.12, on the reverse strand, counting down.
TTATTCCTACACTTTAGAGTAGATGATAATTGCATGTAAATATCAGCCAAGCTCCAAATAGAAACTACTGTGAGTTTAAAACAGAGGAAATTTAACGCCAGATTGACTACACAGGTGACAGGAAAACTGAGAAACAAAATCCTTATCAATCTAAAGGTTGATAACAGCAGGAAGCCGTTGCTACCTTATATTAGTTATCTATTGCTGTGTAATAAATGACCCGAAACTTACTGGCTTAAAACAACAAAATATTATCTCACAAAGGTTCTGAGGGTCAAGAATCTGGGTGTAGATTAGGTGGGTTTCTGTGGCTCCAAGTTTCTTATGAAGTTGTAATCAAGCTATTGACTGGGGCTGCAGCCTCACCTACTGGTGCTTGACTGGGCGAGGGATCCGCTTCCAAGCTCACTCAGGTGATGGTTGGTAAGCTTTGGTCCCTTGCAATGTGAGCCTCTCCACAGGGTAGGCTGATGTCATGGTAATTGGCTTCCCAAAACAACTAGTTTAAGAGAGTGAGGGAGACGCTCAAGACAGATTCTCATATTTTAATATCTGAAGCAATATCCCCTCACTTCATTTTTTATTTGTTATAAGTCAGTCCCTAAGTCCAGTCCACACAGACTGGATTCCACAGGTGGGAATATTAGCTTGCTACGGCTGCTGTTACAAAGTGTCACTCACTGGGTGGTGTAACAGAAAGTTATTGTCTCCATTCTGGAGGCTAGAAGTAAGATCAGGGTGTTGGCAGGGTTGGCTCCCTCCCTGGGGTGTGAGGGAAAATCTATTTCATGCCTCTCTCTGAGCTTCTGGTGATTTGCTGGTGATTTTTGGCCTTCCTTGGCTCGCAGATGCATTGCCCTGTTCTCTGCCTTCATCTTCACATGGCACTTTCCCTGTGGGTGCGTTTGTCTCTGTGTCCAAATTTCCCCTTTTTATAAGGATGGACGTCATATTGGATTAGGGCCCACTCTGGTGACCTCATCTTGACTACATCTGAAAAGACCCTATTTTCAAGTAAGGTCACATTCACAGGACTGAGGGTTAGGACTTCAGTATAACTTTCTTTTTCTTTTTTTGTGGGGGACACAATTTAGAACTATGCACATCATTAGAGGCCGTCTTCGAGGCTGACTCCCATACACCATTAGTCTGGAAGACAATGAGAGGAGACGATGTTAAAGAGCCTAGTGAATGAGGTGACTGACGGAAGCTGGTCCATGGTAGGCTGTCTGGCAGGGGCTAGAGCCGCCATGGAAAGGCTTACTTGCTGCCAGAAATGCTACATGAGCAGAAAGAAAATGGGAGAAAAACCTGGTTTCCTCCCCACCTTGCCCTACGCCAAAGTAGACAGTCCAATTTCTCTTGCTGGAAGTCAGTTGACAAGGGAGCCTGTAAGAGTCAGCCCTCCTACAAGACTGAGCAGAGTGGGAGAAAAGCAAGCAATGGATTTGAGGGCAAGCAGTCCCCCAGGACTGGTGTATATTAATATGTATTGCATAAGATCTGCAGCGAGGGGTCCCAGGGTGCTGCAGTGAGCTCACAGAGATGCCACAGGAGATTTTCCATTTTTTGAGGTTAATGCAGTGATACTTAATATCAGTTGGATACAGCCGGGCACAGTGGCTCACACCCATAATCCCAGCACTTTGGGAGGCTGAGGTGGGCAGATCACGAGCTCAGGAGATGGAGACCATCCTGGCTAACACGGTGAAACCCCGTCTCTACTAAAAATAAAAAAAAAAAAAAATTAGCCTGGCGTGGTGGTGGGTGCCTGTAGTCCCAGCTATTTGGGAGGCTGAGGCAGGAGAATGGCCTGAACCCGGGAGGCGGAGCTTGCAGTGAGCCGAGATCGCGCCACTGCACTCCAGCCTGGGCAACATAGCGAGACTCCGTCTCAAAAAAAAAAAAAAATCAGTTGGCTACCACAAGAAATACTAGCTTGAGGTAGTTTACAGATTTAACATTAGATGTGTTACATTCCTTTTTGATGTCTTGCAGTTGCTGTGACCTAACCACTTTAGTAAATGTTGGGTATATTTATGTCTAGAGGAGCTGTGAAAAAAATTTCTAAGACACTAAGTGAACTGAGAAAGTTTGAGAACCTCTAACATTAAGCTTTATTGATATTATTACCCACTGTGGTTTTATATATAGAGAATACCTAGGGAGGTTAATTCTTCAGTGTCTTGGCAGCTAACTTCCTGCCCACCATCATTGCATTTTTACCTGAGAATTACTGAACTCAAGGTTGGGCTATGAGAATTGGGCAGTGGGGAGGATGCAAAGAGAATAGGAGAAATCTTTCCTAAGAAACTCAAAATAACATTTGTGGATCCTGGAGAGCGGTGCTTTCAGATTTTAGTGATTCATTTGTGAAGGCTGCTGTTTGAAAGGAGGAGAAATCTGGAGGAGTATATATGTATGTATGCAGTAGCCAAACTGAATGCTTCAGCCAAACTGAAACTCTCAACTGCTTACACATGGCAAGCTCCATGTGCAATCCCAGCCTTTGCACCTGCTGTTCTTACTGCCAGAGCAGTCTTTCTCCTCTCTCCACCTGTCCATCTCTACCAAAGGGCTGATTTTCCCTTTAGGGTTTAGCCAAGAGCTCACGTACTCCAGGAAGGTTTCCTTTGTCTCTAAGACTGCTTCAGTGGTCCTTCTGTGTTCTTCCATAGCTGCTGGTGCCCTCTCATTATTATAATTCCCATGCTGGGCCACAAAGCATCTCTATGTCTCTCTTCCTCACTGGTAGGTAAGCTCCATGAGGGAAGGATTCATTTCTGTCATGTCGCCACTTGATCTTCAGTACCTACTACAGAGCCCAAAACACAGGCGCTCGATAACTATTTAAAGCATTATTTGGAATCAGATTAAAAAAGAGAGGCTACAGCTTTCACTCCAATGAGTCTGAAGCAGATGCTTCCATCAGTGACAAAATATCTTCGGTTATAGTCCTCAGACACTAAAACAGGACCTAGTACTTCAATAGGAAATCCTGTTTAATAAGATCTACATATTGATGTTATGACTAAAATATGCATAAGTGAAACTTTATGTATAGCGGACTCTGGTGCCCTTACTTGTCTTTTCATGGTCACTCAGCAATTTCCAGTTTATGACTTCATCTCTTCCATTTTAGCTCAATCTCTTTGGGGAAGGAAAAACTGTTCTTTTGCAGGGAGTGGGCAGTTCACTCAGTTGGAGTGGTTTAAGTGCCTTTGCCATTAGAAGGGGAGCATCTAATGGCATGCTCTGCGGTCATCTTCTGACCCTTGGCTCCTGGCTATGGTGCTGTTTGTCCTGCTTGGCCACTGGGCATCCTGTACGGGTACTGCCTGGTTACTGGCCATCAGCTGGCATCCCTGATTGTGTCCGGGTCCTGACATGCCTATGATCCTGAGGGCCTTATATTTTGCATCTCAGTCATCTCAAATTTATATCTTTTCTGGTTCACAAGATCTCTTAGCCTCTAGAAAGCCCAAGAGCTGGGCGCGGTGGCTCACGCCTGTAATCCCAGCACTTTGAGAAGCAGAGGCAAGTGGATCACCTGAGGTCGGGAGTTTGAGACTAGTCTGACCAACATGGAGAAACCCCATCTCTACTAAAAATACAAAATTAGCCAGATGTGGTGGTGTCTGCCTGTAATCCCAGCTACTCGGGAGGCTGAGGCAGGAGAATTGCTTAAACCTGGGAGGTGGAGGTTGTGGTGAGCTGAGATTGCACCATTGCACTTCAGCCTGGGCAACAAGAGCAAAACTCCATAAAAAAAAAAAAGAAAAAAAGAAAAAGAAAAAGGAAGGAAAAAGAAAGCCCAAGAAACCAAGAAACCTCAGCTGCCTTCTCTGCACCATCTCTGAGTGTGCATGTCTCTCAGGCTCCCATGGGTCCATGCACACGTGCTATTTTTATCACATAAGCACCATGTTTTTACATTGCCAGGCTGAAGGCCAGGCTCCCTTGAGGCAGTTTACACTCTTTCCAAGATATTCCCTGGAAAGCCAGGCCCAACTGACTTTCTCTGTTATTCCACTAATCCTCCTTGGGGGTCCTATTATTTTAGACTCCCCACAGCCAAGACCCAGTGAAATGGGGTATTGGAAACTGTCTTAGTGACCTACATAGCATGTTAACCCTGGTCTTGCATCTTCTAAACCCTTCTCTTTCTTCTATACTTTATGACTTAATTTTATAAGCTCTCTGAGCTCAGTCTTCTAAGTTTTTCTTAAATTTTTTTTTCAATTTAAAATATAACTCTTTTTCACCTTAGTGCCTAGCTCTGAATAGTCAAAAGTGTTTTGGCTTTTGGAGAATTATTTTTCCTCTGGGTATAAAAACATTTTATTTGAAACTCAAAGCCAAGTAATGACTTCTTTGTTAAAGGAGGTATCTGCCCTCTCCTTATCTAGGGAACTGAGCCTCCTGTTCATGGCTCAGCTTTACTGGTGGAAAGGATAACAAGTTCAAAAAAGACAGGTGGGTGAGGGCAGGCAAGGAAGAAAGTTTAATAGCCCCAAATATTATCCTATTCCATTTGCAGCAATAACTTACATGGCATTTATGTTCTATAAAGCTTCATAGTAGACAAAGGGCTTTTGTTTATGTCATCTTGAAGCAGTATAGAATAATGATTAAAAGTGATCATGGTTCAGCCGCTCACCAGTGATGTGATGTTGGATGAGCTAATTTAACTCTCTTTATCTGTAACATGCAGATAAAAGGACATAATAACAGTACCATACTCATAAGGCTGTAATCAGTGTTAAATAAAACTTCATCTATATAAGGAACTTAGCATAATGCCTGGTACACATTATTTATAATTGGCATGACTTTTACTTCAAGAAATAGAAGCATATACGTAAGCCACACTATAGTTTTCTAAGCAGTATTAATCTCTTTGGAGCCTGCCTTCTATTAGGTTGTTTAAGCTCCAACCTCAGTCTTGGATTTCCTTCCCTTTGTCTAGAGTTGAGTAAAGAATATGGAGGTCTTTAATTGCTAAAATATTTATCAGTTCATGTGTGTCTTTCTCTCTATGGTCATTCTACATGACCCTGTGCTGCCTCTAGGCTAGGCAGGGCTTTGGGACTTCATTGGCCAATGCTGGGAACCTCAGAATTTCTAGCCCAGCTTTCCTATGTGAGAGGCAGGGAGGAGGGAGCAGTTCCAATCTTCCCTAAACCTGCAGCTGTACAGATATCTCTCATGTCTCTGTCGCCCCACCCAAAAACACTCCCTCCCTTCTCCTCTGGGCCAACCCAACATAATCTCCTGTAGGAGATCACACTCTGGAAACAAAAACCAGAAAGGAAGATTGATGTTGGCAACTTTCTACTTTCTGCGGAATGCCTCTTGTGTTTAAGCAAAGGCCTGCTGCAGCAAAATCAAAACATACCTTAACATCTCAATAAATTATCTTGCTATGCATTGAATAAATGGGAGCGGTTATTATAATTATGCCATAATAAAATGAAACAATAAAATATTTTGAATTACTTTTTACTATTTTACCTAAGTTTAATGAAAGAGTTTTAGGAATGAATATGTTGATAACCTTTAAAATGAGCATAAAATATCAGATTTAATCAGAGTTGTAATATTCCTATAAGGCTAGTAGTTAGGAGGAAAAAGGAGTCAGTCCAACACTGAATATTTGAATGGCTTTAGGAATTCACTCTAGTAATTGGAATGAGTTTATAAATATGAAGCTAGAATGAGCTTAGAACTTAAAGCTATATATGTTTCTGCATCATGATTAAAGATGGAAATGCAAATAAATACACAAATAAAAAATTGCAGGAAAATCTAGAAAATATATAGAGGTAGAAGAGAGCTTTATAATCAGGACTAGAAACTGAGAACATATAGAAGAAAAATAGAGATGTATTTATTAAAAGTTAAAAATAATTATAATATGTAATATGAACAAAGTAAAAAACAGGTGATGGGTTTGGAAAAAGTGTTGGTAATACAAATGACAAAGGATTTATAAACATACCCATACATAGGGCAATTAAAACTTGAAAAGGACAAGTCACTAGAAATATAAAAAATATATATGTTCAATAAACACATGAAAAGCTGACATGATATGTCAATTTACTGACATTAGACTGGCAAAATTAAACAGACACACAATGTAAAGGCCTGTCTTATGGGACAAACACCTAAAAGAGTACATTCATGTCCCCATGATAGAGTTTGTTACAATGTTTAGAAAGAGAGGTGGCAATATCTATTAAAATTAAAAGTAAATACACATATTTGTTGGCCTAGCAAGTTCACTTATAGAAATATGTTCCATAGAAATAAAGAGTTAACTACAAATGGAAATATATACAAGGATGGTTATTACCACATTGTTCGTGATAGTTAAATAAATTATGACACATTCATAGCATGGAAACTTATACATCTATTAAAAGGAATGAATTAGAGCTCTATTAGTCTTAGCTGGGAGAGATTTCCATGAAATACTATTGACTGTGCAAAGATTTGGAGAAATGTGTATAATAAGATCCAGTTTTTATAAAATAATATCAACTCTCCCATGGAAGTGCCTGTGTGTAGGTGTGTGTATGTGACTAGAGAGATACATATTAGGTTTTAACATGGGTTACGTGGGCAGGGGGGTGGGGGTGGTGGTGATGAGGATGAGGGCAAAGGAAAGTTGATGGATGGAAAGCAAGTAAAAAATATCTGGAATAAAAAACAAATGTACGATCCCCAAATACACACACTCAACACAAACTAGGTGGAAAAGATAAATCTAGCTCTATATGTACAAACCTATGTGAATGGCCTATGATGTTTTGTCAAGTTTCAGTTTATAGAGTGGTTTGTGCAGTATAATTTTAACTTTATTAAGAAAAGAATCACCGATATGTGTGTCTATACATTTCTACATACATATGTATATATTGATGCACACACATATGTGCAAGGGTATGGAAAAATATATGCTAGACTTAATGTCGCATACTTTAGGCAGTGGGAATGTATAGCAAGCACAGGATGAGATCTTTGTTTTCGTTATGCATTGTTTTATTTGTTACGCTAAACTTGTGTTAACTTTGTAATTTATAATACAACAAATGAATTTAAGTGATACTACCTTATGTATGTATAACTTCCATACTCCACAAACATGTTGATTCAATCAAATAATATACCAACCCTGGTGGCTATGGCCAACATTACCTAAGCCAGACTCTGACTTTGTCCCAAAGTGAAATGTACTTTCTTTATGCTGAGTGATAGCTAAGATGCCATTAACTTCTTCCTCTACTTCTCACCAGCAGCCTGAGAAGTTATTAATCCCTTATTTACGTATATGAAAGAGGGAATCAGAAGGCTTCATTGACTGCCAAAGTTCATAAAGCTAAACCCAGATCTCAAATTTCAGGTTTTTATCACAAGTGCTGCTAAACAGGTGTTTTCTTATCTACTTCCAAAACCCAACACTCACCCATGGGTGAGCATGGATGGGCATAAAGCTGCTCAGGTCACACAGTGAAATTTTCCTTTATTTGCCATTTTTTCCATCTCTGATGCCCTCTCCTCTCTGTGTGGCTAAATCCTACCCGTTTCTGAAAGCATTTGGGTTCCTCAGCATGGCATCAAAAAAAGACTTGTCCCTTCTGTTTCAAGCAAAATAGCCTGATCCTTAAGCTAGACCATGGCCAAGGTTTTCTTGACCTGAGTACTAAAAACAACAACAACAACAACAACCCAGGATGAATAGAAGGGCCCTACATGAATAAGAAGGCTACTACAATGAAAACAAACAAAAACAGAAAAAGAACCAAAATATAAGGTGCAACCGCTGAACAGAAATAATTGACACAACTAGTCTTTTAGCTTTGGCTTTTAAGAAGTGGTAGGACTATTGCACATATATGTCTGTGGTTTTTTGTTTTCTTAAATAATATTTGTGGTAGACAATTCTAAGATGACCTCCAATGAGTGATGGACTTGAATAATCCCATCCCCTTGAATCCGAGCAAAAATTCTGACTTGCTTCTAGTCATTGGAATATGGTAAAGGTAAGAGATAGTCACACCCATGACTCAATTATGATATATGACTTTTTTTTTAGCAGACTGGAGAGAGAGAGAGATTCTCTGTTCTATAGGAAATAAGCTGCCATGTAGTGAGAGGGTCACACAGCAAGGATATATGGGTGGCCTCTAGGAACTGAGAATGTTACCTGCTGACAGCCAGCAAGAAAAATGACATCAGTCGTACAATCTCAAGGATCTAAATTCTGCCAACAGCCACAAGGGGTTTGGAGAAGACCTTGAGTTCCAGAAAGGAATGCTGTCTGACCAATACCTTGATTGCAGCCTTGTGAGACTCTAAGCAGAGGGTCCAGGTAGGCCATGCCTGGCCTCTTGACCCATGGAAACTGTGAGATAAGCCACTTATCTTTTAAGCCACTAAGTTTATTATAAAAGAAGCATAATATTTAGTAAGCACAAAGCATGAGGTCATAGGAAGAACACAGTTCTGGAACATAGGAGACATAGGTTCACTCCTTTTGTCCCAGTGACTTGCTATGGAGCATCAAGCAAGTCCCTCAGCCTTTGGGAGATTCGGTGACCTGGTATGTGAAATGTGGGCCTTTTAAAGATCTCTTTATGGTCTTGCTACTACAATCATTTGACTAATGTTGAAATGAATTGCTATAGGATTGTTAGCCATACCAAATATACTGCATATTATTGCCATATGCTTTAATCTGGTCTACTCTTGATTTTTTGTCATCGTTCTCCCAACGTTCCAAGTTTAAAAATAGTTCATTAAAATCAGCCTTCTTGGATTTTGATTTGAGAAGGCAGGAAGAGGTCTAAGGATCAGTTCAGAAGGTGCTTAAGAAAAATTGTGTGGTGATCTGGCCAGGCGAGGTGGCTCATGGCTGTAATCCCAGCAGTTTGGGAGGCCGAGGAGGGCGGATCACCTGAGGTCAGCAGTTGAAGACAAACCTGGCCAACATGGTGAAACCCTGTCTCTACTAAAAATACAAAAAGTAGCCTGGCATGGTGGTGGGTGCCTGTAATCCCAGCTACTCGGGAGGCTGAGGCAGGACAATCACTTTGCTTGAACCCGGGAGGCAGAGGCTGCAGTGAGCCAAGATCACGTCATTGCACTCCAGCCTGGGCAAGATAGAGTGAAACTCTGTTTAAAAAAAAAAAAAAAAAGATGGGAATTTTATTTTCTTAGAAATGTGAAAGACGAGTTAGATGGGATTCCTTCCCCTATTTCTGGAGCATTACATAATGGAGGGAAACGAGCAAACTCTTGGCATCTCTGGAGAGAACTGAGCACACTCCCAAGGTAAGATTTTTACGTCAGAAGGCAGCACCTTCTCATCACCATCAGGATGCTGGGGGTTCAGCTGATTCACCTTAACGGTGTGCACTTACTTATGCATAAACAAGTGAAGTGAACAATGATGAAGCCACCAGCTGTTTTATTGTGTTTTGTCATTATTATGAACCATCATATTTCATTTTTAGTGCAAGTAATGAGCCTTGGTGAGGCAAAGCTCCATGCTGTGCAGGGTAAATGGTATATTCCCTCCTGATCCCGCAAGGCGCTGTCAACAAAGGAGACTTTGGCTATAAATAGGAGCTGGGTCAGGAAACATTTTCTGCAAGTATTAATAATCAATGCACTACACAGACAGTATAAGGTAAGGGTTGGGGTAATTATTATCCAGTTAGGAAAATCAATGAAATCCTGAGGAAACCAAGAGGTGATTTCCTTTGCTTTCGGTGGCAGTTGGTGTGACCGGATGGAGGGTTCTTTATTAATTTAATTTCTCCCCCTTGCACTGATTTAGCTCCACAGTTGACACAGGCACTGGCGCTTACTCTAAGAGTCAGTCCTTGGAGCACAGGGGTTAGCTGTCATTTGCAAACTCACCACCTACTGGAAGCAAAGCTAGAAGACGGGGCTGCCAAAGCCAACCACTGCAACCTGTGGCAGGCTTCCCTGCCCAGGCTCTCCCACTGCCCTTGGAGTGAGACCCCTCCCCCTCAATCCTGCACAGCGACGTGGCTGGCTGGAGCTTTCCCCGCACCTGTCGCACCTCCTGGTTTTGGCAGAATGAAGTGAGGAGACAGCTGGAGTCATTATAGTTCATCTGTTTGAAGGTTGCCCAAATGAAAAACAAACAAACAAATCTGGTGAGTTTCGTGTTTCTTTTAAGTGTACAGAAATGCAGCTGCTAAGTTGTGTAGGAGATCAAAGGAGCCTTTTAAATTCAAGACACCAAAGTGTTCTTGCTGGTTTGATCCTTGGTGGAGATTTGTTAGCAAACTTTAGAAGGAAGTTACAAAAGAGGATTAGGTGTATTAAACTTGTCTGAGCTGTGGAAAGTTCTTTGTAAAGCTCATTGTGTGTTCATTGCAGATTTCTGTGGAGAATGTGATAGTGTAGTGAGCCCAGAGGTTGTGTTTTGGGTGATTGGACTCAAGTGCAAAGTAGAAAAACATTTCTTTAATACAGAAATAAGGCACTATGACTATTGCCTATAAATTGTCTATTAGAGAGAAAGAAATATATTCTGAAGCATTCAATAATTTCAGTACTTTGAGTAAAATGAAATTTAACCTTAGCTCCCAAGTTTGAAGTTGTCTCTTAAAAACATCAAGGCATTATGTAGCTAAAATAACTGGCATATTATTTTCAGTGTACATTGCAATATTTTAAATAGCTTACACTTCAAATAATCGGGGCAAACAAAATGTGTATTTATTATTTTCTATTGGTGCCTTAGCAGTTGTTAATTTTCTTAGCATTTTACTAGTAAAATTAATTTTCATTGTGGGTTACAATAAAAAATAGTGTTTTAATATTAAAATTTTCTGAACATAAAAATCTTAAACATATATTTAAAGTCACAATTTCAGTTTTATTTTGGTCAGAATTGGTTAATACGCTGGTTTGTAAATGGTGTGTACTTTATAGTCATCTTCTTTACTTTGAACATGTTTTAAATGACTTTGATCCATCTCACTCCTCTACTTAGTAGCAGAAAAGTTTAAAACGCTATGTAAATAGAACTAAAGCAAATGTGCTCACTAATATATTTTTGTTGTATTGTTGTTTATAATTTTTGTATTTGTGATAAAATCTATTTTGGTTATTCTGAGATTTTTTTCCCCCTATTTGTTCTCCAGATTCAATTAGTTGCTTTCAGCTAACTCCTTTTTTTTTGTCCTGGCTACAATAATGTATCTAAAAAATTATTTTTCATCTGGGATTGTTTTAATCCACAACTTTGAGAACTGTTTAATACTTAGTTATTTAGTCAAGTTTGAATCTTATTTTGACAGCATTTAAGGGGCTTAGGAGGGGGAAAGAGAAACTGAGTGTGGAAGAGGCTCTTGAATTAAAAATGTATAAAGGTTAAACATCAAACACTCATGACTGTCATCATAATAATTCTAAATTGCAGCTGACTATGAACATTGATCTCTTTCTCCAATAAATCTTAACCTCCTTGTCATATTTTCTTCTTCTGTTGACCTGATTTTCATTTTCTTAGCCTCTGGGATGTTAGCTCCATAAAAGGTAGGTTTGAGGACAGGATCCCCCAAAGGTAGGTTTTTATTTCAGCTTCATACCAGGCAGCTTACCAGAAGAATTCCAAATGAGGTGCTGGTTGGGTACCCTGTCTTGTCAAATTACTGAGATGTGGCATTGATTGGTTCTCAAGTGGAAGGCAATTGATTACTTGTATCTATCTAATTTTTAAGTGATGTGTGTAGAATCTCTGGAAATAAAACTTTAAAAACAGTTTATAGTCATTCACCAAAAAAGCCATTTTTCTTAACCCTCAAATATGAAGATTGATTTACAAACACTTTCATTTGGTGATTGGAATATGTTTTGACTGTTGGAAAGGAGTATGATTGTCCATCTTCTGCCTTCTGTATTAAATTCCTCCATTTCTATTAATTTGGCATAATTAAAGTTTTTATTTTCTAATTTATATATTTTAGAATAAAGCCATTCGATTTCTAAAATAAAGCCTCTAATATTTAAAAATAATTTCACTAGACATTTGACTGAGGTTTATTTTTCACAAGGAACATGGGCATGAGGGTTGAAAACTTTATCAGATAGTTGCTTTTAAATTCAAAGCAAAACATGTGACTTTTGAAAAAAATCTTAAACATGAAATGTGTTTATTGTAGAGAAATGAGAAGATACAGAAAAATACAGAAATGTTTATAAAAACCACCCAGTCTCAACAGGCACAAACAACTATTAAATATCATGGTATATTTGCTAGTATAAAATACATATATATTTTTTAAATTGGAATCATACTGTATACAAACTCTATTCTGCTTTTTTTCCCAATAAAATATTAACTATTTTAAAGCATTCTGGACTATTTTTAGTAACTATATAATATTCTACAAAGTGGATAAACCATAATTTCATTTTATTTTATTCATTTAGTTTTTCTTTTTCAACTTTTAGGTTTGGGGGTATATGTGCAGGTTTGTTACATGGGTAAATTGTGTGTCACTGGGGTTTGATGTACAAATGATTTCATCACCCAGGTAGCGAGCATAGTACCCAATAGGTAGTTTTTTGACTCTCGCCCTCCTCCATTCTCAAGTGGTGTCTATTTTCCCCTTTTTGTGTTCAGATAAACCACAACTTAAAAAATTCCTTTGTTGATATTTAAAAGTTCATTTTCTATTAAGAGGATACAACCCGATTTCTTGGTACAATGTGTTTTAGATATTCAAAACATTGGCTCTTTTATATTCTCCAAATCTGGATATTTTCAATTCCCCAAAATGGAATACTTCATTATGGAAATGGATAAGAGAGGCTCTTAAAGTGATTTCTACTCCTTCCTTTTAATTTGAACAATAAGCATTGCAAACATCTTTTATTATGGCTAATGTTGACTGAGTTCTACAAGATTCATTTAAAAAGACTTGATAGGCCATTAATACATCAAGGGAACACCTTGTAAAGATTCTCCTTTCAAAATCATTTAGAACATTTTTCTCCCTGAAGAGTACCATTACACTAGTATATTTGCAAGCAAATAGGATATTTGGCTTTATTAAAATTCTCAAAGTACTTTTGATACTACTACTACTACCTCTAATATAACAGTAGTAATGTCAACTGAGGACTATGGTTTCAGATGGATTATAAAATTAGTAGGGGGCAATGGATTTTTAAAAACTAATTATCAGCTACTAGCTTAAAATAGCATCTGGCTAGCAGTCCTTAACTCAACAGTTCCCCACTTTCCACTAAACTCTTAGGAATGTGTTTTAAAAAATGAATTTATAATATTTTCAAAGACAAACACTGATAGTTGAACAATTGCTAGTATCTGGGAGAAATTTCCCTGGACTAGAACATAGCAGTGATTTAAGTTTCAATGTGATCAGAAAGTAGAAAAAAAAATGCACTTTGTACCTTTCTTGTTATTAACTCCTAATTTACAACCTCACAGTCTATATAAAAAAAGGAACTGATTCTTCACCCCTTAACCTGGTGCCGCTTTTGAGGAAGCCAAAGTACTTTCTATACGTGCTTCCCCTAAATACTAGTATTTCTCTTTCTAAAACCATCACAGATGGAAGACAATTGCAGGGAAAGAGGATGGAAGATAAACAAAGGTGACAGTGTCCCACACCCCTTTGTAGGCTCTGCAGGCAGGCATAGAGATAGAAGAACTTAAGAGCAGTGCATATGGGATTAAGGGATTTAATGTATTCCGTTTCTTCAGCCAGGGCTACCTGAGTTAGGGCTGTCCAGTTTGTGCTCTGCCTCAGACAAACAGGGCAGATGCGGCTCATCCAAAAATAAGCTCCTTTTTGAAATTTGTATGTGTGTGCGCGCGCGCGCGTGTTTGTGTGTGTGTGTGTGCGCGCGCGTGCCTCACACAAAGCTCCTGTATGTGCTAGTGGTGGCCTTGTCTTTTAGGGCACGGGAAACTCAGACCATGTAGTTGCAAGTAATACTCACCAAGGCCAGCAGAACCACGGGGGCACATACTGCTAGACCTAGAAATTGGTGCCAGGGCTGTGCAAATCAGTCTACATCCCAGCAGCAGATCTGAGAAGGGGATGTGTCCAGCACCCAACTAGACCAAGAGTGAGGCCAAGAGAAATTCTTAATACCTCCTTGTCTGTTGGCAAACACCTGGCTAAACTCTTTTTATTGAGACTGAGTACAATTCCACTAAATAACACATATTTTAAGAATACTGGAGGGAAGAGAATCTGGCTATTCTCTGGATAGTATAATTGTGGGATTATGAGTAATTTTGATTTTACTTTTTTATTTAAAAAATAATCTGCACATATTTTCATAATCAGAAACGTAAAGGTTATCCTTAAGTAAGAAAAGAAAAATAACAAAAATAAGTTTTATATTTATTTGTGCACTAACTATGTAGTAGAAATCTTTCCTGCCTCTCTGTTACTTTTTCCGAATTTGTGAGGGTGTCTGATAAGAGATGCCAACAGTTCTATGTTCCTTTTGAAGTCTCGTCTCGGTGACCGCTGTATTTTGGCTTGTCACGCACAAGTTGGCTAGGTATGGTGGTGAGGAGAGAAGGATTGCTTGGTCAACCAGATTTTCTCCCTTCCTGGAGTAGTGGCACCAGAAGCCACACCTGAAACAACTCTTAATCTCAATCATTTCCCTCTTGCTCTGATGAGAGAATGTCATAGTGTGCCGGGCAATCAAGGTTATGTGATCTGGTGGGCCAGATCCGATTAATGTTTTTAATTGTGTTTTTAAGATGTAACACACCCAGGGAGATTTGTTCCAGATGAATGCAGTACAAAATGAAAAATAAAATAAAACCCCCTCCAAGCACAATATTGTTCTAAATATTTCTTTGAGGCATCAGCAGGTTTTAAGTCATTGGAAGATGGGCTGAAGGCATTCTCTACATCATTATGCCTTTCCTAGTTGTTTGAAATAGATTTCAGTTTTAAAGGCTTTTCTGTGTAGCTCTGTTCTCTACTTGTCATTTGTGACCTCATCTATTATATTTTTTAGAAAAGGATCAGGAAAAGATACATGAAAAGTCATATTATGGATAACTATGACTCTAGGAAGTATTTTATCACACACCCAATATTTTCTCATAGTGCATAAAAATTTCTGCATGCTTTTGTATGTGTGTATGTGCATTTTTAAAAGGTCAAAGAATACAAAAGCTTTGTTTAAACGATAACTGTGAAAGGTATATGTAATAGAGCAATTATATAGAAATTAATAAAACAAACATTAACTGTTAAAATAAATACACAAGTTGTTGGGAAATTTAAAAATATTGAATCAGGGAATTTAATCATGTGGTAATTTCTGAAAGTTGTTAGATTACTTGCTTGAGAGCCTATAAAGTAGAAATACATAGTATTTGAAATGGCTTTTAGAGTCTGTAAATAAAAATAAATTTGAGGGGGAGGATATTTTTGAAAGTAAATAACTTTCAAAACTTAGATCAGTAAAGATGCACACACATTGGGCTTGCAAATTGACTAAGTTCATCTTGGTACTCTTGGTTCAATGACTAGTTCTTAAGACTTACAACTAAGGAATTAACTTTGCTTACTAAGATTCTACACCCTATCTATGCAATTTTGGTTTTGCTGTTGGTGAATATAAAGGCTATTTCTTCTATATTTAATTATGTGAAACATAGGCAATTTTGGTTTTGCTGTTGGTGAATATAAAGGCTATTTCTTCTATATTTAATTATGTGAAACATATCTTGAAAACCTAGGGTTTTGCTGCTTTTTTTTTTTTTTTTTTTTTTTTTTGAGATGAAGTCTCACTCTGTCTCCCAGGCTGGAGTGCAGTGGCATGATCTTGGCTCACTGTGACCACCACCTCCTAGGCTCAAGTGATTCTCCTGCCTCAGCCTCCCGAGTAGCTAGGACTACAGGCATGCACCACCATGTCCAGCTAACTGCTTTTTGATTTTGTATTAATTTGAAGCTTCTCTTTAGATTAAAATAGTCCCTTAGAAATTTTTGTTTTAAAAATCCTTAAACTCTCCTTAAAATTTAGAAGAAAACAAAGGAATTCATAATATTCAGGGGCAGTAGGTGTTTGAGAAACAAAACCTTGTTTGGGAAATTGATTTCACGTTAAATCTGTCATCCAGAATGTACAACATTAATTGTGTTGAGTGTGGACTAGGAGATGTGGTCCTTGCCTCGGATCAGCTCATGGGACAAATTCGTACTCACATACAAGATGAGAATTTATGGGAGTTACTAAATAATATGTTTAAAAGGTGCACTCTAATAAACCACAGGCAATTTACAACAGGTGCTCTGCAGCTTGCCATGAAATCCATCCTACTAAAAATTCCATAATCTCTAAAACAAAATAAATAATATAAGCCTATTTCAAATTTTTAGGGCATGGCTACTACCATAGAGGCTTTGTTCTTAATTAAGACTTTTATATGAAGTTAAAATCATACAAACATAGCAAATAGGATGAGTATCTTTGGCTAAATACCATAACTATTTAAGCCTGGTGTGAGTAGCTGGTTTAATTGTTTTAAGCTATTCTCAGTGGGAGAACAATTTGTTGACAGTGGCCTGGAGTAAGTGTGGTGGCCTGGAGTAAGTGTAGAAAAGCTAGGGATCTTTGCAGCTTGGGTGCTATCACACAATTGTTTTGATTGCTGTATTCACTCCTTACACACACGAGTCCAGGTGTGCTGTTTCTTTACCTTGAAGTCCAGAAGCATCCCTTTAAAAGGAAAATTTGCAGATGCGTAGCTATCCAAAGAACAGATATTTGCAAGTGATGATGATTCAGGAAGCTAATAGAATAGGAACTGTTTTAAATTGTTTCAATCTGAATACAGTTGCTAAAATAACAGTGTAGTTTGGTTTTAGTACAGGAAAATAAAACACAAGCCAAAGATATCTTTTTCTTTTAAGTAAGCCT
Source organism: Homo sapiens (assembly GCF_000001405.40). Classification (NCBI taxonomy): domain Eukaryota; kingdom Metazoa; phylum Chordata; class Mammalia; order Primates; family Hominidae; genus Homo; species Homo sapiens. The sequence goes on along the minus strand of NC_000009.12, from coordinate 71,545,754 downwards.
CCAAAGTCCTAGAGAAAACTTCCCAACTTGCAGAGTTGAAAGGATTTGAATTGTGTAAAACCCCAGATTATGTACAGATTTGAGTTGGAAATTTAAAGGAGATGGCTATTTATTTTATCATTCTCTGTATTCTTTGTTGATTAATTCCATTTCTGTCAGCCTCTTTGGTTACAGTAGATGTGTGTTATGATTCACTAGCAAAACCTTTCTCTGTAAACATTCGAAGACCTTGCCAGTTCTAAATTGAAAATTTGGCAAATGTGGGGATTATTATTGTTGTAGAGAAGCTAACAGGCCACAGGCAAACTATTTTCTGGGTGCCATTTGATCTGGTGGGGTTTGAAGAGAAAAAGCCTTTGAAATTGTTAATTTACAGCAAAAATTTTGGATGAGTATAGCATAATCTACCAAACTATGGCTCCTGATTTCTCCATGCCAACCTTTCATTTTTCACTGTTGGTCAGTCATGACTGTCCTCTTACAGAATTTAGGCTGAATAAAACTTTAAAATTGAATATAAGATTGGAACACACTTTCACCTTTTTTTTTTTTTTTGTAAAGTGGCCATTTGGACTGATTTTAATTTGTGATTTATGTAGGCGTCCTCCTGCTCAAATTTCATGTTGCAGTCTCTTTCATTGTCTATCAAAGTAGGAGCAAAATCGTAATTGCTGGAAGTGGGACCCTGGGATCTGCCTTTACAATAGACATTAACAGGTAAACTTTTGTTTGTTTGTTTGTTTTTAGACAGAATCACACTCTTTATCACCTAGGCTGAAGTGCAGTGGCACGATCTGGGCTCACTGCCACCTCCACCTGCTGGGCTCAAGTGATCCTTCCACCTCCCACCCAAGTAGCTGGGACTACAGGCATGTGCCACCGTGCCCGGCTAATTTTTATATTTTTTGTAGGGACGGGATTTCAGCATGTTGCCCAGGCTGGTCTCAGACTCCTGAGCTCATGTGATCCACTTGACTCAGCCTCCCAAAGTGCTGAGATTATGGGCATGAGCCACTGTGCCCGGCCAGGTAAACTTCAATCGTCATTTAAGTATTAGGTAAACTTTAAGAGTCCTTTAGGTTTTAGGTGTTTCAGGAGTCATCACTTCCTGTTTCAGATGCTGTGAAAGGAAGTGAAACATACCTTCCTCCCATTCTTTACTCTCTTACACACAAATAATTTTGACAAAAGTTTTCATGTGGAAGAAATTAACCTGGATGGCTCAATGTGGATTGTCTAGAAATCTAGTTTGCTTAATGCTACCACAGGCTCATGCAGAGCTGACGTGTAGTATAACTTGTTTAATACTCCTATAATGATTATTATATAGGCATGATGGTTATAGAGGAAAACAATCTTCAGGATATTTCCTTAGTTTCAAAAAAAAGAGGTCAGTCCTTCAAGATTGTCAATCACTGTCATTATTATCATGATTAGCAATGGCAATTTAAAACATTGTGCTTTTATTTATTTATTTTTGAAACAGGGTCTTGCTCAGTCATAGTCTGTAATGCAGAGGCATGAGCATGGCTGACTGCAGCTTTGACCTCCCACGCTCAAGCCATCCTGAATATCTGGGACCACAGGTGTGCACCACCATGCTGAGCTAATTTTTAAGTTTGTTTTTTTTTTTTTTTTGTACAGATGGGGTTTCACTTTGTTGCCCAGGCTGGCCTCAAATTCTTGTGCTCAGGCAAACCTTCTGCCTCAGCCTCCCAAAGTGTTGGGATTATAGGAGTGAACTACTGTGCCCGGCCGCATTGTGCTTTTGAAGTTGAGTTAGGTGGTCTAAATGGTTTCCACAATGTCGGGGAGATCTTGACTGATCTTGTGTTGTGTTAATGATTTTCAACTGAAGTTTTGGTCATTTAACTGTTGGCCAGAGAGAATCTTCACAAATTAAAAGGATAGTTTATATATTCATCCAAAAAGTAAGTATAACATCCCTCATCTTAATATGATACTGAAGATAATAAAATGAGGTGAGTAATCACAAGAAGGAGAAGCATAAACTACAAAATCTGCAGGGTTGGAACATTTAAAAAATACATACATTTATCAATACAATTAAATATATGATTTAAAGCATATGCATATGAAGAAGTGAGTGGGTCTGTGAAGGTAACAGTGTTTAATTGGTTCCAGGAGGACAGATAAAAGCAAATTTTGGTGATCTTGGGGATCCTAAGTCCAGTAGCTCCTACCTAACTACAAATAACCCTACAATTACAATGCTATATGAAAAATGCCATTTTAGGCATGCAAATCATGTTAAAAGAGAAGGAAGACAGAGTTCTCAACTTTGTGTGATGAGGTTCTAGAAGATTAGTCAGAACTAAGGACTCTTGATCTGGTTCTAGATAATATGTGTTCAAGAAATGTTAACATAGTGTCATTGTTGTTAATCCTTATGATAACTGATTTGCGAATCAGGTGTGTTTCAGATGATTTTCTCACTTGGTTGAATTTGGCTTTAGTGTGTGGTTTTGGATATCTTGGTTTTCTAACTGTTTTTGTATGTAAATCCTATAGATTTAGTGAAACCCATTGGGGCTTTGATCAAATGCCTCCAATGATGCTGTTCACTATACTCTGTTTAAGTTCTAGAGATTCTTTAAGCAAATAGCCTTGGAAATGATGTTGAGTGGTGTTGAGGTGAAGCTCTTGTACATGGGAAAGGATGTCATAGAGGTACTTCAAATAATAGTTTGAGATTTAAGAAAATGTGGGATAGTGCTTGCTTTGGCAGCACATATACTGAAAAATGCATGGGCTACACAGCGGGTATGGCTGCTAACAATACTGGGTATCTTTCTATTGAGGAAGGCTAGTGATATTGATGGAGCTGGCTGGTTGGTTGTATTTAATTATTTCCTTCATGGACATTTCTTCTGTAGTTAGAAAAACAGAGTTCACAAACAGAAAAAAGATAAGTAAGATCTCACATTTAAAGTGAATAAGCTAGGTGAGGTGTTTAAACTTTTAATTGCTAATTGAAGAGAAAACTGGCTGAAAATAGGAAGGGGCTTGAAGCCAATTTGATGTTAAATCATACTAAAAGTTTAGGGCAGACTTCTGGGAAAGCATTTCCCCTTAAAATTAAGGAAAGTTTGGGTAGAGTTATGAAAGGAAACCTTATGTATTAATGGGAAACATATTTAACTTCTTCCTTTTTTTTTTTTTTTTTCAGACGGAGTCTCACTCTGTCGGCCAGGCTGGAGTTCAGTGGGGTGATCTTGGCTCACTGCAACCTCTGCCTCCCGGGTTCAAGTGACTCTCCTGCCTCCTGAGTAGCTGGGATTACAGGCGCATGCCACCATACCCTGCTAATTTTTGTATTTTTTTTAGTAGAGACGGGGTTTCACCGTGTTGGTCAGACTGGTCTTGAACTCCTGACTTCGTGATCTGCCTCCCTTGGCCTCCCAAAGTGCTGGGATTATAGGCGTAAGCCACCGCGCCCAGCCTATATTTAACTTCTTTAAAGTTAAAGTTAAAGAAGTTTGCTTTCTAACAAAAACTTTAAAAATGATGCTCATTTAATAAATACTTTTGTTTTAGTTTCTCAAATTTCACATTTTAACAAGTAGAAAAATCTATACTTTTCTGAGGTAGATCAGACTAGAGTCATTTGCATTTGTGGTAGGGCACTTACCATGTAATTTGAATTGTATGACTGAGACAGCCTTGCCACCTAATGTTGTTATATTAAAATTGCAAGTCTAATTTCAGCTGAAGTTGGAGTAAGAAAGAAAAAAATGTTAAATATTTGAAAAACATAGTAGAGGAATGACAGGAGATATCGCAAGTTTACTTTTCTTTAAAAATTACTGTACAAGGTATATGGTTAAAAATACCTTAGAAGCCTCTGGAAAGCAGGAACTAGAATATAACCATTTAATTGTTATCATCTCTTGCATTACTGATGGGATCTTTCTTACATATAGAACACTGAACATCAAGAAAAAATAAAATGTCTCTCTTGAAAATTAATTGAGTAGAACGCAGTCAAAGCATTGCATGTGACACTTATCAAGCTTCAGAGGAAAGACTGATGATCACTGTCTGTCAGTCATTGGAGCAATGCTTTCTATATTTATCAAGGATATGCATCACACAGAACCACAAGGAGAAGGCTGACCTTCTCAAGGCAAAAAAGGTCTAGTGATTTGCAAGAAATGTGTAGCTCTGTGATTGTTCTCTATTTCTTTGCTTGGCTTTTTATGGCTATTTCTGCTTTTAGTACGCTTTTCTCATGTAAATTATTTTTAGCATTAAGAATAAAATTTCTAATCAGCTAGATGTACCTTCAGAATCTAAGATAAATTACTTTGGCATTATGCTTACCGAAAGTGAATTAATTATGATTGACTTTAAGATAGTAAGAGCAAGGGCAAAATATATCCTTTTAAGGGTGGTTCTACACATAAATCTTCAAGTATTTTAGCAATCGAGCCATAAAATAACACAATCCAATTGTCTTTCTGACTCGCCACATTATGAGAATTCCTTATGGAAGAGCTGACAGTATTTGATGGATTGAATTGAACTACTGAAGCATCTTGTAGAAAAATGTCTTTTGAGGGATGAGCAACCAACTGCCATCCTGAACTTTTGATATGTTATTAGAGATCACTTGAGACTAATAAAGTATGCCAGTCTAACTTTGGGTCCTTCTTATTTGTGTTTCACATAAAACCAATCCCTCTCTCCATTCCCACAATTTCACCTCTTCACAGAAAAAGTACACCCTACCGTGTGCTGCCTGGAGACACTGCAACCATGATTTCCAAATTTGTTTAGATAGCTGAGAACCTGAACATTAGGGAGTTCTTTGTGGCACAGCAAGTAATGATAAAACAAGTTTGAAATTATGAAATATATATTTGGAATGCAATCACACATTATCTCACACTAGATTATCTTATAATCAAGTGATAACAGCAACGGAAGGTTGAAAAAAATTGTTAGGAGATTGACTTAGTAAATATTTTGATCATTAACCCATTGTTTTTCTTTGAAAGTTAGAAAAATATTGTTTAGGTTGAAAGCTATTTCATCTGTTCTTGTGAATACCACCAGTGTTTTGAACCATGGTTTGAAAAACAATATGTTAGGGTGCAGTGTGTCTCAGCCCTAGGTATATATTAGAATCATTTGAGCAATTTTTAAAAATCCTATCGGTACCTGGGACCCACCCCAGATGGATTTATTAAGAATTCTTAGATGTTTTGCTCAGGCATTTATAGTTTTTAAAAGCTTTCCAAGTGATTCCAAGTGTATAGCCAAGGATGTGGGTATTATGCTGAGTAAGGCCATGGATAGACTTTATGGGAGGTTCAACCCAGACTTGTATGTGATAGGCAGGTCTGTGGTTACTATTACTCACATGGTGTGTTCTGGGTGTTTGTAGCAATAAGTCCAGTCAGTGAGCTGCTACTGCCTTCTTACCCCCAAAGATGCACACATTCAGCTACTGTAACACGTAAGTCAGTCCTTCCATGTTATGTTCATTCTTCTGCCTCCTGTTGGCTCATGATGTTTCTTAATTCTTTTGGTACATGGTTAAAATTTGCTTGCCTCTGGGTAGGTAGTACTGTCTAGTGGACTGGGCACAGGCTATGAAGTCAGGCAGACTTGGTTAAGATTCAAACTCAACAGTTGACATATCAATACTTGACTTTCTAAGCTTTGGTTTCCTCATCTCTATACTACGGGTTAAGATGATGTCAGTCACCATATGCAAACACTACCTGATGCTGCATGTTGTTACCGTTCATGCCTGTGACCCACACCTCCCTTGTATATAACATGAATAATGAGCACTGTAGTATGGTTGTATTATGAATGTGTTTGCTTCATGACTTTGTGTTCTGAGTCCACAGCTAGATTTCACGTCTTTTTTTTTGTCGGGAATTCTGTCTTCTATTTCTTGGTCATTCCCGGTCTTCCTTTCGTTGTCCTCAGCCTCCATCTTACATATATGCCTGTCTTTACACTGCTCTCTGTATGCTAGTTGTGTTCCAAGTGTTAATGACAGACTGTTTTTTTCTGATTTCAAAATGCAGTCAATTTCCTAATGTAAATATTGAAGAAATCTCATGGAATCAAGCTTTAGTAGTTCAATTAATAAGCTATGTTGAGTTAAAGACATTTTGAAATACAAAGTTTTGAAATATTTGTTTAATCCCAAGGAGAATCACCATTTTAAACCAACCTTTACAAGGCATAATAGTATTTTCATGTAAAATACATTTTTCATTGATAATCAGTGTAATTGTATAAATGCATGCACAAAGTCAGAGTCTGCTAAGAATTATCAGCAGACAATTTTCACTTATTACTACTTTTTAATGCAAAATCAGTTACTATGGCCTTTTTCTTAGAGCTCAGATACAGCTTTGATTATAGTTAGGGACCATGCCTTGTGTTCTGTAAGCTTTCACACTACGAAGCTAAGAGCAGATGGAAGAAGGTGCTATAATATTACAATGAAGTCTTGCAAATAGGTGTGAACAATCGACCTCCTAAAATTTCATAGACTTCTGCTTCTCATGGCTGCACATGTGTAGTTTATAATGTAGCTAACATTTCTTACTTAGAGGCTATCTTTATTTGTCTTACGCTTCAAGTCTCTTTCCATAGCATCCTATTTAGGGTCCTGCCCATGAAACTCAGACGGACAGGAAGGCTGCTCATAAAGCTGAAAATAGAAGAGGAAAGGAAAGAGGCCTACAGGTTTGAGTCAAGGCTACAGGTATTCTCTGTGTGTTTCATACCTGGGATGAGGAGCCAAAATGTATTGGGGAGGAAAGCCAGGAGTACAAATTATATGCTCAAAAATCACTTATTGAGACTATAAGCGTCTGAATGAATAAATCAGTATAAATCCACTGTATGCCAGATATGACCACAGATTCTTCTATCTATAACTCTCCTATTTGATAGATATCTAGACACCTTTGTGTAACTAGGGCAGTCTCTAAGTAACTCAGATTCTAAATTTTATTTGGTTCATTATTCAAATAAAGCAGGTACATTGCTGGAGACATTTCCAACTTTTACTTTCTTCTATTGATATTCCATAGCTTTGAAAGACTATTTTAAAATGATGTGTCAAATATTCTTCATAAAAGTTAGTAAGTACAAATTCAGAGTGCCACTTTTGTCTTTCTAGAATTGCATGTTTTTCCTGCTACTCTCCCACTCCATGCAGGGTTCTTGTGTAAGCTTGTACAGATTTTGTATCATATAACTCTTGGGGAGCACTATCATTATGAAAGTGTATGTCAGTCCCTAGAATTGTGCAGTGCATTACCTGGACAACTATACCTGGGGTCCTGCATATGTGTGACCTACTCTCCCAAGCCATAAAGTTCTTGAAATATGGGTATAGTCAGCATATATATGAAGTTTTAAAAATCATTCAATACTAAGCCAGAGTGACATGTGCAGTTGCTGTTAGAGGAAGCTGTAAGTGGACAACCATCCCCAATATTTCACTATCTCATCCCTGGTTTACTAGGTTAGATGACCTTAGACCTTTCAGTGGGAACTAGTTTGTGGCTTGACTTTCTCCTTTCTGTGCTGTCGTCTTACGTTAACCAATTTCAGCTCCACCTGAAGTCCCTGTTTCTGGGTGACTATTTTAAATTGCCATACCCTAGAGCAGTATATCTGCAATTAGCCTTGTGTTAGAAATATCAGGGGGCATCTGTAAAAAATACAAATGACTAGTGCCTATTTCATGATCGTTGGATAAAAAGTTCTAAGGTAGGGCCTGGGAATTTTTAAAAACCTGCTCTGGGGTATCATATTTCTTATGATGTGAAATTTCTTGACCATAACACATTGCTCTAGCAGAGCATCTCCCACACAGCTTCACCACTACCAAAGCCTGTAACCAAAGCCAAGCTGGTGGATTGGGGCTATCCCAGGAACTTCTCACAGGGTCATTACATCTGCACATGTAGTGAAAGTCCTCAGGGTGGCTTTGTAAATTACTCCATTGGACAGTGTTCTTGAGTTTATCTTATTTGAGTTAGAGCTGTTCCAAAACCCAGAACCATATTCCATCTAACACAGAGGTCACTGAATGGAGACTATCCACTTATTTAAGGCAGGAGGGCATGCTTTTTTTCCATGAAGCCAAAAGGAAGTTACATGCATGATTAAGAAAACTCTTTGGAGTTCTGTCTCCCGCTCAGGCTGCAGAATACTTGCCTACACACCATTTTGTGGAAGCCACCCAGTACCCCATGAAGTGGGCACGAATGTGTTCATGTTACTGATGATGAAAACTGGCAGTCAGTGAGGTTCGGTCTCCCAAAGACACACAGTCAGCAACTGGGATGGCCAGAATGCATTTCTAGTTTCCTGGGATTCCAGCTTAATAATGTTTTGTTTTTCCTCAACACTATAGCCCCTCTCTATACAGTATGTGTGTGTGTGGGGGTTGGGGAGAGAGCATATGTGTCCTGATCTGTTGGTCACTCTGTGATCATGGGCAGGATAGGTGTTCTGGGCTGAGCCTGAGCGTGTGGCCCGTGGCAATGTGTGTACAAGCTGTGCTGACTTATGGGGTAATGTAAAACTGATCTGTGTCTGAAGTTGCCTTTTATTGTCATTATCTCATCTGGGGGACCATTTTGCTTTGTGGCAAAAATGAAGACACTCCAGACCAAGAGATGCCAGCTTTGGCTTAGACTTCCCAGCCTTTCTTTTCTGCTGGCCTCTGTTTTGGCACCAGTACTTGGGAATGCTGGGGATGCTCAATGTCCTCTCCGCACAGGGGGAGGGGTCTTATCCTGCATAGTGTGCTCGTTATTAGCCTTGATCTTTAGGGAGGTGGATCCATGTGGGTTTTAGCAGTGGACTCTGCCTAGAAATAGTAGAAAAACAAATGTGTAGGGAATGCCTATTTAGTAATCAGCTAGCGCTGCTGGATGAGTGTTATTAGGGTCTTGAAAGATCCCATCATCCTTGGATTTTGGCAAAAGACTTTGGGTATGATTTCATCTCGGGGATGAGAACTAAGTTTTTCAGGTGACTTCTTAGTGATTCTAAAAAAATAATTGGCTTTAGTGTTGATTTAGTTTATATTTGTGCCTTGTCTATAATTTTAGGCCCTGTATAGAAAAATTTCAGAGCAAAGTTCTGGTCAGGTGAAATAATGTTCCAAGACAGTTGTCTTCACATTTGTGTTCATACAAACACTGGGGTACATGAAGACATCACATTCTTAATTCATACATGCTTTTTCCTAAAATTTATGTGTTCCCACCTCTATGATTGCCTTTCCCTGGGGTTACCCTGTTATTATATGCATATATATACACACACACAAGCATGTATATGTGTAAAAATATATATAAACATATATAATGTATATACATATATATATAATATATGTGTATGTGTGTGTATATATATATTTTTTGAGATGGAGTTTCGCTCTTGTTGCCTAGGTTGGAGTGCAATGGCATGATCTCTGCTCATTGCAACCTCCACCTCCTGGGTTCAAGCGATTCTCCTGTCTCAGCCTTCCGAGTAGCTGGGATTACAGGCACATGCCACCACGCCCAGCTAATTTTTGTATTTTTAGTAGAGGCAAGGTTTCATCATATTGGTCAGGCTGGTCTTGAACTCCTGACCTCAGGTGATCTGCCTGCCTCAGCCTCCCAAAGTGCTGGGATTACAGGCATGAGCCACTGCGCCCGGCCTATTATTATATTTTTTTATAGAGATGTGGTCTCACTAAATTGACGAGGCTGGTCTCAAACTCTTGAACTCAAGTGATCCTCCCATCTTGGCCTCCTAGAGTGCTAGGATTACAGGCATGAGCCACCGCGCCTGGCTAGGGTTACCCTATTATTTATTTCCAACTGCAGTGCTTTTGAGAGTGAATGAGGGCACTGTTAATAATTATGCCAAGGCATCAGGTGTGAACCGAGACTACTTTGGACAAAACTGCATTGCATAGTCACCTTACCCTTTCCTATTTTACAAGAGGAAGGCAAACATCTTCTCCTGCCTAAATCTTACTATAGTGAATGAGTCTAGGCTGGGTAAACTTCCAGATGCCAAACAAAGAGACAATGGAGCATGCAAGCCTCCTTAAGGAATAGCTAGTAAGAGCAAAGCAAAAAAGATTTCAGTAAGAAATAGTGAAGGGATTGCACCTCACGTCAACCATGCGATAAACTGGTAAGCTCCTGTGGCTTCTCCCTCTCCCTTTCTATCTTAGAATTGAAATTCTGAGGTGAGATGATTGTCACAGGGATGTGTGTTAATACATTTATTTAAAACGAAAAATGAAAGCAGACTTTTTGGGATGGAAAATAAATCTGATTTGTCTGATGAGCTTGGCAAAGAGGACCAGTGTTACAAATTGGGTTATGTGACAGATATTACACTTTCCTTAAATCAAATGAGTGAAATCTTCAGCTCTAGGATTTTGAAAAAAAAAGTTTTTAAGCTCATGTGCATTTTAAATTATAACTGTAGCAACTTTTAAACATATTACTATTGAAAAATGTTGACATAAACATACATAAGTGGTACATAACTTTTTCCAATTATTTTAGCAATATTTTTTATAATTTTAAATTTTATTTTAGATAGAGGGGGCACATGTTCAGTTTTGTTAGCTGGATATATTGTGTGATGCTGAGGTTTGGGATATGAATATCCCATCACCCAGATAGTAAGCATAGTACCCAAAGTTAGTTTTTCAACCATTGCCCCCTTTTCTTCCTCACCTTTCTATTAGTTCCCATCTTTATATCCATGAAGCCCAATGTTAGTTCCCATTTTTAAGTGAGAACTTGCAGTGTTTGGTTTTCTGTTCCCGTGTTAATTTGGTTAGGATATGCGTTAATTTGGTTAGGATATTGGCCTCCAGCTCCATCTGTGTTGCTGCAAAGGTCATGATTTTGTTCTTTTTTTATGGATGTATAGTATTCCATGGTGCATATGTGCCACATTTTCTTTATCCAGTTCACCACTGATGGGTACTTTGGTTGAGTCCATGTCTTTGCTATAGTGAGCAGTGCTGTAATAAACATGCAAATGCATGTGTCTTTTTGGAAAAATTATTTTCTTTTGAACATATACTCAGTAATGAGATTTAGCAAAAATGTTTGAAGACGATTTGAAGCATTTGCATTGAAGCAGTTGTGATGTTTACTGTCCTTGCCACTGGCCTCAGGGTCACTGTGACTATCTCCACTGCTCCCATACACTTCCAAATTCCACCACCCCTCCACACACACACACACACACACACACACACACACACACACACACACACACGGAACCACCATGGGCTCAGTAACTCCTCAAATGGGTGAATCTTGTGCTGGAAAAGGTTCCTGAAAGGAAGCCCCTGTCATCTTGTCCAGCCAGGCAACTCAGATGTCGTGGCCTGGACACTTCATTTGTGACCGAGCCTGTCAGAGGTCAATCTAGTTAGGTCTTTATTTATTAGATTGGCAAATTTTTCCTTGTTCCTAGCAGATACTCATTTTTCTTATTTTTTCTTCAATGAATCTTAATACAATGATAGAGATGGAACCAAAAAGAAGATGATTGAAAAATTTCTTGAGGAAATTGGACATCAGTCTTACTGGCCAATGCCTAGGGTGTGAGGCAGTTATGGGAGAAGGGTTCCTGAAAGGGAAGTAAAATCATGTTTATACAGGAAAGAAAATGATGAAATGACCCCATTACCTTCTTTATAAAGCTTTAACCTTCACTTGCTAAAATAAGACTAGTGAGTTTTTCCAGTTCGGAAGGCAGGAAGGCGAGGGAATACAAAAGAATAGGTTGAGGAAAAGGGCCTGCTGTTTAGAAACAGGAAAGAGCAAGGAGGGCCAAATGGGACTGCATAATATGGCAGCTTGCTCACCTGTGCAAAGGGCAATTACAAACAGTGGAATTACACAATGTGGAGGCAGGTTCATTGGTGGGTAGATACTTCTGTTCTAATTCTTAGTTGAGGTCTCTGGATGGTTCTGAAAAAACCAGTTCTCTCTGAATAGGTCAGCTATATTAATATACTTGTGGCATTTGATAGGAAGATTTACAATAAGTGGCTTATATTTTTATGGATTCTTAGTTAGAAAATGGCATCCTACCATATTTTATTCTGTTTGACTTTGACAAGAGTGGCTTGCCACACATGGAAACAGTGCTTGTGCTGAGGAATTCAACACCCAAGCACTCTTGCAAGGCTGTAAGTTTTATAAAAAGCATCTTTCAGGGTTTTGCTATGCCTCTTGGATAAACTACTCAAGTTAGCCTGTGAATAGTTGACTCATGCCTAATTAAAGAATGTCTCTATAGCCAAGATGAAAACAATTAAATGAATAATTTACAAAATTGTTTTTTAACATTTGACAGAGCTCATCATGCCAACACTGCTACTGTAGGTAACCCAAAACTAACTGCATTATAATTATAATGTACTCCTCTTGCACAGATTTAACTCACAGCTTCAGGCTTCAAAGATTTTTTTTTTCTGCTCTCAAACTAGTAATTTTTCTCAAAAGTTCATAAAACCTTCTAAAATAATATACAACTAGAAGGCAATTGGTACAATAAGTTCAAGTTAAAACATACAAATTGCCACAATTGTGTTTACTGTCAAGGTAGAGATTTGTTTGTAAATAGTGTAATTTGCTTGAAATAGATGAGCCTGCAAATGAAAGAGATGCGTTGGCACATTGCATATTAATATTTGTGTAAGGTGTCTTCTTAGTTGTGGATTTTTTACCTATCTTTTTTGATTGCTAGCAATTTAACAGTTTATATGAATGGTTAGAATGAGGCTTTAACATATATTTCTCATGCAAGTTCTTATAGACTGGAATAAAAGCCCAATACGAAAGAGGGAAAATCATTTAAGATTGTTTTAACCATGAATCTTGTTCCAGTTTTTCTTCCTATTTCTGCTGCCAGTGACCAGATTCAGACACTTAGCTCATGTCAGGGCAACTGTAATAGCTTGTTAAGCTGCCTCTCCTCCCTTGTGTCTCCTCCCTTCGTTTCATTCCTCCTTCTTAGATTAATTTTCCTTGAGTGCCTCCTTAATCATTTACAGGATCAATAGGTCATTCTACCAATAGTGGATATATAAACTACTTAGTCTGCCAATAAAAAGTAGTTACCATTTATTCAGTATTTTACCAGATACTAGGAGCTATATATATCTATGTTATCCTATTTAATCCTCATAATAAATCTGTGAGGTAGATATCTTTGTCCTTCTTTTATGGATAAAGAAAAAGAAGCTCAGAAAGTTTGAGTAATAGTGTCAAGATCACACAGCTCATAAGTGGTAGAGCTGGGATTTGAACTTGATCTACCTGATTCCAAAGACTATGAATTTCATTGCTAGAGTAGACTTCCTCCAAAAAGATTCCAAAATCTGACCCTAATTTACTTCTATGCTGTAATGCAAATTACTTTTCCGTATTTAATAGCATTCATTTATTCATTCTAAAATATTTAGTAAGCACCTACCTTGTACCAGGATACATACATTTGTAAGGAATGGTTGGTCCCCGCCAACTCATTGCTTATGGTCTTGTGATGGTGTGATGTGCTCCAGGAAACACGGTCAAATCACTTTCCCTTTCCCATGCATTTTCTATTCCCTTCTTGCTGGATTCTACCCTTCTTTTGAGGACTAGCTCATGTGCTCTCTGTCAATGATGTCTTCCTAAGCCATTCAAACCAATGGAGATTTCTCCTTTCTCTGAACTTATAGTTCACACTTGTTCTATATGTTAAAATACCAGTTCTGCCACAAGTTAGCTGTTTGACCTTGGGAAAGTTGCTTAAATTCTCTGCATCTCAGTTTTCTCATCTGTAAAATGGGGATTAATTATAGTATCAGTCTCATAGAGTTACTGTGAGGATTTAATGAATATATTGATATAAAGCACTCAAAACTGTACCTGTCATGTAAGTACTGTATTAATAATATTACTAGTTTATGATAATATGGTTTACTTTCCCCACTTTTATTTTTAGTTGACACCTAGTAATTGTACATATTTATAAGATACAGGGTAGTATCTCAGTCCATATATATGATATAGAATAATCAAAGCAGGGTAGTTAGCATATCCATCACCTCAATTGAAAATATATAATAAATTATTGTTAACCTTATTTACCCTACAGTGTTATAAAACAATAGAACCTACTCTTTCTATTTAGCTATAATTGTGTATCTGTTAACCAACCTCTTCTTTCCTATCTACCCCTCTACCCCTCTCAGCCTCTGATAATCAAAATTCTACTCCCTAACTACTACGAACTCAATGTTTTTTAGCTTCCAGATATGTGAGGACATGTGGTATTTATCTTTCTGTGCCTGACTTATTTCACTTAACATGATGTTCGCCAGGCTCATCCATGTTGCCATGGATGACAAGGTGTCATTCTTTTATATGGCTGAATAGTATTCCCTTGTGTATATAACATATTTTCTTTATCCATCACTCTGTTGATGGACATTTAGGTTGATTCCATATCTTAGCTATTGTGAATGGTGCTGCAAGTATTTCTTCATGATTTCTTTTCCTTTGGATAAATACATTGTAGCGAGAATGCAGGATCATATGGTAATTCTATTTTTAGTTTAGTTTTTTTTTTTTTGAGAAATCTTCACACTGTTTTTCTATGGTATAGTTTTAAAGCATCATGGGACATTTCTCATTGTACGTATCCAGTATTATATGCCTCTTTGGTTATTATTTTTAAGCTGCTCATATATTTCTTTATATTTCTATGATACCAAGCTTTTTGTCCTGCTCTAATTTTGCTCTTGCCTTTAAATATATATATATATAAAATAAAATATATATATCATATATATATATAGGAATTTACTGTTAGAAGAAATTTGCCTTAATGTTATTCTTATTTCTAACAGGGTCATATTACAGAAAGTGAAAAGTCTGTGTTGTAGTGAAGTTCCAAATTGTGACTAAGCCTTATGCTGCTGTTGTGATTTAGCCTTACTCTGCTATTGTGATTTAGCCTTATTCTTTTTATGTTCTTATATTTTTTTACTCAGTGATATAAATGAATCCAAATTTTTCTGGTGATTGCATGACTATTTACTTATGAATAATAAACTCATCTTAAAAATGGAGACTAGACTGTGGAGTAAGTTTGTAAAATCTTTTGTACCTGAGTCTATTGATTGTTACTAAACTCTGGATCCTGAAGCTAAGATGACATTTTGAAGCTCTTGTCTGATGCAACTGCTTCAGACAGCCACTACGGAAACAACCTGATCCAGAAGATGATCCTTTTTAGCTCAAACAAATACTTTGAAAATTTGAAAGTTTGGAGGAAAACATATGGATTGTAGCCATAAAAATGTTGGAGTATTTTGGTCAACAACAAATAATTGGCTTCTTGTGTGATTTGGCTTATATTTTTCTAACGTAATCTAAGTACCTGGGATAAATTCTGAGGATGAAGATCTTCGTGATCTAAAAAGATACAAATTCCTGGAGATGACTGGAATTCCCTTTTCAAAGCCTTTCTTTTGCTGCATGCACAAGAGAGTTCTGAACACAGATATATTGTTGATAAATTGGTATCCTTAGGTTGACAGAAGAAAAGTAGACATCAGGTTAGTGTGGCTGAGGGAAAAAGGAACAAATATAAGGCCCAGACATCCTGGAGAAGACATTTTGCTAGATGTTTTTGCATGTTGTTTTATTAAATAATGTTCAATAGAATTTTTCTTTAGTAGCAGGTAATGAGAACTCAAAACACCTTTGTTTATGCAAAAATGAAATGTATTTTACTGTTTAAGGGAAAATCCAAGACTGAGGCACAACTGGATTCAGGAGTGCAATTGACATTAGTGAGAATTGGTCTCTCTTAGCTCTGCTCTCCTCTGTATTGGCTTCATCTTCAAGAAGAATCTTTCCATGATGATGCAAAGCTGACCACTGGTTGATGTAGCCTAGGCTTATTTTCTACTACGAATTTCAGCAAATTCTAGTGGGGGAACTGTGATCAGCCATACCTGGATCTTGCGTTTATCCTTTTTTTTTTTTTTTTGAGATGAAGTCTTGCTCTGTCACCCCGGCTGGAGTGCAGTGGCATGATCTCAGCTCACCGCAACTTCTGCCTCCCAGGTTCAAGAGATTCTCCTGCCTCAGTCTCCCAAGTAGCTGAGATTACAAGCGTGTGCCACTGCACCCGGCTGATTTTTTTTTTTTTGTATTTTTAGTAGAAACAGTGTTTCACTGTGTTGGCCAGTCTGGTCTTGAACTCCTGACCTCAGGTAATCTACCCACCTCAGCCTCCCAAAGTGCTAGGATTACAGGCGTGAGCCACCACACCTGGTCGCGTCCATCCTTGAGCAACAACTTTGCCTACAGGAAAGGAGAAGTAATCTGGTTATTCAGTCTAGGTCACTTGTTCCCTCTTATTATGGTCTAAGCAAGGCTCTGTGGCATAGATGAGGAGCAGTTTCCAAAATGGGAAAATAATAATAAATGCCCACTAGAAAAGAAATAAAAATGCTAATTGTATTCTGGGCTACTTATGAATACAAAAAACAATGATAAAGCTTTAATGGTCTTCTTGACTCTGTGTTCTTGAATCAGGCTCAGGAGGTTGGGCAACTGTGGCACATATTTCTAAGTGCAGTCCCACTTCAGCTTCTAGATGGTAGACCTGGTCTTAATCTTAGAAAGGTGAGGGTCACTTAGGGAGCTCAAGGTTGGTAATTTACCAACACAGCATCAAGTGAGTCTTTGCTCTTGCCCTCACTCCAAACTTGCTAGCCCTGTTCTCCACTTACTGGCTTCCAGCTATGACTGCTTATTATTGGATTCACTTGTGACTGAAACCTTGTTCCATTCCCTAGGGTGGTGCCAACCTGACCACTTGTAACTTCGTGACCAGGTTCCTTTCACTCCCCTTCTCCAGTTACTGAGTTTTGTCCATGTCATTTTTTTTTTGACTGAACCCCTGTGTTTTAGCCCAGTTCTGTCAGAGACTAGATGTTCTTTCTGCAAACTCTTCTTACTGCAGAATGAGGTCCCTATACTGGTTTTCTGATCATTTCCCTCTGTGTTGCTGTCCATCTCACAGTAGGAACTCTTTCCATTATCTTGTCCTTTGGCTTTAACCATTCGTCTACTCACTCTTTCATCCATTACATAATATTACTTTTTTTTCATAGTAAATATTAGTGTGGATCTATTAGATACTCAGTTCTGAGTTAGGGCTGGAGAAAAAAAGATGAATGGTTACTACTCTCAAGGATTTGAGTTTAGTAGGAAAAGACAGTTAAGAAATCTCCAAATTATTAGAGAGTGCTAGGGATGCATATACAAAGGCCAGTCCTGGAAGGAAAAGAGAGTTAGGAAAATTTGTCTGTGAATGCGGTCGTTGATTCTTGGGTGTGTACTGGTTTGATGGGGAGAAAAACAGGAACTGTCCAAGTAAAGGGCACAGAATCTGCAAGGGCTCAGAGTAATGAGAGAATGGAATTAGTCCAATATAGGGCAATATGTGTGACGCATATGGGAGACTGTTAGTAGATAAGAAAACCAAGGTAGAGGGTGGCATGATAACGGGGTGGGGGTGGGGGACACTTCTAAGTCATATATGGGTGTTTGATCTTTTTCCTAAAAAAGCTAACCATCTGATCTTCCCAACTTGAACAACTTTTCCTTTTACCTTTATTTCTTTCAAGGATTTTGGTAAATGACAATTGAATTTTACCTGTCACTGCTACTGTGTGCCAAATATACAGGCTTCAATTCATCAGAACATTTAAATTTTTGTCTCTGCATGGCTGTCTTTAAAAAAAATGTGCTGAGTCCTACTTCTTGAATGAATTTCAAGAAATTCCCTCTTCCTCAATTAGCTCCTCCTGAATTTTCTGACTCCACTGAGGCCTACTCTCTTCTACCTACTCTTCAGTGTAGACAACTGTGAAGTTCTGAAGATATTTAGCAGTGGGCTGGTCTTAGAGAAGAGGAGAAGATATCTACCTTTTGAAGTAATCTAATGTTGTATTAATAGAAAGGACCACCTAACCAAAAACATTGTCTCAATCTTAGGCCTGAGATCATGATTAGAATGATTTCTTAAGGATCTTCTAGAATGAGGATGGGTATGCATTTTAGAAACATAACATATGTTATATGAATATAGAAACATATAACATATTTAGAAACATAGAAACAATAAGGCCACAAGACACCTAGGAAAAATACATCCTAGCTTAATAATACACTAGAAGGGCTTTACCTATCAGATTCCGTGTAGGTTTTTATGAAGTTTAAGAGAAAGAGATCAGGCAAGAGGAAAGTAAGGTGCTTCTCAAGTCTGTGAGCCTTCTATACCACTCAACTCTGGAAGCAGCTCTCTAGCCTCTAAGAATGCCGATGGTCTTCAGATATCCAGTAGGATGGATGAAGGGCACAAGAGTAATTTTAGCCTCATTCATAAATTGTATTAGAGGCAACATAATTTAGAAGGAGAGAAATACTGGTTATGGGGGCATGAAGGAGTGTACGGTTTACCCTTTGACCTGGAAGAAGGACTGGATATACATTCAGAGGTTAAAAGTAGTCCTCCAGGCAAAAGAAAAGCTTGAAGCTACTAGAGAGGAATGAGCTAGACATTCAGTGTGTTCTATAACGTACTCAGGATGAACCAAAGGGCAAATATTTAAAGTTTACATCAGGCAGCAAATCCACATTTTCACTTTTCTTCATAAATGCTGTGTATTACAGGAAGTGGGGGAGGGAAGGAGGATGGAGGGAGTCGCTGGCCGATCTTCCTTCTGAAAGCACTGCACAGTTGCTAGGCACTGTGGTAAGTGGACTCTTCCTTTGGTCTAACCCCATTTGCTCCTAAACACATGGCAATCGTTTAATTTGACTTTATCTTTGTTTTATTGGAGAGACCCCCCATGTACAAAAGGCAAAATCATCTTATCTTTAAAAATACTTTTATATTAAAGAGAAGTGAAGTTGTATGTATGTGTTTTAATGAGCACCAGACCATATCCCATGCTCCAAGCCTTCATCCCCTCCTGAACATGTGAGGTCAACAAGGGTTGTCTTTTGCCACATTACAATGCTGCCTAGACTGCTGCTGGTTTTCTTTCAGGACATCATTAGCAGAGAAGTATTACTTAAAACAACATATAAATGCAACTATAAGAAGTATGCTTATTTACTTTTTTGCTAACTCATTGAGGTTGCTTTCTATATGGAGTAAATTGAAGAGCTCTGCAAAGCTGAGTCCACCCCCTATAATCTTCTGCATCAAGTAGCTATGGGGCTGAACTCTGCTTTTAGAATTATGCTTTTGGATAAAGAACTGGTCTCAATAAATCCATGTTAGTAGAAATCTACAGAGCTGCCGTGTGTGGGAAAAGTAACATGTTGGTGTGAGGATGACAATACAAGACATGGATGTTTCTCAGCCTCCACCCCTGCATTGTGGCAGACATTGCAAATCAACTATGGCACACTTTGCCACCAAGTCTCAATAGGGCCTTAGCTTCCTTGCCAGTACATGCCCAGGAGGTATTACCAATCAATTAGGATTATTGCCTGGGATAAAATCAGTTTGTCCTCAGTGCATAGATTGAGTAGTTTATACAATGGATGTAGCAGAGGGCATCATCTAGTAGTGGGTGTTTGGAACATGTACCTTTTGGTAAATGGAGGGCCTTGAGGAAAAAGGATGTCTCCCTGGTTGCAGAAGAATGGAGTGTTAAATGAGAAATGTAATACAGTGAGTGTTGAGACAATGATAGACTTCATTATTTGCCTCTAAACTGCCTCTGCCCAGATGTATTGTGTCTCTGGATGCTCTAATTCCAACAGAAAGGAGAGCTGAGGAGTTGCACAAAAACACGAATTAAAACTATCCATTCCATTAGGTTCTACCATTCCATCACAGTTTCAGGCTCTAGGAATGTTCTCTGCTGGAAAAAAATATTACATTGGAACCCTTTTGGGATCATGATTTCTCAAGTTACTTATTGATTAGGAAAATGTCTTTTTTAAGCTTCTCTGATCACCATTCTTTTTTTTTTAACTGAGAAGTTAGAAAAGTATTCATTTCCATATAACAAAAGTAAACCAATAGCATTTGAACACAACACATTTTTGTGAAAAGAACAATATTTCAAAAAGAAGTTGGGTGACAAGAGTGGCCGTATTTCCCATTTCTGAGATCTCCTTCTTGTAGCTGGAGCCCACACCTGCTCCCGGTGCCAGGGCTGCGTCTGCCTGTGCCGGCTGTCCTGGGAGCAGTGTGCGGGCTCGGCAAAGACCGCGCTCCCTGCCCTCAACTGTGGAGAAGCCCCCTCGCTGTCTGGAGCAAGAGGGGAGAAAGGGGCGCCACAGACCCTGGCTTTGGGGGATCTGGCGGGTAAGTTGGCCCAGTAGACAAGGTCAGGTGAAGCCACCCAGGCTCCACAGGGCCAAGTGTGATGAGTACACAAGGCACGTAGCCACCTTGAGGCTGTGCACTCGCCGATGTCTGATTACCATTCTTTATAATCATTTATAGTATATTTTAAAGGGCATCACTTCCTATTTTCACTCTCGATCAGAGTTTCCAAATGAACAAGCTCGTTTAATACAAAGAAATATTCTGTTAAGTAGAATCTGTTTTCAATTTACTCTCTTGGGTAAGATGTGACATACAAAGATAACAAAAATACATTTTGTTAATTTCAAAAGTCCTCTCTGTGACCCGTATACAGTTATATTTCCAGGTGGTTTGATAGGATAACTCTTCAGAGAGTTTAACTTTGGAAAACTATATTCTGGAGAAATTAATAAATGCTGACTGAGTGTCAAATAGGCATTAAGGAGATATTCCAAGAGGAAAGTCCTGGAATCCAACCCACATAATGTTTCCATATTGGCTTTTTCTCTTTAGACTGACTTGATGATTGGGGACTGTGGTCTCAGGCAATTTTTGGATTGCTTTTTGTTTTGTTTTGCAATTGTTGGGCCTTTTCTTTTGAAAGCTCTATACAGTGAAATTCATTTATATGGTTCTGAGTAATTTTTTCCTGTGCTATTGTTCACATCTGTGGCCCTGCCAAAAAGAGCAGAGGCTTCAAAATAATTTTTCCTACGGATACTGTTTTGTATGTGTTCTGTCTTTATTTTTGGTTGTTGTAAGGCCACCAGTTTTATTTTCCTTTTGGTGTCCAATATTCCTGGACAATTTTCTGTGGCCTCAGAGAGACTCAGAGGGAAGAGATGCTGTATAAACTGAGTATCCTGTGTGTTTTTCCACTTATATTTTCCTTTTGAAAGAAAAAAACAGAGGGTAGTTTTCTGTGTATGAAATCCTTTTTTTAATGACCAGAAGCTATTCGTTAAATGTATCTCACCTCTGTTGTAGGACAAAATGCTCCTTTTTTAGTGAAATGTCCAGTAAATTGTTCCAGGTGCTCCGAGAAGCTAAGGGACGTTTTCCAAAGATACTCATCACTCCAGATATCATATATAAGCCTCTAGTTTACTTACTTTTTCATCCCCTTATGTGGAGACTTTTTCAAACACACACTAAGTTCCAGCAAAGTTCATCCAGTCTAGGACCATATGTCAAAAATTCGAACAATGATTTAGCCCACTACTTGGTTGAAAGACAAAGACAATTTCAGTATCTGTGAACTTTAATATCTAGGTATTATATCCATGGACATGTTCCAATTTGCCAGGTCACACCGGAAGTCCACATCACAGCTTTCACTCTTTTACTCTGTGTAAATTTTGTGCCCCCTCCCCTGCAAATGTCTGAAATAAGCTGAATAAACAGAACACATTGGGTAACCTGGGGAGTGTTCTAATCAGAAATATTTTCACTCAAGGAGTAAAGCTTTACATAACCCACTAGGAACTGTGATTTGAACCACCCATTGCACTCAATAAAGCATTAAAATGAGAACATATTTTAATCAGATATCCAGGTCCATATTTATTTTTCTCTTTCAGCTGCTCATGTAAAAACTTCATTTTAAATTGGGTAAATGTATAACTCTACATGTCTATTGGGCAATGCATTCAAATGTCAACTTCTATTTCCAAGTAATTGTTTCCATTATTTTTTTCTTCCTTTGTCTTCCAAGTGTCAGAAGAAAATATAAAAACACAAGTGCATTGAAGAGATAAATGCAGAAGAAAATCTACCCTTGTGCATTGCACATTTCAATAATGGGTAGCTAACTTCCAACACACTGCTGCACACCAAAGTCCAGCATCTTCCAAACACTAATTTGGTTCTACAGCATTAACACAGTGAGACATGTGAAAAGGACTTCTCTCTATTTAGCTTTCTAAAAACATATTTTGCTATTAAATGTATCCAGTAAAAGTTGTATAATGTATATGCATAACATATATGTATAGAATAAACTGAAATTTAATAATGACTTGAACACTGGTGTATTTACAAACCAGCTTAAGAAACAGAAGAGTGTCAGTACCTTCTAAGCCCTTTGAGTGTCCCTCCCCTAATGCTGTTCCTATTTGTCTACCCAGAGATAGCTACTATGCCGAAAGTTATGATCATCTCTTGATTTTCTTTAAAGCTTTACTTTATCTGTGTGTTTCCATAAGTAGCTTTTACTATACAAGATTTGATCTTTACATAGATGAATTAGAGTCTGTTTGTTTTGCTTAACATTATGCTTACAAAATCTATCCATGTTAATGTAACTACGTTTATTTACTTTCGCTACTGCACAGTATTCCATTGTAGGGGGAAAAACCCCTACTATTTATTTAGTCATTCTTTTGTCAAGGGAAGTTTGAGTGAGTCCCTATATTTTTCTATTGTAAGTATCGTTGCTAGAGAGATTCCCGGTCTTTGTCTCGGGGTGGATACAAATAACTGTTTCTCTGTAGTATATATCTAGGCATAGATTACTGAATCATAGAGTATGGCCATCTTCAACTCTTCTTGGCATTGCTCCTCTGAATTTGGTTTTTATTTAAATTTTTAAAAAGTGTGTATTAAGGAAATCAAACTTTTGAATAGAATTTCAACCTGACGTTAATTTCTGAGTTTTTTCCGCCATATTCTAAAACAATGGCCCTGACTTATAGCTATAAGCCATATATATATATATATATATATATATATATATATATATATACATGAAGCTGTTGTTGGTAGATTTGGTGTTTTTATCTTTCCTGCCTGCTCTGATTATGCATAATTAGACTGGCCAAGGATTCTTCTATTTTTCAGTGTGACCATCATGGTTCCTTTGCTCAACCGTCCCTAAGGTTTTTATCATTAGTAGTAATAGGATGAATAATCTTCCTTCCTGTCTGTAACTGTAGCGTTCATCAGTTGTTTTATCTATAACCTTGTCTTTCTTCTGGGAGTAGTACTACCTCTTTTTTTAGTTAAAAAATATTGTTCTCTAAAAAATTGTAGTAGAATACACATAACATAAAATTTATCACCTTATTTTAAAGTTCTTTTGTAACTGACTTATTTAACTTAGCATAATGTCCTTAAGATTCATTCATGTTGTAGCATGTGTCAATATTTTCTTCCTTTTCAAGGCTGAATACTATTCCATTGTATGCATATGTCACGTTTTGTTTATCCATTCTTCTGTCAGCAGCTAACCTGGGTCACTTTTACCTTTGGGCTATCATAAATATTACTGATATGAACATAGGTATACAGCTATCTCTTCAAGTCCCTAGTTTCAGTTCTTTTGGGTATACATCCAGAAGTGGAATTGCTGGAGTACTTTTGCTTCTTAGAGGAGTACTGCTCCTACCCCTGTTCCAACCATGTGTTTCTGGTGAGGGCTGTCAGTCTAGTCACTGTGTCTCCTCTTGTCACAGTTGATTGGCTGACAGGTGGACATCTGGGCCAAGCTAGGCCAATAAGAGTCCTCCCCGGAAGTTTTCAGAGTGGAGTTGGAGAAGGTAATTCAGTTATCTCTGTAGTGGAAGTTTAGGAGCTATTAGTGGTTAAGTGTCCTGTCATGTGAAGAAGACCCACTTGTGAGAAGAGAAAATAAAGCCATCAGGCAGAAAGAAGTAGAAATGAGAAATAAGAAAGTCCTCGTAGCACTTGCTTTCTTGTCTTTTTCTAAGTCTTTTGAGCCAGTAAATTCCACATGCCTTAAGCGATTTGAATGAGATTTTTATTCCTTGCAATCAGTGTCTTGACCAACATAGGGTCATAGCTATATCCTGTGCTTTAGGCAAGTTCTACTTTAAGTCAGCCAAAGGTCAGTATTGCTTCCCACAATCCTGAAGGCTGGTGCAATGCAATGAGGGGAAATATACTGATTCGTGTCAGAGTAAACATTGCCCTACATCTGTGACTGAAATTGGCAATAGGGAATAATTAGTGAGTAAAACTGATGAGTATGCAAACTGAGAAGGCAAAGAGATAGCAATGAATTATAAGAGGAAAGGATGTTGGTTTATAAATGTTTGATGAGAAGATTGACCTAGGCTGTAAAGCTACAATGTATGACTAATAGACAGAGGTCTCGGGTTGTGGGATATGAAACAACGCAATTTTCTATGTCAGGAGGCAGAATTTTCTGAGAAGGCAGATTTATTCTAAATCATAAGAGTGAGTATGGAAACTAAATGACTTTGTTCCTTCCTAATGTTTAGAACAAAAGAAAGGGTTCTAGACTAGCTGGTATGAAAAATGGGCATTTATAGATGGGCTTAACTACTTGGGTATGAGAAGCAGAAACCTTCTCCAACTGGATAAAGAAAAAAAAGGAGAAAGAAAGAAAAGAAAGAAAAATTACTGGACGAATACTAGAGTGCCTCCAAGAACTCTTGGAGGGCAAGAGGGCAAGAGCAAGGCGTACAATTGGGCCTCACAGAGAACTGGTGCTTCCAATTTGAAAGCTCAAGGAGTGAAAGTATTTATTTTCTTCCTATCTTTTCTCCCCTCTGGAACCTCTCTTCTCTTTTTGTGTGTGTTTCTACTTTATTTTCTCTTTTACTCTTTATAGGTTGTTTTTTTTCTACTTGAATATGGCCATCTCAGTACTAACTTTCCATATCCTTATAAACCTTGCACTCAAATTTCAGATGAAAATCCGCTTGGCCTGGATTGGGTCCTGTGTCCACCTTGGTACAATTAACAATGTTTAAAAGGGCTTGTTTCCCATTCAGCAGGGAACGGGTTAGCTGATGACCTGAAGGGAAGATGTGGGTACATTACTTTTAATAAAGATTATAAAAATGGTCTTCGTTGAAGAAAATAAAGATGACAAAAGACAATACAAATGTTTTATCTTTAATAAAAACAATTTAACAATACAGTTGGCAAAGAGAGAAAGTGATTGAGTTGTTTTGTACATATATTAATCTGTGCCAAGTTGGACACCATATGTATGCTCCAGACCTAGTTTATACAGTATGTAGACTGAACTATCAAATTCCTCAGAGTCCTGCTCACCCTTTTCTCTGATACTCATGTTTTCAGTGTAGTTTTTAATGCTTGCAAAGCCCTCACCATGCTTGTTTTTGTTTTTGACTTTTTGTTTTTTGACTCTCAGAAGATACATGTATCTAACTCCCATGTGAGTGGTAAGGGCACATGGTCTGGAGCAAGAAGACCATGGAAGAGAATTAACCACTGTCTAGTTGAGTGATTTGAGCCGTGATTTCCTCATCCTTAAAATGGGGCTAATAAGCCTGCCCCACTTAACTTACAAGGTGGTTACAAAAGTTGAATGAGATATTGGGAGTAAATCTGATTTGTAACCCGAAAAGCAGTTTCAAAGATAGGTAACTAGACTTGTGGTTTTCAACTCCAATACAGATGACCCAGAGTATGATCACAATAATTCATTGCCAGTAATTTATTACTAGTCATAAAGATCTGACATTTGTGAAGTACTTTTAAAAAATAAAGAATACATTCAAAGTTATTTGTATACTAATGTCACTGTTACTCATTTGCATTTCAATATTTCCTTTAATGGTAACAGAATAGATGGAGTTTGGCATAGTATGGTAAGAATTGTCTATCATTTTGAAGTCACCTCTGAGAGTGTGTTACACATATATGCTTCATGTACCATGTGCATTGTGGCAGCATATACTTAAAAACTGACAAATCATGGAACTATTAGCTATGTGAGGCAGGATTCAAGTTTTCCTCATTCACTGCTGTGTGCCCAGCAACTGGCACAGTTCCTACCACACAAGAGGTTCTCAGTAAATACTGAAATGACCCAGAAGCTAACATTCCAAGGACTACAGATAGTTTTGCTTATGCCTTAGATACTGGAATTTCATTCTTGTACCAAGTAGGAAGGAATATGTTTCCTGCTCACCTTTGTTTAGGAGAAAAATGTGATGCTTGTGGTATGTGTAATTGATTTGAGGTGTGAATTACAGTTGCTAAGTTGTTCTTTTGAAACTCTAAAGAGAGCTGTAAACAGAGGCCTTTGTTTACTACAAAGCATCTAATTACTAGCTGCTTCCTAATCTATGCTTTCTATGCCACGAGGACTTGTTGATGCATTAAAGAAAATACTTGCTTAAAAAATATTAAAAACCTGAGTATAGAAGGTGGTTCTGAGAAACTAACATTTAAAAAGATGTTCCCTTGTTTTAAAGGAAAATAAAGCTAAATAAAATCTTCAACTTCAAACTATCTTGGTAAAAATTCTGAATGGATAAGAAATCTGCATTTCTCTAAAAATGAGCTATAGAAAATGCTGATCAACTAAGCGATCAGGAAATGAGATAAAAGGCCACAATCAACTAATCTGGTTTTCAAATATTATTTCATTTTTTAAAAGTCGGGAACAAGTAGTAAAGTGATTTCTTATGGTGCTGGCAGAATGGGTGCTGGGGAAGAGAACAATTGCTCCTTTGAGGGAGCTTCTTGGGTGCTTGCCTCCTGTAGTTAGATTTTTCTATTTAAGAGAGCCATCTGCTTCATTAAACTTTCCAAGATCAGGCATTATCTACAGGGAGTTCCACAGAGTCTTAAAACAGAACCGCAGCAAAGTTTTCAGTTAATGCCAGCAAGCCAGATGTTAACCAGATTGTGAAATTCTTTTTTCCTTCCAAAACCAGAGATTTCAAGAGAGGCTGAATTAATGCAAATATTGGACAATCCTTAGGGTTAGCATTTGGAGTCAACATTGATCTGTTTTGGCCTCTGCTCATGGAGCCCCTCTAGAGTCAGTCCAGGGGAGCTCTGTGTATGGTTTAGGAAAACATAAACAGAGGGATTATAGGGGGAGAATTCTGGCCTTCCACATTCCCTAGTGCATATTCCCTGCTGAAAAAGTTACACATACTAAATGCTGAGGAATTTGATATTCCCTGTGCTACTTCCTTAATCCAGCATACATTTCTTCAATTTTGGATGAGTTTTCATTTCTGAGTGTACCCTACAGACTGCCTACTGATCTCAAAAAGATTGAGTGGAGGAAAAAACATGCAATAGAAACTGAAAATGAAAACTGCTCCTTTTTGTGTCCCCCAAGAGCTGACATTTGATTATCTGAATTATTTGGACTGAAGCTCTCTTTAGAGGCACAAAGATAGGTACATCCTTTCTAGAAAGAAGTGCTGAAGGAGGCTGTCAAATACTCTGGGGGGGTCACAAGGCCTCCATTTCTCTCTCTCTCTCTCTCTCTCTCTCTCTCGATGCAGTCTCGCTCTCTCTCTCTCGATGCAGTCTCGCTCTCTCTCTCTCGATGCAGTCTCGCTCTGTCGCCCAGGCTGGAGTGCAGCGGTGCAGTCGGGGCTCACTGCAAGCTCCGCCTCCCGGGTTCACGCCATTCTCGTGCCTCAGACTCCCGAGTAGCTGGGACTACGGGCACCCGCCGCCACACCTGGCTAATTTTTTGTATTTTTAGTAGAGACGGGTTTCACCGTGTTAGTCAGGATGGTCTCGATCTCCTGACCTTGTGATCTGCCCGCCTCGGCCTCCCAAAGTGCTGGGATTACAGGCGTGAGCCACCACGCCCAGCCTCAGGCCTCCATTTCTTTTGTAACAAGTGCTAGCTTTGTCCCTGGGATTAGAAGGATCAGATTCTCCCTTCGGCTACCAAACAGGGCAAGATTCACTTGTTTTTAGGAACCCCAAACGTTCACATATTTTCCTCTTAACCTCTTTTCAAATTCAACCAAATCAAAACAACTAAGCAGCTAAACAGCAACAACAAAGCAACACAAAAACCAATCCTTTCTTGTCCCTAATTGGGTCCAATATTTTCAAGGTAGAGTGAGTAAGTTTTAAGTGAAACCAGCTATTATTGACTATTATCCTCTAATTTTATAAGACTAAAGTTAGGAAAACACAATTCCCTTTAGAGGCGTTATTTTTCTAGCATATATAACCTAAAAACAAACAAACAAAAAATTGTGGTTTAAAACCCTAGCTATGAAAACATACATTTTAACAGCATTAAGAGAATCAAAATAGACTAGTATCTTCACATGCCAGATGTAAAGGTGTTCCATGAGTGTATCTAAAAGGCTGATTCTGCCTTTTGACCCACGGATGGGTCCCATTGCCATAGCAAACAAGAAACACGATTTCTCCTCTGTGATGAAGGCATGATTTTGCTGTCATGACTTGCTATCATATATTGAAAATGTTCTTTAGACACATATGCACTTATGCTTTCTATTGTGAGAAAGCATTTCAGTTCAGTTACTCATTTCTGTCAATAGAACTGTAAATATTTAGATTCGAACAGTATGGTCATGATTGATCCCAATAACAAAAGGAGAAACTGACTTAGCATGTCCCATGAGATGTATAGAGTCAGAGATATTCCATTTCTCAGTGTCCTTTATTTTTCATCTCTACCATAGTCTTACCTCTGCTCAGCTTCCTTGAAGACCCGAGACAGAATTGCATAAATAGACTCTATTGCTAAGGAAACAAAGGCCTGAATTTCCTCCCTTTATGGATAGTTTTTTTTCACAGAAGTTTGTGACTCTTATTTATCAGTTTGGAAGATGTAGACTGCTATGTTAATATCACTTCTCAACTCTTTAGGATTTTCAGTCGCTGTTTTTGTGGCGATCTATGATATTTCACATCTATCTTTAGCAAATATTATCCAATTGACTCAACGTAGCCTTCTGAAGCATTAGTTAGCAGCTGCCACCGCAGAAATGTTCCCTGCAATCACAATAGCTTGAGACTTGCTGGCATATTAATTCATTTTTTTTAAATTATACTTTAAGTTCTGGGGTACATGTGCAGAACATGCAGGTTTGTTACATAAGTATACACGTGCCATGGTGGTTTGCCACACCCATCAACCCGTCACCTACATTTGGTATTTCTCCTAATGCTATCCGTCCCCTAGGCCCCCCCACCCCCCGACAGTCCCTGGTGTGTGATGTTCCCCTCCCTGTGTCCATGTGTTCTCATTGTTCAACTCCCACTTACGAGAGAGAACATGCGGTGTTTGGTTTTCTGTTCTTGTGTTAGTTTGCTGAGAATGATGGTTTCCAGCTTCATCCATGTAGAAAGATTCTTGGTATGGTTGCACTGCTCTCTCTCCAATTGTATTTCCTTCTCCCAAAGTACCAACGTATTATCCTGCCACTCCCTAGAAACCCTTGGGCTTCTGCTAGTCTAAGACAGAGAACTTATCAAATGTGCCATGGATTTTAAAACTGCCAATTCAATATCAATTAACGTAAGTTTCACTGGAAAAATGAGAATATCTCTCAAAGAACTTTGTTTAGAAAAACCAGAAAAGCAGTCACATCTTTTAAGAAACCATTAATCATGAAAATCTCTTTTCAAGAAGTCTCATCACCCCCAGAAACTGCAAATAATATGCCCCAGATTTTCTTTACAAATCTGAATAGTCTGCCTTTCAGTTTTGCAAACATGAGGGAGATTCCTTGGCTGTTTGCCTGTGTTCTGCAGCTCCTAAAATACCACACTGAGTTTGCACCAATTCGATACTAATGCTGATATAAGAAGAGAAGTTCATGCAGAGATCTTAGCAATACATACAACTAAATACAGCTTTTGACTCTTCTAAGTCTAAACCTAAATTGTAAGCTCCTTTTTGGTAGGAACCATGCCTCTTGCCTTCTTTCTCTGTGTCTCCTCAATTCTGTCTCTCACAAAATTAAGCATATATTAGGTGTTTAATAAATACTCTGAATATGACTTTTTCCAGTTCAAAAAGCAAACTCATTAAACAACTTTAAGAAAAATACAGGGAGAAGAAAAAATTCACTCAAGATCTCATGACCCAAATAGCAGCACAGTCAGGATTTAGTAAATATGTAATTTGAAGCTGTTTGAATTAAAGCCTCTATTGACTATGCTGATGCCCAACTGTCCAGTCATTAGACCAGCCCACTCTTTCTCACTCCCTGTAGTCCTAAAAACAGTTCTTAAATATCCTTCTGTTTGAAAAATTCCCATCTGCTCCACCCACGATCACAGCAGAATGAAGACATCGCGTTCCTCTGTTATGCTGCACTTGTAGGGCTTCAAGGAATTCAGAAATCTGCATACAGAAGAGACCATCTGACTCCTTTTATCCACCCAACCAGCTACCCATCCATTCACTCGATTCAACAAATAAGTGCTCAGTGCTAAGTGCTCACTATGAATCAGACCACTGTGTTGTATTCTGAGAAAACAAGGGTGAACAAAACAAACCTGGATTGCTTCTGTCCTAGAACTCACAGTCCAGTGGGAGACAAAGGCAATAAACAGTGAGCAAGGTAGTGTGTAAATGTAGAATTCTGAGAAAATCTGAAAGCCAAGAAGGACAGGAAAAGAAGATCGGATGCAGTTCCTTTTGATTTCTTATTCAACCAAAGCCTTTTTCACTTGGCTTCTTTCAGTATCAGCTCAACTATTCCATGGGCACACTGAGAAACCATATGGCAAACAAGGTGGCTTGAGGCAAAATACCTGCCATGTTGGGGCCTGCCTTCTAGTAGGACTAGCAAGGTATGCAAACCAAAACCAAAAGCCAAACAAGCAGGGCAAGCTCTGTTAAATTGTTAGAGTGTATGCAGCAGATAAGTTATAAAGAAGACTAGATGGAATATGGTGCCTGTTGAGTTTTAGAGACAAAAGGTAACACAGATAAATAAAAGGGAACTTAATACAGCTTCTGAGTGTAGCCTGCCCTTCTGAATGGTCAGAACTCTGGAATGCTCTGGGTCTTGTTCACTGTTGCTTCACTGTGTTGCTCTTTAGTAATTTCTTCAAATATTTTTGCAGGAGTAGATTGTTGACAAGCAGCTGATGATTAAATAATACTTGTAGATTGAAAGGAGGGAGCGGGAAGGTTGGGAGTGATACTACATTTATTGTCATTTTCTTTCCCTGCTTAAGATCACCATTATTACATGTGCTACAGCTGCAAAGACACTCTCTATAATAAAAGCTACCTCTCTCCTTCTTTCTCTTTCTCTCTCTCTCTCTCTCATTTTTAGATCTCTTTGTCTTTTACTCAGGTAGTTTCTTCATGATTTTCTAATTCCTGAAGTTTGCTTTTGCATCTTCCTGTGTAGATAGGAAGAAATAGATCCATGCTGTGCATTTAAAGGTGATTAGGACCTTTACATCATGTATAAGATGCAATTATTTATTCATGTTCTGTGAGCTGGGAATCATGACCAGGAAGGATCTGAAAGCAGAATAGCATTGCTTTCCTTAAATTATATCCACAATAAAGGGCATTTCTAACAATAGGTAGCAGTTTTCAAACTACTTGAATCAAAAATCATGGAAGCCACTTGATCTGAATCTCCATTTGTCTACCTTTGTAACAGTGTGATCTTCTGGATGTTAACCTCTCTGAACCTCAGTTTGCTCATCTGTAAGATGGAGGAAGTTCCTGATCCACAGCTTTATTAAAGACATTAAATGAAATACTTCATATAGAATCTTAGGCCCAAAGCCTGGCATTTAATAGACACCCAATAAATGTAAGCACTCTCATTCAGTATGGATGTTTGCAAGAACTTGTGCATTATTCAGTATCTGGAAGCTAAGAAAAATTTGAAAGGCTCACTGTCAACTCAGATAGTACAGTGATTTTTTTTTAATATTGTTATATAGGTCTTAAAAGTTAACAGCTTATACTTTAAAACCATTCAGAGATAGAAATCCTACAGATCAGTGGAAAACAATAAGTTTGGCAATAGCAATAACCACAAAACTAAAATAACAACAGCAAAAATTGAGAGCATTTTGTGCACAGAGAGCATGATCTCATTTAATCTCTACAAAACACTAGAGACTATTATTATTCTCACTTTATAGATGTGGATACTGAGGCAGAGAGAAGTTAAGTGAATTGCCCAAGGTCACATAACTTGTAAGTAGAAGATCTAGGGCTGGAAACTTTTCCAAAGCCCAATGTCTTCTATGACCTGTACCACTTTAGCCTTCTCAAAAGAGCTCTTGCCCTGGATCCTACACTTAAAAGGATCTATTCTGAGTCTCCCCTGGCTGTATCCTTTCCCGAGCAGCAAGAGCCTAAGGAGCCAAGTGAACATGTTCATTCAGAGCTGGTGACTCTTTCTGGACCACAAGTAGGGTACTCAGATCCTTGGTGTTCTCTGCACAGAAGGTCCCCAGACTGTCCCCCAAACTTGTATAGACTTCTGCCCAGTGTGTCCTCCTGAGCATAAACCATCCATGGTGTGCACAGCCCAGGTAGGCTTGTGAGCTGGAATGTCCACAGGTAGGTATGTGGACCACCTTGAGGTGTGGGATGAAATGGGGGGCATAAGGGCAGGAGTTTGCATGAATGCAGCCAGGGTGCTGCCACACTCCCTTGGGCCATTGAATTTTGGCCTAGAACTTCAAGGAGTTCAAGAATTCCTTGTTTTTGATTTTTCAATTAATTAATTTTTTAGTTGACAAAATTTTTATATATTTATGGCATATAATATGTTTTGATATATGTATATATTATAAAATGGCTAAATTAAGCTAATGTACATATCCATTACTTCATATACTTTTTTGTGATAAGAACACTTTAAATCAACTCTCTTAGCAATTTCAAGCATACAATACATAGTTATTAACTATAGTAACATGTCATTGAGTCATAAAATAATTCTTCCACAGTGTGGCAATTCCTCAAGGATCTAGAACTAAAAATGCCATTTGACCCAGTGATCCCATTACTGGGTATATACCCAAAGGATTATAAATCATGCTACTATAAAGACACGTGTACATGTATGTTTATTGCAGCACTATTCACAATAGGAAAGACTTGGAACCAACCCAAATGTCCATCAGTGATAGACTGCATTAAGAAAAAGTGGCATATATACACATGGAATACTATGCAGCCATAAAAAGGATGAGTTCATGTCCTTTATGGGGACATGGATGAAGCTGGAAACCATTATTCTGAGCAAACTCTCACAAGGACAGAAAACCACACACCACATGTTCTCACTCATAAGTAGGAGCTGAACAATGAGAACACATGGACATAGGGCAGAGAACATCACACACCAGGGCTTATCGGGGGGTGGGGGACTGGGGGAGGGATAGCATTAGGAGAAATACCTAATGGTAACAGGTTGATGGGTGCAGCAAACCAGCATGGCACGTGTATACCTATGTAACAAATCTGAATGTTGTGCACATGTACCCTAGAACTTAAAGTATAAAAAAATAAATAAATAAATAAAAGGAAGCTAGCAAATACAAAAAAAATTCTTCCAAACTCATTCCTCCTGTCTAACTGAATTTTTTTTTATCATTTTACCAATATCTCACTAATCCCTCTCTCTTCCACCTTCAGCCAACCCCTAGTAACCACCATTCTACCCTCTACAAGTTTGACTTTTTTAGATTCCACATATGAGTGAGATTATATGGTATTTGTCTTTCCGTACCTGGTTTATTTCACTTAACATAATATCCTTCAGGTTCATCCATGTTGTTGCAAATGACAGATGTTCCTTCTTTTTTAAGGTGAATAATGTTTTATTGTGTATAGGTACTACATTTTCTTTTTATCTATTTATCCGTTGATGGACACTTAAGTTGATTCTGTTGCTTGGCTGTTATAAAATTGCTTCAGGGAGCAGGGGAGTGCAGATATCTTTTCAACAACCAATTTCATAACCATTTGATATGTACTCAGTAGTGGAATTGCTGGATCATTTGGTAGTTTTGTTTTTAATTTTTTGAGGAACCTCCCTGATGTTTTCTATAATTAGAGTAGTAATTGACATTCCCACCAACAGCGTACAAGGATTCCCTTTCAGGAACTCTGAATTTGGATCTGGTCTTTCAGGTCATTGTGAAAGCATTTTCTTCAAGGCAGGAGATATAATAAGTTTTATTTGAAACTTAATTGGCTTGATTTATAATTTTTGAATATTTAGTTAAAGGGCAGTTATAAAATCTGCCTCAAAGTCTTTCTCCTAACTTTAATATCTGAGTTATTTAAGGATCAGTCTCTAACGATTACCTTTTTCCTCGAATCTGAGTCACATTTTTCTGATTCTTTATTTCTAGTGATTATGGGTTATATACTGTACATTATGAGCATACATTGCAGAGATTCTGCATCCCGTTACATTCCTCTGCAGGTTTTTTTTTTCCAGTTCCCTCTTTTTTTGTCTATCATGCAGTTAAATGGACTGAATTCAAACTTTTAACTCAACCTCTTCTGTGTGGGCAGAAGCCAAAATTTCCATTCAATTTTATTAGCCTTTGCTGAGCTACATGGAATCTTCCCAGCTTATGAGTATTTTATGTCAACCTGAGGTTTGGACATAGTTTGTTTATACACATAGAATTTGGGGCTATCACTCTCCAGTTCTCTTCTTTTGGGACTTCTCTCCTCACTTTCTAGTTGCTGTGGTTACCATGAAATCTGTTCTCTTCATCAAGCCAGTAAAAGCATAGGTTTCCATCAGTCAGGAAGGTGATAGGAGGGGCCTGTCTTTAAATTAAAGGCCTTCAAAAATCAGGAAACCCAGTGCTGTTCTCTTCTTCCAAATGTCCACCCAACCCCCACCCCAGTGATATGGTTTGGCTCTGTGTCCCCACCAAAATCTCAGCTCAGATTGTAATCCCCATGTGCTGAGGGAGGGACCTGTAATACTCATTGTCTAGGGTGGGAGGTGATTGGATCATGGGGGTGGTTTTCCCCATGCTGTTTTTGTGATAGTTAGAGAGTTCTCATGAGATCTGATGGTTTTATAAGTGTTTGGAAGTTCCTCCTTCACTCTTCTGTCTTTCCTGCCCTCTTGTGATGAAGGTACTTGCTTCCGCTTCCCCTTCCGCAAAGACTGTAAGTTTTCTGAGGCCTCCCCAGCCATGTGGAACTGTGAGTCAATTAAACCTCTTTTCTTAATAAATTACCTAGTCTTGGGCAGTTCTTTATAGCAGTGTGAAAGTGGATTAATACACCCACTATCTGCCTTCTTGTAGTCACATTAAAGATGACTAATGGGTTTTGCTAATGTATTTCTATTGTTGATTATTTTACTATGCCCTTTTTATTCCTTGGGCATGAGTACTGTTCATTTTCAGATGATCAAATAGAATCTCATCATTATTTATAATTTTTAACACCAAGAAGAAAAATAATAAATAATCAAGTCTTGGCTCCTTGGATTTTAAAAAATTTTTTCCTTTGTGCTTATTTACAAAACGATTGTTTGATGTACAAAATTATCTATCTTTTGACATTTTGATTATATATCTTACTGATAATGAATGAAAGTTTTTAATTTGCACATTATTTAAAGAATAAATCTGATTTTTATGAAAACAAGTATCTATTTGTTGATGGCAAGACTAGATTGCTACTTTTCCATTTTGGTCTACAACAGTGTTTACATGCTGGCATTTATGTTAAATGACTCACAGACATAACTTACTGTACTATTTTAATCTATTGAAAAATATAGTAGCAATACCATTTCCAGATTATACTACTTCCTTGATCAAATTTACCAGTTGGTTTTTAAGTTAGAGGAAATTGTTTTGAGTCATCTAACCAATTGAGACAAGGTATACGAAAGACCAGTAACAGAGATGCAGTATCCAAGGATCTTGCTAATAAAGCACAACCTAAACAAGAGAAAAACACCTCAAAAGATTATTTTTCATTCACATGTGCTACTGCTATTTTTAGATCTTTTAAATAGGACATACATTTGAATACAAGATGGCTAAACACTTGTAAAGCCTAAGAACTTTCATTTCAAAGAGAAGTTTTGAATTCATACGATGCTTTATACCAAAATATGCCAGTATTGAATAATGAATGAAAAGGATTCAATTCTGGAGGCATTGCTGCTGGTTTCTAATGAGCCAATAAGTCAGAGCAGAGATGACTTCTCACCACTGGACTTAGAGGTGGTGAATGTTCCAGAGAATCTGCCTAAATAGAGAGGTATTTTATAAAACCCTTTGTATCTGTCAGTTTGCTCTACTTCCTGTAACCAAGGTGATGATTCAGGACAACAACAAAAATACACTTTGTAAAAATGAACTATTTTTGTTAGTCATCAGCACCACTATGTCACTTTCTAACAGGTCTGGGAGCTCTGAGTTTATCTTGGGACCTCAAGGGGAGAGGATCACCCAACTCACTGGTATTTGAGGACACAATCCCATGGCTGGGCTTGGCTTTAAAAGGTCTTATCTGAGACTCCTTGTGGAACATAGTTTCATCAAAGCCAATCCAAAAGGCCTATGTAGAAATAACCTTTCTTGCTGCACCTTATGCAAATAATCAGGCCATGTATAGGACTAAAGTTTATTCTATGAACAACACACACAGTCCTATCATAATTTATTTTTATAAAAAATGAGGACTGGAGAGAAAAACTGTTCTCCAAAGCTTATCATACTTTTCTCATTAAATCCTAGTCTCTAATTGTTTTTAAGCTTTTTGCCTACATTTTAGACTAACCCTGCTTATTCCTGTGAATCAAGTGGCAATCTCCTGCAGTTTGGAAGAAAGAAAAAGGGATGGGTAGTGTAAAAATCTGCATCAATGTGCTAGTTCTAGGCAATTATCCTGCAAATTCTGTCAGGTAATGAAAGTGAGTAGGATGCCCATAACCCAGAGGTTTCTTTGGGAAAATAAAACCAAGGCTTCATAGATCACCAAAGGAAAATTCTATATCTTGGCAAGTAAAATTTTAGATGG
This sequence comes from Homo sapiens, assembly GCF_000001405.40. Classification (NCBI taxonomy): domain Eukaryota; kingdom Metazoa; phylum Chordata; class Mammalia; order Primates; family Hominidae; genus Homo; species Homo sapiens. The sequence goes on along the minus strand of NC_000009.12, from coordinate 71,508,553 downwards.
AAATTATCTACTACACCACACTTGTGGAAATTGCTATATTCACTATACTATTTGCGATAGGTTTATGCATAGTAGCACCTTCTAACTGTAGTATTGGACAGAGTTTCCATTGCTGTTGTATTTAGCTTAATTATTATCCTTATAGCAGGGATAATAGTTACTGACAAAAAGGAAGCATGAAAGTTTTACTATCACTGAGTCAGCTAGGACTTTTTATTGGGTTTAGTAATGATTAACACCTCTGGTAAAGTAGAGGAAAATCTACAAGTACTTAAAAATCAAATCAAACTTATTAACAGGCTCAGTGAAAATGCCGGCTTCAGCCCTGGGTGGCTACAATCCCTCTTTAATGAATTCCAGTCTTCTTTATGGAATTGGTTAGCCCCTTTATTAAGTCCTCTCTTGCTTATATGTCTTGTATTGATATTTGGACCCTGCATATTCAATACTATAACTCAAATTATTTCTCCTAGCTTAGAAGCAATCAAACTATGCTTTTTTCTTGACTTTAAAAAAAATTTGAAGTTTTTATTAGCTTGCTTAGCTTCTCTTATCTAATTTTCTGCCTTCTATCAGTTTAGATGTTATACAGTTTACTTCTGTTCTTTTTGTGGTTACTTTTAGATTTTACCACATGCATTTAACTTAACAAAATCTATAGGTACTGTATTTGTCCATTCTCATGCTGCTGTTAAAGACATATCCAAGACTGGGTAATTTATAAAGAAAAAGAGGCTTAATGGACTCACAGTTCCACGTGGCTGGGGAGGCCTCACGATCATGGCAGAAGACAAAAGGCACTTCTTACGTGGCAGCAGGCAAGAGAGAATGAGAGCCAAATGAAAAGGGAAACCCTTTAAAAAACCATCAGATTTCATGAGACTTGTTCACTACCATGAGAACAGTATGAGGGTAAGTGCCCCCATGATTCAATTATCTCTCACTGGGTCCTTCCCACAACACATGGGAATTATGGGAGCTACAATTCAAGATGAGATTTGGGTGGGGACACAGCCAAACCGTATCAGATACTACCTTAGTCTTCTCTTGAGTATTATAAGAATGCCAGAAATGTTAGTTTCATTAGGATACTGCCTAGTATTTTAATTCTATCTTTTAGGTAAAAACCTTGTAATTCAGACTAAATATTTTATGCCACCCATGTTTGTTTATTATAACTACATATTTCCCAACTTCTTTGCTCACCATTCTTTTCTCAGACTTTCCTTCTAGGGACCATATATTTCCTTCTGGATGTTTCTTTGGTGAATGTCTGTTGATTGCAAATGCACTTTTTTCTTGTTCATCTAACTATTTAGAAATAGTTGTTTGGGTTATAGAATTCTAGGTTGGCTATTATTTTATCTCAGCACATTGGAAATATTATTTTATTGACTTCTAGCTTCATCATTGCTGTTGGAAAGTCTACTGTTAGGCAAATTGTCTTACTTCACAGAAGATCTGTGTCAGTCAGCCATTGTTGTGCAACAAACTACTCCTATAACACAGTGATTCATTTATTTTTATTCTTCCTGCATGTAGAGTGTGAGTCAGCTGAGTCAGATGAACTAGGCTGCACTTGGCTGAGCAACTGCGCTTCAAGTCCTAGGTCTGATTGAACTTGGCTCCTCACTGTGTGTTGGGCTCTTTTTAGCTCTGTCTATCTTCATTCTTGGCCAAAATATTAGTTATTATGACAATCATTCTTCATGAGACCAATTTGCATGCTGAATTTTCTAGAGTTAAATTGTTAAGTACATGGTAGAGTTACTAGAGAGAGGGAATAGAAAATGTACAATTAGAGGTAGAGAGAGACAGAGGAACACAGAATTTTTTACAAGTAGAATACCTTTAGAGACACTGCAGTTATTTCTCACCATCTAAGTAGAGGCTGACATGCTTACTTAACAAACTCTTGGATAAATCGTGGGTCAGCTGATTCCATTTAGCACATCGACTTCCACCCAAAATAACTTCATTACACTCTGTTGCTTCGTAAAAGTCTACAAATGGCTTTGATAGCTTATAAAGGGCATTCATAAAGTTGTAAACTATAATCTGCCAGTTGATTTAAGGTTTGACTTTTAGCAGACTTATGATCTAGCAGTATAAGAATAAGTTTAGCATAGCAAATTTTCTGGCAAAATGTGCAAGGCACAGGCTCAACTGGTTTCAAATGGGATCATCAAGTTGGTGATAACAGAGTGCAAGATTAATTAATGATTAGCAGAGAAGAGTACCATATGATTTTAAAATGATAATAGCATTCTTACTCTGAGATGTTTCCATTTGCTACAAATGCTCTAATTGTTATTAGATTAGATTAGCATTTGACTGGAATAACATTTCACCTTTTCCTCTTTAATTAGTGTTTTTACCTCTATTTGAGAGCTAATAAACATTTTTCTCACTCCTGTTACCTAAACACAAATGAAAATGAAAACATAATTAGTGTAAATATTCAGGTCTAACTACAGAGATCCATTGTTCTTATAAAACAGGTAAACAGGTGACACAAAACCATTTGGTTTGCACATAATAGTACCAAACCATTATCATTATTGGAACTAATTTGATGTGGCATCAGGCAAATGAAATGCAGTCATGGTTCCCTAGCACTAAATACTTTTGGAGATAGGCAAAACATTGGCAGATGACCTATAGCTGCCAACAATGGCAAAAGTGATGCCAGGACTTTTGCTGTCTCTTGAATTTTTTGTAAACATATAGGTGCTCTTCACCAAGTTAAAACATGAGTCATTTCGATTTTGTAAGCTGGTATTCAACTAAGCCTTACATTTGTATGATTATCATAATACTAATTGAAAGATAGAATTTTAGAAGTTAAAGTTCTGACTAACTTATATTAAGAAATCTCATGATATTTAGATGATAAAGCAGTATAAGGCAAGACCCATCCTCCAAGTTCAAATTCAGATTCTTAAAACTAAAGTTGCTTTAGCTTTTGTCTAGGACATGCAAGGAGAGTGTGAGGTCTTTTCCTTAGACCACTGGTCCTCTAACTTGAATGCAATTAGTATATTAAGCATTGCTTATTGAAACCTTAAATTCCTGGGACTCACCCCGAAGTTCCTGGTTCAGCGTGTGTTGGATGAACCTGAAAATAGGCATTTAAAATAAACACTTGAGGGGATTTTTTGAATGTGGTCATGAGCCCATACTTTGCTGTGCACTTCATTGGACCTTTCTGCTAAGAAGTAGAACTGTCTGAGAGAGATAAGAGGTGACATGTCTTATTATTGTGGTATCTAGATATTTCTCTTACCACCTCTTCTGCTTCATTAGGCAAAATATTTGACATAGGAGTGACCTAAGACAACTGTATCTTTAAAAATAACATATTACAAGCAAAGAAACAATAAAAAGAAAAGAATGATTTCAAAAACACAATTTGAGTAAGAAATCAAGACTGAGACAAATGAGAACAAATTTGTATACTATAAAACCTCAATTCTTTGTAATAATTTAACTACAGTCTTTGTTCAAAGTCTCCAGGCAGCTGAAACAGTAGGAACGTACAGTCAGTTCTCTGGCCAGTTATTATTGGCAAAATGAATGAAAAGTACCCATGCCTTCAAGGAAACAAAGCTTTTCCTGCCATTGCTTTGGCATAGTAAGGCACTGAGTAATGGGGCGTACCATGTCTTCAAGGGCATTCTTCATTGCCACAAAGCGATGTTCTAACTCAGCACTCTGCTGTTGACTCCCTACTCATGAGGATGTGGTGTACCTTAGTGTCAGTCTGGATACTGGAGATAGCCATCTGGCCCCTAAGAGCTCAGATCTTCTTCTTAGAAGCTGAAGATCAACATCCAAGGTATTTTCCTCTGACATACATATCTTTCTTCACTGTCCCCATCACTGGGAACAGTTACCTATAAAAGCCTACTCTCCTGCCCTGGGATTATGTTCTTTCAGCTATGAGAGTCCTGCACATGTCCTACCTTCTCCAGAATGCCCTCTACCCAGATTATGGTTGTTTCCTGGATTACCCTAACTCCATCAAGGGGGGATATAGTATGGAATCTTTGCAGTTGACATATGGGCCAGAATCATGTCACTTCGCCCATCAATCTTAGATTACATGCAACTTTCAGGCCTGGAAAGGGCAGAACAGGACTGAATTTTGCTCCTGACTGTTTCTTGCTAGTGAAGTTAATGGAATAAGAAGAATTCTAGAAAGCTGCTTTAGATCTTATCTGGAAAGCCTGCCTGCATAATGGAACCATTGCTATTCTTATGTGGGGGTGAAATGAGTAGTCATTTAGATGGTATGCTTGGAGGGGCAAAAAGAAAGCCCCACACCACAAAATAACTCCTTAAGTAATATGTAGTTCAGGTTTGAAATTCCACCATTAGGAATTTATTCCTTTGTGTTTATAACTTCCAACTCTGTGGAAGTTACAGGATGATTCAATGTGAGAATATTAATCAGTCCACTATTCTTTGTAACCAGGATTAATTGAGAACCCTGAGATTCTAGGGGCACAAGGAATTACAGAGGAATGTTGGTATAGAAGGGTTGCAGGAATAAGGGTATTTATTTCATGATTTTATCTAGGGCCATTCTTGCCTACCACACTAGTGTAGAGTGGTTTTTTGTCTGCAAGGTACCATGTAATCTTCTCATATTAATGTTAGGCAGGTAAACTGGAAACAAAAAGAAACCATTTAATATTAGGGATACTTTCAGAACATTTACATGCGTAGTGCTGATATATTTAAAAAGGGCAAGAGGAGATCATAGTTAACAACGGAAGCATGAAGAAGAGCATGCGGGACTGCATGGCACATGTAGTATAAATGAGTACCTTGAATAAATTTTGCCCCCAAATGACCATTATATTATTAGTGCATAGCGAGGCCAAATTCTTCTGAAAGAAGTTGCAGATCTGGAGTGGATTTTATCTAAGTATCATGGAAGGGACATTATTAGAGTGTCTCCTAGTCACTGGTCCCTATTTAATATGTCAAAATTTATGTTATGGCTCTTGGTAGACCTAATGCTTAATTCCCTGACAAATTCCCTGACAAAACTTGGGTGAAATGGAAATGTTATTCCATTTGAAAATGGACATTTACCATGGCCTCTTTGTTTCATAAAGCACATTTTGAAAGCATAGTAAGCAGTGATTGTTATTGCATGTGAAGATAAGCCAAGCTTTGTCAAGATTAACCTAAGTAAAGGTCCTAATTGTAAAAGAAAACTGTCCAACGAAATGACTGGTCTTTAAACATGTCAACTGCACATCAGAAAGGAAAATTACCTTAACTACATGAAGGGGATGTTGAAGGTACTCTTTTTTTTCTTGTTCCTTTTTGCCTATTAATATACATTGGTATACTTAAAATCTTTTAAAAATTTTACTGTGGTAAGAACTGATATACTTCTGTTCTATTTTGAAATTATCTAGAAGATGTTTATGCTTATACAAATATCCTCAAAACCTATTTGTCACTTGAGCCCAAGAGTTCAAGATTACAGTGAGCCATGATCACGCTACCGCACTCCAGTCTGGGTGATGAAGCAAGACTCAATCTCTAAACAAATAAACCAAAACAAACAAACAAACAAACAAAAACCTATTTGTAGACTAAAGCCCAATTTTCCTGATTATGAATTTAAAAAATGCATATTATATTATTATTTGATCAATTCCATGATCATTTCCATCTTCATAGATTTTAAAGAATTTATTTTTCCAGGGACATTTCAGGTTCACAGTAAAATTGAGAAGAAGGTAATATTTCTTATATATATCCTGCCCCCCACACATGCATAGCCTCCTCCATTATCAATATTCCCCACCAGAGTGGTACATTTGTTAACAACTGATGAACCTACACTGACCCATCAATTATCGCCTGGAGACTATTGTTTATATGGAGGTCCATTCTTGGTGTTGTACATCCTATGAGTTTGGACATTTTAGTATCATACAGAGAAGCAGTTTCACTACCATGAAAATCCTTTATGCTCCACCTATTGATCCCTCCTCTACAACTGCATCTCTGATAACTCTTCATCTTTTTACTATCTTCATAGTTTTGCATTTTCCAGAATGTCATGTAGTTGGAATCATATAGTATATCATCTTGTCAGATTGGCTTCTTTTAGTAATATGCATTTAAGGTTCCTCTGTGTGTTTTCATGGCTTAATAGCTCATTTTTTTGCACTGAATAATATTCCATGGTCCACATGCTCCATAGTTTGTTTATCCATTCACCTACTAAAGGATATCTTGGTTGCTACCAAGTTTTGGCAATTATGAATAAAGCTGCTGTAAGCATACATGTGCAGGTTTTTGTGTGGACATAAATTATCAGTTCTTTTATGTAAATTACAAGGAAAATTGTGTAAATAACAAGGTAAATTGCATGGCAAGATTATGTTTAGTTTTGTGAGAAATTGCCAAAAGGTCTTCCAAAGTAGCAGTACCATTTTGCATTCCCCCCAGCAATGAATGACAGCTCCTGTTGCTCCACATCTTTGCCATTATTTGGTGTCATCAGTGTTTCAGTCTTTCTAGTAAGTATGTAGTGGTTTCTCATTGTTTTAATTTGCATTTTCCTGATGACATATGATATGGAGCATCTTTTCATATGCTTATTTGCCACTTGTATATCTTCTTTAGTGAAGTGTCTGTTCAGGTATTTTGCTCAGTTTTTTTAGATTGGGTTGTTCATTTTAATTTTAAGAGTCCTTGGTATCTTTTGCATAACAGTCCTTTATTAGATATGTGTTTTGCAAATAATTTCTCCCCATCTGTTTCTTGTCTTCTCATTCTCTTGGACATTATCTTTCACAGAATGGAAGTTTTTAATTTTAATGAAGTCCAGATTATCAATTATTTCTGTCATGTATTATGTTTCTGTTTTTTTAATCTAAAAAGTCATCATACACAAGGCCATCTAGATTTTCTTCTCTGTTATTTTCTAGGAGTTTTACAGTTGCATTTTATGTTTAGCTCTATGATTCATTTTGAATTAATTATTGGGAAGGGTTTAAAGTCTGTGTTTATATTTACTTTTCTGCACATGAATGGCCAGTTGTTCAGCACCGTGTGTGTATGTATGTGTGTGTGTGTATATATATATATATATATATATATATATATATATATATATATATATATATAAAATTTTCTTATTTCCAACTTTTAAGTTCAGGGATACATGTGCACATGTGCAGGATGTGCAGGTTTATTACATAGGTAAACATGTTCCATGGTGGTTTGCTGCACAGATCATCCCATCACCCAGGTATTAAGCCTAGCAACTATTAGCTATTCTTTCTGATGCTGTCCCTTCTCCCACCCGCTATCATCTGACAGGTCTCATGTGTTTTGTTCCCCTCCATGTGTCCATGTGTTCTCATCATTCAGCTCCCACTTTCAAGTGAGAACACATGGTATTTGGTTTTCTGTTCCTGTATTAGTTTGCTAAGGGTAATGGCCTCCAGCTCCATCCATGTCCTTCCAAAGGATATGATCTCATTCCCTTTTATGGCTGCGTAGTTTTCCATGGCCAGCACCCATATTTAAAAAGACTATTTTTGCTCCATTTTATTGCCTTTATTCCTTTGTCAAAGATCAGTTAACTATATTATGTGCCTATTTCTGGGCTCTCTGTTCTGATCCTTTGATTTTCTTGTTTATTCTTGTGCCAATACTACACTGTCTTGGTTACTATACCTTTATACTATGTCTTTAAGTTGGGTAGTGTCAATTTTCTGACTTTGTTCTCATTTAGCATTGAGTTGGCTATTCTGGGTCTTTTATCTCTCTATGTAAACTTTTGAATCAGTTTGTCAATATCCACAAAATAAATGCTGCTATTTTGATTGGGATTTAGTTGAATGTATAGATCATATTAGATAGAACTAATATCTAGACAATATTGACTCTATGCACATGAATAGATTTCCATTTATTTAGTTGTGTTTTGATTTCTTTCATTCAGACTTTTATAGTTTTTCTAATAGTTTATAGATCTTATACATATTTTCTTAGATTTGTGCCTAAGTATTTCATTTTTTGGTGTGCTAATGTAAATGGCAATGTGTTTTTAATTTCAAATTCCACTTTTAATTGCTGCTATATATTAAAGCAACTTGGAAAGTTTTCAGCTGTTATTTTACTAAATATGTTTTCTTACCTCTGCTCATTTCTTTTCCTTCTGGAATTTCTATAATGTGGATTTTTGTTCTCTTAATAGTTTCCCATAAGTCCTGTAGGTGATCATTTATTTATTTCCTTCCTTCCTTCCTTCCTTCTTCTTTCCTTCCTTTTCTTTCGGTCTGCCTATCTTTTTTCAAAAAGGCTGTCTTCAAGTTCAGAAATTCTTCTGCTTGGCTGGGCATGGTGGCTCACGCCTGTAATCCCAACACTTTGGGAGGCTGAGGCGGGCAGATCACCTGAGGTCAGGAGCTTGGGACCAGCCTGGCCAACATGGTGAAACCCCGTCTGTACTAAAAATACAGAAAAATTAGCTGGGTGTGGTAGCAGGAGCCTGTAATCCCAGCTACTCGAGGGGCTGAGGCCGAAGAATCACTTGAACCTGGGAGGCGGAGGTTGCAGTGAGCCAAGATTGCGTCATTGCACTCCAACCTCGGTGACGGGAGTGAGATTCCGTCTTAAAAAAAAATAAATTCTTCTGCTTGGTCTAGTCTGTTGTTGAAGCTGTCAACTGTATTTTTTATTTCTATTTCATTCATTGAATTCTTCAGCTTTAAAATTCTTGTTTTCTGTTTTTGTTTTTGTTTGTTTGTTTTTTTTTTTTTTGAGACTGAGTCTTGCTCTATCGCCCAAGCTGAAACGCAATGGCATGATCTTGGCTCACTGCAACCTCTGCCTCCTGGGTTTAAGTGATTCTCCCTGCCTCAGCCTCCCAAGTAGCTGAGATTACAGGCACGTATGACCATGCCCAGCCAATTTTATATTTTTAGTAGAGACGGGGTTTCACCATGTTGGCCAGGTTGATCTTGAACTCCTGACCTCAGGTGATCTGCCTGCCTTTGCCTCCCAAAGTGCTGAGACTACAGGCACGAGCCACTGTGCCTGGCCAGATTCCTGTTTTTTTTTAAATTATATATTTCATTGTTGCATTTATCATTCAGATCATGAATTGTTTTCCTGATATTGTTGAATTCACCAAATTTCCTTGAGATCATCATTTTGAATTCCTTTTCTGGTATTTTAATGTTTCCTTTTCTTTGGGGTTTGTTACTAGAGAATTACTGTGTTCCTTTGGAGGTGTTTTGTTGTTTTTTTATGTTTCTTGTACCCCTACATTCATAGTTGTCATCTGGTAGAACGGTTGCCCTCTCCAATTTTATGAAGTAGCTTTTATGGAAAAATACTTATTCCTATAGACAAATCTTGGGGTGCTGATTGGATGGGGTACATTGGCTTTTGTTCTGGGTGAATGTAGTAGTGCAGTCTCTGTGCAGTTTCATCACCTGTAATCTACATTAGCAATATTTGCAAGCACCTCAGTAGCTTAGGCTGCAGGAATGTAGTAGTGCAGTCTCTGTGCAGTTTCTTCACCTCTAATCTAGATTAGCAATGTTTGCAAGCATCTCAGTAGCTTAGGCGCAGGAATTTGTGGCAGCAGTGGCATTGCTTTGCCCAGAGGTGGTCTAATCAGACTTTCTCAGGGCATAGGGGCACAGATGTGTGTGGCAGATTTGCTGGCTTGGGGACTGGCACACTGAGGTCAGGGCCACTGGGCTGTTTCTCCAGCCAGAGGCCAGGTGCACAGCTACTCAGGCATCTTGGGGTAAATCCTTTAAAGACAGGTCTGCCTTGCTGTTTCCCCATCCAGGGACACCAGGGATGCTTGCCAGGGGCAAGTCTTCTGGGCTATTTCTACGGCCAGGGTTATAGGCATGTTGTTCCTCAGCCAGCTCAAGGGCAGGTCCACCTGGAGCAGTTCTGCAGGGCCATTTCTTTTTTTTATTTTTTATTTTATTATTATTATACTTTAAGTTTTAGGGTACATGTGCACAATGTGCATGTTAGTTACATATGTATACATGTGCCATGCTGGTGTGCTGCCCCCATTAACTCGTCATTTAGTATTAGGTATATCTCCTAAAGCTATCCCTCCCCCCTCCCCCCACCCCACAACTGTCCCCAGAGTGTGATGTTCCCCTTCCTGTGTCCCTGTGTTCTCATTGTTCAATTCCCACCTATGAGTGAGAATATGCAGTGTTTGGTTTTTTGTGCTTGTGATAGTTTACTGAGAATGATGATTTCCAATTTCATCCATGTCCCTACAAAGGACATGAACTCATCATTTTTTATGGCTGCATAGTATTCCATGGTGTATATGTGCCACATTTTCTTAATCCAGTCTATCATTGTTGGACATTTGGGTTGGTTCCAAGTCTTTGCTATTGTGAATAGTGCCGCAAGAAACATACGTGTGCATGTGTCTTTATAGCAGCATGATTTATAGTCCTTTGGGTATATACCCAGTAATGGGATGGCTGGGTCAAATGGTATTTCTAGTTCTAGATCCCTGAGGAATCGCCACACTGACTTCCACAAGGGTTGAACTAGTTTACAGTCCCACCAACAGTGTAAAAGTGATCCTATTTCTCCACATCCTCTCCAGCAGCTGTTGTTTCCTGACTTTTTAATGATTGCCATTCTAACTGGTGTGAGATGGTATCTCATTGTGGTTTTGATTTGCATTTCTCTGATGGCCAGTGGTGATGAGCATTTTTTCATGTGTTATGGAATGTCTTCTTTTGAGAAGTGTCTGTTCATGTCCTTCACCCACTTTTTGATGGGGTTGTTGGTTTTTTTCTTGTGAATTTGTTTGAGTTCATTGTAGATTCTGGATATTAGCCCTTTGTCAGATGAGTAGGTTGCGAAAATTTTCTCCCATTTTGTAGGTTGCCTGTTCACTCTGATGGTAGTTTCTTTTGCTGTGCAGAAGCTCTTTAGTTTAATTAGATCCCATTTGCCAATTTTGGCTTTTGTTGCCATTGCTTTTGGTGTTTTAGACATGAAGTCCTTGCCCATGCCTATGTCCTGAATGGTAATGCCTAGGTTTTCTTCTAGGGTTTTTATGGTTTTAGGTCTAACATTTAAGTCTTTAATCCATCTTGAATTAATTTTTGTATAAGGTGTAAGGAAGGGATCCAGTTTCAGCTTTCTACCTATGGCTAGCCAGTTTTCCCAGCACCATTTATTAAATAGGGAATCCTTTCCCCATTGCTTGTTTTTCTCAGGTTTGTCAAAGATCAGATAGTTGTAGATATGCGGCGTTATTTCTGAGGGCTCTGTTCTGTTCCATTGATCTATATCTCTGTTTTGGTACCAGTACCATCCTGTTTTGGTTACTGTAGCCTTGTAGTATAGTTTGAAGTCAGGTAGCGTGATGCCTCCAGCTTTGTTCTTTTGGCTTAGGATTGACTTGGCGATGCGGGCTCTTTTTTGGTTCCATATGAACTTTAAAGTAGTTTTTTCCAATTCTGTGAAGAAAGTCATTGGTAGCTTGATGGGGATGGCATTGAATCTATAAATTACCTTGGTCAGTATGGCCATTTTCATGATATTGATTTTTCCTATCCATGAGCATGGAATGTTCTTCCATTTGTTTGTGTCCTCTTTTATTTTGTTGAGCAGTGGTTTGTAGTTCTCCTTGAAGAGGTCCTTCGCATCCCTTGTAAGTTGGATTCCTAGGTATTTTATTCTCTTTGAAGCAATTGTGAATGGGAGTTCACTCATGATTTGGGTCTCTGTTTGTCTGTTATTGTTGTATAAGAATGCTTGTGATTTTTGTACATTGATTTTGTATCCTGAGACTTTGCTGAAGTTGCTTATCAGCTTAAGGAGATTTTGGGCTGAGACAATGCGGTTTTCTAGATATACAATCATGTCATCCTGCAGGGCCATTTCTTTGACTGGGGACATGGGCACATGGCAGTACAGCTGGTCTAGGGTTGGCTTCCTCAGGACCAGAGTCATAACCATTCCTGGGCCCAGGCTCTGAGCAGCTGGGGTCATGGCATTGCAGCCACTTGAGTGGACTTCATGGAACGATGGCAGAGCCCCATGGCTGGAGAGATGCCGTGACTATTGGGCCCCAGAGGAGGATGTCTTCTGGCAGTGGCTCTAGTTTCAAGATGGCATTATGCTGCAGCAACTTGGGTTATAAAGGGGGTGGGGTGGGCAGTGCACAAGTTGTGCTTCTAATCCAGAGTAATGCAATCGTGCTAATTCCAGATAGCTCTTCAAATTGGGCTCAGGACTTATGAGGACTGCGGGATTCTCCTGTAGTAAGGACTGCAGGTATTTATGGTGAAAATGGGGGTTAACGGGGATTGTCTCCTTTTTTTTTTTTCTCAGAATAAAGTCCCTCCTGACTCTGAGCCAATCCAGGCAGGGGAGATGAGGTGGCTGGAGCAGGGGCTCCACTCTTCTTTCTATGCTGCCATTCTGGGCTTCTGTGCTCCACAGGGATCTCCGTATTTCCTTATTGCACGTCAGTGCCCTCCCTCAGATACTCCAGTTGAATTTCAGTTTTTTATTCATTACCTTGGGTCTTTCTTGAGAGGAAGATGAGCACCAGGTATGTCTATTCAGCAATATTGTCCGTGGTACTCTCCCGTTAAGTGGTTTTGAATGTTGAACTAGATATGCATATCTGGGATAACCTTTACTTGGTCATGGTGTATTTTTCTTTTCTTGTAATGACTTTGTCTGGTTTTGGTATTAGGGTAATACTGGCCTCACAAAATAAATTAGGAATTATTCCTTTGCTTCTGTTTTCTGGAAGAGACTATAGGGAATTGTTATAATTTCTTCCTTAAATGTGTGGTAGAATTCTCTGGTAAATCCATCTGGATCTGGTGTTTTCTGTTTTGGTATATTATTATTCATTGATTCACTATCTTTAATAGATATTGGCCTATTCAGATTGTCTATTTCTTCTTGTGTAATTTTTTTTGAAGATTATGTCTTTCATGGAATTGGTCCATTTCATCTAGGTTATCAAATTGGTAGACATAGAGTGGTACATAGTGTTCTCTCATTTTTTTAATCTCTTTGGACTTTGTAATGATGGCCCTTCTTTTATTTCTGATATTAGTCATTTGTGTAATTCCTCTTTATTTTCTGTTGGCCTGGGTAGGGGCTTATGAATTTCATTGATCTTTTCAAAGAATGAGTTTTTGTTTTTGTTTTCTCTGTTTTCAATTTTATCGGTTTCTGCTCTCCATTTTATTATTTATTCTGCTTTGGATTTAAGTTACTCACTTTTTCTTGTTTAGTAGATTATTCATTTATTAGATTATTAATTTTAGATCTTTCTCCTTTAATTTCTTTTAAATTTCCACTTCTTTTTTCCTTAATTTTTCTCTTCTTTTTATAATTTATTAAATTATTATTCATTTTAGATGTTCTTTTTAAATATATGTATTCAATGCTATAAATTTCCCTTTATGCACTGCTTTCACTGCATCTCACACTTTTGATAAGTTGTGTTTTTATTTTCATTCAGTTCAAAATATTTTAAAATTTCTCTTGAGATTTCTTCATTGACTTCTGTGTTATTTAGAGGTATGTTGTTTAGTATCCATGTATTTTGGGATTTTCCAGTTATCATTCTGTTGTTGATTTCTACTTTAATTCCATATTGGCCTGAAAGCAGATCTTGTATAATTTATATTCTTTTAAATTTGTTAAGGCATGTTTTATGGCTCAGAACATGGTTTATCTTGGTTAATGTTTCATGAGAGTTTGAAAAGAATATGTAATCTGCTGTTGTGGGATGAAGTAGGCTATAGATGTCAATTATGTCCGGTTGATTGATGGGTTTTTTGAGTTCAATTATGTTCTTACTGATTTATCTTTGCTGGATTGGTTCATTTCTGATAGAAGGGTTTGAGATTTCTAATAATAATAGTGGTCATCTATTTCTCCTTGGAGTTCTATCAGTTTTTCCCACATGCAGCTTGATGCTGTGTTGTTAGGTGCATACATGTTAAGGATTGACATGTCTTCTTGGAGTACTGACCTCTTTATCATTACTCAGTGTATTTCTTTATTTCTGAAAACTTTCCTTACTTCAACATTTGTTCTGTTTGAAGTTAATATAGGTGTTCCCAGTTTCTTTTGATTAGTGTTAGCTGGTATGTCTTTTTTCATCTTTTTGCATATAGGTTTACTTTTAACCTATATGCATCTTTATATTTAAAGTGGGTTTCTTATAGACAAGATATAGTTGAGTCTTTTCTTTTTATTCATTCTGACAATCTCTTTCTTTTAATTAGTGTGACTAGATTACTTATGTCAAAAGTGATTACAATGTAGTTGGATTAATATCTACCCTATTTGTTACTATTTTCTATTTATTTGTCCTTGTTCTTTGTTTCTATTTTTCTCTTACACTGATTTTCTGCCTTTCATTGTTTTAGTTTATATGATTTTACTTTTCTCCTTTTTTAGCATATCAGTTATACTTCTTTTTAAACTCTTTTTAGTGGTTGCCCTAGAATTTACAATATACATTTACAATGAATATAAGTCCACTTTCAAACAACACTATACTATTTCATGAGAAGTGAGTACCTTATAACAAAATTATCCTAATTTCTCCCTCCTATCCTTTGTGTCATTGCTGTCATTCATGCCATTTATGTATAAGCATACATAATGAATACATTGTTGCTATTATTATTTCAAACAAATTGTTATCTGTTAAATTACTCAAGAATAAGAAAAATAAATTTATGTTACCTTCACTTATTTCTTCTTCAATGTTCTTCCTCTCTTTATGAGAATCTGAGTTTCTGACCTATACTATTTTACCTCTTTCTAAATAACTTCTTTTAACATCTCTTGCAAGGCAGGACTACTGGCAACACGTTTCCTCCATCTTTCTCTGAGAAAGTCTTTATTTCTCCTTTACTTTTGAAAAATAGTCTTGCAGGGTAAAGCAAGAATTTTAGGTTGGTGAGTTGTTTTTTTTTTTTTTTTCCCCTCTCAAACACTTTAAATATTTCACTCCACTCTTTTCTTGCGTGCATGGTTTCAAAGGGGAAGCTGGATGTAATCTTATATTTGTTCCTCTGTAGGTAAGGTGTTTTTTTGCCTCTGGTTTCTTTCAGGAGTTTTTCTTTGTCTTTGGTTTTCTGTAGTTTGAAAGTGATATGCCTAGATGTACTTTTTGGCATTTATCCTGCTTAGCTTTTTCTGAGCTTCCTGGATCTGTGGTTTGGTGTTTGACACTAATTTGAAGAATTTCTCAAGTAATTTAAAAAATATATTTTCTGTTCCTTTTCCTCTTTATTCTATAGTCCTAGGATTAGGTCTGTCTTTTAGTGCCTCTGTGCCTTTTAGTGCCTTAGTATTTTCTGTGCCTCTGGACTGTGGATTTTGCAAGTGCTTCTCAATCCATCCCCTTCTTCTTAGGGAAAACAATGTAGAGTGGGCTGGAGTGGGGTATTTCCTTTCTGCCACAGGGAAGGCTAGATCTGCCTAGAGTTGATGTGTATTTCCCTTCACCCAGGTCAGTTAGGGTTCGATAAAACTTCAGCAGGTTAGAGACTGGTTAAGCAGTGTCTCATGAGAGCAAACCTTGTTAAGGAGTGCTCCAGTGTGTTTCAAAATGGTTCCTTTTCCTTTCGCACTGCTGGAAGTATGATGGGACTTTTCTTGGATATTTACTGTAAAAACCTAGTTGAGCTAGCCGTCAGAGGTAAAACTCACAAAAGTGTGGGCTACCCCGACCTGACTGTCCTTCTGGAATTCTTAACTCTCAGGTTTGTCCACACTGAGACTTTAGCAATTTGTCAATCACAGTTCAAGTTTTTCTACTCTGGAGCTGTTTTCTAAGGTGGTTTCTGTCACATGTCCTTGAATCTGCATGATGTAGAGCTCTAACTTCTCAATTCTGACTTCCTAAGGACTCCTTGGGCTGAAGGTTTCCTGGCCTTCTAATTCTTCTGGAGGCAGTTTTGCTGTAGAGAATAGGAACATGGCAATGAGGGGCACATTTGGAGGAGTAAAAGGACAGAGACTCCAGTAGCAGCAGATTCTAAGGTCAGTCCTTGGGAAGAGTTCTTTTGTCATTGGAGCAGGATCATTATGGCTAATTCATAGCTCTCAAGACCTTAAGGTGGAGACTACCTGTTTCTCATTTTTGAGCATTATCTTTAACTGAGTGGGAAATAAATTGTTAGACCTTTTGTATTGACGCTGAAGTCAACCAACAAAGTTGATTTTGATATTTTCTTCTAGTAGCTTATCAATTTGGAGGAAAGAATTGCTTCAAAGTGATTACAGAATATAATCTTTAGAAGTTTGACTCACAGCCAACAGCAAATGAATGTTATAGATAAAAGGGAGTACAATTAATAACAACTCAAGAAGTATGTAGTTACCTAGGAGATCACTCCCAAGTCCACCTATATGAGTTCATCTTTTCCTGGAAATGCAGTATATTGTAAGAAGTGCCAGCTGTAGGAATTGTGGATAATAATTATAAAATTGTGAAAACATTATACCAACCAAATAAATACCCTTTATCAAGTAAAGTAGTCCCCTCTTATTGGCAGGAGTTCATTCCAAGATCCCCAGTGGATGCCTGAAACCACGGATAATACCAGACCCTATATATACTATGCTTTTTTCCTATGCGTACATACCTATAATAAAGTTTAGTTTATATATTAGGCAAAGTAAGAGAGTAACAACAATAACCAGTAATAAAGTAGAACAATTGTAACAATATGCCAGCATCACTACTCTTGCACTTTGGGGTCATTATGAAGTAAAACAAGGGTTACTTGAATACAAGCACTGTGATACTACTACAGTAGACCTGATAACCAAGAGGGCTACTAGGTCACTAATGGGCAGGGAGTGGAGACAGCATGGGTATGCTGGACAAAGGGTCGCTTCACACCCCAGGCAAGAGGAAGCAGGATACTATGAGGTTTCATCACACAACTCATAGAGTGACATGCAGTTTAAAATGTAGAAATGGAATTTTCCATTTAATATTTTTGTACCATGGTTGACCCAGAGTAACTGAAACTGCAGACAACGAAACCACAGATAAAGGAGGTACTACTCTACACATTAATAATATTGAAGCTGTTCCTTTTGTAACACAAAGAACATAAAGTTTTCACTTTTTGAAAAGACAAATCCATTTCATGGAGGGAGTCAGTAAACAAATGTACAAAACCTGTAGAAAGTTAGAGCTGGGAGGGTCCTTAAAGGTTATCTTGTCCAATTACTTCATATAGATATGGAACCCAGCCTAGAAAAGTTAGTAATTTGTTCAAGCTTGCATACTCAGAGGCAAGACTGGGGCTTGATTGAAATCCAGGATCCCTGCTTTTAAAACAAATCTTTTTTCCCTCCTTTCTCTACATACTCTCAGTATCTAGTTGGTTCTCAACTAGGTGCAATTTTGACACCCGGGGTATCCTCTTTGACAATATCTGAGAACATGTTTTTGGTCTTCACAACTGGGTTGGGATGTACTACTGACATCTAGAGGTAGAAGCCAAGGATGCTGTTAAACACCATGCAATGCACGGGACTGTCCCCAAAATTATCTAGCCTCAAATGACAATAGCATTGAGCTTGAGAAAGCATGCTCTAGAGCTATAAAAACAAATTGTAGACTGTCCTGCATTAAGCAAGCAGAGTCTAGGGAAGACTAAATTTAAAGACAAGCAATGCTTTACAAAAGATTTACCAAAGGGTTTAATTAATAATATATTCTAATGAGCGAATCTGAAATGTTTTGATCAACAGCAAAAATACATATGTCAAAGACCCATATACTACAAAAAAGTGCATTCCTACATTAACAGAACATGAAGACAAGTGAGAAGTAAACATAGAAATACTGCTGTTTCTAGACATGCTTTAGGATATAAAGCATTTTCACAGGCTTTCCTTCACTCTCAGAGTCTTAAAATCACCAAGTAAAGTGGGAAGGGAAAAGAAGCATTCTTATAAATAAGAAAATTGGAGCTCAGAGTGCTCAAAAGATTTACCCCATCAAATAGCCTTACAGTTGGCCTTCAAACCCAGAATTTCTCTTTCCAACAATAGTGTTCTCTCTACTTTTATATGAAGTCCACACATTATGTAGGAACACATATGTGTGTGTATGAAGAAGCTATAGACTGAAGTATGTGCAAGTTCCTATGTCGTTTCTTTCAAATAAAATGCAGAGCAAACATTTAATTATTTATATATTTTTTAATTGAAAAAGTACGCTAAAGATGGGGTCTCATTATGTTGCTCAGGCTGGCCTTGAACTCCTGGGCTGTTGTGATCCTCCCACCTCAGCCTCCCAAGTAGCTGGGACTATAGGCGTGTGCCATTGTGCCCATCAAAACATTAATTTTTTTTTATCTTGCATTAATTTTTGCAAGGAACCAGAAATGAAAGTAGTAATAATATTTTACAGGAACATCTCTGCCTCAAAGCAGATTAATTCTGAAAATCAGAGCTTGTTTAAAGCCTCTCTTCTTGGGATTATTGGGCCTGTGTGAAGATTAGCTGAACACCACGACCAGAATCCATGGAGGGTGCCAAACAGACACCTGTCACAGTCGATGCTCTCAGCTAATTTATCATGCACTTTTTGCTTAGTTTCTCTGCTCACTGACTTCAGTGGAGCTATGGGAATGGGGTAAAGGTGATGGGACATTATTATCATCTATTGGAGTTAATGGTCACCGTCGAGATTGCAGGGTCAGCTCTGCTACTTAAAACTAAAATGTTTATTTTAAAATTTCTCTTTTGGTCTGGATTTTTGTCGTTTTTCTCTTCTGAGTGATTTCACAAGGAACAGCATCTCCAAATGAATATGTCAGTAATATGACATTTGATATTGATAGCATATTTGTGGTGATCTGCTAGATTTTTACGGTATTGTTTTAAACTCACAAGATAATTGTTTCTTCTGTTTTCAGGAACTGATAATTTTGAACCTTGTAATGCCAGCATTTGTATCACATGTAAACACTGGCTTATACACCAATAACAAAAATGAAACCAGCAGATTTTTAGGGAAATCTATTTTAATATTGCTTTATTTGGTTTTCTGTATCCACATTCTGAGTGTCTTCCCTGTAGGCTCTTTCTTTTAGTCCTCCAAGGTTAAGGAATTCATTTTCAAGCTTTTTTCTTTCATCTTTTTGATCTCTCTGCCCCATGGCAGGATGAAGGCAGCTTTATTTCCTGCCTTCACTTCCTCCCAACCCTGTTTCCATTTTCCACCCAATGCCTAAGGTGATGGAAATTATTTCTTTGCTGGTAATATTTTCCTGAATGCCCTAGGGAAGAAGTGATTTATACCTGGCTTGTCCTTGGCATCCTGTGGCTCAGAGACGGGAGTCAGCTTTGCTCTGGGTTTAGCTTTCATGGCGGGTTTTGAGCAGTCTATGTCATCTTATGCTTGTGTCCGCTTCTGGAAGGCTGGCCATGGAAAGGCACTGCAGCAGGGGATGGGGGCATAGGAGAAAGTGAGGGCTCTGAGCATTCATCCCTGAGAGCCCCATGGGTGGGTATCATGAAGCAGGAAAGAACTGTTAGGAAAAGTGCAAGAAAACACACACATTATTTAAATATATTGTCCAGGGTGGCCTCTAGCCACAGCAACAAATTTAGCTGCTAGTATTCCATTTATCTTTCCTTCCTTTTTTTCCTTCCTTCATTTATCCCTCCCTCCCTCCTTCCCTCCCTCCCTCCTTTCCTTTCCTTCTTTCTTTCAACAGCATCTTGCTTTGTTGCCCAGGCTGGAGTACAGTGGTGTGATCATAGCTCACTGCAGCCTTAAACTCCTGGGATCTCATGATCCTCTCACTTCAGCTTCCTGATTAGCTGGGACTACAGGCTCACATCACCATGCCCCGTTATTTTTTTTCTTTTGTAGAGCTGGAGCCTTCCTGTGCTGCCTAGGCTGATCTTGAGCTCCTGGGCTCAAGTGATCCTCCTGCCACAGCCTCCCAAAGTGCTGGGATTACAGACATGAGCTACCATGCCAAGCCTCATACATTCTTAATTCATTCATCTAGACTTTTGTTTAATCATACAAACATTTATCATTGATTGTAGATGATTCTCAGCACCACATTCCTGAGAAATTAGCTACCCAATGTTCTCAGGAAAGAATCCCCTTATACATGAATGTGCCCATGACATGACTTCTCCAAGAGTAGAAGGCTAAGACTATGTTATTATGACTTTTAGTACTTGTAAAAATTACTTGAATTAAGGACATCTTAAGGTTGTCTGTTTGCGCAAGCATTTTCTCTCTCTCTCTTGCTCTCTCTCTCTCAAACACACACACACACACACACACACTCACACAGAGTTTGGGGGAATCCCATAGAGACTGGTAGAAACATGTCTTCTGTTGCTGTACAGAAACATAGATGTGTGTTATCAAGGAATTGTAACTTTGAAGTACTGAAAATAATTTTACAGTAAAACATAAAACATATTATGATTTTGCACAGAGATGCTGCAAAGGCAGTTAGGACCAGAATCTGAGAAAATAAGGAAGTTGTGAAAAAAGAGATTTGTTAAAAATTCCAGAGGTAGGTGAAGTTAATGCATATTTGAGAACCAAATGTAATATTTTGTGAAATTAATATTTTTACCAGCTATTTCCAAAATGATATATAGATAATATTTATATCTCTG
Source organism: Homo sapiens (assembly GCF_000001405.40). Taxonomy (NCBI): domain Eukaryota; kingdom Metazoa; phylum Chordata; class Mammalia; order Primates; family Hominidae; genus Homo; species Homo sapiens. The sequence goes on along the minus strand of NC_000009.12, from coordinate 71,487,838 downwards.
CATGTACAGATAGAAGTAAAAATATACATATGAAGGAGAAAAAAAGCTCAGTCTACATTCTCCCAACTCTACCCTACTCTACTCTACTTATCCTATTTATTGGAGAAATAAAGTAAATATCAATCTTTTCTTCAGTAAAACTGATTTGTTTATTGTAACATAAATAATATGGATCAGAAAGAATTAGTATCTGGGAGAAGTAGCTAAATTAGTAAGTGGAAAATAACTTAGATTTATTTTTGTGAGTTTTGCAGCTGTCATATTAGGTATGGACAGCTCCATATTGGCCAGATACAGGGTGGGGTGATGTTAGTAGCTTCAGATCCTTAAAACAGAGCCAACCTTTGTATTTATTAGGAGTGTGGAATGTTGGATGGGACAATAAAGCCCCAAATTCATCACAGCAAAACTCAACAGGAAAACATATTCATGTAAGAAGCATCAGGAGAAGTCCATTTAGCAACAGGAAGCTAATTGCTTCATTTTTATTCCACGGCAAAATCAAAACCAGGTGGCTGGCAGGCAGTCCACACGTGATGTTTCTTAGAGTTCCTCAATCCTGGGGTGTAGATGATGTCAGATGAAAGTCGGAAGGCTAAAACAGCCATCTGGTGGCCGGTCAGATTGTTAAGCTCAGTGGCCATGGCTCTATCACAGAGCTCTGGCTAGATCACCTCCTGTTGGTCAGCATTCGGCTTATCTTTTATCAAGAGTCACAGATCCTGTAACACTAGCCAAACCGATAAGGTGCACAGACCTCATTAACTCATGTTAAGGTTGATACTCCATTCTTTATAAAAGTGGAACTCGTAGAGCAATGACTTCTAGGCTGTAGCATGCATTAGGATTCCTTGGAGGGCTTGTGAAATCCCCGGAGTCCTATCCCCAGTGTTTCTGATCCAGTAGGTCTGGGGTGGGGTCTGAGAATCTGCATTTCTAACAAGTTCCTGGGTGATACTGCTGCTCTGGTCCACTATCACACAGGAAGCCGTTTGTTGTGTTAGATACACATAAAACCAGAAGAGAGATACGTTATAGTACATTTTTCTCCCTTCACATTTAACAAAAAATTTTTGAGTTTTAATCTTTGACAAAGTTATAAGGGAAGGGTTGCCTGTATTAACCTTGTCATACCGATTACTCTCAATGATTGCTTCTGGGTGATACACTTATCCCCACACTCTTACCCCAAGAGGTGCAAATAAATTAATGCTCCTATTCAGAATGACTCATTACTTGGTCAGAAAACAAGTTTACATCCAGTGTGGGCTGACCTGACCTGAAGGCTAGTTTTATAAAAAGAAAAAAAATCAAATCTATTGTGTTTTCACACTAACAAGCATTTAGTAAGAAGTACGGTTGCTTTTCTTTGCTTCTCTTCCTGGAGAACATTGACCTGCACCTGGTATTGTTTGCAATGAACAATTTTTCAGAGATTGCAATGATAGAAAGGTAGAGAGCAGGGGTGGGCTGCAGAGAGATTGAGAGGTTAAAAAATTTCTTTACAGCATATCTGGAGATGAGTGTTAACTATTTTTTAAGTTAAAAAATAGTTTAAAAAGATTGTGCATGTACAACTTTAGGCGAACTGACAAAAAGAGAAGTTGGTTAGGTATATCAGAGGAAAGAAAAACAAGTTTCTAATACACATATTGAAAACGAACATATAATTGGTCAGTGGAGGCAAAAAGGAGACATGCTGGTTTAGAAGAGGCAGCATGTTTTCTAGTTTTGTGATTTAATGAAAATCTTGCCAATGGCCACAATTTTCTTCCTCTGTTCCATTTTCTTTTTTTCCTTCTTTCTTCTTTTCCTTCCTTTCTTCTTCGTTTCCATTTCTTTCCTTTCCTACCAGTTATCACTAGATTTTTATTTGCCCCTAAAATGTGTAAACAACATTCAAGATTGAAGGCCGAGGAGATGACTCAGACACAGATTCTGCCCTCAAGGAAATAAGGGTTGACAATACCATCATATTTAAATCTATGTGCTCTAACTGTAATAATTTCACCCCAGATCCTTAACACACAGTTGTATTATGATAGGTTCCTTTGAATGATGACACTGTTGCCTCCTGCTCCCATCCCATTTTCACTTGCCCTGACTATCCATCATCTCATCTTGAGTGTCTCTCAGGAGACTCTGTTCTTTAATTTGATTTGCTGTTATCTCTGGTAAGTTTAAACATGTGCATCTTAAAATGATAGGGGCTGGGTGTTCAACACTCAAGGGAACTGCGCATTCAGGACCAAGAATCTCCACCCTTCTAGCTGTTGAACTACACATGCCCCAAAGACAGGCAGCATGCCAGAGGTCTGTCAGTGGAAGCAATGACAATATCCATGACCTACAGCTCTGGTTAATATTGAATTATAGTGGTTCATTCAGTTGTTTACTTTATGGTTAACAAATTACATGATTTTCATTGTGGGAATACTTGTTGATCGGAAGTCCTGAAGAGTAGAGATTGTCATATCTTGGGTTGGTCTTTGAGGCATACTGTGGTCTTGACAGCACTGATGGTGGAGGAGGGAAGGAACTGGCACGTGAGCAGGGCTGGGGGACCTGCTTCAACCAACAGGGAATAGCAGAGGTGCAATAAATAGGGAAACATATTGCAGTTGTTACAAAAAACTGAAGTTTAAAGAGTCGGAACCAGCTTTGCCATGTCTTGTGCGAACCCACTACAACAAAATTTCCAAGGGGAATGTGAGGATGTTAATGATACATACATCATAGGGTGGTGGTGAAGCTTAAGCAAGAAATGTCAAGTGTTTAGCACAATGCTCTCAGTAAACATGAGGTATTCTTTATTTATTTTATGTCTATCTATCTCTCTCCTCACATAGGCTTTCTTCTACATTTAAGTGGTCCAGTCCACTACTTAGGGGTCTCAAAGTATAATCCTCAGACCAACATCATTGGTATCTTGTAAGGAATGCACATCCTCAAGCCCTACTCAGATCTACTGAATCAGAAGCCGTGGGGGTGGGGTCCAGCAGTCTATGTTTTTGCTAGCCCTCCAGGTGATTCTGACGCACGCTCAAGAGTGAGAACCACTGCTCCAGTGGGACATTGTAGTTGTTTTCAGCAAGAAAGTGTTGCTCAAAACCGATGAGTGATAGCATCCTCTGTGGCTGCAGTGGATTGGCAAACCTAGCAAAGGCTTCCATCCAACAAGCCACAGGTACTGGGGATGAGATCTAGCTCTCCAGGAAAGGAAGCTGGGGCAAAAGCTAGGCAGGGTGGCAGGCTCCACTCTATCCTTTCTTTCTCCATCCCAGCCCAACTGGTCCTGAGGACAGGGTGCTAGTCCCTTGAGGAAGACAAATGCTAGCCACAGTGAATCCTGTCTTACATTTGGGCAAGAGAAGCAGAAAATAAGAGAAACCTGGCCGGGCGCGGTGGCTCACGCCTGTAATTCCAGCACTTTGGGAGGCCAAGGTGGGTGGATCACAAGGTCAGCAGATCGAGACCATCCTGGCTAACGCAGTGAAACCCCGTCTGTACTAAAAATACAAAAAATTAGCCGGGCATGGTGGCGGGCACCTGTAATCCCAGCTGCTCAGGAGGCTGAGGCAGGAGAATCACTTGAACCCAGGAGGCGGAGGTTGCAGTGAGCCGAGATCGCACCACTGCATTACAGCCTGGGTGACAGAAGTGAGACTCCATCTCAAAAACAAACAAACAACAACAACAACAACAACAACAACAAAAAGAAACCCACATTTCTGTGGGTGTGTAGGTAACCACTTCCTGCAGGAGCCAAACTTACCCCTACTAGGCATGAATAGGCTCTGCAATTAGGTGGAACTGATGCTGAAGATGAAAAATCTTCATGCTTCCAGGTGAAGAGAGCATGGCAAGGCAGGGACAGACATGCTAGTTAGACTAATAAGAGCTCTTTGGCAAAATCTGATTAGCTTGAATTCAAAACATCCCTGATCCTCCACTCCATGGGCCTGCTGCCCTGTGCTCCTGGCTGATGGATTCACAGGTGTCTTGGAAAATTCTTTCCAATTTGTTTTAGCATTTTCTTTTTAAGGCCAGAAACAGGCTATGGCCATGCCAATCGTATTTGTGGCAGCTGCACGAAGCCCCTGGGATTGCCCAGTCATCTACAGACTGTGTCTGAGAGCACTGGGCTGGAAATCAGAAATGTGCCCTTGTGTGGGTGGCCCCTGTAGTCAGGGGTGATGCTTTTCACAGTGTTCTTTGTAGAAACCTCAGGGGAGGAAATCATAGAATAATAGGACTGTGAGGACCTCTGAGAAGTCATGTGGCCTCAGCCCGTGGAGAGCCCAGGACAGAGAAAACAAGAAGAAAACCAAATTCCTGATTCTCTTCCCTGTTGCTGACACGCTGTATAATTCCAGGGCTTCCTCCCCATGTTAGAGAGGAAATTAAGATCAGAGAGTCGGTTGGGTTTTTCTTCTGCCCTCTGTCATTTGAAGTCTCACAGTGTGATACTCAGCAGATTGGAAACATTACCCTAATTGGTAAGATATAGATTGAAGTTCAGCTTCACCATTATGAATAGAAATGAAACTAAGTTGAACTTCTGAGTGTCACATTGTTATTAAATAGAAATTAAAACCTAAAAATGCGAATGAGTTCAATAAACATTCATTAAGCTCCTATTAGGGTGGCTCTCAAATACCAAATAGCAGAATCACCTGAAAGCCTTATTAAAAATGCAGGTTTCAGATGTGGTGGCTCATGCCTATAATCCCAACATTTTGGGAGGCTGAGGTGAGAGGATCACTTGAGCCCAGGAGTTCAAGACCAGCATGGGTAACATAGGGAGACCTTGTCTCTTCTAAAAAGTAAAAAAATTAGCCAGGTGTGGTGGTGCACACCTACTACCCCAGCTACTCGGGAGGCTGAGGTAGTAGGATTGCTTGAGTCTGAGAGATGGAGGCTGCAGTGAGCTATGATCACACCCCTACACTCCAGCCTGGGTGACAAATAGAAACCTTGCCTCAAAAAAATTGCAGGTTTCAGGCCCTCACCCCTGAAATTCCTAATTCATTGGATTAGGAATGAGGCCCAGAAATTTATACTTTTAATAATCATCCCCAAGTGACAGTAATGCTGGTGCCGTACAAAGCATGCACCAAGTAGCACTGCTTCGGGAAGGACACATACGTCATGAGTCATGCTCCTAGACTATAAGCTCCCTGCCAGCAGGACCTCTGAGTTTTTTATTCACCATCAGACAATTCAGTCTCGTGGCTGTAAATACTATCTATATGCCCCAAACTCCAAATCTGTATCTCGAATCCAGACAACTTCTCCTAACTCTAGGAGCATACACCCACCCAACACCTCCAAACAGACATCTAGTAAACAGCTCAAACTCAACACGTTGAAATGGAACTTCTCAATTTCCCTAAACCTACACTACTTTCAGTATTGTCCACCTCAACTCATGGCAAACACCACATCCCTCCAATAGTTTTTAAAAAAAAAAAAACGAACTTGGGGAATCTTTGACTCCTTTCTTTCTCTCACACCTCTCATCCAATCTGTTAGGAAAGCCTGTTACCTGTATCTTTAAACCTTATCCAGAATCTGTGCACCACCATTCTTGCCACCCAATGCAAGCCACCATCATCTTGCTTTGGCTACAGCCAACTGCCTCCTATTTGGTCTACACCCCTGTCCCCTCCAGTCTATGTTCAGCATAGCAGACAGAGAAAACCTGTTAAAATATACATCAGATGATGGGACTCCCTGGTTTGACACCTCCTGATTTCACCATATTTTTCAGAGTAAGAGCAAAAGTGCTCACAATGAATCAGTAAGCCCTGTAACAAGAGACTTCAGACTGCTGCCCTGACCCCATTTCTTGCTGCGCTCCTTACTTACTTTGCCATGTCCCCAAGGGTCTCCTGGCTCTTCCAGAAATATATTTGACATGTTTGCCCTTAGGCCTTTATATTGCTGTTCACTTTGACTGGAACACTCTTTCCACATGTGACCATGTAGCTCATTCCTTCCTGTTCTTCACCTCTTTGAATCTTTGCACAAATTTGTCTTAGTTACCTTCTCAGTAAAATCTGTCTTGGCTGCCCCATTTAACATTGTAATGAATGACCCCACCTCCCACCCACCTCTAGCTTTTCTGAACTTCTTCCCTCCCCATTCCTGTGCTATTTTTTCCTATTGAATTTATCACCATCTAACATACTGTGAAGCTTACTATTTCATTATCTCTTCCTTCGCTAGAATGTAAGCTTTGCAAGTGTGGGTATCTTTGTCTATTTTGTTCACTTACATCGCAAATGCCCAGCATGGTGCCTGCCACAGGGTAGGTGCTCCATTAATATTTGTTAAATAAATTAATGCTTGATACACAGGAATGCTCAATATTTATTGAATGAGAAAGCATTGAGAAATAGTACTTCATGTAACTCACAGCAGCCCTTAATCCCCATTTACAAATGAGAAAACAAATGGTTAACCAATTTAAAGTAATATGATCAAGGTCAAATATTTAATTGGAAATGGGGTAGAACATGATTCAAATTTACGTAACCTTGAAATGCCTTCACTTTCTGCCTTCTAACTACCCATATTACAATGTCCTAGGCATTATTCTAGGTGTAGTTTTCTCTCCAAGGTTCTCATCTGTTAGAGAAGACAGACATACAGAAAAATATATTACCCTACAAGGTGCTTTAGAGCTGGAAATCTGGCAGGGATGGCAGTGATTAAACAAGCAGATATAATCCAGTGAAATATGTACAAGAAAGGAGACATGGAGTGCAGGGGAAGAGAGAATCGCCTACTCTGGGGGCAGGGAAGATAATGGAGAAGATTTGCCAAGAAAGTGACATGTTAGCTGAGGCTTGAGGAATATGTAGACATTACAAAGCAAACAGGAAGGAGAAGGGGGTTGTAGGGAGTGACGTGTGTAAATCCAGAAGTGGCCAAGACCTTCCACTGAGCTCTCCAGGCCCAGAAGAAGTTCAGTGTAGCTGGGGTGCAGAATGAAAATATAGAGTAGAAAGGAGTGGGAGGAAGTTAGCTCCTGAAGTACCTTATAGGCATATTAATAGTTTAAACTTTATTATAGGGGAAAAGGGATATCATCATGGGTTTCAAGCAGGGAAATTATATGATCAGATTTGCATTTTAGAAGCTTTAATCTTACTGCAGTGAACAGAATGGATTGGAAGGCACCAAGGTTGGAAGTAAGGAAAACTGTTTAGAGGCTATTGCAATAATCCAGCTGGGAGAGATGGATTAAGGTAGATGAATGAGATAGTCAAAACTTGGGAATTGACAACATGTGGAATGGAGAAAAGTGGTGAGTGTTGCAGGGGGTCAAAGATGACTTGTGCAAATGAGTTATGGTAGAGTCAATTACTGAAATAAGACTGGATAGAAAGTGTGCATGTTTGGATGTATATGTGCATGTGTGTGCAAGTGTGTGTGTGTGTATAGATGTAATCAGAGAGCTGTTGAAATAGACAAGAGACATACGATAGTAAAAACAGAATGGAAATCAGGCAATTAATCTTTCGTCAAATTTATGTTCATTATAATGCTTTGGCAAGAAACCACGTAGATTTAAACAGTAATAATGGCCTAATTTTTATAACCCATTTGTAGTTTTCTAGACCATTAATTGGTAGCTTGTCTGTTTACTTAGTTGGTGAGTAGAGGCCTCATTTATTCAGCCGATTCTCACATAGGGAGAGCATTTTAAACCATTTATAAATAAAATAAATTTTATTGTATAAAAATTATTTTAAAACCTTTACAATATCCATCATTATGACTTTGTTATTTCATTTCTCTAAGGTAAAGAATGAGCTCATTATTTAAACAAAGTGTTTATCAGCTATAGTACAATAGGAGCTGCTAACTGCACCTGAGAATTCGTTGTTTTAGAAATGTGGTGATCTGGGAATTGTTCAGCTGTAAAGACTTTAAAAGTAAATAGAGGCAAGAAAAAGCCATATGTGGCTCATATATATGAAGGATGGATGGAACTTTAATTTAGCTTGATTCTTCAGGGAGTAATATGCTTCAGACACTTGGCTGAATTCTCGTATACTATTCATCCAAGTGGCTCATCGCATCTGCAGAAAAAGTCCAATTCTGGACTTGCAAATGTTACTCTTTTGAAATGAGAAATCTAAACATTATACTTGAAAGGACCAATGTAGAAAATGAGCCTTCAAAATCTCCAATCGGGGCAGTAATTGATAAAATGGCAAGGCTCACTGAGCTGAGAACGATGGGCAGCCAGGGCTCATAGGCTACCTCTGCACTCTGATGGGGGGACCGGGATGCCAGGACAAGATATGGCTCATGGGAAAATTTGTCTCAGCAATGAAATGAAGTTGGTAAGATACTATTCTACCTTTTTGAGTAAACAGATGGACTATGTTGTCTATATCCTTTTTCAGGAATGCAGTCTGGTATTATTACATGCCTACCTCTTTTCAGAAAATATATAAAACAATTCCAACTGTACCAGGCACTGAGCTAAGTACTAGGATACAATATACAGGCCCTGGCCTCAAGAAGTTTATATTCTGGCAGCAGAGATGTTCTCTTCGCGCCATGCCTGGTAATTGAGCAACTAGCAGGTTGACCTGCATATAGTAGGTATTCAATAAATAAATATATGAATGAGGAATAAATAATAAATAAATGACTTATAATCCAAACTGCCTGACTTCTCTGATTCCCTTTAGAGACTTCTGCACTTAAAAGATCCATTTTCCATGCAAAAGGAAACACCTGGAGAAGGATTTTTCTCTATAAAATACATCTTATTTAATCCTTACAATAAGTATGAATATTTATACATCATCAGGCTGAAGCTCAGAGATTATTTTATCACTCAAATTACACATTAAATATCATAGGTTTGATTTTTTTTTGAGATAGGGTTTTACTCTGTCACCCAGGCTGGAGTACAGTGGCAAGATCATAGCTCACTGCAGCCTCGACCTCCCAGGCTCAAGTGATCCTCCAGCCTCAGCCTCCCAAATAGCTGGGACTGCAAGTGTGCACAACCACAGCTAGCTAATTTTTAAATCTTTTTTAGAGGTGAGGTCTTGTTATATTGCCCAGGCTATTATTGAATCCTTGGCTCAAGTGACCCTTCCACCTCAGCCTCCCAAAGCACTGGGATTACAGGTGTGAACCACCATGCCTGGCTGGGTTTGATTTGAACAGAAGAGGGATTGGAGGAGTGCCCAGTGGAACATAATCATTAACCCGCTACAGTTTATCTTTTCTCTTTTGCCTTCTCCCCAACTGTACCTTCTTCTTTGGGTCTCTAATGCCTTTAACTTTTCAAATTCTGCTCTCAGAAAAGGATCTACAACTTGGTAGAAGCCCAGTGGCTCTTACATTGTAAGGGTTAGTTCTCATTGTGGGAAAAAAAAAAAAAAAAAACCTGTGTAAAGTGAGGAAGATATTCTATCTTTTAGAATTTGGGTGAGGGGCATTAGAAGACTCTTCTTAATATCCCTATAATCAGATCATGCAAACACTCCCTTTGGAGTGCACAAGATCACGTTGCTCTGAGTAAACATTCATGAATCTTTCAACAATTGAATGGTTAATATGACCTACAAAGTTCTTGGACAGAATTACAAGTCAGAGGTAAAAGGTATATAGTAAATAAAAGGGAAACAGGGAAGTTGATAGGTAAGAGACATGCATGGGATGGCCTCAGGGAGCAGACACTCCTTGGGAGAGCCGCTGACCTCTAACATCTTGAAAGGACTGAGACTGGGGCCATACCTGAGTATGGAATAGTATACGAAATTCCATACTCGAAATTCCAAATATGGAAACACATACTGAAGTACATTTTAAGGCTCTAAATGGAGTGGAGGTGAGAAGCTAGGAACCAAGGAAACACCAAGCCCATATACACTTTTGTTCTCTCTGAACTCCACACCTACTTCTCCTGAGGGCCACTTCTCTTCTTCATCACATCCTTTTGATTTTGACCTGTCTGCAAACTTCTTTGCTTGTTCTCCATTTCTAGAGTACAAATACCATGACAGTAAGACTTACTCAGCTCACCTTTTCACAGTGGATTGGCTATGTCAGTTGCCTATTTCTTGGTCTAATCTATCATCTATGGATGGCTGCCCCAAGCTGGGCCTTGGGTAAGACTGTTTTCTTTAGAAGGAATTTGGGACATTGTAGGCATCAAGACTGAAAATTTAGACCAACAATGAGTTGTCAGGATATAAAAAGGGCTAGCATCTTTGAATATTTGCCATATACTACATACTACTCTATACACTTTAAATTTTTTTAGTGCTATAAAAATTTAACTTTTATAACAAGAGTAGGTAGCATTATTTTACCCATTTTATTTATGAGAAAACTGAGGCACAGGAACATTCAGTAACTTGCCCAAGTTGACTCACACAGCAAATGGCGGACTTGAGATCTGAACTTAAGCAGCCTGGCTCCCAAACCTATGCACACAACAATTACATTCTATTGTCTAGGTTTAAATTCTACTTTCTCTCTTACTATTAGGTATATGCATCTAGGCAAGTAACACTTTAAACTCCAGTTTCTCCATCCATCCAGAGAAAATAATCCCTGCCTACGTGTCATGTATGATTGTTCTTAGGGTTAAGTAAGAATATATTTGAAAATTCTTTCTGAATTATGGAGCAAGGTATAAATATTTAAAACAAAATCATCAAAACAATAAGAATAATAAAAGTACAGAGAGGTTTTATTGAGTAGCTCACTTTCTAATAACCTTTTAAGAAATCATATGTCCCCCCAATAAAGTTCTCATTACAAAGTAGCTCTAGGAATCTTTTATACTTTAACATGACAATCTTTTTGTTTCCCTTCGAGGCTGATCAGATGACTGCTGTATCATCTAAGAAATGATAATATTGTTGAAAAAGGGAATTGTCCAGGATCTACATCTATTTTTCTTTTTTTTTCCTCCTCCTACCCATAATTATTTATGGGATAGATAAATTTGTAACATGCTTGAAAAGATTCAGAGGAAAGGTGTTATAGGCAGTTTAATAACAGCATGTTCTGTTGCATTGTTTCTTTTCTTTGGATGTTCAACAACAAATTGCACAATGGAAATTTCTTTCAACTTGCTACTTATCTCTTTAGTTATATGTCTTTTTTATGTTACCACACTCAGATTCACACAGCATACATCTAAATGAAGACTTTAAAAAAGAAATTATTTCTTAATATTTTTCTCATCTATAGGCCTTCTCTTAACATAGTTTTGCAAAAACAAGTAGGAACACCAATACGTTTAGGAGGAAATAATTAGGAATGGAGGCAGTTTTTCTCCTTCTAGATTTCTCTACTGAAGTAGCAAGCACATTAAATGCCAAAACAACATTGGCCCCAAGAACATATTAGCTTTATGGGATACTTAGAGATCCATGGTAACAATTATTTGCAGAATTCACAAGATATACTTTTGGAATTAAATGATGCCTATCTCTTTTTTAGGAAAAATAACCTGCATAGATGAAGGAGAATAGGGTCAGATATAAACCAGACCATTTATTTTTAAAGAACAGATCCATAATTAATCCTTTTTTTGTGGATATATTTATGTCCTTTCACTTTCCCTTCATATATTTCTCATCTTCTTAGATACTGGAAAAGGGTAGGGTTGTGTGCTTGCAGTCTGCTGGGGGATTGTGTACGCTTTTGAGGTTGGGAAGATATTACATTTCACCTCATAAAGTTGATTATGTCCTCAGAGTATGCATAAAAATGAAATTTCCTTTATTTGTTTTCCCTTATAGTAAGATTCTCAGATAAACCACTTGTCTTCATTTTAATTAGGTTGGTGACCATATCCTCATCCTGCCTTTTATATTGCTCTTCTTATGTCTTTATCTCTGGGGCAATAACCTGTATTCATAAACACAGAGGTAAGAGTTTGGGCTAGTCACCAGCAGACGTGGTACACACAGTGAGAGGTTTAGCCATTTTCCAGAGTCCCTGGTATAAATTATATATTACAGACATAGATTAAAATGGGTTCTTTTTAATAGAGAAGGTTCAGGAAGATGTGAAATGAATATTATCATTAATTCCTCATGGTCTTAGAAGCAATGAATTACCTTGTCAAAATGACTGACCAATTATAGCTTTCCTTTCGCCTCTTACTGGGGTCCTTTCAGAGACTTTTCCCATCTTGCTGTAAAAATTTAATCCACAGCTGAATCAGATCATGAAACTGTATTTTAATTTCTATATGCCAAGACTGAGAACTGAATTTAGAATGAGTTACAGTGATTGCTGTCTGTTAGTGTAAACAAGTTATCTTCTCTATTGGCTGGAGAAATCAGCTAAAATTATACTTTCAGGAGGAATTCACTTGGGTACTGCTTTATTTTCAGTCTTTGAGAGTTCTTTATAAAAATGCAGATGCCCAAAGTAGAGAACATTTGAAACTATTATTTTTTATTGGACTAATAGGAGCTAAAACAGTAAGTTATCCAGATGAAGATAATTTTTACTCTATTAGTGAACAGCTAGCTGAATGTAAAGCTCAAGAAATAACAACAGGTTTCCAGTTCTGGAAAAATATGGAATAGATCTACTTTTCCTTATTTATCCTGATAAGTACAGCTAAAACTCTTCAAACTTAAATATAAAACAAACATAAGAAGACTCTGAAAGGTGAAGGGAAGAAGGCAGGCTGGGGACGGCCTGTAGGAACTGAGGAACAACATGTTGACATGGGTTTTCTTTTTGCCTCATGTGTCCTGAGCTGGATGCTGGAGAAGCAGGTAACCCAAAAATGTGAATGTGAACATACAGAAAAAAAAATTCCCAAAGAAAAAATCTTGCTGTCTCTAGCCAGAGGAATAGGAAAGGAGCAGCCTAGCAAGACGGAAAACATTCAGTCAATGACCCCTTTACTTCAGCCAAACGCTATGGGAGAAAACCATAATAACCCACTTCCACTTATGTCATCAAAAGCTGAATGAGAAGCCAAGACCTCCAATCTTGCCCAGCTGTAATGAGGCTCCCCTTGTTACCTCCATCCACAGAAGACTAATTGGGATTAGGATTTTAATCCCTGCATAGAGAAGACTTAGTAAGGCACCTGGACTTTTACTCCCATTTGGCAGTAGTGAGGCAGAGTCCCTTCTCCCCCAACCTGTGTGGTGTCAGAGAAGCCCTGCTAAAACAGAAGCTTTATGTAAGATTCAGAATGTCATAACATGAGATGTCCAGGACAGAACTGAAAAATCTCACATCATAAAAAGAAAAAGGAAAATCTTAACTTGAATGAGAAAAGGCAATTGACAGCAACTTCAATATGACACAGATGTTGGAATTATCTGACTAGTGTTAAAAACAAGCCATTGCAAAAATGCTTCATGAGCAATTATGAACATGCTCGAAACAAATGAAAAAATAAAAAGTTTCAGCAAATAAATAGAAGGTATAAACAAGAACCACATGAAAATTTTAGAACTCATGAAGACAATAGCCAAAATAAAAAACTCACTGGATACACTCAATAGCAAAATGGAAAGGTCAGACAAAATAATGAGTAAACTTAAAAATAGCAAGAAAATAAATTACCCAATGTGAACAACAGAGGTAAAGGAGGCTGAAGTGAATAGACACTCAGTGAATAACAAAGGATCTAACATTCATATGGTCAGAGTTCCAGAAAGAGAGGAGAAAGAAGGTGGAGATGAAAAAGTATTCAAATACATAATGGTGGAAAATCTCTTAAATCTGGCAAAGGGCCTAAGTCCAAAAATTCAAGAAGCTGAATAAAATGGGGCAAAGTTTTCAGGCCAGGAGGAGTAACCTGAAAGCACTAGAGGCTTCCACCCCAGTCCAGCACTGATATGCTTTGGCTGTGTCCTCACCGTAAATCTCATCTTGAATCCCCATAATGCCCACTTGTCAAGAGTGGGACCAGGTGGAGGTAATTGGGTCTTGGGGGCAGTTTCTCCCCTGCTGTTCTTGTGAGAGTGAGTGAGTCTCATGAAATCTGATGTTTTTATAGGTATCTGGGATTTCCTCTGCTTGCACTCACTCCGTCGTCTTGCCTTGTGAAGAAGGTTCCTGCTTCTTCTTTGCCTTCCATGACTGTAAGTTTCTTGAGGCCCCCCTAGCCATGTTGAACTGCGAGCGAATTAAACCTCTTTCCTTTATAAATTCCCCAGTCTTGGGCAGTTCATTATAGTAGTATGAAAACAAGCACTCTGTTCTTGAAAGATATAGTAGCCTACTTCTCTGGTCTCACTCCCAGAGAAGTACACTACTATATTTCTCCCTAGCTCTGGAGCAGTAATGTAGGGGTTTTGCCCAGGGGCAAGGGCAAGCCATAAGAACAGAGAGCTTAAGCACCTCCCCAGGTGAATTGACTTTATTTGGAACAGAGTGTGAAAAAAAAATGTAGACTGTGGCAGTAACTAAGAGAGTGCTGGTAGCTCTATGAGAGCAATAAACTAAACTGTAAAACATTTAGAAGTTTATTAGAGCGAACCAGGTAAAGAGATAGCTGAGAACACTCCTGGAGTCAGAAAACCCCTCAAAGCCTGACCTCAAAGATGACTGCAACAAAGGGACAAAGATTTAATCGAATCAAATTGTAGAGTAATTTATGCCCTGGGGCATTTGGTAAAATAATAGTGCAATCAAACAGCAAATAGTGGAGGCTAACAGCTGGGTGTGATACTAATGATACCAATGGATATCAACAGATTAACATAGAGATCAAGAGAAGAGACAAAAACAGCCCTGCTAGAAACCCTATCATCTCAGGCTGAATGTGCTCATGCTCCAAGGTGGCATCCTCTGAGGAATAGCATCAGAGACTGCACGTTGTGGGGGAATAGATTTCATTAAGTAGTCCAGCCAAGTCACTGAAAAATTAGCCAAAATATGGACTTGATAGGGGTAGCTGTGAAGTGGGAAATTGAGAAAATAACAGAATAATAGCATAAGTAATAATAGAGAAATAACAATAGCTCATAGGATGAATTGCTGTATTAACCAAGGCTGAAAAGAATTTAAGTAGCCCCCCTTGAAGTTAAAGTTAGAAGAGAGTATTAACTGTCTGTCCCAAGAAACATTAACCATATCTATCCTCTGCATATTTTGTAGGCTCTGTAAACTCCTGTTTCTTTCTTCCCTGCATAGCTGCAAGGTCACAAGACAGATAAGCATAAGCTGCAAACCGAGTTCTCACAGAGATGTAAGACATGTAGCAGAAGTGTCACAGCAGCCTTTTGTTCTCGCTTCTGTAAGCCTGCTTCATGTAGTTCCCACCTCAAAATGCTTAAAAAGGACTCATTTTGTTTGTTCTGGGCTCAGCCTGTAGGACACATGTCTGCTGGGCCAGGGTACACCTTAAAATAAACACCCTTCTGCACTGTCTCTCTGCTTCCTTAAATCTCGCTTCAGTTGATATTAGAGTTGCTACAATATATTATCTAAAATAAGTAGTTTTCAGAAAAGCTTTATGAGACATGCAAAAAAATAGGCAAGTGTGACTCGTACACATTAAAGAAAAGCAGGCAACAGAAACTACCTTTGATAGGTATCAGACTTAGTAGACAAACACTTCAAAACAGCTATGAGCATATGTATATGCTCAAAGAACTAAAGAAATGAAAGGAAACCATGCTTAAAGAAGTAATAGTATAACAATGTCATTAAAAAGGGAATACTGATAAAGACAAATGATATGAAGAACTAAATGAAAATCCTGGAGTTTAATAATACACTAAATTAAATAAAAAACTCACTAAAGAGGCTCAATAGTAGATTTGAGCTGGTACAAGAAAGAAGCAGAGAACTTGAATATAGATTAATTGAAATTATACAATCTGAAGAAAAACAGAATAAAATAAAGAAAATAAGCAAATCCTCAAAGACATGTAGGAAATTATTAGCACACCAATATAGATACAGTGGAACTACCAGAAGAACAAAACTCAGAAAGAAGAGGAAAACATATTTGAAGAAATATTGACTAAAAAGTTTACAAATTTAATTTAAAAACTTTAATCTACACATACTAAAAGTTAGATGGCCCAGAAACAGCATAGTAAAAATATAGAAAAGCAAAGAGAACATCTTGAAAGCAACAAGAGAAAAATGACTATACACAACATGATTAACACCTGATTTCTCATCAGAAACAGTGAAGGCCAGAGACAGGGAGGTAACATGAAAGTGCTCCAAAACAAAAAAACCCCCCAAAAAACTCCCAAAACCAAAAAAAATCCTTCAGAACCAAGAAACCTCTGTTAACAAAGAAACTTAAGTCCCGAAAACTGTCTTTCAAAAGTGAAGGTGAAATAAGAACATTCCCAGGTTAACAAAAACAGAGAGTTTGTTGCAAGCAGCCGTCCTTAAAAGAAATATTAAAGGCTGAAAGCAAATGAGCCCAGACAATAATTCAAATTCACATAATAAAAAGCATCCATAAAGGCAACAATGGTAAATGGAGACTTCAACGCTTCACCTTAAATAATGAAAAGAACAACGAGTAGAAGTTCAACAATGAAACAGAATCCTTGAACAGCATTAGAAACCAACTAGATCTAATAGACATCTATAGATCACTTCGTTCCAACATCAGCAGATATATTATTTTTTCAAGTACACATAGAACATTCTCCAGAAAAGACAATAGGAAAGACCATAGAACAAGACAACAGATTTAAAAGAATTCAAATAATACAAAGTATTTTCTTTGACCACAGTAAAATGAAATCAAAAATTAATAACAGAAAGAAATGTTGGAACTTCACAAATATTTGCAAATTAAATAGCAAAGTCTTAAATTACCATGAAGTCAAAGAAAAAGTTACAAGTGAACTTAGAAAATACTTAGAGGGGGCCAGGCGCGGTGGCTCATGCCTGTAATCCCAGCACTTTGGGAGGCCGAAGTGGGTGGATCACGAGGTCAGGAGTTTGAGACAGCCTGACCAACATGGTGAAAGCCCGTCTCTACTAAAAAAAAAAAAAAAAAAAAATTAGCCAGGCGTGGTGGCACACGCCTGTAATCCCAGCTACTCAGGAGGCTGAGGCAGGAGAATCATGTGAACCTGGGAGGCGGAGGTTTCAGTGAGCCAAGATTGTGCCTCTGCACTCCAGCCTGGGCAACAGAGCTAGACTCCGTCTCAAAAAAAAAAAAAAATACTTAGAGATGAATAACACAATACAAAATTATGGGATGAAAATAAAGCAATTTTCAGAAATTGCTGGAGAAAAAATGATGGCTGTAAAACCCATATAAAAAATAGCCAAATCAATAACCTAATATTTTACCTAAGACATTGGAATAGGAAAAGCAGAAGCAAAACCTAAAGCAAGAAGAAGGAAGAAAAGAATAACTATTAGAGAAGCAGTTAATGAAATAGAAAAGCAATGAAGAAAATCAATGGAATCAAAAGTTGTCTCTTGGAAAGATAAACAAAATTAGCAAAACTTTAGTTACACTAACCAAGAAAAAAAAGAGAGAAGACTCATATCATTAGAATCAGGAATGAAAGAAGGGATTCACTATCGAGCTTACAGAAGTAAGAATTATAAGGGAATATTATGAACAACTACATTAAAAAATTAGACAAGTTAAATAAAAATGAATTAACTCAGAAAGACAAAACTACTGAAATTGAATCATGAAGAAACAGAACATATGAATATAGCTGTAACAGGTAAAGCAATTAACTTAATAATTTAAAAAGTTCCTTCAAAGAAAAATCCAGGCTCAGATGGCGTCACTGGTGAATTCTACCATACATTTAAAGAAGCTTTAATATTAGTTCTTTGAAACTCTTTCAAAAAATAGAAGAGGAGATAATACTTCCTAACTCATTCTGTAAGGCCAATATTACTCTGATGCCAAAACCAAATATAGATATCAGGAGGACAGAAAACTACAAATTAATATCTTTTATGAATATGGGTGCAAAAATCCTCAACAAAATACTAGCAGGGCCGGGCGCGGTGGCCTGTAATCCCAGCACTTTGGGAGGCTTGGCAGGCGGATCACAAGGTCAGGAGATTGAGACCATCCTGGCTAACACAGTGAAACCCTGTCTCTACTAAAAATACAAAAAAAATTAGCCGAGCGTGGTGGCAGGCACCTGTAGTCCCAGCTACTTGGGAGGCTGAGGCAGGAGAATGGCGTGAACCCGGGAGGCGGAGCTTGCAGTGAGCCGAGATCCCGCCACTGCACTCCAGCCTGGGCGACAGAGCGAGACTCCGTCTCAAAAAAAAAAAAAAAAAAAGAAAAGAAAAAGAATAAAGTTGGAGGACTCATATTTTCTGACTCTAAACCTCATTACAAAATGGCAGTAGTCAAGTCTGATACTAGCACGGAATAGATAGAACACTTGCAATCAATTGATTTTTTAAAAGATTACTGAAAAAATTTAGTGGAGGGAAGAATAGTCATTTCAACAAATGATGCTGGTACAACTGTATATTCACATGCATAGTAATGAAGTTGGACCCCTTGTCACATTCTACACAAAATGCACTAAAAATGCATCATCAACTGAAATGTAAAATCAAAATCAATAAAACTCTTAGATGAAAACATAGGGGCAATCATCATGACCTTGGATTAGGCAATCTGTTTTTAGATATGACCCAAAAAATACAGGCAAACAAAGAAAAATATATACATTGGACTTTATAATTAAAACTTTTTGCTTCAAAGAGTATCATCAAAAAATTGAAAAGATAGTCCATACAATTTGAGAAAATATTTGTAAATCATGTATCTGATAAGAGAACTGTATCTAACATTTATAAATAACATTTTTATAATTATATATTATAAAAAGACATAAAATCAATTAAAGTGGGCAAAAGATCTGAACAGACATTTCTCCAAGGAAGATATACAAATGGCCAAAAACCACATATAGAGATGCTCAACATTATTAGTCATCAAAGAAGTGCAATTTAAAACCACAATGAAATATTACTTTACTCTCACTAGGAGGGCTGTGATAACAAAGATATAATAAAAAGTTTTGATGGAGATGTAGCAAAATTGGAGTCTTCATAAATTGCCGGTGGTAATGTGAAAATGGGACAGGTGCTTTTCAAAACTGTCTGCCATTTCCCCAGAATGTTAAACATAGAGTTAATATATGACCCAGAAATAATTCTTCTAGGTGGCATTTCAAGAGCAACGAAAACACGCATGCATGTGCAAATTTGCATGCAGATGTTCATAGCAGCCTTACTCAGAATAACCCCCCAAATGGTACCACACCAAATGTTCATCAACTGTTGAATAGATAAATAATATGTAGTATATCTACACAATGGAATATTATTTGGCAATAAGAAGAAATAAGATATTGATATATGCTGCAATGTGGATGAAGCTTGAAACCATTATGCTAAGTGAAAGGAGCCAGGTATAAAAGATCACAAATTACATAACTTTATTTATATAAAATGTCCAGAAAAGACAAATCTATAGAGATGGACCGCAGATTAGTGTTTGCCAGGCCTGGGAGAGGGGAAGCAGGATGGAGAAGTGACAGCTAATGGGTGTAGGTATTCTAAAATTGATTATGGTGATGGTTGCACAAGTCTATGAATATACTAAAAATCATTGATTGTAGACTTTAAATTGGTGAATTTTTATAGTATGTGAATTATATCTCAGTAAAGCTGTTAAATTAAAAAAAAGTTGAGTGAATCCCCAAACAGGATAAATCCAAAGAAATTCATGTCATAATTAAACTTTGGAAAACTACAGAAAAATCTTGAAAACAGTGAGAGGAAAAAAACACCACCCTTCAAAAGACAATTCAGATGGCATTAGATTTATCATCAGAATCATGGAAGCCAGAGGAGAGGCATGACAGTCTTCAAGTGCTGAAAGCAAAGAAACATCCCCCGCAAACTCTATGTCCTGAACACTTTTCTTTTTTGAGTGAGGTAGAAATGAAGACATCACGAGACAAAGGAAAAGTTTAAAAATGTTCACTAGCAGAACTATCCTAAAAAACAAATGGCAAAGAAAGTTTTTGATAGAGAAGGGATATCTTGGAACATTAGAAAGGAAGAACAAATAGCAGGAAAAGCCAAAACATGGATGAACACAATAAACTTTCTTTTTCCTCATGAGTTTTCCAAATTATGTTTTATGGCCTAAGCAAATATTTCTTAAAGGAAGTATTTAAGACAATTATATTACAAAGGAAAGATCAAAAATGGACTTACAAGGAGGTAATTTTTCAGTCTCGTAAAGTATCAACACCAATAGATCTTTGTGGTGCTGGAATAGTTCTGTATCCGGATTTTCATGGTGGTTACAGGAATTGACACATTAGTGAAATGGCATAGAATGTTACACATACACTTTTCAATGCACGTTTCCTGACTTTGATATTATACTATAGTTACACAGATGTAACTCTTGGGGAAAACTGGGTGAAGGGTACATGGGACCATTCTGTACTATGTTTGCAACTTCCTATAAATCTACAATGATTTAAAAATAATTTTAAAAAAGGGAATGATGACTCAATGACTAGAGAAACACCTAGGGCACAAGTGCACGTGTCCGTGTGTATATGTCTGGGTGGTGGGAGAGAGAGGGAGAGGGAGAGAGAGCAAGAGAAGTGTATATGTGTTGAATAGAAACATGCTGAATTGGAGAGTGGGCAGATATAAAATGCAAATTTAACCTACTCATCAGCCTGGCTGATGGTAGTTCTCATATTTTGCTGTAGGATATTATTTTTCCACAATAAATTTCTCTTATTTTTTATCCTGTCATCTTCTGAGAACTCCCACAATCTAATTTCTGAAGCCATAATTGTAATATAAATCAAAATAATTATTTGGATCCTATTTTGTTTTGAGGATGGCACCTTTGTCCATCCTCCCCCAGAGTCAGAATGCATGCTCCAGTCTTGTGGCTTTGTTTCCTACTCAAGTGTGTCTTTGGTGTTTACCTGCATTCTTCATGATTTTATCCATAAAAAGGCAGACTTTAAAAAGTAAGCATACATTTGCTAAGTACAATCAATGTGCAAAGTAGAGTTAATTTTGGAGATTAGAAGACTAAATAGGATACTTGAGAAAATAAATGGATAATGAATGTTGTGTCATATATTTTTAAGCTTTATTTGCAGCAACTTTAAACAGTTAGAAGAGATTAAACTAGAAATATATAATACAATAACCTTACCAAACAGAGAAGCTAATTATAATTAAATCAAACAGAAGGTGGGATCTGTTGCTGACAAAAAAGAAAGATAAAAGCAGTGATTAGGATAGTGGGAAGAGTTGAAATGAAAAACAAATCCACTCATAAATAAGCATCCCCTCCCTCACAAAAAAGTTGACAAAAATTGAAGTTAATCTTTATTTCCCTAGAAGAAGGCAGGATATATGAGAAACGTATTAACCTGTAAAGTTCATTCTATTCAATAATTATCCACCTGTTGCAATGAATGATAAATGCTTCCTAGAGTTCTGCATCTTCCAGAAATGTGGCAGATTGATACATCTGAGGGGGAGCAAGCAGGCGTGAAGATTAAAAAATAGTAAGTGTCAGGGATTTGCATTGCATTTCTTTTAATAAGTAGAAAAAACTTGGATGTAGAGGGGGAACTGAACCTCATAACCAGACTGAATGGTTTATCAAGAAGTCCAGGAGTATATACAAGAGAGAGGTGCCTAATGCATGTTCCCAACCCCAAAAAGATGAGTATGAAAGGAGCTCCAGCTTTTTACATTTTCATTTTTCAAGGACGAGCCAACAAAGTTAAAGTTCAACTTGCTCTTGGATTTTAACCTAGCTAGCATATAAGCAATATTTGTTGTACTTTGCCTTCACCTAAAAGAATATAATGATGTGTTTTAGGATTATCAGGCACATAAAGTAGTACAATATAGGGGTCTTGACATTTGCCAGGGAGATAAAGAACCAGGTCCAATTATCCTGAATATTCTTCTTTCCCTTCTATTTTAATATCAGAATGTTGAAAAAAATCCAGCTAACATAAATTTTAAAATGAAGTCAAAAATGAACGATGGACCCCACCACATTAGCTTGGCTATGGTGGAGGCAAGAAAATTGTGGGTTGAGGTATAATAAGAGCTTTCAGTTATTTTAAAAAATAATCATTGGTGTGTAGAGCTGCCACCTCCCCACCAACTGCCTCCATGACTCACTGCCCATTCCCCATCAGCCCTGGGGAGCAGAAACGGGGGAGTCTGGGTGATAGACCTTATGTGGTGTTCAGTTGTTAGCTGAAAAGTTGGGCTAGAAATCTGGCTGGTGGGAAGTGTTTCCTGTAGCGCTAAAATGCTTGATGACATCATCTCGGGTTCAGCCAAAACCAAACCAAACAGTGTTACCATATTTTGCAAGTAGTAGAAACTTCTGCAAATAAATGCATCATCCTTGTCATTCATAATCATCAGCACCATCACCCCCATCATACTGGAGATTGACATCAAGAACTGGGTGGCCTTTCTCCATTAAAGACCAAATAAATAAACAGCCTTTGCCACAGAGCAGTTTAAATATGTATAATTTTATCTATTAATATTATTTGCCTCTCCGTTCTTACAAGGCTATTGAGAGAATCTAAAATTGATTGTATAAGTAAAAAGGGAAACAATATGCAAGTGCCAAACATCTATATTATTTTAAAATATGCCTTTGTCACATTTATTTCAGTTTGTTCATACTGACAAATGCATATTTTATCACTATCAGTGATGGCATTTTTGAGTGCCTTGAGTAGCTCAGATTTTGAGGTACAAAAAGATTATGATTTTTCCATGCTTCCCTTTAAAAGGTAATCCTTATTAAAACAAAACAAGTCTAAGTACTATATATTGATAAATTAAGAATAGGGATTTTAAAAGCTACTTTTAATAAGATAACCTTATTTCTGAAAGGAATAATAAATTCAGTTTTCACTTTCAGGTGGAGCAGCATGCTCACATATTGAACTTGTTCAATGAGTTATTTTGCTATCATTGAGGCTAGTTATGTTGAAAAGAATGAAACATCATGTTTTCACAAAACATAGATTGAATTGTTTAGATAGACGGTGATAGGATTTTTAAAAACTTTTTCTTTTGAAATAATTATAGGTTCTCAGTAGGTTGCAAAGAAGTGTGCAGGGAAGTCCTTTGCACTTTCCCCAAGCTTCCTCATTGTTAACATCGTGTACAGCTATAGTACAGCATGAAAAGCAAGAAATTGCATCAGAACAATCAATAGCATTTATTCAGATTTCACCAGTTATACATGCAACTCATGAGTGTGTATGTGGGGTGTGTGTGTGTATAGCTCTATGCAAGTTTATCACACATGTTCCTTGCATAACCACCACCACACTCAAGATAGTCAACTGTTCTATCAACATGAGACTCTGTAATAAGGATTTTAATCATAGATTTTTATATGGTTTGACTAAACCAAATATAGAAAATATGTTTTGTATATATATACATATATATATGAAAATGGATGTAAATGATGGAAGACACTTTTTTTTCCAATTTTCCTCCTGAAAATTTTTATTTGTTGAACTGTCATGTTGAAATGACCCTGAAAAAAATGTGTTCACGTGTTTGTGTACATGGATATAGAGTGGCAGTATATATCAGCCTATGGCAAGTCAGCTGAACAAAGACATGAGTAATAAAAGCAATGATACATGAAATCCAATTTATGAAAATATAAAAATGAGATTATTTATTGGGGGGGGAGAATTCTGAGGCTTTTCCTCTTCCCTTGCCCCAACTTCTTTGGCACTTACAAAGAACCCTAAGACATTAAAGAATCCTAAGACTTTCAAATCACTACTTCAGAGGAAGCTCTTCTATTATTCTTTTTTTTTAGTATTGTCCCATATCTCCTTGTACCCAGTATCTCAGAGAATTTAATGAACAGCTCTTTTTGGGTCTACAGAATATTTTTTGCACAATGCTCATTTGTGTTTCACTCTTGCTTCTGTTTCAAGGAGAAGACTGACATTTTGACATTTCTTTCTTTCTTTCTTTTTTTTTTTTGGAATTTTGTATAGCCTAGAGCAGAAACCACTTGTAGTCAAAGCCTTTTCCACTTTGTTGGAAGAGCCAAAGCTCATTGAGAAAAAGGTGGTGTGTGTCCCAGAGGGACAGGGGAGGTGTGAGTAGTTTGTAAGGCAGCAGAAGGAGAGAAGAAAAAATGGAGAGGACACAACTCAAAGTCATGGGGTTCTGGAACAGTGGGGACCTGAACATTAAGCTGTGGCAGAGCCCCAGGTGGGTGCAAGCCTACTGGGAAAGGAATGCATAAGGAAGCAAGAGAGCCTAAATCCAAAGCCCAGGACTTCAAGCCTGGGCAGAATGGGTATATGACAGGAAAGCAACAAAACAAAGAACTTCAAGAGACATGACATATCTCAGATATTAGTGCGATCTAGAGAGGTGAAGGAAGTCACAACAGAATTTCTTCATGAATGGCTGTTCGTCTGATGAAGTTAATTTAAGAAAAGCACAGAACAAACACGCTTCTGCCCTAAAGTATACAGACTGAGATTTATGCTTGCCTTGGAGTTTTACTTATCTACCCCTGCCCTGCTCCTCCTATATAAGATGGAAATCTCGTATGAACTTGTTTGCCTCTGAACCTCCAGTACCTGGAACAGTGTCTTGCATATGGTAGGACCTTGGTACTTATTTGTTGACTAAATATGGAAACAGGGCAAGAAAGACCACATTGAAAGAAATACCGATTATTTGAAATCACCCTTTTCCTTTGACTGATTAATTTTCATGATTGGATGAAACTTTTCATCAAACTCTTGCTTTAGAAAGAGACTTCTGAATACCCAAAGTCTCTAGATAGTTAAGACTTGAGATTTAATTAAAGTAAAACTCAGATTCAGCTGAAATTCTAGATTCATATTAAAACAATTCTTAAATCTTTCTAATGATGGTTCAGCTTGGCCCCATTAGGAGAGTTTCTGCTATATACTGTTTCTAAGTGGGGTTAGTATTCTGGAAAGTAATAGGAATATAGTGATGATCAAAACAGATGGTCCTCCTCTCACGAAGGTCATAATCTGGCATTCCTGGGCCATCTGTCATTTATTTCCTTGATTGTCTCTATGATATATACTTCCAAAGAAGAACGTTGAATACCACTTTGAAACAGTGAGAAGTAGGTACTCACTAAATAGAAAGAAAATGTGGGGTAATGGCTTTAAGTGAGCTATTGGAATCAGATTGCTTGGGGTTTGAATCCTAGCTCTGCCAGTTACTTGATGTATGACCAAGGGCATCTTACTTGACTTCTTGTGCCTCCATTTCCTCTTCTGTGATATGGGGATAATAGTTATACCTACAGCACAGTGTTGTTGTGAAGTGTAAATAAGCTAATAGAAGTCACACATGGAACAGTGCCTGGCACATAATAACTGCTCT
The DNA here is from genome assembly GCF_000001405.40 of Homo sapiens. Taxonomy (NCBI): domain Eukaryota; kingdom Metazoa; phylum Chordata; class Mammalia; order Primates; family Hominidae; genus Homo; species Homo sapiens. The sequence continues at coordinate 71,462,389 of NC_000009.12, read as the reverse complement.
GTAAGCGTTAGCTGTCATAATTATCTTTATTTAATATTTTTATATGGTATAGTCATTAAAGGGTTGAGAGTAATTCCTAATCCACAGTAAATCTCAAAAATATTAGTTATTATTTGTTACATGTTTCACTGTTAGGAGGTGTCTCCTCTGGGTAGAAGAATATATTTAAAAACAAAGTTTTCAATTGGACAAGGTTATCTTTATTGGAGGAAGTCACTGAGGTTATTGTTTTGTTCTGTCATTTAGTTTATGTGAAGCTTCTTTCGTGTTTAGTGTGGCATAAACTCATCCTTTGTAGGCTAAGATACTAAAGTGAAATCATTGCTAAACAAAATGAGTTCACTCAGGAATCTCTGTTCAAAAAATAAGAATGTGTCATGGAATACTATAATTTAACTAAGAGTTTGCATAATGGTTAGCCAAGATAACCTTTCCCCAAAGAGTGAGGTCTAAGTGTTAAAAACCAGAGGTAGGTAAATAAATAACCCTTGGAGACATGGACATTTGTCTTTTAATGGCGTCACTGTGATTCCATTCCATTGTCCTCTTCCCTGAAGCAGAAAGCTGGAAGTCCTACTGAGTAGAGCTTGGGTCCTTCCAGTGAGGAATTAGGGCACTATTTTTTTCATCTTCATGTACATATGTGCAAGGCAACCCTCAGGGCTTGTATGTTTTAACCTGTGAGGAAAAGAAAGAGGCAAACAATGACAAGGGGAGTGATTTTGCCAGATCATTACTTGACATTTCCTAATGTACAATGTTGTGACCGCTCGTTTGTGCTACAGTTATTTTTGGTCAACATTTCCTTCTCCTCAAAGTTAAACAAATAGGAGTTCTAAATTCTTTCTTTTGAGAGAACCTCAAAACATATGTTATTTAAAGCTTCTATCTAAATCTACCAACACTGTTGAAATCATGTGTCAAACTTTTAATGATTTTTCTGTCTGCCAAACTTTATGTTATAGCTCTTTGATGTTTTGGATTTCTGTGGTTTTCTAAAAATGTCTAACTCCTTTTCATTTGTTATTAGTGGGGTGTGTGTGTGTGTGTGTGTGTGTGCCTGTGCTTGGTGTAGCTCCAATCTGTATTATTGCCTTCACTTTCTTTTTGCAGTGACAATGTTGTGATACAACCAGCATCATCACAAAACCGTTTTATTGAAGCAGTGTGCAAAAAGCAATTTTGTGACCATCAAGCCATTGTGGTTCCTATTGTATTGTGACTTCTTAATGTAGAAAAATATGTTTTAGATCGTACGTATTCTGATTCTATAAATTTTTCAGGCCACAGATAAAAAGCAAACACATTTTTCTTGCTAAGATAAAAGAAATCTTTTTAAGGGGAGAGGAGTTTGTTTTTGCAGCAGAGAAAAATAATTCCAATGAGATGATTAAGAGTCAGTTCCAAACAAATTTAAAAAAATCTACATATAAAACCTTGAAAATAGTATACTTATAATAAGTAATTATTATAAAATGGGAAACAACGGTATAATTGAACCACCTTTTACCTCTAGGCATGGAACTGTATGTTTTATAATTGCCACAACACTTCTGCTGGATAGAGGTTCTGTTCTGCCCATATTACAACATGCTGCACACCAAGGATACTGTGGGTTAAAGTTATTTACCCCAAATTACATAGCTAGTGATATGGTTTGGCTGTGTCCCCACCCAAATCTCATCTTGAACTGTAGTTCACATAATCCCCACGTGTCATGAGAGAAATCCAGTGGGAGGTAATTTAATAAGGGGCGGTTACCCTGATGCTATTCTCGTGATAGTGAGTTCTTACAAGAGCCAATGGTTTTATGAAGGAGTTTTTTCCCTTTTGCTTGGCACTTCTCCTTGCTGCCACCATGTGAAGAAGGACGTGTTTGCTTCCCCTTCTACCATGATTGTAAGTTTCCAGAGGCTTCCCTAGCCATTATGAACTGTGAGTTAATTAAACCTCTTTCCTTTATAAATTACCCAGTCTTGAGTATGTCTTTATTAGCAGCATGAGAATGGACTAATATAGCTAGTAAGAGTAGGAGTTTGAATCCAGATTTTGTCTGACCTCCAAATTATGTTCTTTACACTTAATCATTTTTCCCCAGCATAGATATAGCATTTCCTTTTATTTTCAAAGATAAGATGAATATAAAGGTCAAACCATTTTTGGTCTCTCTTGAGTGCAAGATTTAGCTACCAGTAAAGCATGTCCTTCTTGAAAACAATGTGATAGTCAAGGTAAAGATCATAAAGAAAACTTTTTTCATTTCCAGAAAGAAAGCTAGTCAAGAAAAACTTCATCAAGTTCAATGCCAAATCACTTAGGGCTATTATTGTGGTAGGAGCATTTTCCCTGTAAACTTCCTGAATTTAAGAGAAGATTGTAAATATACCATTGTCAATGGGAATTGTCATAATATTTTATTCTTGAAAAAAGGTAAAACTACTCTCCATTATCTTTTGCAGCTAGAAGAAAAAGCTTTATGATTCTAGGCATTTTATCTAGGAGAGAAGTAACGAGTACCATATGGCATGTCTGTTGTGAAAAGTGGTATAGTGTTTTATCATCCAGAAAATAGCACTGGCTATTAAATCGGAATTCATGTCATTGGATCACGGAGCCAGTCATATTGAGAAAAGAGCTTGACAGCCTCCTCCAATTCATCAGCATGTGTGACCCTCAAATTACTACCCTCTCCAAAGATAGCAAATTCTGGAGCATTCCTAAGTTGGCAGTCCAGACAGGGAGGTACTCAAAGCAGAACTGAAAGGTTTTATGGCTTCTCAGGCTAGTTCAGAGAAGGATCTGAGGTGATTGTTCTCGTCTGGTAAAACCTATAATATATCTGAAAAGTCAGGAATTCCCAGGGCTTCCTTGGCTCCAGCTTCCCCAACAATTGTTTTAGTCTGACCTCAAATCTCACAGTTTGTCTTGAAACATAATTTGTCTTTAAGAGACTAGAAGTGAACTGAAAAGGGGTGAGGTATGATGTCCAAAATATCAGCCTAAATAAAACATTCCATTCATTGCCTGCCCTTGAGGTTGGAACACACACACACTCACACACACACACTCACACACACACTCCTTCATGATTCTTTCCAAGAGGAAAGAATGTTTCTCTTTGTTAGTAAGATCACTGTTCTTGTTTTTAGAGTTTTACATAAAGGTTCAGTTGCAAACTCCTATAGCTAGGAGACATCCTAGAGTACAGGGAATTAAATATATCTGGAAAAACTTATGGGAAATAGTGAAGGAAATGATTTTTTTTAAAGGAAATTTTATAATTTTTTAAAGAAAGCCAAAGACTCTGGTTGGGGTGCTATATAGAAATATTACAAATGGAAAAGAAGTTCTTCCCATTTTTTCTCTATCTCTCTGACACAAAAAACCACAGGTTTAATAAACTAAAATAGAAAAGAATAGACAAGGAGGCTTAAATAATTTTCTTTTTTCCTCCAAGGTAATAAATATTGTGCCTGATTTATATTCTCATTAAGTCACTGAAAAATGCACCATCACATTTAGAACAAGTCCTTTGTAAACAAGGGTAGTCTCAAAGGTGCCTCTACACTTAGAAATAATCATTTACTCTGTCAGATAAATAAGAAATTGATGGAGGACAGATGCTACTGAAAAATAATAAGTAAATATTTGATAGCTAGTTTGAAAAATAGAATTAAATAGCATTTTATGTACCTATCTTTTTTTTACAAAAATAAGCAGATGCATAAAATAAGTAGAGTATTCAGAATTTTTGAATTATTTCATTTCAAAATGGTGAATGAGATCAAATCATGTTATACTTGGAAAGGAAGAAAACAGGAATACAAAGTTAGGGTCAGATTCTATGACTCTTCCATAAAACATTCACTGAGCCAAACATTTGGATGCCTAATCAAGTCATTTATGAATTCTGTTGACATTTAGGAAGAATTTAGAATGCTTTAAGGTTAAAACTTAGATGTAGGCCCTTCTGCCTCAAATAAAATAGAATAATAAAATAGGTAAACTTTCTTATGTTTTTAGAGGATGATGATATCGAGATAAAGCTTCTTAGGAGATGAAGAAGAACGCAATACTTGTTGTGGGGCCACTTGGTTTAATGCAAAAACAAAAACAAAAACAAAACAATGTAGAAAAGCCCCTTTGTTCTTCTGGGTCTCCTTGCAATTTCTCTCTCAGCAACAGTGTAGGCCTCTATGATGAGTCTTTTAATACTGGCACACTGGCTGAATTCCATACAGCCAACTGGGTATAAGAATGAGATTCAAAAGGCAAAAGGCCACAATTGCTGCCCCTGTTCCAAATGACATTGTGCAAAGCCAGGGATTACCTTGCAGGATGTGGGCAAAAACTTTCTCCATTGTTCAAGATTGAATCATCTCACAAACAAATCACTTACAGCAGTTTCTTTAGCCTGGGGTCTTGCATCTCCTAAAATTGTATGCACACACCTGGGACTGTGTACAGCAGTGCTTTTCTTTGGGGGCAGGGCCCAGAGCTTCCCAAAGACTTGCAGTCTCTTAACTGTTCCCCACCACCACTGCCATACTTAAAAACCTACTTGGAAATTTTTATTTGTTGTTTTTTGAAGTCAATTACAATGATTCAAATAGTGTTTTCGGATTATGCATAAATTTAGAACTGTATTATTCAATATGGTAGCCACTAGCCATATATGGTTACTGAGTACTTGAAAAATGGCTAATCTGAATTGAATTATGCTGTATATGTAAAATACGTAGCAATTTCAAAGACAGCACAAAAATGGTAAAATATCTCATTATATGGATTTTCATAGGGATTACATGTTGAAATGATCATTTTGGTTATATTAAGTTCAGTATAATATTAAAATTAATTTTACCTGTGAATACTAGAAAACAATATTACAAGTGATTTTTGAATTATATTTCTACTAGCTAGTGCTGGCCTACAATGTACAATTCTACATATTACACAGATTTAAGAAAACTAAATAATTTTTCAATAAGGCACCTATCCTTAGAGGGAAGGGAAGAGAACAAAAATGGGCCAGGCACTGAGAGAAATGTTTCAGCCATATTTTCTCACTAGATTCTTACAACTCCCCTGTGAGGAAGTTAATATTGGCTAAGAGAATACCTGATAAAATGGAAAATCTCACAATCATTTCCTTTGACTTTAATTCCTAAATCAACAATGACAGTCCATTATTTTAACAGTAGCGATTGCTCATGCCTATAATCCCAGCATTTTGGGAGGCTGAGGCAGGAGGATCACTTGAATGTAGGAGTTTGAGACCAGCCTGGGCAACATGGTGAGAACCCCATCTCCACAAAAATAAACAAACAAACAAATAAATAAATAATTTAGACAGGTGTGGTGGTACACACCTGTGGTTCTAGCTACTTGTGAGGCTAGTTTGACACCCAGGAGTTTGAACCCAGGAGTTTGAGACTGCAGTGAGCCATGTTCACACCACTGCACTCCAGTCTGGGTGACAGAGTGAGACCCTGTCTCAAAAATCAATAGATAAATAAATAAATAAATAAATAGAAATGAAAAAACCCCATTAAACTAAATTAGTATAAAATTAGTAATTAGTAATAGATTAATATATAAATGAGTAATTAGTAATAAAATTAGAATAGAATTATTCTAGTTTAATATAACATACTAATAATATAGTAGTATACTGCTAATAATATAATATTAGTACTATAATGCTAAAAATGATTGAATACACTAAAAATGGGGTGCAGTGCTTATATTCCTAGGCTCAAGAGTCAGACACACCTGAACTGAAATCCGGACTCCATCAATGACTACCAGTGTGATCTGGGAGAGTTGCTTAGGCTCTCTAAAGTACACTTTCATAATCTTCAATACGGACGAGAGGATAAATTGAGATAAATATGCATTTAGTGGTGGACTTAGTTACATCATAAATATTCAGTAACTATTAGTTGTTTATTATTATTCTTGCTGTCATTATTATGAAGTCAGACAGGCTGGAGGTTGAATCTCAATGCTGCAACTTAAAAGTTGAATCATTTGGGTATATTGTTACCCTGTGTGCCTGTTTTTCTTATCTGCAAAATGACAATAATTTTCATTTCAAAGAGCTCTTGAAAAGACTAGTGATCTCATTCAAGATACTTAGCACAGTGCTTTTCATAGAAGAAGCAGTCTGTGTCAGGCAGTTGTTATTGTTTCCTAGATAGAGTGACACAGTGGGAAGGTGCATGGCCTCTGGAGCCAGACTTCCGGGGTTCAAGTCTTGGTTCTGCTGCTCTCTATCTATATAAACTTCAGCCATTTTATTTAGCCTCTTCTTGCCTCAGTTTCCTCAGTAGTTAAATGGAGTTATTGTGAGAACTAAACAAATTAATTCATGTAGTGAGATGGTGCCTAGCACATAATAAGTGCTTAATACATGTTAGCACTTTTAATAGCATTGTTGTTAGTTTTTCATTTTTCATATTTTATTCTTCCTTTCATACTTTTAGTGGTTTCGTTCTCTTTTGGATTCTTTTCAACATATCTCATGTACTTCCAGGGCACTCATGAATCATATGAGGAGAGATTGATGACACTTGGAACCAAAATAAATGCTATGATTTTGACCACTGTGTTTATTTGATATCGTAACAGATGCAATTTGCAAAGGGTGTGGTTATAACAGACACATGGAGTTTTCAAATTACCTATCATGTTCAAGTTAAGTTTATCACAGACATGGTAGAGATTGAGATTCTAAGAATATTCTTCAAAATTGAAGAAATTTGTACCATTTGAAATCCAGCTGACCAAGGTATATCAGAGCTGGCTAGAAACGTTCACCCAGATTGCAAATTTGTTCACACAGGTGAACAGCTCATAGCATACATAGAATCTTTATCAATGGGTGTGATGGAAGTAATGAATAGGACTATGCCATATGTGCTTGTCGTGGAGATCTGGTTGAAAAACACTGGTAGAAAATAAGAAGTGAAGCTAACTCACCAATCAACAAATACTGAAGGATCACTTTGGCAGGTAATTTAAAAATTGCTTTATCATTCCCCTTTAGATAAAAGAAGTATTTATCTATAAAGCTTTCTTGAAAAAACAGGAGTTTAAAGGATTATGGCTTTTCCATTTGCCTTTCTCGTTTTAGATACGCTTTTATTTTAACAAACTTGGCATCACCTTTCATCTTCTTGCACATTGAACACCCTGATGAGTTTTGTTTCCATGTCATCAACCTGGATGTAAAATGCTGTTAACCTCCTTTAATATTATTATAGCATAGAGCATATACATTTCAGCCAATCAGATGACCTTTTCCACTGAATAACTGGAAGAACTCTATATAATCTGGTACAATGTATTTACTTTAAAGCCTAGTTTAATACAAACCATTTGTTGATACCAAGTTTCACAGTAGGTACTGGAAGCTCTATTGAATGACCCAAGAGTCCATTCACCAGGCAAAGACAGTTTCAATGAAATACATTGTGTTCATGATAATAGCTTGTCTCAGTTTTAGCATATTGTTGATTTTGTTTCTTTTGTAGAAGTCAAAGGATACATGTGAAGCATTTGGGAATTTTGGTTAGTTCATTGAGCCTCTGCTTCCAGACTCTATTCAGGTTCCAATAATGATTTTGTTTGAGTTGGAGGAAATGAATTTTGATAGTACATCAGAGATGAAAAGGTAACTAAGCTGCTACTTTTTGTTTAACTAATTGCTTTCACTTCATTCACTTTTTTACTTTGGAGGGGGAGAATGTACAAATTTGTTCTGTTTTGAACAGTGAAAAATATTTAAGAGTGTTCTGTTTAATATGCTCAGATTCAATGGTATTTAGATAGTTCTTTTTAGTGTGAATAAAAATTGTGATGAAGAAATATGGGAGTTTTGCATGGTAACTTCCATGTTCCCTTTTCATTCTGTTTTGCAGTAGACCAAATGACATTCCTGTTTGTCTTTCTGAACAAAATAGTTATGCAAATGGGCAGTTTAAAATTTTAGTTTTATAAGACCATTTAATGTACTTACCTTTAGGAAACAAAACCAAGCACTGAACCTAACTGTTGAAGACATCACTGAATATGTTCCCTGACCTGTGTGATGCTTTGAGAAATTCATAATTCCTTAAAAATAAAAAGGAAGAAAAAGTAACGACTTCTGCTATGCTCCTAATACTGTTATTTTTTCCAAGATGACCTTTAATGTTTTTCTGCAGTTTGTAGTATAAAATAGAAATAATTGGGCTTCAGCACAAATGATTGCCTCATGTTCTAATGCTGTAACTCCAGAGCAAAAAGGAAACAATAGTTTATCTTTAGAAATTCCCAGGCTCTGGGCTCTGCACCTCTCCTTGCCACATCTGTGTTGTGCATCCTTCTCTATCTATCTCCTAGAGTTCTTGCCTCAAGCCTGAAAACTCCAGGCCTCAGAGAAGTGGTAATGAGTGATAAAACTTAAAATATTGCTCATCGCAGGAGTGGCATTTTTTTTTAAGAAGCAAAAGTGATGAATTGTAGAATTAGAAATTCTGGTGTCTATGATGCCGGAAAAACAGTTTGAGGAAAAATTTGGCCCTTTTAGAGAGGTAGCATCCAATTCATTTGACTGTTAACAAGATCAGTTCCTCATGGGGATAGTTGAATCTTCTCACTGGTTCAAAAGTTGGTTAAGCTTAAACATCTTGTTTTAACTTAAAACAGGTTATATGTATTCATTTCTTGATCTAAGGATAAAGTATTTTCTTTGAGTATGTTACTAGCAATTGAACTTCTGGTTTATCTTTTTGCATAAACCATATCCATCATGTAGGATCCACAGTTTCCTTTTCGTTTTAAATAGAGAGATATCTTAATGACAACTGCAGAGGAATCCGAGGGAAGCTGGCTTCTGTATTTTTTCTAGTCTATTATTATTATTTTTTGTTTGTTTAAACAGTTTTCTTGTCCACATCATGTTATACCAGTATATATAAAAACAAATCGAGGGGTGATTTTTTTTTTGTCTTTTTTCTTTCCAAAACATTTTATTTGGTTTTCACAGAAATGCCACCTTCTTTTGTTCTCATTTTGCATCATTGTTCATAACATTTAATGAAATTGCATAATGATCACCAATACAACGTACAAAAATGGGCTTGGAAAGAAACACAGTAGACCCCTGAGAAATATATAACTCAAATGGGAAGACCAGAAAGTTGTGTGGTAAAGAACAGCAGATTCGTTATTAGCTTTCAGAGTATTAGGAAAAAGAGATCCATTCTTCATGTATGTTAAATGGAGGTTAGTTAAAAGGCTTTCTTCTGTCTGTAAAAGCCATTGTCTTAGCTCATCTGGATTTTAGTAATGGAGTTTTCTATGGCAGTTTTCCAAATGGGCTCTTTTTCCTAATCTCAGAGGAGGTTTCTCAATATTTTCAAATTTTTCCCAAATATTTCTAAATTCTAGGAAGAAACAATGCCAGTACATGCTGCTTAAAATATCTACATTTTGGTTTAAGCAACTTTTTTTTTAACACAGACATTAGACTTCATATATATTATTCATATATAAGTATATATTGTATATTTATATATTATGTAATTTCATGTAAATTATATAAATTTAAAATGTATAGAAATATATAGAGATGACTATAATATAATCAAAAGAGAACTTGGAATTGAGGGCTAAAAATCTGAGGTTCAAGGCTCGAACTTCCAATTATTAGTTGGGAGAACTTGGATCAGTCAGGTAACTATGCTCAGTCTGTTTCCCTTCCTGAAAATACAGATAATAATATCTACCTTAAGTAATGCATGAAATTATCTTGACAATTGAAAATGTCACAGTTATATGAGACATGCATGGTTGTATAATATATAAATGGTTATATAAGAATGTAAAAAGTAATATTATGTGAAATGATACTAGCATCAGAAAACACGTTTAGATAGGTTCTCTCTCACCCTCCCTCTCTCCATCCCTCCTTTTGTTTGTTTGTTTCTTCCTTCCTAGTAAACATTTTATTGAGGTAAGACACATATGAAAAAGTACATTATTTATAATTGTGCTGCTCTATAAATTTTCCAAGATGAGTACACCCTTGTTACTACCACCAGATCAAAAAAGAGCACATTATTAGCACTCCAGGGACCCTCCTCATTTGTCCTTTGATTGCTATAGAATGCATCCTCTAGAATGCATCCTCCTGTGGTAATCACTGTCCTGACTTCTAGTAGTATAGGTTGTTTTTGTCTAATTTCAAACTTTATATTAATGGAATTTCACAATATGTATTCTTTTGTGTATATCTTCTCTTGCTCAGTATTGTTGTTGCATCACCCATGGTTTTGCGTGTAATAGTAATTCATTCATTCTCATCAGTGTACAGATTCCACTGTCTCAATATACCATAATTTATTCATTTTGCTGTTGATGAACATTTGTGTAGTTTCTAGATTGGGAGTTTTACAAATAGTGCTGCTATGCACATATTACAGTCTTTCATTAATTATAAGCATTCATTTCTGTTGGGTATATACCTTGGAGTAGAATTGCTGGGTCATAGAGTATCCATATGATTAACTTTAGTAGATAGTGCTAAATGGTTTTCTAAAGTGGTTGTACCAGCATACATTCTCACCAGCAGTGTGTGGGAGTTCTAGTTGCTCCACAGCTTTGACAACATTTAGTGTTTTTCTGTTTGCTTAAATTTTCTGTCTGCAGAAATTTAGTCATTCTTATGGGGATTTTATGTCAGCATATATTTATTCACTTATTTTAGAAATTATTTAGTAATAGGTGGACATTTAGCTAATTTATACCTGTCTTTCTTCTCTTTTCTATTCTCTCTCTCCTTTTCTCCCTAATTTTAATGGTTATATTATTTTTGATTCTATTGTTATTTACCTTTATAACTTTCTACCATTCACTTGAATCATTATCTCTTAACCCTGAAATAAGATTTTAGAAAACTATTTACCTATAGATTTAGAAAGGGAAATAAACTTTATATAAATATGAATTTATGCAAATGCATCAATGAACAATAAAGGAAAGCTTATACTAAAAACTCCTACAAATCATAATATTAGTAGGAAGGCTGGAGAATTGGAGGATTTTGCTGGGGGAATTTGGTTTGTTCTATGCTGAGAGAAAGGGGGAAGGAAAAAAGGTGAAGGAAGGAAAAGGGAGGAAGGGAGAGAAAGAGAGAAAGGAAGGCAGGAAGAAAGGAAGAAAAAATGAGAGGGAAGGAAGGAGGGAAAAAATGGAGGAAGAGGAAAAGAAAAGAGTGAACTTGTGTAGCCAGGTTCTCTGGCCTGCAGTGACTTCTGCTGGGAGGACTTGACAGGATGTGTAACCATTGAAGACTTGTCAACAGATGCCGCAGGGAATATATGAGATTGTTTTTTTCCTAAAAGGGAGTATAATTTTCCCATAGCTATACCCAGATAATTTCATCCACATAGATGGCCAATTTACTTAAACCAAGATAACCCCATTATTCCTTTTCTTGATTAATAGTCATGGGCTTTGGGAGATTTTTTTGCTTGAGTTACAGGAATAACTGTTTCAACTCTCATGCTTTTTGGTTTCTGTGGGTCTCAGCCCTCAGGTCTGCAGAAGAGAATTTAATTATGACTAAACACAAATTCTGCATCCTATCTCCTGCTTTGTAGGTATTGACTAATCCCACTTCACAGTGAGTCTAGTCATAGTGATTAAGCTTTTAGTGAATTCACAAAGTAGTTGCTCCAGATTCATTGAACACCCACCATTTTCCAATTTATCTTACTATGTGAGGGTGCTGACTCTTACTTTGTTCCCCAATGTGTGTAAGGACTTGACAGAAAAAGCCACACATTGTTTAGCTTAATAAAAGAGAAATTTTAGGGGACTTTAAAGACTGTCTCAATTACTTGATGATTATCATGAGGAACACTTGTTTAAATAGTGTGACTCCAACCCCCCACCAGAATTTAAAATAAAGGTAGAAGGCTTGGGGTTCAGCTTAGTTTATAAGAATGGGCTTTCTAATGCTTAAAGCTGTTTTACAAGGAAATGCTCTGCTTATGAGAAAGAGGATATCTAATGCCAAAGGCTGATTGTGTAGGAAGAGAGTTAATGGTAGCTTGTTGGATTTTTAAAGTCAGATCTATTAATGTCTATTTCACTCCGAGACTCTATGAATCAATATGCTGCATTACACTGAATCTGAGATACCATCTATGATAAAATGCATCCTGATTTCAGAGAGGTTTACCCTCTCTGAAAAATTGAAGGTGTTAAAGTTGATGAAATATGGTTTATATTCTCTTATTTCACAAGGAGAAATTTTTGGATCAACATTAATTTGCAGCTTTGATTATTTTCTCTGTTTGCCCTCCCCTTTCACACTTTGCTGGGTTAAGTTAGTTCCCGGGTATACCTTTGGGTTTTCATGTCCTAGAGATAACCAAAGGAATATATATTTCCTATAAACTCTTTTGCAGTGAAGCACATGACTGCATACCTAGAGCAAATGGGGTTTCAAGAGTTTCTTCTGATTATTAATTCATTCACAGACTAGTAGAACCATGTAAACTTCAGATCAAAGAGTACCTAGGGCTAACAGAGGACTGTTGACATTTGACAGTGTGTTGAGATCTTTTTTTGTGGTTTTTAGAATACTATTTAAAGTTTACTTTTCAGAATATTTCAAAATGTTATATTTTGATTGATATACAAATAAAATTTATATATTTGCTTTTCATTTTACAAAGAATAGCTATTATTTAACAGTATGGTAATTTTTGCTTTAATCTTACCACATTAATTTGCACATTATTTAATGCCTAGAGACTATGAAGAAAAAAAGGTTTATGCCCTACTTCCCATTTACCTTTTGAAATTTATTAACATCCACCTTTTGTAATTGCAGTGACTCTTCTCTAGTAAAGCTAAGTTGCTCTAGAAATGGCTTCTAACGTGTATTCCAGAATTTGAATGCTGGTGATTTTCAATGTGTTCTTAGCTTTGGTGCTGTGATTCTCCATTAATTTTGTAAAAAATATGATAGACTTTCACTTTATTCTTCCAGTTTCTGGCTATTAGGAACTTTGGAAAGACAAATGAATATCAGAAGAGGAAAGGGTCAGTTTTCTGGTTGCCTACAATCACATCTAATTTAGCCTCATATGCAGTTCCAAGACATTTTTGGTACCTGTCAAGTGCAAAAAAGAAATGCAGAGATCATCTTCAAACAAGCCTTTAAAAACAGTGCTTTAAGAGAAGGGCAATTGAAAGCTCATTTTTAGACTGAACAGCTAAAAAATATGACACATGCAGTCACTACTCATCATTACATTTTTCTAAGTACATCTAAAAATCTCATCAGTTGCTCTGAGTATGCACTGATGTGCTGGAACAGTCTTTCATGACAGATACCCTTTATGGCAGGGTCATTTTCCCCTTCATGGGTGGATGTGGGTGAACCAGGGTCTCTTGGCCCTGCACAGTGAATGTTCTTGGATGATGTGCCTTGATATATCTGTTTAGGTATATCTTGATATACCTAAAGAGTGAACTTTCAAGGCATCCAGGTTAAAACACAGGCTTTTCATCTCTTAGGGAATTTATATAGTCATACCGATATACCCCTTTGTAAGCAACTAAAGGAAAAAGTAAATGTTTACTTTAAGGAATAATATGCTGACTTTTATTCTACCCCCTAGTTGGTATTTGGTTTTCATACCTGTGTAATTTTGTAAACTAAGCATAATCATTTTGATTTGTTTTTGCGAGGGGGAGGAATCTGGACTAAATTACGGTATTTCCATGAAATGTCACTAATAATTTCAAATCCATGAACTTAGATAGGGAGTGAGAAAATGTGAAATGGAGCCTGTGGTTTTCTCATTAAATGGCGTTGTGTGCTGCAAACATTGTTTAGAGTCTTATTTTGTTTAATATGGGTGTGTGATTTCTAGACACAGAGGGTTGTTTAAAAAGATAGGATGTATGCCCTGTGAGTCTCTTTTACTTAAAATGGCAGGATTAATATTCATGTAACACTACACACAGGGGCACAGCTGTGGGATTTTAGAGCTCTGTATTCCATTCCCGTAAACTAGCCAGTTTCAGAACCTCTGCTTAATCACACTGACCACTGCAACTCAGATTATGATTTTTACAGCTAGTGCCACAACACCAATTTTCCCACAGCATTTCTCACCCTCTCCCCTTCCCTCTTAATCCTTCTTCACCTTTGCCTCCTGGGAAGATCTGGCAATATTCAAATAGGACAGAGAATGCTTGATTTCAGAAAGAAATGAAAATACATCTGTTGCCATTGCAACAGATAAGCAACCAGACGGCCCTTTTCAACCGGGAGAGATTTTAGGCATCACTCCCTTTAATGGTGAGTAAAGCCATTGTTTTCAGGTTTTGTTAATTTGTGATGCCCCCAACTGCCCTCTCTCATTTGATCAAGGACATGTGGACAGCTCAGTCTGGTAAAATAACTGACACAAAACTCATGAGGGCCAGCCGGCTGTCCTAATGAGCAGAAGGCAAAAACATGAAAGAACAACAAGGTGCAGGGGTCACAGAATACACAACACACAGGAGCTCCACCACGAATCCGTCTCATGTCCTCCTCGCTGCTTAACCGCCCAGGGTGAGAGGGGAAACTGAATACCCCATTCCTACCCCGGAAAGAGAAATGAGTTGAGGTAAGGAGAAGTAACAGCCTTCCCTTCCCAAGAATCCTCCTCTGCCTTACCGCCACAGTACAGGCCCTTGAAGGCCCTTAATTGCTGATGGGGATGGAGCAGCTAGAATCACCTTGGGAGCTTTTAAATATCCTGATTCCCAGGCCACAGCCAGGCCAATTAAATTAGACTCTGGGGAATATCACCATTTAAAAAAGAGAAAGAGAAAAAAGATCCAGGTAACTCCAGTGTGCAGCCAAGTCTGAGACCCAGTGGGCTAGTCTGAGCAAGCTGGAGAAGAAATAAGTGCGGCATCTGACAAGGGGATGAAGCTCCACTCTCCCCAAGGATACTTAGGAGCGAGTTGTTGTTGCAGAGAGAGGGGAAGAAAGGGAGCAGGAAGAACAAAGTTGCCCCTTCCTGTCTTTTTCTAAGTCAACTGCAGTCTCCACCCATCCAGTGCGGGTAACCTAGGCTTCCACACGCAGCTCGGGGTGGGGGGAAGTGGGTCCCCTGGTCTGGGGTCCTGGGCAGGGTGAGGTGACCGCTGGGAGCGCTACCCTGCGGCGCATCAACAGCCTCAGGCGTGGGCCCTGCACTCTCCAGAGAAGGCGGCGGCTGCCGGGTGGAGAGCAATTTGGGGACGCAAAAGAAAGCTGGCTCGGGCGCAGGTGGCGCTCGCAGCCCCAGCCCACAGTTGAGCCAATCGCGGGCGCAAGCGCAGCCTGGTGGCGGCGGCGGTAACGGAGCGCGGGGCTCTGGCAGGAGCCGGCGGAGGCAAAGGCAGCGCCAACCGAGAGCCGCGCGCAGGCTGGAGGGAGACCCGCGGCGAGGAGCCAGCGAGAGCGCTCGGCGCTGGGCTGTTTCCCGGCCGAGGGAGGCGAACTTCTCATGGGGAAGAAGTGGAGGGATGCGGCGGAAATGGAGCGGGGCTGCTCCGACCGCGAGGACAACGCGGAGAGCCGCAGACGCAGCCGGAGCGCCAGCCGGGGCAGGTTTGCCGAGTCGTGGAAAAGGTTAAGTTCCAAGCAGGGGTCCACCAAACGCTCGGGACTCCCGTCGCAGCAGACGCCGGTGAGTGGCCGGGGGAGAGCCCCAGTCTTTGCTTTCTTTTCTCCCTTCGCACGCGACTTGAGCCCTTTCCATGGTGCTGAACTTGCCTCCCTAAGGGTGAGAGCCAGGGAACTTGTGGCGCCGCTTCTAATGAAATAGAGTGCTGGGGGCTGTGAGGAAGGGCGAGAAGGAACGTCTTCCCTCCCTTCAGCAGGGGAGGGTCTCCTGACGTCTCTGGCGGCTCTGCAAAAATTGAAAACATGTTCGAGAGGCGAGGGGGCTCGCTGTTAGATCATAAGAGTTTTGCAGTTAACAGAGCGTGTGAGACGTTGTCGAGTGTATTGTGACTCCTGTGTACGTTCCCAAGGGTCTGTCTGTGCAGCATGTCGAAGGTACTCGGCCTCCGCTGAATGAGGGCGGAATAGAAAGGGCATGCCATATTTTTACTCTCTTAGCACTTGCTCTTTCCATCCCACACCCCCACCATTTTAATGGGAGCGTTTAATTGTTTGCAGGATGTCATTTGCATACAGAGAATAGCAAGAATATCCCAGGTGCTTGTAATCCTACTGCTTAACATATACAGCGTTCAGACAAGTTTTCCCATGTGTCAGCTCCTCTTCACTGTCTAATTAGTGCAATAAAAGCACTCCAGTGAAATTAATATAGGCATCATATGTGTGTAGAGAAGTGCAGTTGATAAAAAACTTTAGCTGCATTTGCATTTTGAGTATGTGAATATTATGTTTTCCTTTATCCCAGAGGGAGAGAACGCTGTTCTAGAAGAGAGTGCAAAGTCCTCCTGTTGCTCCTGGGGAAGGAGGATACACCACTTTTAACTTCCCAAACATCATTAAGAATACCAGCCTGTGTGTGTGTTTGTGTGTGTGTATTTGTTTTACATCCAAAGGGCTTGACAGCAGATGTTGTATATTGAAGAGACTTTGATTTAATTAAAAGAGAGAATGGTACATAAGCATTGATCCCACAGCGTGATTAATGTTACCCTGCTCTGTTTTTGGGAAGTCGTCATTGAAGGATAAAAATTAATCCCTGAAAAGTAAGATGTTTAAACATTACTTCCACAGAATGTAATATAAACATTTGAAATTTTTGGTGTGTTTATTTTGGTTGCTTGTTTACAAAAATGTTATGAAATTTCAGGTATTTTTCTCAAATACTTAATGTTTTTTGTGAGCAGGTTTTTTCATCTAAATATGGGTATAGCACCGCTAAAAAGGCAAGTGATTTTACTTCAGGTGTAGAAATATTGTTTAGAAATGTGTACTCGAAAATATTTTTTACAAAAGAATATTAATCTGAAGATAGGTTTTTCTGAAATAAATTATGTGGAAAATATAAAATTCATGACATCTGTTTTTTATCAAGTATGTGAACTAAAAATTCAATCCTCTTTTTAATAGGAAGTCTAAGTGTTAATCTAAGGAACTTCTTATGCTGCATTTTTTATTCTGTTCAACAGGTGTGTGCACAGTCTATATCAGGAACATATAAAATCTTCATATAACTATGTTATAAGTTAGAGTAAATGATTGCAGGTTTGTTACCTAGAATAAAAATGTGGGAAAAGAGCCTAAGAGGGTACCATGACAACCAGAGACATCTGGAAAAGTAACTATGTCCTCCTGTTTGCTAAGGGTGATGATGGTGCTGTAGTTCTCTGTAGTACTTGTTAATTGAAACATTAGTAATTCAGTTAAAAACCAGTTAAGGCAAAAGCCTGTGCTTATTCTCACATTGCATGGCAAGTTTGATATTGATTTTCTTCTAAAACCCTAATAATAAGTGCTTCTAGCTATAATTTTTAATTATCAGTGTTTTAAACAAAGATAGTGAGGTTTTGTAAATCTTAGAGCTAAGATGGTGGTTTTGAACCAAGGTTTGATTCTATAGTTGTTAACAAAGAGTTTTGACTTCATTTGTAAGTGAGACACCCAACTTATCTATGCAAACAGGAGGAAGGAAATCATAATGCTTATAGCAGACATGCTTATAAAAGTTTTTAATCTTTAATGTAAGATTTTTTCTCTCCCTTAAAGTGAGCTGTTAAAAAATAGCCTAACCTGTAAAGATTAAAGCAGTTAATATGATTAATGCTGTTCTTTATTTATTCTTATGAATAAATAAGATATTCCATAATGTAGCTGTGAATCTTATTCA
Source organism: Homo sapiens (assembly GCF_000001405.40). Taxonomy (NCBI): domain Eukaryota; kingdom Metazoa; phylum Chordata; class Mammalia; order Primates; family Hominidae; genus Homo; species Homo sapiens. The sequence goes on along the minus strand of NC_000009.12, from coordinate 71,444,492 downwards.
TTATGTGTTGTCCCCAAAATATTGTGGTATCCATCCTGACAAAGAAAATATGAGGGGTTCACTCTGTCTTTTGAAGACAAAATAGAAAAATGTGGAAAAATTTGATTAATAGTAAAACATGGGGGCTTTCATAAATCTTTTTTCTTTTGAGAATATAAAATAATTGTTTTTTTAATGTGACATTTGTTACTCTCTTCTCTGCTTTAGTTGGATTCTTGAAATCACTTCCAGTTAAAGTTATTCCGAGGGAATGATATAGTCCATGACTCTGTCCTCAAGGGGAATGATTGTATTAGTTTTTTTTTTTTTTTTTTTGAGATGTATTCTTGCTCTGTCGCCAGGCTGGAGTGCAGTGGCACAATCTTGGCTCACTGCAACTTCCGCCTCCCTGGTTCAAGTGATTCTCCTGCCTCAGCCTCCTGAGTAGCTGGGATTATAGGCACGCACCACCACACCCAGCTAATTTTTGTATTTTTGGTAGAGATGGGGTTTCACCATGTTGGCCAGGATGGTCTCGATCTCCTGACCTCGTGATCTGCCCGCCTTGGCCTCCCGAAGTGCTGGGATTACAGGTATGAGCCACCGTGCCTGACCTAGTTTTCATTTTCACTAGCAACAAAGCATTGCATACATCATAATTAATAGAAGATATTTTCTTTAGTAAGGAGAGTTCTGCTATACTCCTGGTATCCAGAAAGACTTTATTCATGATCTGAGGCATGCTCTTTTGGTATGTAAAGTGTAGGGGAGGTCGGCTTGACTTGACTTTGACAGTTAGATTTCCTACCTACTTATCACTAAATATGTAGGGGTTTTCTTAGAGGTTGGGTAACTCCATGATTTTGACGCTAATCTTAGAAACCCAAAAGTTGCATTTCTGGAAGTCTCTTTGGAGTAAATGAAGTCTTGATGCTCTTATGGAGTATGGCAGGCCTACAGTAGAAAATGTGTGCTATCCCTGCCACTGCCCACTTGGATCTGCTTCTGTTCTGGTGACAGGCAGAAGCAGTGCTGCCCTGTGCAATAGCTGAAGGAAGGGGCAGCTGTTCTGTGTCCTAATAGTGGCATTTAAAATGCATGTTCTCAAGTTCTGGACCACAATAGTGGGTGTGTCTAACAAATCAATCCTTGTTGATTTGAAAAGACTTTTTTTTTTTTCCATTTTTGTAATTCAGGAAACATCTTCTCTCCCATATTTTAAGGCTTCATGGTTTACAATGGAAGCTTTATGAATTCATGTTGCTTTGCTATAATCCATTAATCTACAATATTAAATTACACCCCAAATCATAAAATTCCGATACGGTAAAGTGGTATTTAATTATATTCATTCCTTGGAAATTGTTCCTTTCTGAGATTGCGTCATAGGTCATTTTTCAAATCTAAACTGTTTTTTAGTAAATGTAAAGATGTTGTATATTAATTTCATAGTTTTATTATTATGAAAGTTATACATTTGAAATTCAGATATCAAATTAAGTTTCTGGATATTAATGTTTTAAATACTGTCTGTGTTGAATTGGTCAATAGGTATAAAAGTAATTTAAGACTTCTTTGTCTCCATTCTATAAGATTTGGATTTCATATTTCTTTGTGAATTATTGTTCTTGTTATTCCTGCTATTTGTTTTGATTCTATCTGTGCAGAAATGCATGGAAATCTATTGAAAGGTGATTCAGCAAGTGCTGTCTCGCATTACAAATGTCAGCTGCTCACCACAGCATGTGTGTATTTTTATTTCATCTCAAATTTTTTAATCAGAATATAAAGAAAAAAATCCAGCATTATTTTGGGAAAAAGAGAAAAATAATTTAGATTTCAATTAAGTATATTTATCCTCTCCCAAATTATATGCTCTCCTTTTTAACCTTAATTTAAATTTAACCACACATTTATCTTTACTTATTTATTTTTATTTAGGTAAAATATACATGTACAATTTACCATATTTGCCATTTTTCAGTGTATAGTTTAGTGGTAATAAATGGATTTATATTCTTTTTTCTCCTCCATATCCCCCCTTTCCCTTGCACTTAGCATGTATGTATTTTTAATTTTAAAAGGAGATTTCTCTTTCTACCCCCACAGCTATTTAAAAGCTTGTTTTCAAATAGATGCAGATTTAATTTAGTCTCTGAGTAAACTCTGTAAAAGGAAAAAAAGAAACTGTGCTGAGGGAGTAAAATGATGGAGGTGTAATTAGAGTTGTTTTTCAACCTTAGACAGCACTCTTGCTTCCACTAATGCTATAATTACCCTTATCAGCAGGTACCAACCACAGATTATCACACCTTGTGCAGACAAGTGGGCAACTGAGAGAGTGTATGGAAACAGCAGTGAGTATGTAGAAAGCACAGTGCTGCCAAGTAAGCAAGTCCATTTCAGCTGGTTACCAAAGCTACTCTTCTCACAGCTGTTTGAGATGCTGTGCGTGCAGGAGGGATCCACAAACAAACCTACCATTCGTTTCTGTTGTTGACTTGCCCTCTTTGAGCCTACTAGGTAATTTCCAGTTTTCCCTGCTAAAAGCGAATTCTTTAAGGTCTTAAAATAAATGAAGAAGGCCGGGCACAGTGGCTCATGCCTGTAATCCCAGCATTTTGGGAGGCCGAGGCGGGTGGATCACGAGGTCAGGAGATAGCAGCCATCCTAGCCAACATGGTGAAACCCCATCTCTACTAAAAATACAAAAATTGGCTGGGGGTGGTAGTGCGCGACTGTAGTCCCAGCTACTCAGGAGGCTGAGGCAAGAGAATCACTTGAACCCTGGAGGCAGAGGTTGCAGTGAGCCGAGATCATGCCTTTGCACTCCAGTTTGGCAACAGAGTAAAACTCCGTCTCAGAAAAAAAAAAAAAAAAAAAGCCGAGTCAAAGGCAAAACTAAAGTCAGAAAAACTCATCTCCCAACCAATTGCCCATTTAAGGATTACGTGGCTAGTAGGTCCTTTGTGGCTATCGTAGAAGCAATGGCAACTGGGTGAAAAGAATTGTTGTTTCCTTTTTCAGTGTCTAATATGCTACTGCAATGTCATTAAACCTTTAGTAGTTTGTTCTTGTTACACAAAGGGCTCTCCTGATGAAAGCAGAGCGAATCTCCTGCAGTGCTAGCCCATTACTGTATAAACCATTTCTTGACAGGTTGATTTTTGTCTACTGCCTTTTACTCACTCTGTTAAAAAAATAAAAAAGGGACAATGTTGTATTGCTCAGGAATACAGTTGTATTTTCTGGTTATTGTGATTTTTTTTGTGTGTGAAAAAAAAAAGACCATTTTCTGATAATGGTCCATTTTGTTGAAGCATTTCTGAAATAATATCTTTCTCTAGTAATTAATATAACAACCAACAAGCTCCTCCTCCTCATCACAGTGAATTAAAAATTTTAATTTAGTTTCAGCTTTAATTTGAGGACCACGAATATGTTAGAAAATGCCTAATTCAAATACTTTAAGTTTGGAGGAGTAAAATATCTTTGCATTGTGATGATTTTAAGTCTGTTTTCATTATTCCCAAAGATATTAGAACAGCTTCTCCTGCGATTAATTACTAGATCTTTAAAAACAATGGAATCATTAAAAATAACTTATAAATAGTAAGAAAATATTTCTTTCATTTTGTTAGACCAGCTGTGATGGTCTTCCATGTGTTGCTTTTACTTTTTATTTCTTTCATTTGCAAAGCCAAACGAGGGCTGGTAAAGCAAAAATGAAAGGATTATAGAGAACAACGTTTAAAGAAACATTCATCTAACTTTTGTTGAACACTTAAGAAGTGTTAGGCACCATGGTAAGTACTGGACAGCCTCTCTAATAGAGCTGATAGTTTAACACAAGAAATATGCAAAGTGACAACACAGAGATATACAAAGTCTAGCTTTATAGTCAGAGTACATTGGAGCAAAGGTTAAAGTAGTCAATGCCTCTTTAAGTGTGGTGGTGGGAGATTTGGAGAAAAAGCTTCTGAGACATTTATGCCTGCTTCTCAAAAGATGAGGAAGAAAAACAGTCACTTGGATTTTGCAATTTGGAAAGAGGGCAATAATACCTTTCTGAGAGTCATTTTAAATGAGTCATGAGGATAGATACCAGTGCAGTGAATGGGAGACAAGTTAGATGAGAAAAAGAAATAACAACAATGACAGCAAGTGCAAATATTTGTATGGTACAGTATGGTGGCTCTGGAACTGAGCAGATCTAGATTGGAATCCTGGTCTGTCCATTATTAGCTGTGTAGCCTTGGGTGAATTATATTTCTATGACTCTTTTCTCCCCAGTTCTGCTAGGATAATCCTTCTTCCTTTCCTAGTGAGTTTAAGATTCACTTCAGTGTTTTGTTAATAAAGAAAAGTATTTATTTATTTATTTATTTTTTGAGATGGAGTCTCATTGTGTCACCCAGGCTGGAGTGCAGTGGCTCAATCTCGGCTCACTGCAAGCTTCGCCTCCTGGGTTCACGCCATTCTCCAGCCTCAGCCTCCCGAGTAGCTGGGACTACAGGTGCCCGCCACCATGCCCGGCTAATTTTTTTAATATTTTTAGTAGCGACAGGGTTTCACCGTGTTAGCCAGAGATGGTCTCGATCTCCTGACCTCGTGATCTGCCTGCCTTGGCCTCCGAAAGTGCTGGGATTACAGGTGTGAGCCACTGCGCCCAGCCTAAGAAAAGTATTTATTGTATTTATTTTTTTAAAACTTAGTCTCAAATATACAAAAATAGTAGAGAACATGACAAAAATAATCCACATAATCATAATACACATTAGAGATGAACAATTTGCCATCTTTTCTTCATATTTTTTTGAAATAAATAAAATGTCTTAAAATAAGCTAAAATATCCCCATGCCATTTCCTTGATTGTCTGGATCCCAGTCTCTGACCTGAGCCAAAATTTTGCATGGGGCAGCAGGGGAGTAGTGCTGGCCTTCCGATCTAAGACTGTATTAACATTCAAATTAGACAGACTTGATTTCCAGCCTGGTTCAGGTCATTCGCTGGTTTTGCAACTGAATCTTATTGTCTTCCATCATGATAAAATGAAGATGAAAATACCTGCCCCCCAGGATGACTTATGAACATTAAGTGTATTGATGTGTATAGTTAATTCAGTGTCTGGTCAGAGCTATTCACTGAATGGAAACAGTTATCTAAATATTGGTGTTGACTAGACTTGTTACAATGCATGTAAAAAGCAGAAGTTGCTTTTGTTTGACAGGAGATGTTGTTTATGGTCTTTAATTTTTCTGAAATTAGAATGTTGTTGATCATATCCATGATGTAATGACTGTTAATTGTATTGGGCTGGTTTTGAAAATGCTTTAGAAAATAAAATCAGCTTGTCTTTTCCAAGATGATTATTTCCTATAGCAGATCCTGGTCCTTGAAATGTCCATTCTTCTATGTTTTTACCAAAGGTAGTTTATTGACATTCTTGGGGCTAAAATATAAAATCCATACTATATTGAAATATGATACTTTTTGCTTTTGGCATTTTTATTACTGGATTCTTTATGTATTGAAATAGATTGTAGTTATAAAATTAATCTCTTCATGAAGCTCAAGGACTTTGGGAAGGAATGTTTTTAAAACTTTCTTTTATTGTGGGATATTACAAACATATACAAAAGTAGAGGCAATGGTGTAATAAACCTGTAACCCAGCTTTAATAATGATCAAATCATGACAAATCAATCTTGCTTCATCTATATCCCTATTTTCTATTTCTTCTCTCTCCCACTAGATTATTTGTAAGCAAGTCTTAGGTATTACATCACTTCCTCTAAAAAATATCTGGAAGAGAAAGATTTATTTATTTGTTTATTTTTGAGGCAGAGTCTCACTCTATCGCCCAGGCTGGGGTGCAGTGGCACAATCACTGCTTACGGCAGCCTCAGCCTCCCGGGCTCAGGTGATTCTTCCACCTCAGCCTTCCAAGTAGCTGGGACTACATGCATGCGCCACCACACCCTGCTAATTTTTATATTTTTTTTTGTAGAGAAGGGGTTTTGCCACATTGCCCAGGCTGGTCTCAAACTCCTGGGCTCAAGTGATCCTTCCACCTCAGCCTTTCAAAGTGCTGGGATTACAGGCATGAGCCACTGCAACCACCCAGGACTCTATTAAAACAAAACTGTAACACTATTATCAAATTTTAAAAAAAACTTCTTAATACCCACAGATATTAAGTTAGAACTGTATTTACTTGATTATCTCATAATTCTGTTTGAATTAGAATCCAACTGTAGTGGACACATTATAATTTTCCTTTTTAGTCTATGGTTTTCCCTCTCCTGATCTCTTTTCTTTTCCTCTCAACAATTATTTGTCAGAGAAATGTACTTATCCTGCACAGTTTTCTACATTCTGTATTTTGCTGAATACATCCCAATGGTGTCATCTCAGATGTTTCTCTGTCCATTGTATTTCCTATGAACTAGTGATTTGACCAGGTGCCTAGATCAGTTTTAATTTGAGTTTTTGGCAACAATACTTCATATGTGTTCTGGCTGTCTCTCATTTTTGGGTATTAGCCACCACTGGGGATGATTGCTTAGAGAAGGGGCTGGCAAATTTTTCTTCAAAGAGCCAAATAGTAAATGTTTTAGGGTTTTTTTTTCTTTTTTTTTTTTTTTTCCGGAGTTTCGCTCTTTTGCCCGGGCTGGAGTGAAGTGGTGCCATCTCTGCTCACTGCAACCCCCGCCCCCTGGGTTCAAGTGAGTCTCCTGCCTCAGCCTCCCTAGTAGCTGGGATTACAGGTGCCTGCCACCACTCCCGGCTAATTTTTGTATTTTTAGTAGAGACAGGGTTTCACCATGTTGGCCAGGCTGGTCTCAAACTCCTGACCTCAGGTGATCCGCCCACCATAGCCTCCCAAACTGCTAGGACAGGCATGAGCCCCCACGCCCGGCTGGTGTTTTAGGTTTTGCAGGCTATAAGGTCTCTTATAATCATTCAATTCTTGCTGTTACAGTTCTTTCAAAAGCAGCCATAAGCATTATGTAAATAAATGGTCATGGCTGTGTTCCAACAAAACATCATTTATAAACACTAAAATAGGAATTTCATATAATTTTTACCTTATGAAATATTATTCTTTTGATATTTTAACCATTTAAAAATGCAAAAATTATTCTTAGCTTACAGGCTAAGAAAAACTGATAATGGAATGGATCTGGCCTTTATTTGGAGTTTGCCAAGATCCATTATTTTATTTGGGCATTGCAAAATAGTGATATTATGATTCTGTCTTTCCTTTTTCATTTATTAGCTGAAATAATTTTATAAGCAGAAACTTCCTTCATCAACTATTTTCTCATTCTGAGTTATAATTCATGTAATAGTCAAGATAAATGTTTGAGACAGTTTTTAAAAAGTTGAGCTAATAATAATAGGAGCTGTGTGATGGCATTAATTTGTTAGTGTACTGTCAGGCCTTAGATTTTAATTGGGGCATTGTATTCAGTTAACTAGAAGAAAATATTTGACCCATTAATTGTGGAGGCCAATTAAAGTATTATTAAGAAATATAACTTGTAAAAATATATTGTCAAACTATTTCTGTATTAAAGATTCTGCTTTCAGAATTTAAAAAAGTGTTGGGCATCGTGTTAAGTTTCCAATGCTGCCATAAGAAATTACTACAAACTTAGTGGCTGAAAGTAACATGTATTTATTATCTCAGTTCTGTAGTACGGAAGTATGACATGGGTTTCACTGGACTACACATCAAGATGTCAGCAGGGCTGTGTTTCTGTAATATCTAGATGAAAATCTATTTGCTTGCCTTTTCCAGCTTCTAGAAGCCACCCACATTCCTTGGCTCATGGTCCCTGTCTTAGTTTGTTTTCATACTGCTGATAAAGACATACTCAAGACTGGGAAGAAAAAGAGGTTTAGGCCGGGAGTGGTGGCTCACGCCTGTAATCCCAGCACTTTGGGAGGCCGAGGTGGGCAGATCAAGAGGTCAGGAGATTGAGACCATCCTGGCCAACATGGTGAAACCCCCCGTCTCTACTAAAATACAAAAAATTAGCCAGGCATGGTGGTGCGTGCCTGTAATCCCAGCTACTCTGGAGGCTGAGGCAGGGGAATCGCTCGAACCCAGGAGGCAGAGATTGCAGTGAGCCGAGATCAAGCCACTGCACTCCAGACTGTGTGACAAAGCAAGATGCCATCTCAAAAAAAAAAAAAAAAAAAAAAGAAAGAAAAAAAAAAGAGAGGTTTAATCGGACCTACAGTTCCACATGGCTGAGGAGGCCTCAGAATCAAGGCGGGAGGCCTCAGAATCAAGGCAGGATGCGAAAGGCACTTCTTACATGGTGACAGCAAGAGAAAATGAGGAAGAAGCAAAAGCAGAAACCCCTGATAAACCCATCAGATTTTGTGAGGCTTATTCACTATCACGAGACTAGCATGGGGAAGACTGACCCCCATGATTCAATTATCTCCCGCTGGATCCCTCCCACAACATGTGGGAATTCTGGGAGATACAATTCAAGTTGAGATTTGGGTGGGGACACAGCCAAGCCATATCAGTCCCTTTCTCCATTTTCAAAGGCAGTAAAGTTACATCTTTTTGGCCTTTCTGCTATCACATTGCTTTTTCTGATTCTCCTCTTCTGCCTCTCTCTTCTGCATTTAGGGAACCTTATGATTACATTGGGCCCACCTGGGTAATTGAAAACCATCTCTTTATTTTAAGGTCAAATGATTAGCTACCTTATTCCCCATTGACATGTAAAGTAGCATATTCACAGGTTCTGGAAATTAGGATGTGAACCTCCTTGGGAGGTTATTATTCTGCCTTCCATAGGCATTGAGATATTACTTTTTGATTTGTTAACGCTTCACTAGAAAATGTTATGGAGATGGTGTTGAATGATTCTCTCTAAGGTGTCTTTAAATCCATGATAAATACTCATGTATTTGGAATGAGGTTCTGCTGGTAGACAAAGGAACAGAATAGATGAGGTTCCTTGCACACTTTGGGTTTCTGAGTGTTGAATTTATAGTGCTGGCAGTAGAAGAGGAAATTGCCTATCTTACTAGTGGATATTCAGTAAATTTGGGTATGTGAATGTTTTGTTTTAAAGAGCACCCACTCCCTACAAGATAAAGACTCAAATGCTATAGAAGAAAGAAATGTGAAAAAGACTTCTGAGAGACTTTCTTGCTACAGAGGGGAGAAATGAAACTAGAATTTGGCATATAACATGATATCTTGTAAGACTATTAGATAGTAATTATACATATTTTATATATTATTCACATTATAAGTACACTAAACTTGTCTTAATTATATTATTAGTCTGCTAAAAAGTTTAATAAGATGGGTCAAATGAGTGAGAAAACCAATGGATTGTACTCATGAACAGATAGTGTAAATTTGAGTTATTGATTAATTAAATCGAAGCTGTACAGGTAAAATAATTTTTTGAATATTCTTATTTAATATTTTCTCCATGGATATTGCAAAATGCAATTATTAATAGTTTGTAAATATTTTATTATTTTTTTCTTCTCAATGAATGAGAACAACACTTAAGTTGAAAGTTTGCATTATAATTAGTTTTAAAATGGAGCTGTTACCATTTTTTCCTGTTATTTGAGGACATCTGATTTTTGATAAAAGTGTCTCCTTTGCTCCATAAATAAAGATTATAGTAATAGATAATTATTATACATCACTGTTAATAGGCAAGAAAGAAAGGTGAAAAATTTAACACAGTCTTCAAAATGTTAACATCAAATAAGGTGAGAAGTTGGGTCTCCCTTTCTTTTCAAAAATGGGCCTATTTTAGGGAAGTATGGCTTTGTGAAGAAGTCTAGAAAATTCTGAGCTGAAAAACCAAATTACTGCAAGTACAACTGAAGTCATACCACATTGGGCCTTGAACAATTAAACTATAAAACTTCATGGAAACAATAAATAGATAGTTTTCCCTAGAATATCTGTCACAGAGGATGTGTTTTAGTCCATTTAGGCTGCTCTAGTAAAATACCATAGCCTGGGTGGTTTATAAACATCAGAAAATTATTTCTTATCATATTGAAGGCTGCAAAGTCCAAGATCAAGGTTCTGGCAGATTTGATGATTGGTGAGGGTGAAGGCCTGCTTCCTAGGTGGCTGTCTTTTGCTGTGTTCTTACGTAGTGGAACTTTTTTATAAGGGCACCAATCCCATTCTTGAGGGCTCCACTTTCATGACCTTGTCATCTCCCAAAGACCCCACCTCCTAATATCATCACCTTGGGAACTAAGTTTAAACATATGAATTTTGGGGGGGACACAAACATTTAGCACACAACAGGATGACTTTATTTATTTATTTATATTTTTTGAGACAGAGTCTTGCTCTGTCACCCAGGCTGGAGTGCAATGGAATGATCTCGGCTCACTGCAGCCTCCACCTCCTGGGCTCAAGTGATTCTCCTGCCTGAGCCTCCTGAGTAGCTGGGACTACAGGTGCGCGCCACCACGCCTGGCTAATTTTTTTCGTATTTTTAGTAGAGATGGGGTTTCTCCATGTTGGCCAGGCTGGCCTTGAACTCCTGACCTCATGTGATCTGCCCACCTTGGCCTTCCAAAGTGCTGGGATTACAGATGTGAGTCACCGTGCCCAGCCTCAGGATGACATTCTATGATAATTCAGGAAATTTCCAAAGTGCATAAAGCTTCTATGTGTTAGAAGCACAAAGAGCTAGGGGATGTGAAGCATCCGACCTAGAGCTGCTATCTTCCTGTCAAAAGTCAGAGAGATATAAAGCCAATTTGCCTATAGCATGTGTAGCAGGTAATCTTGGGTTATGTGTCTACAACACTCATTTGTATCTGTGGGAAAGTTTTGAGCTTAAAATTGCAGCACTTGTTCAGAATTAGAGAAAAATTAACAACCATGTTTGTAGATACACAGCTGATGGAGACTCTGATGGTTGGATATTGTATTTGTTTTCATGCTGCAAATAAAGACATACCCGAGAGTGGGTAATTTATAAAGGAAAGAGGTTTAATTGACTCACAGTTCAGCATGACTGGGGAGGCCTCTGGAAACTTACAATCATGGCAGAAGAGGAAGCAAACATGTCCTTCTTCACACGGTGGCAGGAAAGAGACATGCCAAACGAAGGAGGAAAGCCCATTATAAGACCATCAGATCTTGTGAGAACTCACTCACTGTCACAAGAACAGCACGGGGGTAACTGCCCACATGATTCAATTACCTCCCACTGGGTCCCTCCCATGATATGGGGATTATGGGAACTACAATTCAAGATGGGATTTGGGTGGGGACATAGCAAAACCATATCAGAGATGAAGGCTTAGAAATTCTGCAATTGGTCATTCATGGCTGCAAAGAAGTACCAGTGAAGCATGAAACAAAAAGTAAAGAAAGCTGAAGATTATATTCATAGCACAGCATAGAAATGAAGACAAAGGCAAAAAGACTTGGATCTTCACTCTTAGACGCTTTTCCCTTTATCTTTCCTAACTAAGGATTTTACTGTAGTTATACTATATATTATTAGTATTACTATTCCAACTTGTGTGTATAATTAAGTTTAAGGTAATTGGTGAGTATTCATTATATGTCTTTTTGTTGTTGTTGTCTTTATAAATTCTCTAATAAAAGAAGCCCTTCAAGATTTATTGAGAGGAAGTTGTATAATTGGACCTGACATTTGCTGTCACCAACACATTGCCCAGAGTGGGTACCAGTTTCAGAATAGGATCTAGTCCCATTTTTTGGCTTCATATCACAAAGTCATCCCTCTAAACACACATTTTGAACAAAAAGATAAACTTTAAAATTGTTTTCCATGTTCTAAATTATCGACAGCCATTTTGTGACAAAGAAATGAGTTTTTATGCATTTAAAAGCATTAGATACTCCCACACTAAATGAAATTAAATTTTCCTTAAAAGATAAACAATAATGATTCAAATTACCAAGGCCTAGGACAAAATGAGAATGATCTGGTTTACAGCTACAAAAAGAGCTCATTGCTTTGAAGGTTCATCAAGTTATTGAATGTAACTATAGAATGCACTGGTAACAGTAACTAAAACAAGAGCTTAATTCATATTATTAAGACCAAACATCCCAAATGAATAGGCCATGAAAATGTATGCAGAAGGAACCAGAGATAAGCCAAAAAAAAAAAAAAAAAAAAAAAAGTCCTACTTTTGTCTCATTACCCATTGAATACAGTTGGGGGACAGAAAACATTATTTTTTCAATCATACTGTATCTTGTATAACTGGAGGCCTTTGGGTCCACCGATGGAGACAGACTGTTAGGCTGGTATGATAACATCATGGTCCTGTATTAATGTGAGCAGTGAGGTAATTCACAGGATATTGTATTACTGCATAGTTTATGAATCATACACATTGTAAGACCTCTAGAAGGCTGGATGTTATTGCTTCTTCCTGGGTAAAATCCTTATATGTACATAGAGTATAATCGGGTCCTTTGGTTTAGGATCTCCTTCAGGGCAACGACTGTATTTTATTCATCAGTGTATTCCCAAATCTTGCTGAGTGGCTGGCATGTTGTAGAAACTCAGTAATTGTGTGTGAAGTAAGTGAAAGAGCATAATGAAAATCCTGTAGACTTTGGTGTTTCATATCCTGGACAGAGAGAAGATGAAGTAAGAGAGAAAAATGAGCATAATTTTGGCATTTATTAATACCAGGCTGTTTCAATGATCTCTTATGTAATCTTTCATCATCATTCCACTGTGGGTTTTATTTTGATGCACAAGTTATGGAAGATGAAATAAAATTTCAGAGAAGTGAAGTCTATTTTAACCAAGGTCAGCTGGGAAAAGGTAGAGAAAGAATTCAAATATAACTACCCTTTAATTTTTTGTCAATATGCTACTGACTCGTGAGTCAGAGGTAAGATGATAAAAAGAGTGTAAGCAACGTTAATGTGTGTCTTTTCCCTCACAAAGATGATTTCTTCTTGAAGTTGGCTTAAAGGTCACTATGGATGTTGAGACTAAGTCAAGGCAGTACTTGATAATGAAACTATATTGTCTGCAGGCCTGCAAACAAGCTTAGTTTGAGGAGAATTATTGAATGAAAAAAATTAAAAATAGGGCAATATAATTGTATTTACATGACCTGAAGACTTTATTTCCAGTATCTTTTTAATGTGCTGAAACATTTACTTATCCTTTCAAGTTTTAGATAAGCCCTGGTTATTTCTTTATGTGATGTCAATCAAAACCAGATCTAGAAAACTTTAAATTCATCAAGTGAAACTTACGGAACACTTGTTAAGTGGGCTCTCTCTCTCTCTGTGTGTGTGTGTGTGAGATATCTACTATTAAAAATATGACAAGAGACAAATAAGTGTCTTCATTAGGAGTTTAATTTGGGGAAGTTATTACCTTGGTTTATCTCAAGGTTAGAATAGAGTCAAGCCAATATGCTATATCTTCAATATTTTCAATTGTATCAAATAAGTATTGATGTCCATCACAATGACCCTCAATCAAGACACTGTACTCAGTCATAAGAGGATGGATTTATGTTTTATGCTTCCTACTTATTATGGCAAGAAACTGCATTCAGATCAGAAAGAGAAATGTTCAGAATCAATGGGCGAAAGAAGAGTTGATGATTAACTGGAAAATCATTTAATCAAAAATACCCCTTTCACAAGCATTCTTTTTTTTTTAAAATGGAGTCTCGCTCTCTCACCCAGGTTGGAGTGCAGTGGCATGATCTCGGCTCACTGCAACCTCCGCCTCTTGAGTTCAAGCGATTCTCCTGCTCCAGCCTCCCAGCAGCTGGGATTACAGGTGCACGCCACCATGCCCAGCTAATTTTTGTATTTTTAATAGAGACGGGGTTTCACCATATTGGCCAGGCTGGTCTCGAACTCTTGACCTTGTGATCCACCCGCCTCAGCCTCCCAAAGTGCTGGGATTACAGGTGTGAGCCACTGTACCCAGCCACCAGCATTCTTATTTAATCTCACTCTGTATGCTTATAAAAACTATAAGACTACAGCTTTAAAGCCAAGTATATTTAAAATCTAATTAGGACATGTTGCCTTTTGCTGCTAATCTAAGTAGTGACCATAGAATTGAAGAATTTCCATCCATTCTTTCCCATCTGGTAGGGATATAAGAGAAGCAAAATGTGCTGACCCTCTTCCTTTGTTATGAGAAGAGGAGGGAAAATGAATATTTGATGTATGCTTAGCATTTTGTTAAGCTTTTTTTTGTTTATAAAAGTTTAATATTTCATATGTGTTATCTCATTCAATTTGTACAACAATCTGATTATGTGGGTAACATTTTCATTTTATCAAGTTCCAGCCCTCCTGGAGCTTATATTCTAATGAAGGCCAGCAGAAGATACGCTGGCAAGCAAATAAATATGTAATAAAATATCTAGTGATTGTAAGTGCTGTGAGGAAAAATAAAGCAAGACAGGGAGATAGAGAATGAGAGGGGGCACCATTTGAGCTAAGGAGAAAGGCTATCTGATTGTTGCTGTTAGGTAGATGTCAGAAGGAAGTGAGGGAGCAAGCCATGGAGATACTAAATGAGGGAAAGGACATTCCATGCAGAGTGAACTGCAAGTACAAGTGTCCCGAGGCAGGGGCATGCCTGATGTGTTTGAGGAACAAGAAGGCAGCCAAAGAGGCTAGAGCAGTCAGCATGGAAAAGAGGGGTAGGAGAGAGAGATTCGAACCCAGGTCTGACTCCAAACCTATGTGCACAAATGCTCCCCTCAATCTATGAATTGGGGGACTGTGTAACACTTAGGGAAAGATTAGGGGATTCAAAACAACCCTAGGCTTTGCAGTATACACTGTGAGTAATGTAGGAAATCACAAACAGAACCGTAAAATGTTTTATTGAAAGCAGGATGATGTAGTTTGGCCTTTAGGATACTGGAAGCTGTGTATTTGCAGATTCCAACTACACAGGGCAGATTCAACTGCAGTGACATGAGAATGTTAGTGATAGTTACCCATGTTGGACTCCATGTTCCAGAAACTGTTCTGTGAGATCTACATATATTGAATCATTTATTTCTTATGACAACCTCATTGTACTCATTTTACAGATAAGGGAACTAAGGCACAGAGATATTAAATAACTTGCCCAATGTTATGAAGTTTAGGTTTGAAATCAGCGTGCCTGGCTCTACATTCTATAGTCTTGAAAAGTGGAGGAAATAGAAAAAAATGTAGGGCAATTCTTCTTTTATTCTTTTATTATTATTTTTTAACCCATTACTTTTCTGAAATATGGAGCAAAGATTGACAGGTGAGCTACCAGAAAAAACATTTACTCTTATCCCTCTGAAGAATATGAAAGGTAGTTGGGAGAAATGAGTTAAGGAGAACAGTGAAGATCCACTTTTAGTCAAAGTATTTTCTCATTCCAGTTTCCCTCTGGCTGATGACCAGGACAAAAATGAGATTAACCAATGAGATACAGTATTGTGCAAAGATGAGGTCCTCAATAAAATGCTCTTTATATCTAGATAAAAAGCCTGTTTCCTTTTTTTTTTTTTTTTTTTCCTTTGAAACAGGGTCCCACTTTGTTGCCCAGGTTGGAGTGCGGTGCAATCATGAAGTTCTTGCTTTTAAATTAAGAAGCAAATTCTTGAAATCTGGGTCAACTTGATGATTATAAGGTATTCATTCAGTACCTACTCAAGGATTAAAAGGAGCCATGAGAAAGTATAAATCCATTTTCGTTGTTGCTCTTGATATTTTAAAAATTTGTCTGTGTGTTATATGTTTTTCATTAGGCAAGTCTTTTAGATTAGTATCACTTGCAAATTGGCTGCTGAAGCATGCCAGAAGCATCAGAATTAGTAGTTTTAGATTACATTTGTCAAGCTTGGTAGAGATTCATCAATGATATAAACAGTCACACATACACACTCACAGTTCCTAAGAACAATAACAAAAAGCACATGTCCAGAAATTCTGAAGAAACTCAATGATGAAATGTAAAACTGTTCATCCAAATATGTAACTGATTTTAAACAGCCACTCCATGGGAGAAGGGTTCCCAAACTTGATGGCCATCTGAATCACCTGGAAAGCTGTTTAAAAAAAACAGGCTGACTGGCGTGGTGGCTCACGCCTGTAATCCCAGAACTTTCGGAGGCTGAGGAGGGCAGATCATCTGAGGTCAGGAGTTTGAGACCAGCCTGGCCAACTTGGTGAAACCCCATCTCAACTAAAAAAAAAAAAAAAAAAAAGCCGGGCATGGTGGCGGGCGCCTGTAATCCCAGCCACTTGGGAGGTTGAGGCAGGAGAATTGTTTGAACCCAGGAGGTGGAGGTTGCAATGAGCTGAGATTGCACCATTGCACTGCAGCCTGGGCAACAAGAATGAAACTCTGTCTCAAAAAAAACCAAAAAACAAACAACAACAACAAAAAAACAGGCTACTGGATGGACTATACCATGCCTGTGAACTTTCTATCTCTGTAGCAGTGTTAGGAAAACTATAGCTTGAAAAGGTCCTCAGGTGATTTAGTTGATAACCCAAATTATGACAACACATTTTATTTTATTTTATATTTTATTTTTTCAACTTTTATTTCAGATCCAGGGGGTACGTGTGCAGGTTTGTTACAAAGGTATTTTGTGTGATGCTGAGGTTGAGAGTTCAGTTGAATCCATCATCCAGATAGTGAAGTGAGCATAGTACTCAGGAGGTAGTTTTTCAACCCTGGCCCCCTGCCTCCTCCTCCCTCTACTAGTCCCCAGCATCTACTGTTTCCATCTTTATGTCCATTTGTACCCAATGTTTAGCTCGCACTTGGTGAGAACATACAGTATTTGGTTTTCTGTTTTTGTGTTAGTTTGCATACGATAATGGCCTCCACCTGCATCCAAGTTGCTGCAAATGACATGATTTTGTTCTTTTTTATGCCTGCATAGTATTCCATGATATTTATGTACCACATTTTCTTTATGCAGTCCACTGTTGATGGGCACCTAGGTTGATTCCATGTCTTTGCTAGTGAGGATAACACTATTTTAGTGACCATTATCTATGATGGTGGTTCTCGATGTTAGCATATATCAGAATCACCTGGAGGGCTTGTTAAACCACAGCTTACTGGGTCCCATCCTCTGGATTTTCTAAATAAATACAGCTGAAGTGTGGTGTGAGAATTTGCATTTTTAACAAGTTTCCAGGTGTTGCTTCTGCTTCTGATGGTCTGGGCATGACAGTTTGAGAACCCCTCAGTTATAAAAACTTTAGAGTAAGACTGAGGAGGGTTTAAGGAGAGATGTGTATCACCACTTTGAGTCTATCAACAACAACCTGGACTCCATGGTACAAGATGGAATCATTGACCACTGAAGAAAAAAAATACCGTAAGGCATTATTGTTCTAAGGTATAATTAATCAATTCAGTTGTTTGTGGTTTTAGTGAATTTGTGAATAATGCACTAACCAGGAGCAATACTGCATTATACAAAGCCATTTCTTAGCTGACTACCAATGTCTAAAATCTAGTTTCATGGGATTAGAAAGAGTAAAATTGGGGAAGTAATCTTTTATTCAAGGATGAAATCATAAAATGGCAGACATAAAAAGGAGATAAGCAGGCGTTTCTGAAGACAGAGGAAAAAAATCGAGAATTACCTCTGGGATTAGGTCTGAATTTTTTTTTTTTGGTCTTAACGCCTTAGTAAGTACTTTACAACTTTTAGCACAGTGTAAATCAGTGTTCTTAGATCCTAAATTCTTCTGAGATGCCGAGCTAATAGGAATAAAGTCAAGGAAGCTTTTCACAGCAAAACCTGTGAAGCATCTGTATAATTTATGGGGTCCAGTGGAAAATAAATATGCAAGTCCCCATATTCAGAAATTAATAATTTTAAATGGCAACAGCAGAACATTACAGCATGGGGCCATGTGCAATTAAACCAATCTCATGTCCCCGAAGCCAGCCCTGGGTATAATCAAGAGAGTTTCAGAAGATTGGAGTTAGATTTGGGTTCTATCCCTGACACTCTGTATCATTATGAGTGACCTACCTTATCTCATTGCTTGTGAGCTTCTTGATAAGTACAGTTTGGAGAATAATCCTTATCTTGAAAATTTATTGAGAAAAACAAGTTAGGTAATATGTAAAAGTGCCAGTGGTAGTGTGTGGTATATGCAGACCATTAAAAAAACCTCAAAAAACCCTAAATTAAAAAAAAAAAGAGTTGCTGGGGCTGAAGAGATTATTTATTTTCCCAGTATGGATGTCATTTTGCAAATTCTTATAAAGCTGATTAATTATTTAAATGTTTGTTGATTGCCTATAATGTGTTAGGCATTGTCCTAGGCGCTGGGCTTACTGCTGTCCTTGTGCAGATCACAGTCTAGTGGGAGACACAGCCAATAAACAAGTAGATGAAACCTAATTGTGAAATACAAAAAGTGCAGTGGCATAAAATAACTGGCACAAGGGGTATAATATTAGAGGGAGGTCAGGGAAATCTTCTCTGAAGAGGTTACATTGAGGCTGTTATAATCTAAGGGTGGAGAAAGATCTAGTATAGGAAGTGCATTCCAGGTAGAGGGAGCAACATGTGCAAACTCTCTTCAACAGTAAAGAACTTGGCATGTTTGAGGAACTAAGAGATTAATAGGCTGGAGCCAGAGAAGGAGGCAAAGAGTGCTACGGGATGAATTTAGGGAGAAACATGGGGCCAGATTGTATAGTACCCCCTTATGGGTCAATGGCTAGACTTTATTCTATGCATGATGGGAACCATTGAAGAGTTTTAAATAGGAAAATGATGTGAGCTGATGAATATTGCTAAAGTCTCTGCAAATGCGTTGTGAGGGGAAGAGTTGGAAAAGGCAAAAGAAAAGAAGTGAGAGGTTATTGTGGGGGAAAACCTGGTGAGAAATCATGATGGCCTGGACCAGGTTGGTGGCAGTGGAGATGGGAAGAAATGGACTGATCTTCTAATGTATTTTCGTGGTGGGTGCAATTGAATTTGCGATTAATATGCATGTGGGTGTTAAGAGAGGCACATGAATCAAGAATGGGTCCTATGTTTCTGACTTAAGCAGCTGGGTGGATGGTAATATTTATAGAAATCCTGAACACATGGGGAGAAATAGGCTTTGGAAGAAAGCCAAAGGCCAAGTTTTGAACATGCTGATTTTGAGATGGTGGCAACAAATTGGTGAGTTCAATACATGTGACTAGAACCCAAAAAGATGTCCCAGTTAGAGCTAACCTGGGTATTATCAGTTTATGGGTGATATTAAAGCCCATGAACACATGATGTTAATTAGGATGATAGTACATAGAAAATAAGGGGGTCTAGGAAAGAGCCTTGTGGATTTATTTAGTAGAAGAGCTATCCAGGGAAATAGAAAAAGAAAAACCAGAGACATATGTAGGTAATGATATTACAGAGGCCAAGAGTGGAAGGTCTTTCAGGAAAAAAGTGATTAAGAGGGTTGAATCCTCTTAGAGAGGTCCAGAAAGGTGAGAATATTAAATAGCCCATTTCATCTGGCAATATGAATTCTATGTGAATTTGTCAAGAGCAGTTTTGCTATAGTAATAGGGACAAGAAGCCAGACTGGAGTAGGCTGAGGAATGAATGACAAGTGAGGTCATGGAGACAGTGTGTACATTGAATCTTTTGAGAACTATAAAGTACAAGGGAGCAGGAGAAATGAGACAGGCAACTGGGAGGTCCTATGCTGTCAAGGTACTTTTCCTATTAATATGAAAAATACCAGGGCATGTTTCTGAACTGAAAGAAATGATACCATCTACAGGGAGAGAATGATGGTGAAAGACAGGGAAACACCTATAAAATACAAACTGAGAGAAGGCCAGAGAAGATAGGTCCTCTATAAAATAAAATTATACACAAAAGCAAAGGGACTCATTCAGAATAAGAGGAAACCAGAGTAAACCTAACATTGTCAGTAATATTTGCAACTGACTAGATCTGTCTTATGATATTGCTTATGTTTACATCATTTAACCTGTCTTGTATATTTGTTTCTCTCCTTGACTTGCCAGAGGAGAACATGTCTCATTTATATGCATAGAATTCCTGACACCTAGCACACTGCCTTGGCCATATGTGTGGTCAAGGAGTTTCTTGAAACGTTTTAGTGGAAAAAAAATGGAAATCTGAACCCCAATCTGTTTTTAAAAGTTGGTAGAAAAAGTGCCGCAAAATGGCTTGCCACAAGGTAATAAATGGCAGTTCCTGACCTATATGTAAACAAAAATGCAAATTTAAAACCTAGGATTGCTGAATTTGGATACAATGAAGTGAAGAAATGGTCTTAATGGAAGGCCAACTCTGTGCTGAATTATCTGGAAAGAACCTTATGACATTGTAATGGTGAAGGTAGTCTATAAGGCATCTTTAAGAATTCAAATGATTTGAGCTTTGGGTGGAGCTCAAAGGCACCCTAGAATGTTGAAAAACTATTGAGCGGTGCTTGCGACAGTTGGGAGCAGTCAAGGTCTAGAAGCTCAGCCAGCCTGACATCATTCAGCCATTTTTGTCAACTTGTCCTTAACAAGGTGGATACGTTACTGGATTTGGAAGAAAAGCAGATGAAAAAAATAGGTTAGTTGGTAGAGTTTGTAATGTGGATTACTCTGGTGTTGTCTCCAGGCTCATAAGGGTCCAAAGTCATCTCCGGGGAGGAACTTTTGACCTTCCTGGTAGAGAAGGGAGAAGGGAAAGGTTTGTAAATTTATGTTCTGCTTTCAGGCAAATAGGAGGGCAGAAAGCTTTATGTGTGTGTGTGTATACCTACATATATACGTGTGTTTGTATATATATCCATCTTAAATTTCATAGTTCCAAAAAGGCATAATGCACTTTGTTTTCTTGTTTTTCTAGAAGAATATAGATATTGTTTTCCATCCACAAGTTTCAGTAATAAGCATAAAATATTGAGAGAAAACAAACTTAAACTGCTTTCATGGTGCCAGGCTTCAGTTTGGGAAGACTGTATTGTAGAGAATGGTGACAGCAAATTATTCTCAGTAAACAAAGGAATGGTTACTCAGAAAATGCCAGCTTTCTTCATTGCTTAGATGAGATGTTTGCTTCTCCCATATGCAGATCACATTACAAAATAGTTGCAAAGAAGATGAAACTTGAAAACAAAAATTGCAAATTTTGATTGGTTTTTAGAGGGTAGTTCTTTAAAAAACAATTATTTAAGGAATTTCTAACTTTTAGTGGATCTTTCCTATTTCTTATAATGTTTTCAGTCTAAAGTTATCTGTCAAAAAGTGAAAATCTGCTACAAACATAAAAAGTGAACTTACTGTTAATGAAAGCAACTTGCTCACAGCAGGAAATGCAGTGAAAAGAAAAACTCCAGAATTTTTCTTTGATGAGCAACCAGTGATAGACTGAAATGGAAATGCTGGAAATGAAGCAAAACTCTTAATAATCAGCTATATAGGGGATTGTCGTAGAACACATTTGTCAGTTTACTGGGCTGAGACCTAGAGAAGGTTTTGCATTGTCAATATTGCATCTTGATGTGGTGATATGAGTGTGTGGGGCTTGTAAAGTTCACCTCTTACTGGGTCTGTGTAGGGAGCTGATAAGGTCAAAAGTTTAGAAATAATTCTTAAATCTCCACTGAGCAGAAAGGTATCTAAGTTGCTATAATATATAGTTGTCTTAAAGGTCCAGAGATACTGGAAAATATCAAATAATATGTGTGTTTTATCAGCTGACTAATTTTCAAAGGGTAACTGTAAGAAACCAAGCATAACGATATGACAGGAGTTTAGTCAAATGTGTCTCCTTTGGAGTTTTCTTTTTTAATTTAGCAATCCTGGAAACGTTTTTCATTCATTCACAAGTTTTTGTATATATACTACTAGAAAGATCCATCAAGTTATATCATTTATTAAGTATAAAGTAGTGATTTTCAAACTACATTTCGTAAAACCTCAGCTTTTCATAAAATGTCTCTTGAGACTCCTTGGGAAATTAGGCATGTGGTCAAGGGGGCATCACTCTTTGCCACTAGGCCTAACTCAGTAATGAATAAAGATCGAGGGGTCTCAAATGTGGAAAGGTCCCTCCAAGGCAAAGGAGAAAACTATTGTCCTAAATGACACATGCAAGTGGCATTGCTTGCTGTATCTGTTTATAATTGTATAGATAATGTGTCACATTTTCCTTCAGTGTCTAAGACACTATTTTCTTTTTCATATTCTTCTTTCAGTATGATGTCAGAATAATCATGCCTTCTTCATAAGTTGGTACTCATGTTATTGTATCTTTGTGATATTGACCACTGCAGGGAAAGAAAAATAATTTTCCTTCTACCCTTCTAAATTCTCATCTGAGACCCCTGTAACAAGTTAACAAGAGAAAACCAAACAGAAGTTTATTAACATGTATATTTCATATATTCAGGGGAGAAAACACAGGGAAAGAGGAAATCTCAAAGAGCTGGCTTAGAACTCTGACTTATGTAGCATCTTCAAAAAAAACAACATTTTTGAGAAGTGACAATACAAAAAAAGGGACGTTGAGTCTCCAGGGGTGGCAAATTGTGGGAAGATAAACTTAGTCATGTGTGTATAATGATGTGGTCAACGACAAACCACACATTTGACACTGGTCCCATAAGATTTTAATGGTGTAATTTTATTATTCCTTTTCTACGTTTTGCTATGTTTAGAAGCACAAATACTTAACATTGTGTGACAATTGCTAACAGCACTCGGCACAGTCCCATGATGTACAGGTCTGTAGCCTAGGAGCAATAGGCTGTACCTTATGGCCTAGGTATATAGCAGGCTATCCCAGCTAGGTTTATGTGAGTATACCCTATGATGTCTGCACTAGGACAAAATGATGCATTTCTTATTAAGTGACATATGACTGTATATGGGAAACTAATGGTAGGTAGATAAAGGCTAGTTGGTATGGTTTGTTGTGTGGATTCCTCTGATGATGTCTGCAGGCTGATAAGGGTCTAAAGTCATCTCTAGGCAGGAACATTTTCTTTCCTGGTAGAGAAAGGAGGAGGGACACCTTTGTAAATTTATGTTCTGCCTTTAGGCCAATAGAGGGAGGGAAGAAAGCTTTTCTTCCTTTTTTTTTAAATTTCAACTTTTATTTTAGATACAGGGAGTAGATTGGTGGTTTGTTACGTGGGTATACTGCCTGATGGTGAAGTTTGGGGTACAATTGATCTTGTCATCCAGGTAATAAGCATAGCACCCATAGTTTTTA
This sequence comes from Homo sapiens, assembly GCF_000001405.40. NCBI lineage: Eukaryota > Metazoa > Chordata > Mammalia > Primates > Hominidae > Homo > Homo sapiens. The sequence goes on along the minus strand of NC_000009.12, from coordinate 71,421,241 downwards.
AACCCACACCCCCTTCCTTCCTTCCCACCTCTAGTAGTCCCCAGTGCCTATTTTTCCTATCTTTATGTCCATGTTTATCCAATATTTAGCTCCCACTTACAAGTGAGAACATGTGATATTTGGTTTTCTATTTCTGTATTAATTTGCTTAGGATAATGGCCTCCAGCTGTGTCCATGTTGCTGCAAAGGACGTGAGTTCGTTCTCTTTTTCTTTTTCTCTCTTTTTCTCTCTTTTTCTCTCTTTTTCTCTCTCTTTTTCTCTCTCTTTTTCTCTCCCTTTTTCTCTCCCTTTTTCTCTCCCTTTTTCTCTCCCTTTTTCTCTCCCTTTTTCTCTCCCTTTTTCTCTCCCTTTTTCTCTCCCTCCTTTTCTCTCCCTCTCTCTCTTTCTCTCTCTCTTCCTCTCTCTTTCTTTCCCTCTCTTTCTCTCTTTCTTTCTCTCTTTCTTTCTCTCTCTTTCTCTCTCTTTCTCTCTCTTTCTCTCTCTTTCTCTCTCTTTCTCTCTCTTTCTCTCTCTCTCTCTTTCTCTCTTTCTTTCTCTCTCTTTCTCTTTCCCTTTCTCTTTCTTTCTCTCTTTCTTTCTCTTTTTCTTTCTCTTTCTCTCTCTTTTTCTTTTTCTTTTTCTGTCTTTCTTTCTTTCTCTTCTCTTTCTCTTTTTCTTTCTCTTTCTCTTCTCTTTTTCTTTCTCTTTCTTTCTCTTTTTCTTTCTTTCTTTCTCTTTCTCTTTTTCTTTCTTTGTTGCTGCGAGAAAGCTTCTTCTGGTATCTGTTTCTCCTTGCCTTCGGCTCAAAATAATCCTTATGCCAAAGTGGCATATTTTAGGGTGGCATATTCTGCTAGCTTTCTCTTTATTATTCCCTTTTCACATTTCCCCCAAACATTATCATGAAGGGAGGGATTTATATAAGACAAATCCGTCATGGTTAAGGACTCTTTGAGAGGGAAGTGGTCAACAGAGAAAATCCATGTAGCATCCCCAGCCTCAGATTTCCCTTTGGTCATCCCCTAATTCTCTTCTTTTCCTGTCTCCCTCATAACAGACTTTCCATCCCCACCATGCACCTCATGATATCTCAGATCCCCATTCTCCTCCCCTTATGAAGAATAACAGGACACAAAGACAGTAGCTAATGTTTAAGAAGGTTTAAAATGGGAAAATGACGAAAGATATTATTTAAAATGAGGTATAACAGAAAACTTTAAATCTGAATGTATAATTGGACTGTGACTAGTTGATTATTAATAATGTAATTCATTATTTGATTTAAAAGAATAGTTATGTTGTATTTTATTGAACAAATCTTAGGAGTTTAAATGTTCAGAATGTCAGAATTATACCTGAGATATGTATCTGAACCAAGGTAAGATCACAGTTATTATTCTGACTTTTATGATAGAGCAGAAATTATTAGTCTGATATATTATGAGAAGGAAATAAGCCAAATTGAGATGATTTATGTCAGAACCCTTTTTATAGTGTATTTCAACTGTTTTAATTGTGGTAAAATGTGCATAACATAAGATTTAACATTTTATCCATTTTAAGTGTACAGTTAAGTTGTATTAAGTACATTCACATTATTGTATCAGAACTTCTAAGGAAACATATGGATTGTGATATGTATCTTTGGTTACAAACTTTTATTGCAAATTTTGTTTTTTCTCTTTTGCTATTACCCCATTATGAAAGTTAAAGTAAGATAATTCAAGATTTATGGCTAAAAGAAATTAATTGACTAGATACCTGACTGATTTTTCAATTTCTTTAGGAGCAAATTATCTCAGAACTTTATTCCTCAGGGAAAAAGATACCTAATAATTTGTAAACAAACAGAAATGCCACTAGAAAATGTGGTATCTTCTGCGCATTTGAATAAATTTCTCAGTCTTGAAACATCTGAACAGCCATTTGTTTTCTTCATCCTTTGGGGGAAATAGGCTTTTTTTAAATGCCCCAAAAAATAGGGCTTTCAGAATAAACAAATATTTTCTACATATTGCTACTATGATAATTACTGTACTGCATTAAATCCTAACAATAAGGCCTTTTCTGTTTACTAGTCCTATAAATTATTTTGGAAGAAAAATTGCCCTAGTAAGTAGACACAGTAGTGGGCTGAGCAAAACCTATAAGAGCTCCAATATTTTACATTTTTTTGATAGCTTTTTAGTTTTATTTTCCTCAGGTTTGCATTCCCTACTGTAGACTTTCACAGTTCCTCTTGAAGTTCATGGCACAGTAATGAAACAACATTTGTTGGTTGCCTTATGGTTTTCAAAGCACTTACATGTATATATAATACATATATATATATACACACACACACATATATATACACACACACATATATATGTGTGTATATATATACACATATATACATATATATACAAAGGATACTATATAGTATCTCAAAGGATATATATATATATAGTATATATATAGTATCTCAAAGGATGTATATACTCTATATATAGTATATATATAGTATCTCAAAGGATATATATATATATAGTATCCTTTGAGCCTTTTAGGAATCCTTTTAAGTTGAGACAAAGGGGCATCCTCAGTTGAGTTTCATAGATTGAGATATTTAACTTTTCTGATATCACTAGTGATGATTGATTATTTCCTGACTGCTCAGGACCTTTCCCATTTCCTCATAATACACTAATATCCCCTCCCCATTGATGGGATCTGCTAGGACTGCAATGAGGTACCCACCAATCCCTGGTCATGTGGGCAAGGATGAGACCAGAGCATAGGCAATTAGAGGCTCCCTTTTGGAATGTGAACAATCAGGCTGCCATAGGTCCAGTTCTGCTTCATCTCAACAGAGGCGTATCCTGATGAGACCATTTGTATTGAGAGAACTACTGAACTTCCAGTTCCCTTAATCCAGAGCTGCCTTGGTTCCTGTCTTTTCCAGGTTCTTGAACCTCCTGGAGATTCTGTGAGTCCCTGATATCCTCTTAATAAATTCCCTTTGGTTTGTGTTTGCCAGAATCTGTTTCTGTTGCTTGCCACCCCAAAACCAGCACAAGGAGATTCCCATTGCCAGTGTGGTGGAAGTTGGTACTTGGACCCAGATATTCCAGGACTCATTATGTTTCATCATGCTGCTGACTATTATTATTATTATTTTAAAGCACACTATTGAAGCTAAATTAAAAGCAACAATTCACTCATCCTTTAAAAAAATGATTTTCAATTTCTCAAATATTTATTCCTGTCCCTTTTTATATTTTTCATGTCCTTCTCACCAAAGAAAGGTTTTTAGTCTTTTTAGAAACTTAAAAAATCATCAACTTAAAAAAATTTATTTCCATCAGGTGTTTTGCGAGTGACAGAACATGACAAATAAGAATGATATATCAAGTACAGGCAAATCATTTGTTTTAAGAGAGAACAGATAAAGATGGATATACAGTTATTTGATGTTTGGCTTTTGGAATAATCATGTCATCTTCTATTTTATGAAGTCATTTTATTAGAAAGAGTATTTCTAGTTTAGAAGTCTATGTGAAATAATAAAAGAACCCAGAATGGTGTGCTCTGTAGTATTTCCATTTTCTTGGCACTTATTTCATACCTTTCTCAGATATGTTTCCATTAATTCTTTCTGGATGAATTTTTATTTACTAATTTAAATTAGTGCAGTAATTTAATAGGATTATGAGATAATATTTTGGAAGACCAGTTACTCATTCAGTTGCTGTTGGGGCAGGCATTGTGCTAGCGTATGTGCATGTGCCTTTCAACAAAATAGTCACTGTTCTCAAAGATTTGAACAGTAACTTCATAATAAAGGATATGTAGCTAGTCAATAAGCACATAAAGAGATGCTCAATACCATTCGTTTATCAGGGAAATTCAAGTTAAAACCATAATGAGATATCACTATACACCCATTAGATTGGCTAAAATTAATGATTGACACTGCTGGTGTTGGCAAGGATGTGGAACAATTGAAACTCACATGTGTTATTAATGAGAATATAAACAGGTACAAACATTTCAGAATGCTTTAGAAAACAGTTTCTCATAAAGTTTAACGTGCATATACCATTTGGCCCTGTGATCCCAGTGAAAATATATGACCACACGGACTGTCACATAAATGTTCTTAGCAGCTTTATTAGTAAGAACCCCAAACTGGAGACAACCCAATGTCCATTAATAGATAAACAAATGAATTGTGATATATCTCTACAATGAAATATTCAGCAATAAAAAAGAATGAACTATTGATACATGTAACTACATGGTTAAATCTTAAAAATATGCTGAGTAAAGAAACCAGACACAGAATAGTACATATTGTATGATTCTATTTATATGAAATGCCAGAAAAGACCAGTCTAATTTAGAGGGACAGATAGATGACTTATTACCTAGGGCTCCCCTTAAATTGGGAAGAAGTAAAAGGAAACTTCCTGGGGTTATAAAAACTTTCTGTATCTTATGGTGGTAGTTTTGTCATAACTCATTGAAATATACATTTAAATGGGCACATCTTACTGTATGTAAATTATACCTCAGGAAGGTTGACATAAATTTAGGTGAATAGTGTCCCTTAAAAATCTTATTTTGTAAGTCATATGTTAATGTGATTGTACCTAAAATGAAAACATAAGGCATTTTACTGGTTATGTTTTTTAAAATATAGTGCTTTTTGGCAATTTTAAACATAATTCCTTTTCATCAACAATGATACAAGATGGAAACATTATCCAGGAAACCAGCTATATTTTCTACTTATGGCAAACAATATCTTATTTTAATTATGGAACAATAATTAGCCTTCATATCTTTAAGCAGTTTGTGCTATTAGTTTGGGAAAAACATTAAAACAGCAAAAACTATCATTTTAGATGGTGATAAATTGCCGACCAATCCAAACTAGTTTATTAAATATAAAAGTAATTGTAATTTAAAATATTTCATTCAACATTGGATTGTATATTTTATAAAATTTGTAAGGAAAAACATACTAACGTATTGATTAACTTTTCTCTGTTCTCTTAAGTACCTATTCTGATTTATATTACTAAATCTTCTCCACTGATTTACAACTTTTAACAGGTGCCAAATCCCAAATGATGCTTCGATACTATAGGTTAAACTACCAGGTCTTTTTTCTTTGTGAAATACAATGCTATTAAATATTCATTTATTGAGAAGGGCAAATCTGAGCCTCACTGTCAACTAATGGAAAGTAAAAAAAAAAAAAAAATTGGAATATTATAACAAGATTACTTTTAAAATGTGTTTTCTCAACGCCTCAGGCAATAGTAGAAATTCAATATTTTTCTATCATCCATTCTTGTAATACAGTTTTAGGGTGAGTGTTTTTGGAAATAATCTTCTCACATTTTTTTTCTAGTACTATTTTATTCTTAGTGTTTTATATTTTATAAAAATCTTTGTACCATAAATCTAGAGATAAATCTAGAGAAACTTTTAGAAATGGAGACCACACTAAGAGTCTCTTAAATGCTCATCCAGGGGGCTGAGTATAGAAAACTGTTCCATTGAGTCAGCAATAGAAGGTAGGTGAAACATTTTATAAGTGGGAATTAGTCAGTTTTCCGTGTTAAGGATATAATGGTCATATACAGCAGCTGAGATTTATAATTTATCAAAGTCTGCTTGTAATTTTCTTATACTTCTAAAACTTACTAGGTGATTTATTTCCTTAAAAGTATATCTTAGTGTCACCCAGCGTACTGCTTTTATTTATGATGTATGAAAAAAAGTTGTTCTCTTTAGGTTATTTTTATCAGATCTAGATAAATAGAAAAATATATGTATTTAAAGAATGATATTAATAAATAGACAATATTTAGGTCTACCATATTTACATCTAATCATGACAGTATTGTTTTCATGTGGCTAATACAACAACCACAAACTGAGTAGCTTAAGACAACAGAAGTTTATTCTCCCACAGTTACAGAGGTCAAAAGTCAGAGATTAGTCTCACAGGCAGAAATCAAGGTGTCAGGAGGGCCACACACTGTCCAGGAGAGAATCTGTTCCTTGTCTTTTCCAGCTTCTCTTGGGCTATCAGCATTCTTTGGCTTGTAGCCGCATCACTCCACTCTCTGCCTCCATGGTCATTGCCTTCTCTTCTGGATGGTCAAATTTCTTTCTGCTTCTCTCTTACAATGATAATTGTGACTGCTTTTACAGCCCACTCAGATAATCCAGGAAAATCTTCCCATCTCAAGATCCTTAACTCAATCATATCTGCAAAAATATTTTTTCAAGTAAGATAATGTTTACAGGTTCGAGATTATAACCTCATATCTTTAAGGGCCATGATGCAGGCTGTTACAATGACCTAAAAAAATGAAGCCTGCTACTTTAATTTATTGCTCTTTTCCTGTCACCTCAAAGCACATATGGTCTTTCCTACACATTTTTAATTTAAAATATTTAGTCAAAAAGACTGAGTATGTTGCATAAGACTGTGTGTGTTGTAATTCACAATAATCATACGAATCTTGGGATTTCTCTGCTTCATGAGTTAGTATCATGCCTCTCCAGTAAGCTAGTAGAGATTTTGAACACAAGATCTATGTGTATTTTATACCATATGTCATGTACCTGAGAATTTCCCTGACAGTCCAACTTATAATATTCAGTCCTATTGTTAACCACTGTGTCTATTACATGTTACATTTTTTTGACCCACATGTGATTACTGTATACAGGCCATCTGGCAGAATAGATCTTAATGATTTTAATGGATCTGTTCAAGAGAATAATGGCATTTCATTTTGTTCATATTAGTTCTCTATCACATCTATTTTTTCCTTTGTGAAAGGAAGGAAAAAGGTAATCAATGAATAAGCTCTTAAGAGAGTGGTGATATAAAGTCTGTTTCACAACATCGAATTATGACAACCTATTATTGTTATGATGAACTGATTCTTGTAATAAGGTATTGATGTAGCAGAAATAAAATCCATCCTATTAAAATTTTATTTCCATGGTCTCTCTTAGATACTGGCTTCTGCCCTCAAATGGTATAATCTTTCTTCATCTTAATAGTATCTTTTAGCTTTGTAGACCACAGGACATGCAGCTTGTGAGAGAGAAAGGTTATAGCTGCCATAAGCATTATGAAGAATGGCACTACAATAAGTGCGATACAATGGTATAAATTAAATTTTGTTTTTACATAGCAGTTAAAAGGTTATGGTTTCATTTAGCCTTGTGAATATTACAAAGCAAAGAGTCATGCTTGGGAAGCCATTTTTAGATTAATGTCAATAACTGTGGTATAAACCAGTGAGGAGATAAACATGCTCAGAGTCTTAGTTTGTTTTATGTGACTGTAACAGAATACCTGAGACTGGGTAGTTTAAAAAAAAAAAAAAGAGAAATGTATTTTTCATAATCCTGGAGGCTGGGAAATCCAATATTAAAGCATCTGGCAGGTTAGGGCCCAGTCTCTCAGCTTCCAAAATGGCACCTTGAATGCTAAGTCTTCTGGAAGGAAAGAGTGCCATGACCTCACATGGCAGAAGGGGAACTACTTCCACAAGCCCTTTTAAATAAGGGCATTAATCCATTAGTGAGGGTGGAGCTCTCTTGACCTAAATACCTCCCAACACTGTTGCAGTGGGAATTAAGTTTCTAATACATGAATTTTGGGGGACACATTCAGACCATAGTATTCAGTAAGCACTATTCATTGAACAAATATAAAGAAACTACAGTATTATGAGACTTGTTAAAGGTATAGTTTTGGGCGCTTAACTGCCTGTGTACAAATCCTATTGCCATTAGTTACTAATCTTATGACTTTGGGAGTCACTTAATTTCAACTAACAAAGTCTGTTTTCTTCTCACCTATAAAAAGAATAATAGACACTTTCGATATTATAATTTTGAAGGTAAAATTAGATGAGGTATATAAAGCACTTAGGACTTCCTCATGCTAAATACTCAATAAATATGAGTTATAAATTTTTTAATTTTATTTTTTTGTTATACTTTAAGTTCTAGGGTATATGTACACAACATGCAGGTTTGTTACATATGTATACATGTGGCATGTTGGTGTGCTGCACCCATTAACTCGTCACTTACATTAGGTATTTCTCCTGATGCTATCCGTCCCCCTCCCCCAACCCCACGAAAGGCCCCAGTGTGTGATGTTCCCCACCCTGTGTCCAAGTGTTCTCATTGTTCAATTCCCACCTATGAGTGAGAACATGCGGTGTTTGGTTTTCTGTCCTTGTGATAGTTTGCTCAGAATGATGGTTTCCAGCTTCATCCATGTCCCTACAAAGGACATGAACTCATCCTTTTTTATGGCTGCATAGTATTCCATGGTGTATATGTGCCACATTTTCTTAATCCAGTCTATCATTGATGGACATTTGGGTTGGTTCCATGTCTTTGCTATTGTGAATAGTGCCACAATAAACATACGTGTGTATGTGTCTTTATAGTAGCATGCTTTATAATCCTTTGGGTATATACCCAGTAATGGGATGGCTGGGTCAAATGGTATTTCTAGTTCTAGATCCTTGAGGAATCACCACACTGTCTTCCCCAGTGGTTGAACTAGTTTACATCTCCACAAACAGTGTAAAAGTGTTCCTATTTCTCCACATCCTCTCCAGCACCTGTTGTTTCCTGACTTTTTAATGATTGCCATTCTAACTGGTGTGAGATGGTATCTCATTGTGGTTTTGATTTGCATTTCTCTGGCCAGTGATGATGAGCATTTTTTCATGTGTCTGTTGGCTGCATAAATGTCATCTTTTGAGAAGTGTGTGTTCATATCCTTTGCCCACTTCTTGATGAGGTTGTTTGATTTTTTTTCCTGTAAATTTGTTTAAGTTCTTTGTAGATTCTGGATATTAGCCCTTTGTCAGGTGGGTAGGTTGCAAAAAATTTTTCCCATTCTGTAGGTTGCCTGTTCATTCTGATGGTAGTTTCTTTTGCTGTGCAGAAGCTCTTTAGTTTAATTAGATCCCATTTGTCAATTTTGGCTTTTGTTGCCATTGCTTTTGGTGTTTTAGTCATGAAGTCCTTGCCCATTCCTATGTCCTGAATGGTATTGCCTAGGTTTTCTTCTAGGGTTTTTATGGTTTTAGGTCTAACATTTAAGTCTTTAATCCATCTTGAATTAATTTTTGCATAAGGTGTAAGGAAGGGATCCAGTTTCAGCTTTCTACATATGGCTAGCCTGTTTTCCCAGCACCTTTTATTGAATAGGTAATCCTTTCCCCATTTCTTGTTTTCATCAGATTTGTCAAAGATCAGATGGTTGTAGATGTGTGGTGGTATTTCTGAGGGCTCTGTTCTGTTCCGTTGGTCTATGTCTCTGTTCTGGTACCAGTACCATGCTGTTTTGGTTACTGTAGCCTTGTAGTATAGTTTGAAGTCAGGTAGCATGATGCCTCCGGCTTTGTTCTTTTTGCTTAGTATTGTCTTGGCAATGCAGGCTCTTTTTTGGTTCCATATGAAATTCAAAGTAGTTTTTTCCAATTCTGTGAAGAAAGTCACTGGTAGCTTGATGGGGATGGCATTGAATCTATAAATTACCTTGGGCAGTATGGCCATTTTCGTGATATTGATTCTTCCTATCCATGAGCATGGAATGTTCATTTGTTTGTGTCATCTTTTATTTTGTTGAGCAGTGGTTTGTAGTTCTCCTTGAAGAGGTCCTTCACATCCCTTGTAAGTTGGATTCCTAGGTATTTTATTCTCTTTGAAGCAATTGTGAACGGGAGTTCACTCAAGTTTTGGCTCTCTTTGTCAATTATTGGTGTATAGGAATGCTTGTGATTTTTGCACATTGATTTTGTATCCTGAGACTTTGCTGAAGTTGCTTATCAGCTTAAGGAGATTTTGGGCTGAGACGATGTGGTTTTCTAGATATACAATCATGTCATCTGCAAACAGGGACTATTTGACTTCCTCTTTTTCTAATTGAATATCCTTTATTTCTTTCTCCTGTCTGATGGCCCTGGCCAGAACTTCCAACACTGTGTTGAATAGGAGTGGTGGGAGACGGCATCACTGTCTTGTGCCAGTTTTCAAAGGGAATGCTTCCAGTTTTTGCCCATTCAGTATGATATTGGCTGTGGGTTTGTCATAGATAGCTCTTATTATTTTGAAATACGTCCCATCAATACCTAGTTTAATGAGAGTTTTTAGCATGAAGGGCTGTTGAATTTTGTCAAAGGCCTTTTCTACATCTATTGAGATAATCATGTGGTTTTTGTCTTTGGTTCTGTTTATATGATGGATTACGTTTATTGATTTTCATATGTTGAACTAGCCTTGCATCCCAGGGATGAAGCCAACTTGACCATGGTGGATAAACTTTTTGATGTGCTGTTGGATTCGGTTTGCCAGTATTTTGAGGATTTTTGCGTCAATGTTCATCAGGAGTATTGGTCTAAAATTCCTTTTTTAGTTGTCTCTGCCAGGCTTTGGTATCAGGATGATGCTGGCCTCATAAAATGAATTAGGGAGGATTCCCTCTTTTTCTATTGATTGGAATAGTTTCAGAAGGAATGGTAGCAGCTCCTTTTTGTACCTCTGGTAGAATTTGGCTGTGAATCCGTCTGGGCCTGGATTTTTTTTGGTTGGTAGGCTATTAATTACTGTCTGAATTTCAGAGCCTGTTACTAGTCTATTCAGGGATTCAACTTCTTCCTGGTTTAGTCTTTGGAGGGTGCATGTGTCCAGGAATTTATCCATTTCTTCTAGATTTTCTAGTTTATTTGCATAGAGGTGTTTATAGTATTCTCTGATGGTAGTTTGTATTTCTGTGGGATTGGTGGTGATATCCCCTTTATTATTTTTTATTGTGTCTATTTGATTCTTCTTTCTTTACTTCTTTACTAGTCTTGCTAGCAGTCTATTTTGTTGAGCTTTTCAAAAAACCAGCTCCTGGATTCATTGATTTTTTTTTTAAGTGTTTTTTGTGACCCTATCTCCTTCAGTTCTGCTCTGATCATAGTTTTTTCTTGCCTTCTGCTAGCTTTTGAATGTGTTTGCTCTTGCTTCTCCAGTTCTTTTAATTGTGATGTTAGGGTGTCAATTTTAGATCTTTCCTGCTTTCTCTTGTGGGCATTTAGTGCTATGAATTTCCCTCTACACACTGCTTTAAATGTGTCCCAGAGATTGTGGTATGTTGTGTCTTTGTTCTCATTGGTTTGAGAGAACCTCTTTATTTCTGCCTTAATTTTGTTATGTACCCAGTAGTCATTCAGGAGCAGGTTGTTCAGTTTCCATGCATTTGTGCAGTTTTGAGTGAGTTTTTTAATCCTGAGTTCCAATTTGATTGCACTGTGGTCTGAGGCACAGTTTGTTATGATTTCCTTTCTTTTACATTTGCTGAGGAGTGCTTCACTTCCAACTGTGTGATCAATTTTAGAATAAGTGCAATGTGGTGCTGAGAGGTATGTATATTCTGTTGATTTGGGGTGGAGAGTTTTGTAGATGTCTCTTAGGTCCACTTGGTATAGAGCTGAGTTCAAGTCCTGGATATCCTTGTTAACCTTCTGTCTCGTTGATCTGTTTAATGTTGACAGTGGGTTGTTAAAGTCTCCCATTATTATTGTGTGGGAGTCTAAGTCTCTCTGTAGGTCTCTAAGGACTTGCTTTATGAATCTGGGTGTTCCTGTATTGGGTGCATATATATTTAGGATAGTTAGCACTTGTTGAATTGATCCTTTTTACCATTATGTAATGGCCTTCTTTGCCTCCTTTGATCTTTGTTGGTTTAAGGTCTGTTTTATCAGAGACTAGGATTTGCAACCCCTGCCTTTTTTTGTTTTCCATTTGCTTGGTAGATCTTCCTCTATCCCTTTATTTTGAGCCTATGTGTGTCTCTGCATGTGAGATGGGTTTCCTGAATACAGCACACTGATGGGTCTTGATTCTTTATCCAATTTGCCAGTCTGTGTCTTTTAATTGAGGCATTTAGCCCATTTACATTTAAGGTTAATATTGTTATATGTGAATTTGATTCTGTCATGATGATGTAAGCTGGTTATTTTGCTCGGTAGTTGATGCAGTGTCTTCCTAGCATCGATGGTCTTTACAATTTGTCATGTTTTTGCAGTGGCTGGTACCAGTTGTTCCTTTCCATGTTTAGTGCTTCCTTCAAGAGCTCTTATAGGGCATGCCTGGTGGTGACAAAATCGCTCAGCATTTTTTTGTCTGTAAAGGATTTCATATCTCCTTCACTTATGAAGCTTACTTAGTTTGGCTGGATATGAAATTCTGGGTTGAAAATTATTTTCTTTATGAATATTGAATATTGGCCCCCACTCTTTTTTGGCTTGTAGAGTTTCTGCTGAGAGATCAGCTGCTAGTCCGATGGGCTTCCCTTTGTGGGTAACCCGACCTTTCTCTCTGGCTGCCCTTAAACTTTTTTCCTTCATTTCAACCTTGGTGAATCTGACAATTACATGTCTTGGGGTTGCTCTCCTCGAGGAGTATCTTTGTGGCATTCTCTGTATTTCCTGAATTTGAATGTTGGCCTGCCTTGCTAGGTTGGGGAAGTTCTCCTGGATGATATCCTGCAGAGTGTTTTCCAACTTGGTTCCATTCTCCCCGTCCCTTTCAGGTACACCAATCAAACGTAGATTTGGTCTTTTCACATAGTCCCATGTTTCTTGGAGGCTTTGTTCATTTCTTTTTACTCTTTTTCCTCTAAATTTCTCTTCTCACTTCATTTCATTCATTTGATCTTCAATCACTGATACCCTTTTTTCCACTTGATTGAATCGGCTACTGAAGCTTGTGCATGCATCACGTAGTTCTCGTGCCATGGTTTTCAGCTCCATCAGGTCATTTAAGGTCTTCTCTATGCTCTCTATTCTTGTTAGCCATTCGTCTAATCTTTTTTCAAGGTTTTTAGCTTTCTTGCGATGGGTTCAAACATCCTCCCTTAGCTCAGAGAAGTTCGTTATTAACGTTCTTCTGAAGGCGCCTTCTGTCAACTTGTCAAAGTCGTTCTCCATCCTGCTTTGTTCTGTTTCTGGCGAGGAGCTGCGATCCTTTGGAGGAGAAGAGGTGCTCTGGTTTTTAGAATTTTCAACTTTTCTGCTCTGGTTTCTCCCCATCTTTGTGGTTTTATCTACCTTTGGTCTTTGACAATGGTAACCTACAGATGGGGTTTTGGTGTGGATGTCCTTTTTGTTGTTGTTGATGCTATTCCTTTCTGTTTGTTAGTTTTCCTTCTAACAGTCAGGACCATTATCTGCAGGTCTGTTGGAATTTGCTGGAGGTCCACTCCGGGCCCTATTTGCCTGGGTATCACCAGCGGAGGCTGCAGAACAGCAAATACTGCAGAACAGCAAATGTTGCTGCCTGATCTTCCTCTAGAAGCTTTGTCTCAGAGGGGCACCCGGCTGTATGAGGTGTCAGTTGGCCCCTATTGGGAGGTGTCTCCCAGTCAGGCTACTTGTGGGTCAGTGACCTACTTGAGGAGGCACTCTGTCCATAGTCAGAGCTCAACCACCATGCTGGGAGAACCACTGCTCTCTTAAACATGTCAGACAGGGACGTTTAAGTCTGCAGAAGTTTCTGCTGCCTTTTGTTCAGCTATGCCCTGCCCCCAGAGGTGGAGTCTACAGAGGCAGGCAGGTGTCATTGAGCTGCAGTGGGCTCCACCCATTTTGAGCTTCCTGGCTGCTTTGTTTACCTAGTCAAGCCTCAGTAATGGCAGATGCCCATCCCCCAGCCTCACTGCTGACTCACATTTTGATCTCAGACTGCTGTGCTAGCAGTGAGCAAGGCCCCGTGGGCATTGGACCCACCAAGCCATCCACAGGATATAATCTCCTGGTGTGCTGTTTGCTAAGACCATTGGAAAAGTGCAGTATTAGGGTGGGAATATCCTGGTTTTCCAGGTACCAGCTGTCATGGCTTCCCTTGGCTAGGTAAGGGAATTCCCCAACCCCTTGTACTTCCCGGGTGAGATGATGCCCCACTGTGCTTCAGCTCACACTTCATGGGCTGCACCCACTGTCCAACCAGTCCTAATGAGATGAACCCGGTACCTCAGTTGGAAATGTAGAAATTACCTGTCTTCTGTGTCGCTCATGCTGGGAGCTGTAGACTGGAGCTGTTCCTATTCGGCCATCTTGGAACAAAAGTCAAGTTATTGATTTTTCCGATTCTGAGCTAGATAGGAAACATAAAACCATCTAGGAGAAAATAGCCAATTTGGTGAATTTAAGCCACATTCCCCATCCAACTTAATAAGTAGGCCATGTTTAATGAATGTCCTCAACATAAGTTTTTCCTTCAGTGTGGATCAGAGCTTCTTTGCAGCGCTGATACTGGCCCCTGAATTCCCCATATTAAGCCTGATCACTGCTCTAAACGTGTACCCTTAAACTCTGAGTTCTGGTTGCAGATCCTTTTCCTGTCTTTGAGTTCAATCCTTGATCCCTCGAGCAATACTGTCACTTCCACTTTCTAAGAGGACTCAATACCCCAGAGTCTCCTAATCCAATGGAAACTGCTTGTTATGGTTCTTAAAGGCACTGATGCAAATGACATTATTATAACAAGGATGATTGAACAAAATAGATGCCTTTGGGTTGATTTCTAGTCACTCTTAATCTATGGAGAAGTTTTAGTCACACTGCTTTTTCCGTAAACAGAATTTCTATTTTCTCTATTTAAAAAAAGGTGCATTTGTTGTCACTGCATATGTGTGTGTGGATGGGGTGTGTTTTTCTCCTGGTACACTGATGTAAACAGTTTCTTACAAAGGAAGGTGGGCCTTAGCTAAATACTGAGATTGGCAACACTTATCTAAGTTAACTTCCAGACTCTCCACTTGGAAGTTTTTCCTTCCTAACATAGCTTTCTGTCCTTTTATTCCTTGAGGACAATTTTAGTTAAGTTCTAATTATGTTTATTTTTCTATAGAGTATATTTGTATTGACAGAGACTCTGCCGTGTTCCTTTTGCATTGTTCTTCATTCATTTCTTTATTGACTCTTTCATTTGACAAATATTAAGCACTTTAGCATAGGCATCGTGCAACTCTCCAGTAATAACATGGTAAGCAAAATAGATAGGCTTGGATCTTTTCATAAAGGGAGCTGTTTACTTTTGTGTTGTTGTTGTATTTTTAGTAGAAACAGGGTTTCACCATGTTAGCCAGGATGGTCTCGATCTCTTGACCTCGTGATCTGCCTGCCTTGGCCTCCTGAAGTGCTGGGATTACAGGTGTGAGCCACCGTGCCCAGCCACCAATTTTTTATTGTTTGAAAAAAGATAACGCGATATTAAATGATGGAAAGCTTTATCTTTCTTGTTTTTATTCTATTACTTCTGAATATTTCTGCACTTAGATGTGAAGCAATAAAGAATAGATACATAGATGCTTTCTTAGCCTTTGGCATCCTTTAAAAATATTTTCATCTGGAATATGTATTAGTTGTAATCTGCCAAATATTACTGCTCTTTGAGGAAGCCCTGGTACAGGGAATAAGGACAAATAGAGTTGATAATTTTATAAGCACGAAAGGAGAAGAACCATCAGGAGAAAATAAAATTCATAAAATGACATTTTATTACAAAACAATTAGAATTAGATCTCAATATGTAAAAAGCAAACAGAGTTTCAACAGGACTCTCTGAGCTTCAAGAGTGGTTTAAGCTTACTTTTGTTTTTTTCACATTCCTAAAGGAAGAGACACATCTGTTTGTATAATATTGAAGAAAAGGAAAAAATCATGTGTATGAATCAAATTTCAGGTTAAGATTTTGTTTATATGAGAATAAAACCTAGCAATTATCTGCTGGTATTAAAAATATCTTCTGGAGTAGGAGGAGGATATGTTTAGCTGGTTTATGTCTCTTCCAAATCTAAACCCAATGTCTAATGATTATTTGTACCATTTTTTAAATTCCTAAAAGGAAGATTTTTTTAAAAAAAATTTGTGCATTTTGCACTTTGCTGTATGTATAGGATAAGGCCATGCATATAGTAAGTAAGCAAGTGCAAAATTTAATAGAATAAAGTTGTTTTTATATGTTACACTCGATGAAGACAGACAAGGAATAATTATCATTTTACTTACCAGTTGGCAAATATTTACTGATAATTCGTATGAGGCAAGAAATATACAAGGTGTTGGAATGTGAAGTAAAATGAGATAGAATCCATGCCTTAGAGGTATCCACTTAACATACATGTTAATTATAGC
Source organism: Homo sapiens (assembly GCF_000001405.40). Lineage (NCBI taxonomy): Eukaryota > Metazoa > Chordata > Mammalia > Primates > Hominidae > Homo > Homo sapiens. The sequence continues at coordinate 71,405,032 of NC_000009.12, read as the reverse complement.
ACAATGTAGAAATATCAAAATGTAGCTATGTATAAAGTACTGCAGGAGCCGAAGGGGTCATGGACCAATGCTTCCTGGATAAGTTGAAGAGGACCTTACAATGCATACTGGATATTTGGTTTAGATCTAGAGATATTTTCTAGGTGTTGAATGAGACAGAAGTATAACAGGCAGGGACAATGGCTTGTGCAAAGCTGTAGAGGTACAAAAGGACCTGGTTTGTGACAAAGCAGAAGAAATTAGGGCATAGAAGTTAGAGGGAGTCTAGGAAGGCATGGGTCTTTTGTTTTGCATGAAGTCCAGGCTTTATTCTCTATGCAATGGGGAGCCATTGGATGATGTAAGCAGACCAGTGACATTATCTTGAAATACCTCCAGCTAGTTTTAAGAATGGGTTAGTGGAGAGGAAAAGACCAGAGCCAGCAAGGCAACAAAAGCAATCAGAAGGTGATAGCATTAGTCCAGCCGAGAGATGGCCAGGGTCTGTCTGACATAAGACATAGAGATAAGAGGAAGGAGAGACTTAAGATTTTATAAGGCAGATTTGAAAGAACTTGATGAGTAACTGAATTATAGAAAAAAGAGAGATGAATAAGTTAGAGGAAGGCATCTGGTATAATTTCAAATCCTAAAAAGATTCCCATGTTATACTATGTTGTTCAGGTGGAAATGCATCTGATTAAGGTTGATATTAAACAAACTTATTGCCTAACGAAAACCTATTAATGTAACAAGCAATTATTCATCATTTATATCTCTTATGTGTTGGACACTGATTTCTTCTTAAAAAGTCAGTAACAATAACTAGTATTATTGAGCTGCTACTTATTTAGGCACGATGCCAAGGACATAGACATTTTTATCATTCTTGCAATCACCTTGGGATGTATGTATTACAGCCCTTGTTTTATAAAGATGGCCAGGCGCTGAGTGACTCGTTTCCTCTGTAACCTGCTAAGCTTGTAAGAGGTTTCTTTAATAGAACAAACACTGGACATTTCTAATTCAAAAACCCTGCTATTTTCTAGCTTACTCTGCCTCAGTATATCAATTTAATATATTCTGTGTTTTAGGATTTTGGAAAGAGAAATATTCTTAATTGATCATTAGAAAGCACCAACTTGTCCACATCCTCTGAATTTAAGTTTGATTCCTGTGGATTCTTAATTCTCCTTTTAAGATGCCCATGTTGTTTATCTTGCAGCAGTCTCTGAGGTTCCATGGGTCTTAGCTCTTTTGATGGTGTCTCCTGAAGACTGACAATGAGAACTATTTTATATTTGCCTTACAAGTGGTATAGAGCATAGGAGTCACACTGTCTGGGTTCAGATCGCCCCCTCCGTCATTTATTAGCTTTATGACTTCACTTTAATTCTTTATGCATATACGTTTTTTGTTTGCTCATTCATCAAGCAAAGATTATAGCTTTATTTCACAGGGTTGTGGTGAAGCGTCAACGAAAATGTGAGATAGTTAGCATAATAGAACCTGGCATATAGCAAACATTTTAAAAATGATCATCATTATTATCTTTTTAAAATGACCTAACACCCTTGAGTCATACAGTTTCCAGAAACAAGTATATTCCTTTTGCATTTCTTGCTTTGCTGTCTTTATACATACTTTCTTACCTGGAGTGGACAAACTCAGTTTCTAAATCTTCCGTTGCTTCTTTCTCTAGAACAGGAGTTGGCAAAGTTTTCCTGCAAAGAGCCAGAAGGTAACTATTTTAGGCTTTGAGGTCCATATGGTATCTGTTACAATTGCTAAATGCTGCCATTGTAGCATGAAAGCAGCCATAGACAGTTCTTAAAGGACTAATTATTCTGTGTTCCAATAAAACTTTAATTATAAAAACAAATGTCCAGCTGGATTTGGCCTGCAGGCATAGTTTGCCAACCTCTTTCCTAGAAAGTTCTTTCAAAGTTCCCAGTCTGAGTTGGGAGCCATTCTAGGTGAGCCTTTATCCACTCATTACCTCCTACTGAACACTTTACATGCAGGAAATTATTTATATCTTTCATAAGATGAAGAACTTTGAGAACAAGGATTGTATCTTGTCTTTGTCATCTCTTTATAACTTTTGCAAGGGTAGAAATGGTTCATTAATGTTTTTTGAGTGAATGGATGAATTTCATTAACAGGATGCTGTGCACTGGCTCTGATTCAATTGCTGTTAAAAAAAAATCTGACCTACACTGATAAGATTAGTGTAAGGTTCAAATTGAGGCCCAATCAGCATGGATCATAGCTGGGAAAGGCATGGCCTCCCTGTCTCACAGATAACACAAAATAAGCATATACTACTTCATGTTTGCTTTAAAATAATTATTTTCCCTACCAAGGAGTACAACTCTCAGAGGTCATTGAAATGAAATGATGCAATATAAACAGTTTTTTTATTTCTTAGAAATAGGATCACTCAGTTAAGTACAATTTTAAATTTAGTGATGTAGGAAAGAAAGTGTTTGGGAATGGGATGCTGATTAGTTGTAGGCTTTGGAAATGCCTGTTAATGGATTATCAAAATACACAGGAGAAATGCTACAGACCTTTGATATATGCATGACAAGACCTTTGTGCATCTTCAACTTAGCTGAGTAGGGAGGAGACTAAAGATAAGGGTTACCAAAACCCAAAGAAGAATTTATCTCGAGGAGACTTCTGGCAAACCACGTGATAGAAAATGATCAAATTTAGACACCTCTTTTCTGATTTCTGATTATCTTGTGTACTATAATTCTTCGTTGACTACTAAAGAGGCAAGATTTTGTGCCACCTTTTCATGTTTGTTCATTAAATTGTCTAGACACATACAAGTGAACTCGATATTTAAATAGCTTTGGATTTCAATTTATTTTGGCAAAAGTAAGCAGCAAAGTGCCAGGCTGTGTAGACTTGCATGCTGCTTCTAATTTGCGATGAGTAATTGACGACAGTTTGTTTGAATGTTCATTTTTTTCTTCATTTCAACCTCGCTGGCTGAAAGTTGGCAGAAACACTTCTGATACAAAAACCAGCCATCAATTTACGGATTACACACTGATAATACATGGTATGCCTTTTTAGAACTGTCTCTCCCCAGTAACTCATGAGAGTGATTTGAGGGGATAATATGAACTTTTAGAATTTCAATTTTTGTCTCTGCCTGAAGGCTGCTCAGCTGGATAAATTATTGAGTAGTCCGTAGTCAAATCTGAGCATAGCTTTATTTTGACATAGGCTTAGAAATCTGAGGCTGATGTCCTTTGAAATGGCAAGCAAGTGCTTTGCCTTCCCATCCATTCTAGTTACCACTATTCAAATCCAATTCTTTAATACCTCAGCTTAGTAGCATATCTTCCATTCTTTGGTTACTCTCTTCTCTAACCACCGTATGTATTAATATTATTACAAAACTGCTTTCAGAATATCATTATTTGTTCTAGAACATGCAATGAATTCTTGACATCTACCTCATCAAGGGTAAGTTCTTCAACTTCGCTTTAGATTCTGAAATCTAATCTCATTCTGTCTACTTAACACACGATTTTCTCTTTTACCTAATTTAAAACACTACTCCTGACAGATGGGTTTATTTACTGTCCTCTGGGCCTGCCAAAACCATGTTCTTCATCTGCATGCCCTCCTCCAATAGTCTGCTCAGATGAACACTGGTCAACCTCTGAGATTTTCCAGTTGCCTGAGTCCTCTAACTACCTTAGCCTACTCTGATCTAACCTTCCCTCATCTTCCTTCCACCCCACGTGTGTTTGTTTCAGTTAAAAGAGCTCTAAGTTCCTTGAAAGCAGAGGTTACTAGCCATATGATAGATTCTTTTTTTTTTTTTTTTTTTGCGATGGTGTCTCACTTTGACCCTTAGGCTGGAGTGCAGTGGCACGATCTTGGCTCACTGCAACCTCTGTCTCCCAGGTTCAAGTGATTTTCCTGCCTCAGCCTCCCGAGTAGCTGGGACTACAGACATATGCCATCACACCTGGCCAATTTTTGTATTTTTAGTAGAGACGGGGTTTTGCCATGTTGGCCAGGCTGGTTTCCAACTCCTGACCTCAGATGATCCACCTACCTTGGCCTCCCAAAGTGCTGGGATTACAGGCATGAGCCACTGTACCCAGTAATTGATTCTTAATAAATGTGTGTTTGGTTTTACTAATAAGCATTAGAATACCTTTCTTTGAATGTATTTTTATAAAGTTGTTTTTTCTGTGTCATTAAAATTTCTGGATTCTGAAAAAAAAAAAAAGAACTAGTAAAATACATTGCCATACACTTAAAAATAGAACCAAACCGTTTGCTTTTGGTACAGTATTAATATTTTGGCAGTAGATTATACCTCTTTACCAGTAATAGTAAACTATGGCAGGTCCTTGGTTTTAAGTATTAGCAATAAATAATTTCAAAAAATTTAATTTTGAAAATTGAAAAAGTTAAAATTAATAAATGTAAAAATTAAAGAATAAAAATACTTTCTATTCTACTTCTTCCTCAATTAGAAGTATATTAACCAAGATTTCTCTTTTACCCCCATGCAACTCTTTTGCCACCCAGTTGATGAGAGAAGAGGGTTTCAACAGTAACAGAATTAAATAAGAACATAAGTAACAAAAATCCCTCTCTAGATCATCCCAGTGAATGTCAAAGTAAACTTTGAGTATAATACCAAAATATCTCAATTATGTTTTAATTACAGAGCCAAACACTTAGAATTAGCTGCTGGAAGTGTAGAAAACTCCCATCAACCATAATGTAAGGATCAGAAAATCTTCCCAACCTGCCAGGCATGGTGGCTCACACCTGTAATCTAAGCCCTTTAGGAGACTGAGGTGCGTGGATTGCTTGAGTCCAGGAGTGGCAAAATGAATGAATGAAAATCTCCCAAACGAGAATTATTTTTACATGATTCTGTAATGTAGTTGATATTAATGATAACCGAGAGGCATTGAGCAGGACTCTGACTTAGTGTTTCAATTTCTGAAGGGACTTTAGTGGTTACCCAAAACAACTCCCTTATTTCTCACCTGAAGAAACTGAGGATCAGAAAGTTTAAGTAATTTGGTCAAGCTCGCTTAGCTTTGATCCAGAGAACCTGATCTTTTGACACCCAGGCCAGGATTTTTTAAAATTTTCATATCATATTCAAGAAAAAGAATAAACTATATTCAGAAAAAAATCAACAACTTCTGGAAACGAAAAGAAAATATAGGCTGGGCGCAGTGGCTCACGCCTGTAATCCCAGCACTTTGGAAGCCCAAGGCGGGCGGATCACAAGGTCAGGAGATCAAGACCATCCTGGCTAACATGGTGAAACCTTGTCGCTACTAAAACTACAAAAAAAAATTAGCTGGGCGTGGTGGCGGGTGCCTGTAGTCCCAGCTACTTGGGAGGCTGAGGCAGGATAATGGTGTGAACCCAGGAGGTGGAGCTTGCAGTGAGCCAAGATCATACCACTGCACTCCATCCTGGGCCACAGAGTGAGACTCCTTCTCAAAAAAAAAAAAAAAAAAAACAAAAGAAAATATAAGGAGTAAAATGAATATCATCTATCTTTAAATTATCCAAAGATAGCTTACTTTATAGATTCCCTTGCAGTCCTTCATTTGAATCTATATTGAATACATAATGTAACTTAGCTATAATCACTGTGATCACATAAAATATACAGTTTTCTATGTAGTTTATTTCTACTTAGAACTTCATAAAGCAAGGAGGTTGTGGGTTTACTTTCCACTTTGTTCTTAGTGCTTTGAACATTCTTTGGCATGTGCTGGGCATCAACAAGAACAACTTATTTCCCCATTAAGTAGTTTTCTAAGTCATGATTTTTAATGGCTTCATTGTATTTCATTATATAATTATACTATCTTAGTCTCCTATTTTGTACCATTAGGTTGTCATTTTTTATATAAATGCTGTTATGAAGATTCTTGAAGGCAGATCTTTCAGAATACATTTTATTGATTTTTTTAGAAGATAAATATTGACTTAGCACTATTGGGACAAAGGATATAGTCAAAATTATTTAAGGCTAAATTATGGGCATTGTTCATTTTACTGATTAATAGTATCAATTTTGATATTTTTTCTTTAATAGATGAAAAAGAATTTTCATTTTAAAGTTTACATTACTCTTATTCATTAAATTGAATATTTTTCAATATTTATGTACTGTATTGTTACTTATCGATTGCCTGTTCATAACCTGTGTCTTATATTTTATGAGGACTTTTCTTAAATTTCTCATTTTGCATTAGTATAGAGATTGTATGAGTCTGTTCTTACACTGCCATAAAGAACTACCTGAGACTGGGTAATTTATGAAGAAAAGGGGTTTAATTGACTCACAGTTCCAGAAGCTGTACAGGAAGCATGGCTGGGAAGCCTCAGGAAACTTACAATCATGGTGGAAGGCAAAGGGGAAATAAGCACGTTTTACCTTGGTGGAGCAGAAGAGAGAGCTGGGGGAAGTGACATACACTTTTAAACCATCAGATCTCCTGAGAACTCATTCACTCTCATGAGGACACCATGGGGGAAATCCACCCCCATGATCCAATCACCTCCCACCAGGTCCCTCCCCCAACATTGGGAATTATAGTTCAACATGAGATTTGATGGGGACACAGAGCCAAACCATATCAGTGATTTATAGATTCAAAGTACACACAGCTTCTCATTTATTCATTATAACAACCTTGTGGGAAAAATAGTGTATTAATCCTATTTTATAGATGAAGACAAACTTAAAAAGTTGTTACTTACTCAAATATGCAGCCGGGATAAGAACTGAGCTTTTTTCTATTAACATTGCCCTGGCCTAAAAAATATCTTTTCAAAGGAGAGATCCTTGAACTTATAAAGGGTAACTAACACTACATGAGAATATCGAGTACTGTATAATTAAATTGATGTAATGTGAAGCTTATCATGGGGCAGATCATGGGGCTGATTAGCTTACTAGCACTGATGTGAACATCTGATACAGGCTAGGGACTCAATTCATTGTTGCTGAGCAAATGGCACGGTCTAAACTGGATAAACTGGTTAAAGTTGCCAGGAGGGTACATGGTTGTTACAGTTGACAATCCAAAATATTTGAGTAAGAGTTTGGCTTGGGAAAAAGTCCATTATATTTGTCAGTCAAGGTTCAGATCTACATTTGAAAGCAGTTTCTGCTAACTTAAAAAATCTCTAATGTGTATTCAGAGGTTTGCATGTACCCAATATTCTGGAAATATAATGTAGACTCTTCATCTTTTTCTTTTTCTTTTTCTGATGTAAACATAAGAGTTCTGCATAAACGTAATATTAGACCATGGGAATTTAGGTGACTGCATTTCAAATTGCATAATCTTATCTGAAATTTATTTCAAGCTTCTCTGATATAGGTGGTCAGAAATTTAATGACAGAATTTAAATTCATTGTCATTCCTTCTGCTTTGGAAAGAATGTATCCAAAGAGGGCCTTGTAGGGGTGAAAAAGTTCCAACTCTTCCTTGGTGAAGTTTGCATTATTTTAGGTTTAACCCAACAAACACTTTAAGTCACTGTGATGTTGTATATAACATTCAACAGAACTTAGGGTGTCAAAGAATCACAGTTATTAAGATACAGTTTATAAGATTATCTGATTTCAAGAATGCATCCTATAGGATAAAAAGGAAAAGCAAAGATAGAGAAATACAATTATACTTAAAGGCCCCTTTTAAAAAAAACAGATATTACAATAGTATTGGAAAATATATGCTTTACAAACAAAATGTATTTTCCCTGACCAATACCCTCCAGATAAAAACCATATTATTCTGGCTGTAAAGGAGTATAATAGTAGCTGCAAAAATGATCTTTATCTAAATGGAAATATATTTTATTATTGGAAAACCATGGTTTTATTCTGATTACCAACTGTGCTATTTTTATTTAGAAATATCTTATCGTACTACATTAATGTTGCCGAATTCTCTATGTTGGAGAATTGGAAATGTGTATATATGAACATTGAAGGGGAAGAAAAGCTGGTGCATGTTTTCCTTCCACTGTATATAAGGCTTAATTTTTTTTTTTTTTTTTGAGATGAAGTCTTGCTCCGTTGCCCAGGCTGGAGTGCAGTGGCGCGATCTAGGCTCACTGCAACCTCCACCTCCCGGGTTCAAGCGATTCTCCTGCCTCAGCCTCTCTAGCAGCTGGGACTACAGGCACGTGCCACCATGCCTGGCAAATTTTTTGTATTTTTTTTAGTAGAGATGGGGTTTCACCGTGTTAGCCAGGATGGGTCTCAATCTCCTGATCTTGTGGTCTGCCCACCTCGGCCTCCCAAAGTGTTGGGATTTACAGGTGTGAGCCACCACGCCCGGCATTTTTTTTTTTTTCCTTAAAGAGGAATTTTATTCCAAAGTTCGACTTTTAACTTTTTAGATTTGGTTCTCAGAATCGTCTTTCTCCTGAGGAAACTCCTGTGGCTGGGGTTTCTCAAGTGTAAGAGTGTAATAGGATGACTCACATCTAAAGATGTGGCCTCCTGATTTTAAAATATTCTTTTCCATGGTAATGAACCCATCGTTTAAAATGAAAATTAAAATGGAAGTTGTAAGTTGTAATTTACTTTATAGTTGCTTTAGATCAAATCGTGTCACCTTTTGGACTCTTAAAAGTTGTTAAATAAATTTGTGCCTTGATAATCATTGCTGCCGCATAACTCTTTGCACATTAATTAAGGATTTTTTTTTTTTTTTTAGCAATAGCACTTTTTTTGTTTGTTTGTTTTTTGTTCTTAGGTCATTAACTGAAGAGCAGTAGTTCTTGAAAGCAGTTTACCATTCTGAAGATGAAAAATACGTATCTGTCAAATTACCAGTGATAACTTCTAAATATCACAAGGCAGAGCAGAAAACCATTTACAAACGTGTTTGTCACTTGCCTGCTTGAATTTGTTTTTTAATCCTAATAGTTGTTTCCCATTGATCATAGAATTAAGACCACATCCCAAGTCCTTCAAAGCCGTTCTCTCATTTTTATTAACGTTTCTTATTCTCATTTTTGCTTTTTTAGCTTTTCTAAATGGTTTTCCTGAACATTTCCTTCACTGGATTTTTGTCCCACTCCCACCTTTGTACATTCCCCAAATTCATACCCAGTAGAAACTGTCCTCCTGCTTTCAGATTGTCAAGTTTTACAATTTTACATTAATTCTGTATTTCCATCTCTTTCACTAAAACTTTCTCACCTCACTGATTAAAGGGTATTAAAAGGCATTTTCTTTGATATGAAGCTTGCCCAGGAGAGCACATTCCGTGAACCTAGTAAGTGCTTTTGGTCATGATGAGAAATAATTAACTAGAATTTTAAGACCTTAGTCAACATTTTGATCTTTCAAAAGATTGAAACAAGCTTAATTAATTTGCTAACAGAAAAATCAGAAAGGAAAATAGTTAATGATAGTTGATCTTTTATTTTGGTACCAATGTTACCTGAGAACCATACTGCTGCGGTCAATTACATGAAGTTAAAGTTAACTCTTCCACAGGGCAGCTCCACGTGTCATTGCTTCTCAAACAAAGCACTCTCCCTAGAATGTCTAAAGTTTTTGTACTATCAGACCTTTTCCTATGTAGTGTACTGTGGTTCAATAAGAAACTACTTAGAATTTCCTACATGATAGCATTTATCATTTTCCTAGGTGATATAGGAGTCCACAGTTCCGCTGAGGAAGGCAAAACATTTATATCTGAAGCTGTTAAATCTTTGTATTAGAAATCACATAATTAAGTGCCAAATTGAGTACAAGAGATGGAAATACAGACTAGGGATACACTGAAGTGTTCTGGGGGAAATTTCATTGAGAAGATAGATGTGGACTTGAGCTGTGCAGGAAAAAACGAAAGGCTGGGAAGAGCACTGGTGAGGCTTCATGATGATCAACAGAGGTGCTATTGGCATTTTGGTAGCACAATGTCTCATCATGAGGTATTGCCTGGTCATTGTGGGATGTTTAGCATCCCTGGCTTTTGAGTACTAAATGACAGTGGTACTTCCAGTTGCAGGGGCAATCAAAACACCCCGCATAGGTCCAAAGCACTCACTTGGATGTTGTACTTGCCTTGGTTGGGAGCCATGTCTGGGACATGTCATCCTCCTGTGGACAGTTTGAATTTTGGCCTTTTGAGGCACAGAGTTTATGATGCCAAGTAACAGGAGGTGAAGGTTTGTATATTGACACTGTAACGTATTTTAGGAGAAGATGTAGACTTGGATGCTTTTAAGAAACAGGTTGATTTTTTTCTCTTGAAATTATTCCTAAATCTGAGTTTTGTAGTCAACCAGGGAAAACTTTACTGTGGATCTGAGAAAAGATTGTGTGACATAGGCAGATCATACATCAAAAAGGCTGGGATGTGTGAGAGCAACATAGCAACCAAAAAAATATAAGTTACTGAAATTGGTGAATTCAAGAAAAATCTGGGAATGGGTCATTTTTGGCTGACTTATATGCCTGTGCAGGGAAAAGACCTTCATATTTAGTGAAGCAAGCTTTGGACTAGTTTTGGAAGCTTGTAGTCTCCATGTATCTTTAGAAATTATGTGTAATTATAATAGTAAACAAATACATGTTTTATCTTTTAAAATGTGAAGAATGCCAAACATTTTGGAAAAAGAAACTAAAAATTACCTCACCAAGGAATTTTTTTCAAACTATGTTTTCTGTGGTTGAAGTCATACAATATACACAATTTAGTTTCCTGTTTTTTAAATTTAAAATTATGAAAGTATTTTACTTGCACGTTAAACTCTTTATAAGAATATTTATGATGCATCAATAATAGAATATTTACTATAAATGGCCAAATAATTGTACTGTATTCTTCATTTATCAGTTCTGTAAAACTTCTCATGTTAAATAAACCCAGATGAGGAAGCTTCATTGATTTTTCTGGTGTTTTAGCAGTGTTTCCTAATCTCTTGCTTTCTCTCATGTCTTTGAGGGTCTAATGAAATCAGTGGATCTCTTCTCAGACGTGTGTACATACACAATACACATTTTTTTTTCTGTATTGTAAAGCGGTCTCCAGACCTCCTGAAGACTATCTATGGATCCATTAAAGGAATATAAATCCCGGACTATGAATTCCAATTTTTCAGTACAAACTTTCTTTCAAATATGGGAAAAATCAGGAGAAGAATTTAACTGTGACGTTGAGATGTCTGTCACTTGCTGGTCTCAGTGGAACTTAATGATCTGAGTGTGCTGTGTGGTATACTTATTGCCAACTGTTCAGTACCCTGAGGCCATCTTTAGAGTTTGTTTATTCCAGGCCATTGTACCAGAACGTCTTTATTGATGAAATTGGCTGTGTGCGGTTGGAAGGGGTATGAAGAGTCTCTAGGTTATTAACTTGGGCAGAACTGTGAAGTCACATCTTCAGAGCCTAGAGACAAGTCTCTTTGCAGACACGACTGGCTTGGTTCACAATGGGAAAGTATCCAAAGATTTTCCTTGGTGATTTCTAACTTTTCCTTCAGGTGTTTTCATCTTTCTGTTTGGTATTCCATCCTCAAGCTCTACCAAATTCTCCCTTTCAAGCACTCTTAATTAGCACTTACAGCATTTCCCTTTTCATTTCTTGCCCCATCACTGTCTTGTCTATTTTATTCTTTTCAACCTAGGCTAGGTACTGTTCTGGGACACAAAAATAAAAAGATATTTTCTCAACATATAGTATGTTTCACCCTATGCTGTGCTATTCAAAATCTGTAGAAATTCCTTGAAAGAGGTGATTGTTCTCAAACTTCCGTTCTATGCATTCCCTTGGCTGTTTTATTGCTATAGAAACCTCAATAGGCCTGAAAGTCAATTCACTTCTCTGACTCCCTTGGCCTGAACCAGGCTCTTTTCTTACTGTGAAATTATTCCAATCCCCTTAGACTCAAAACTGCCCAGACATTTTCCACATCTTTATCTCACTGTCCAATTAGAAACACGGTATCCAGTCCTTCCTAGAAAACAAATCGTTTCTTACATTCCTTCCTTTTAATACCTATTGCTCCAGGCCCATAAGTATGACTTAGATTTCTTGTTTACTTTCTACATTGTTCTATATTCCTACCAAATAACATTCCAAAACATTACTTTGATTATATTATACATGTACTCTAAAACATTTGATGATTACTCCATTTCCTAAAGGGGAAAGAGCTTTCAATTGAATAATTATTCAACTAGAATATCTTAAATGCCATTCTCCATGCTGTATAGGGTACAAATGTGATTTTGATGTAGCTTCCCAAGAAACTCACAGTATAGCAGGAAAACTGAGGTGCACATAGTTAACTATAGTGCTATATAGAAGGTGCTGTAAGTCTTGAGAGACAAAGTTTTACTAAATCTGAGAGAAGAGAGTGATAATTCCTTCTGATAGAGAGGCATAGGGGAAGATACTACTTTAAAGCCATATCTGAAAGAAAGTAGGATGTAGACACAAGGAGAAATGAGGCAGCATATTTGAAAATGGAGAGGATAATCTGAAAAAAACCAATACCCAGCCAAGGCAAAAAATACCCCAACAAAATTTGGGGAACTTCAAGTTATCCAATTCGAAGTTGTTACTCTGGCTCTGAGGGCTTTCCAGATAATGGACAGCCATCTTTCTGGACATGTCTCCTTCCATTCCCTACCCACATTGTCCTAGGCTTTCTTGTCTGACAATGCTTTGATTTCATTTTATCCTTTCCTTTTACTTTTCTGCTAGTGGGCTCTTACTTTTCTCTCTAACCAAAGTTCAAACTGCCAGTCTGATGTCCCAATTCACATCTGAAAATGTGTTTTCTTTGTAGGTGCAGTGTTTGTTTTTAAATTAAATTTGAATGCCTAAATGTGGGGCAAGCACACTCTATTTCACCACAGTCTGCCTAATTTTCATTGTCATATTTTCTAAATTGGCTTTTCTCTTTTTAGTTTCTGCTCAGGCTCTTGTCATAGGGATTTAAAATCCCTTGAGCTCACTCAAATTCTACTGAATTTTTCTTTAAGAAAGACTGTCCAAGCCACTGTAGCCCATAGAAATAACTTCTATCTTTAAATTTTCTTTCTCTTCTGATCATACTGTTTTATGCCTTTCAGTTATAAATTATGTATTGCCTTAAAATACCTCTAAATTGAGTGATTTAATAGCTGCTTAAATGTTTAACTATTATACCTTATCTCTTCAGCCAGCTGAAAGAACTAGAAGTATTTCATGCCCACAAGAATGACTTAAATTCAGCATGAGTGCAAAAAACATTAGGTTGAACCATAAGGAATTACTACTTTTGTTTGTCCAAATGGTTGAATATCAGCAATTTGAAAGCATTTGATGTAATAGTCAAATTCGATTTTTTACCTTGCAAATTTATAAAACTCCCCGAAATGGATTTTTAAAATTTTATAGCTAAATATTTGTTTATTTAGCATCTTTCATATGGAAACATTTCAATAACGTTTGATAGAGCTTGACCACTGTATTTATAAATTGAGCTTAAAAAGTCATTTTAATCTGGGCATATGAAGAATAAATATCATTAATCTATACTTAAAATAGAAAAATCACTATTTTGTTGAGGAAAGGTAACATCTTAGGCAAGATCACGTCATATTTTATCAGCGATTTTTTCATAGAAAGAAAGAGAAGTAGACAGTTGTAGTTGCTTGAGTATTATCATGGACTCAGTTACTTGAACTTTAATTCTGGTCTGAAACAAGTCACTTCATCTTTTTATCTTCTGTTTCCTGTTGTGTAAAATAGAAATAATGGTAATGATACCTTTCTCACAAGCTTGTTGGAAGGATCAAATAAGAGAACATGTAAAAGATTTCAAGGATATGCCTAGTACATAATAGACACTCAGTTTCCTTTCCTTTTTTTGTTCAGGCAGCGGTGGTCTTAGGGAGAATCTTAGTTACAAATGACAGTAATTTGTAATCATCAAGACTCGGGAAAATATTTGCTTTCTTATCTACTCACGTTTTATTCATTTGGATCTACATAATAAGTATCTCTGACTTTGTGTCTCAGTACCTTTACCTATTCATCTATTGTTGCTTTTTTTGTCCCAGACAACTTCAAGTCTCTTAATCTTTGCTTGAACTATAATTTTCCCCACACTCACTAGGGCCCATTTCTCCATACCCTGTACTTCTTTCTTCTTTGCAGCACTCATCACAATTGCAATGGAAAAGTAATCGTGGAGCTCAGTGTTTAATATCTGCACCTTTGCTAGTACACCTTTACTAGTACAGTGACCATGCTGATTTCATTTGTTGTTGTTACTACAGAACCAAGCATAGTATCTGGCCTATAGTATTGTAATGTTTAATGAGTACTTGAGAATCAATGATTGACAGTTTTAATTCATACATTTATAGACAAAGACCTAAGAGTGGCCCATGCACAGCCAAGATGGAATAAGAGTCTGTTAGCTGGTCTCAAACTCATTTTCCAGCTATAAACTACCTAAAAGAAGTACAGATTCTTATTTATGAAACTGGTAGAAAGGAGAATCTTGCCTTTAGTGAAACCAGTGACATGAGCTCTGTATTCAAAATGATCAGAATATAAACATTTGCGAGTAACTAATGCTGAAATTTGGAGAATTAGAAATGCAAATGTTATTCAGAGTATAAGAGCCAAGTTCAATTGCTGACTCAGATGAGAAAGTTAGTTTTAGTTGATACAGTGAATTTACCATTAAGTTTCCTTTATGTGTATAAAAAACATAGTAAATTCATTCCACTTGTCCCTTACCCACTTCTCTTCTTTCTTAAATATACTCCTAATAATTTTGCCTCCTGCTTTCTTCCATATGCCAGTGAGATGAATCTATCCGTGCATATTTATCTATCTGTGGATGTCCATGGATACCTATCCATCTATCTTATCTATCTCTGCATACCTAACTATCTACTGATATCTATTTAACTCATGTGTCATATCTGGAGAATGTAGATAACTGTGTATGAGTGTGCACACATGTGTGCTTCTATGTATGTATTTCACTAATGTTCTGAAATATTTTCCAAATAAGTTTTTTTTAATTTTATTTTTCCATAAGTTATTGGGGTACAGGTAGTATTTGGCTACATGAGCAAGTTTTTTAGTGGTGATTTTTAAGCTTTTGGTATATACTATACCATATTTGTAGTCTTCTATCCCTTGCCCCATTCCTACTCTTCCCCTCAACTCCGCAGAATCCTTTGTATCATTTTTATGCCTTTGCATCCTCATAGCTTAGCTCCCACATATCAGTGAGAACATATGGTCTTTGGTTTTCCATTCCTGAGTTACTTCACTTAGAATAATAGTCTCCAATCTCATCCAGGTCACTGCAAATGCTGTTAACTCATTCATTTTTATGGCTGAGTAGTATTCCATCTTATATATGTACACCACAGTTTATTTATCCACTTGTTGATTGATGGGCATTTGGGTTGGTCCCATGATTTTGCAGTTGTGAATTGTGCTACTATAAACCTGCGTGTGCAAGTATCTTTTTTGAATATTGACTTCTTTTCCTCTGGGTAGATACCCAGGAGGGGACTGCTGGATCAAATGGTAGTTCTACTTTTAGTTCTTTAGGGAATCTCCACACTGTTTTCCATAGTGGCTGTACTAGTTTACATTTTCACCAGCAGTGTAGAAGTGTTCCCTGATCACCGCATCCACACGAACATCTGTTTTTTGATTTTTTTTTTTAATTATGGCCATTCATACAGGAGTTAAGGGGGTATCACATTGTGGTTTTGACTTGCATTTCCCTGATCATTAGTGATATTGTGCATTTTTTCATGTTTGTTTGCCATTTGTTTATCTTCTTTTGAGAATTGTCTATTCATGTTCTTAGCTCACTTTTTGATGGGATTGTTTTTTTCTTACTGCTTTGAGTTCGTTGTAGATTCTGGATATTAGTCCCTTGTCAGATGTATAGATGGTGAAGATTTTCTTCTAAATAAGTTTTCCGGATGGGTTGTTTGAATTTCGTTTGGAGTTAAGACATCTCTTCTTTTTATCATGTAACATTTTGTTATTTTCTCCTTTTGTGCTCAAAGAAGCTGTTGTTTTGCTATAATTTTTACGGCAGGATCTGATACTTTGCAAGTGGCCAAACCTGTTCACATTAGTTTAAGTTCCCAGATACCTCATTTTGATGCTCTGAAAAACAGTAGACTCTGTTGATCCCTGGGCTCTGGATGGCAAATCTGCATTTCCTCTCCTGGGGCACTGAAGCCACATTAGGGAAATTGAAGAAAAAAATTCTTTTTTGTTGTTGTTGAGTTTTAAGTGACTTTGCTCTGAAGCTAAAGTCTCCCTTGGGTGGTACATGTAGAACTGTTAAAGAATTGAGAGGCTAGTGAATGTGTCTGTAGGCCCGAATATACTCTGTACTCTGTCAACTATTCTCAAGGCTGAAATAGGTAGGACTGGGAGGAGTATGGATTAATTCTGCTTCAGTGTTGATGACTTACATTTTTCTTAAGGAAGTTTTTCATACTGTCATTGGCTTTCCTTTGTGCATCTTACATTGAGGCTGAAATAATACAGCCAATTCCACGCATGTACACTAAGGCTCCGTCTCAGAAGTTTTGTGGGGAATGATTTGTGGCAAATTTTTCTTCTCACTTTTTACATTTTTATTTTAAATCTTTCTCATCACCCAGGCGCTTACTTAGACTCTGTCAGACAGAAGTGATTGAAAATAACCAGATATTTTACTTTTCTTGAAAAAAACAGCGATTTTACTTTTTTTATTCTTCTAAACTTTGTGTGTCTATGTATGTTTCTGTATGAGATTGTAAACATAAAAACATGAAAGTCAAGCTTCAAGGAAAGTTTTTTCCTCTTAGCTCATCATATAACTGGTCGTTCCTCTTTTTGTTGTATAACTATGTAAGATGGATGCTGCCAAGATCTTCCTGACAGTGGCACAGAAATCCCTGACTAACAAGTCTTTGATTACTGTGGTTATTTTGAAGATAGGAAAAGAACCCTTCATCTTCTTAGAACCAGAGCTGCCCAAAGAATATTATATAGCAATTAAGGAGTTATTGGAGAATGTAGATGATGTAGAAATATATGCACAATATATGATTGAGTAGAAAAGTATGTTATAACATAATAGAAAAGTTATATACGTATGCATCTGTGTGTGCCCGTGTCTGTACATGTCTTGATGAATATTTATTTTGATGTTAGTAGTGGTTGTCTCTAGAGATAGTATTTTGGTTTAAAATTTTTAATAAAATTGCAGTAAAATTAACTAATAATGGAGGTAACCTTTCCTGAGGGCTTACTATATGTTAGGCATTGTGAATGCGATATCTGACTTGTTTCACTTCTCAAATTACTTAATATTATACATATTTTAATAAGTAATAAAATAATGTTGCTGTTTCAAAAGAAGTTTTCCTTTTTCTTCCTACTTTGCCAACAACAAATATTTAATTACAGAAATTGTGGCATTAACATTCCTTTTCATGAAGATTCAAAGTCTTCCATTTTATTATACTTCAAGAAATCTCTTCATAGGCAGTTTATAGATGTAAAGTAGAATGGCTGTTGGTATAAGTTAAGATGTGGTATTTAGGATTCTGTCACTTTTGAACATCTGTGGCTCTATAAACACTAGGTCCTTCCCTGAGAGAGATCCCACAGATGATTTGCTGCTATAAAATTAAAGATCATGCTCAATTATCTGGTTTGACCATGAGGATTTAGAATTCAGAAACTAGGTTTGATGAATTCTTTGGCGTTCTTTGGTCTTCAATGCAGTGGTTCCTGAGGCTGTTGAGGAAGCTTCTTAACTGGCTTACTTTCCATCCATAATTAGGAAACCATTGCCCTTTTAGATAATCTAAATTTTCAAAAATCGAGTCTAATTTATTCCTTCTAACCTCATAGATCATTGATCTATTCATACTCGGTCTCTTTCCCTGAAAAATTTGACCTAACTTATTCTTATATGTTAGATAACTATCTAATAAGTGTAAGAACCATCAGTTGAGCAAATGCTGTCTCTGAGAAAATCATTTCCAAAAATTCTGACTGTTAGCTTATGTTCTCAGTGCCAATGGAAGATCACATGTACTTACTAGAAAAGGATAAATGTTTGTATTGTGTATATGTCTGTCAGCCAAACACATGGTAAACTAAGAATCAAATTGATTTTTACGGAACACTGATTGTCATTTTCTTCAGAAACTTTATAATCTATTCTCAGGTTTTGGAATATTTATTAAAGTTATTGCTATAAATTAATGTTTTGAGCCCTTATCCATGGCTTAAGCTACAGGCCAACTATATAATAACTGGTTTAGTGTTATATAATGAATAATATCATATAGTAATAATTATTTAGGGATTACCATTGCAGCATGAAAATCAATGAAAATGAGTTATATATACACAGTTCCAATATCCAATTGACTACCAGATACATCTGTACCTTGATATTGCACAGACAGTTCAGAGCCAAGATTTCTAGGCTTATTCTTATTAGTTTTGCCAACTCAGCTCTTCGGAATGTGTTCCCTTCCTATATTTGCTATCTTTTTTTTTTTTTCAAAAGACAGAGTCTTGCTCTGTCCCCAGGCTGGAGTGCAGTAGTGCAATCTCAGCTCATTGCAACCTCCACTTCTCGGGTTCAAGTGATTCCCTTGTCTCAGCCTCCCAAGTAGCTGGGACTACACGCGTGCACCGCCACACCGGGCTAATTTTTTGTATTTTAGTAGAGATGGGGTTTCACCATGTTGGCCAGGATGGTTTCAATCTCCTGACCTCGTGATCTGCCAGCCTTGGCCTCCCAAAGTGCTGGGATTACAGGCAGGAGCCACCACGCTTGGCTTGTATTCACTGTTTTAAGGAACAGCCCACCACTTTTCTGCCTCTTTCTGTCGACTGAGCTAGAAATCTTGGATTCATTCTTAACTCTATTCTTTGCATTGCCACTTCCACGTCCAACCAGCTACTACTACTTGTTGACTTTATGTCTAAATCTTCTAAGACTCAGCAGGTGTGGTGGCTCACGCCTGTAATCCCAGCACTTTGAGAGGCTGAGGTGGGTGGATCGCTTGAGGTCAGGAGTTTGAGACCAGCCTGGCCAACATGGTGAAACCCTGCCTCTAC
The DNA here is from genome assembly GCF_000001405.40 of Homo sapiens. Taxonomy (NCBI): domain Eukaryota; kingdom Metazoa; phylum Chordata; class Mammalia; order Primates; family Hominidae; genus Homo; species Homo sapiens. The sequence goes on along the minus strand of NC_000009.12, from coordinate 71,385,887 downwards.
CCCCCACCAAAAAAAATTAGCCAGGTGTGTTGGTGCACACCTGTAGTCTCAGCTACTTGGGAGGCTGATGTGGAAGAATCCCTTGAACCCGGGAGGCGGAGGTTGCAGTGAGCCAAGGTTGTGCCACTGCATTCCAGCCTGAGTGACAGAGTGAGACCCTGTCTCAAAATGAATAAAAAATAAAATAAAATATTCCAAGACTCACTTAAATATAACAGATAATCTGTTAATGTAATTATATCAATAGTAACTACTTTTCAAAAATTGTAGATAAGGACTAGTCATTTAATTTGAATGAGTGTTGTGGTCTGGTTGCAACATGATTGTGAAAAACTGGAAATAAGCCATATTGGAAGTACAGACTCAGTGTGTTCAGATCTTTTCAGCATTTTATAAGAAGTTAGAAATCTGGGTCTTTGTATGGAATCCTGATTTGTAAATGTAACCCTCTAATACAAATAAAGATGTCTCAAGCCAGTTTAAAAGTTCCATAAGTTAAATTTACCTTGTGAGTTGCTAGTTTTAGATTTATGCATATAGATCATGCTGGGTACCAAATTTTACATGCGTTTAAATTGTGTTCTTTTTTCTAAATAGTTATTAAAGAAAGAAATATTTTTCAGAAATAATTAGTTTTCTAGATTGATATTTTGAGACTACAAAAGAGACAAATATGGAGGTGTTATTCTACCTTCTCATGTTCTGGAACCATTCTTCAAAACTTCAAGAACAAACTTCTGACATTGGGATTTTGGGCTCCCCTTGTGCTACTCAAAGCTTTTAGCATTTTTGTTTTTTCCTTTATCTAGTAATAAGTGTGTTTTCATTCGCTAAAGGAGGATATCATGTGACTGTCTCAACTGAGGTATCTCAGAAGATGCAACATTTTCTAATTTCTTGGTTATATTTTGCCAGAAGGGATAAACTTCAGAGTCCATTATACAAATTACTTTTTTCTCTTTTAATTAAAAGATTTTTATTAACTGAAGAATGAATGCCTTTTATGGCTGTTTTTAAAAATGACATTAGAAGTAATCTTTCTTTATTTTAGACTCTGGAGAGTGCCTGTACAATCTAAAGTCTCACCTGGGATTCTGTCAAAATAAATTATTCTTAATATGGTGTTCTTACAGAATTTAATGACTGAAATAAATTGTTACATTTAGGTACAAGGCACAAGAGTTATGCTTTTCTTTCTGGCATTGCCTAAAAATCCTAAGATTGCTAAAGGCTAGGAAAACCATAGCTAAAATTTCAGTGGTATCTATGGGAGCATCAAAGAATAGAAATGTGAGTGACTGGCAGTTTCCATGGCAACAACGGAATTTTCGGGCTAGAAAGATGTATAGGTTACACCATCAAATGTGCCAGAGATTGGTCTCCATGACGACAGCCGTGTGAATGGGAAATGTATGCTCATGAGATTTTGTTTTAAAAGCCTATTGGGTTATTTTAGAAGAAAAGTCTTTGCCAAATTAATATCTTTTCTATTATGCTTTACTTTTTGTGGAAAACATATAGTTAAAATAAGGGATTCCATTTGTTCTAATGCTTTTGAGAAAGTAACATTCTTAAATATTTGTACTACCAAAGAGGTTATTGACTCAAAATAACTCCTTTGGCAGCATTTCTGAAATAAGGAACCAAAAGAATTCAGGTTTTTTCAATTTATTTACTTTTACATTTCAACATTTATCTCCAGGAGCAGTGCCCCTAAATATGAAAACAACTAGAGTTATTTAAGTTTTCTGATGTATATGAACATCAATTAGCCACCAGAATATATGATATATTAATAACGTTTTACTCTTATGGTATCAAAAGACAGGATTTATTACAGCGTCATGGAATGGAAGAATAGTCAAAGCTAATTACTACTCAAGTTATGCTTCCATTTGTAACAGCTTTTGATGAATTTTTCTTGTTGGTGTGTTTCAAAAAACTCTAACTTATAAGCACTAGCAAAATGGATCATTCCTTTAGTGTTTTGTGTGCATAATTAAGGATGGATATACTATGTGTTAGTGAAGGATTGACTCAATCATAGAAATAAACACTGGCCTTATGCCTAAGGTTTAAAATACTTTGGGAACACATTTTGTTTTTGTTTCATGGGCAGATGCTTGTGTAATCATGTTTGAGACCTGCTTGGTAAGATTGATGTGTTTATGTTAGGAAATGTACAACTTACAAAACTATAAGCAGGGAAAAGCAAAAAAGGGGTAGTCTCCTCAGGGGTAGTGCCAGCTGGAAGCAGTTTGAACTCTTAGACTAAAAGAGACAAGAAAGGAGGCAGTCCCAGAACCTGAAATAGTAGCTGTGGAGGAGGGCCACCTGACAGGGGCTGTTGCCTTTTGTACAGGGACACAGAAACCAGCTTAGAGAAGCCTAATTAGCAGGAGCTGAGGGAGGAAATACCCCAGCCACTCTCTCCACCCTTTCAGTCTCCTACTGTTATCTCCTATTGGCTGAACCCAACAAAAGCCAGAGGTCAAAGATGCAAATAGATGCAGTCCATAGTGGTCAGTTTACAAGGGCACAAAACAAGGAAAAGAAGGGTCAAAAATGAATCTGGAAGGGCAAACACAAGATGTCCAGTACCACCAGAAATGATACATATTTCAACGCGTCAAGAAAATTAGTATGATTTAAAAACACACATATACATGTACATACACGTATATATGCATATATGTGTATGTATCAGTTGGAGCTAACAGTGATATAAAATGCTGGTGTAAAATGTTAGAGAAATAATTCCTTTTATGCTCTATTTAAAAAAGCAAAATTGAGTGTTATTAATGTTAGGGTATGATTAAAGTTTAAAAACTAATTAGTTTTACTTTCTCATTGTTGACAATCATTTATCCAGCATCCGCCTAGAGCATACAATATTGTTTTGGGCTTATACAGAGTAAGCTAAAGAATATAGTCCCATTTTCTAAAGATAAGTATCTCGGTCCTGAAAAGGATTACCAAAATATTAGATATTATATAAACCACCAGAGAAGACATTATATAAACCATCCCAGTGGTTGATGAGTATGATGCCTAAGGTCACTTCTAAGTAGGAGTGAAGGAAATGTAAGACATTGTTCTGGCCTTCAAGAGCTAATCATTTATTTGAGAACAAAGAATCTGTGTTCAAGAGACCAAGGGACATTAAAAACTATATATGATAAAGTGCAAAAAAAAAAAAGACTATACAGATATAAAAGTTATATTGCTCTTCGCTTCTTTTTTAAAAAAATTCCAATCAAGAATGCCACTTATATGAGGGTTTATCTGGTACTCTTGCTGACTCCACACAAGGCAGTAATTTTTTAGTAGTTGCTTTTCATATAGCCTTATGTGTGTGAACTGGTTGGTTTGGTTTTTCACTGATTATTTATATTCAATTGTAAATATCCCACTGTACCTAGAGTAAGAAGACTCAAATATTAGCTTTACTATTTTCCAATAGCATGATTTAGATTTTAACCTTTTAGAGCCTCCATTTTTTTTACCTGTAAAGTACAAGAAAATTTTACTTAGCATGAAATGACGCATGGAAAATTTTTTCAAATGCATTTGGCACATGGTAAATCCTATAAACTGGATCCTGTTCTTTTACTTATAATTTAAGCAGTTGAGTTTTTCATAGAGGGTTAGAGATGTAGCTGTTTTAAAAGTTTAATTAAAATTTTTATTTAATAGGTGAGTAAACTGGAGTTTTGAGAAACTAAATCTTATACAAGGCTATATAGCTAATAATGCTAGAAATGGGATTCAAAACAGTCTAACACTAAAGCCATGTTCTTAACCAGTACCACAGTTTTAAACACTTTACTAAATTGTGTTAATGACATGCATGCATTTATCTATTCATACACTAACTTGGCATATACCACAGTATACAGTAATTTTTACCTTCCCCTCTCCCAAGTTTGATAGCACCGTGTGGGAAGTAGGTCTGAGAAGAGAGGTGCTCAAAAACCGTAGAATTAATCCATTAACATTTGCTGAACCCAGGCCCTTCTTTAGGTGCTGGGGACAAATAAGAAAGATGAGAAACCTGGAAAGAATATTTAATAATCATCTCATCCAAAACTGAAGCCATCCCTAATATTAGAGAAAGTGGTGTAGTGTTGTGAATTGTATGGGCTCTGAGATAGACATACTCCCATTCCAATCTTCATTTACATTTAACTTCTCTGAGCCTTAGTTTTCTTAGCTGTCAGTGTGGTTAATAGTGACTAAGTCATGTTGTGAACACTTGTGGTGTGCTGCTACATAGGTTTACGTTCATGTAAACATTCATGCCTTCAACACATGGTAGCTAGAAATAATATTTTAGTGCCACCGTATTTTTAATGCAGCCGCAGATATCTTTCAGCTTTGAAGTTGGCAATTGCCTAGAATTCCACTTAATCACTATTTGAAAGTATGAAATGACATACCAGGCCTTGCCTAGTCATTGAAATGGCCACATTGTGAACTGACCCTACTTAGGGAATCTTATTTCCCATTAGACTAGTTGGTCCCCAGTGATATACCCACCTACTGTCTTCCACCTCTGTGACTTTGATTATATTCACTCTATGCCTGGATAAATCCTCTTCCCTAATCTACCAGTCTGAATGTTACTAGTACTTTTAGATTTAATTTCAATTTTCTTTGTCCAAAAAGTCACCCCTGTCCTCTATCATTTATTATTGCCTGAGAGTTCTAGGCTCTACCATATTATGTAACACTATTTTATGCTGGCTGAGGTTGTTTGGTATCATTGCATGCAGGTGAGATTTAAGGGCAGTAATTGTCTTGTATTTCTTAAGTGTAGTCATGCTTGAGTCTTATTTCAATCTCAACACCAATCTCACACTTGCTTATCTTAACTTGTGTATATAGTATCCTTCCAGTGGATACAGGAGTGGTTCCAGATCTTCATTTTGTCGTCGTCTTCATTTTGTCGTCGTCTTCATTTTGTCATCCCCTACTCCCTACTATATATGGCCAAGCTGCAAAACTTCTCCTCTAGAAAGTATTAAGCAGTTCTGAGTCAAGATGCTGAGAGCTTCAGGGGTCTTCTTGGCCAAAGGTCAGGGTATTGCCATGTCCCTGTCAGGACCTAAGTTAGTAAATACGTTTTCTTTATGAAGCAGCAAGTGAAAGATTTAGAAACTCAAGGGACAAAACTCAGGAAAAATGAACCTTATTTAATAAAGTCACTTTTATTTTATGTTTAAGATAATATGAAATAATAATCAGATATTAGCCATACTATTTTCTTTGCTTTCTGCTGATGAAGTTTCTTTCTCTGGGAAGACCTGTCTCCCTAAAAAGAAGTAGGTTAGAGAGGTAGGTTCGTGGCCAACCCTGTGGGCTTGAGTTGGTTACTGATTCCCCAGGATTAAGGCCACTCTGCTTAGTCAATAAAATGATTGACAAAAATAAAATCAAATTAAAAATTTTCCATTCTCAGATGTGGTGCTGAGAGTTGGGCTTCCTCATTCTCTAATTGGTAATATTACCAACTCACAAGCATGCATACTTCCTCGCAACATAGGGCAAGATTTAAAGTATTTAAAGATTTTTTTTTAATCATTGTTTTCTCTTCATTTTGTGCCTTGTATATATTATCTTTTGGGACTGGAATGGCCCATGACTTGAATTCAAAGAACATCAATGACATGTTAGCAGCCTTTCTCTAGAAGGAAGAATTCCCCGCAAGCAAATAGCCAAGAAGACCACTGCACATTGAGGAAAAATGAAGGTCCCTTCTAATGCTGAGAATGTTGTATACTAACAATTTTAGTCAAGACTTGTATTTCCTGAAACTATACATACACACTCTTGGAAAAACATCAGTAGAATCTGCCTTGCCTCCCCCTGCTCCATCTTAAAATTAGATGAAAATAGAACCAGAAACTAGGGACTGAACACATGGCAATGCATAGTGGTTAAGAACAAGAACCTGGCATACACGAAGAAAGTTACTTGCGTATGCTGTAGGAGTGAATGACATACTGACCCTATGGTTCTCTTGACACATTTTACAAGACAAGTATAGGAAGTTTGACCATTCGAGCTTCTTCTCTGCTAGACTATAAATATTTTGAGGTCAGGGCTGTCTGATTCACAGATGTATATGTAAGTTTATGCTTTTCAACATATAAAGACTGACCAAGTATTTATTTGAATTAAAAAAAAAGATTCTGGGAAAGAAAAAAAATTCTGTATACCAGCAATTCCCAGCTGTGAGTGTTTGAGAGTCATCCTGGAAGGTATTGCATCATTCAGAGCCCACACCAGATCAATTAAGTGGGTGAGGCTATTTTAGGTATTCTTAAAAACCTCTGTAAGTGATGCTAATCTGTAGCCAGAATTAAGAGCCACTGCTCTGACGGTAACACCAAAATTTATGTGTCTTATCATAGCAGAAAAACCAAGACCCAACAATCAGAAAGTGGCTTTGGTGACAGAATTGAATGTAAATAAATGCCAGTTAGTCAATTGACTATGCTAAAGGATTGTGAAGCAATGAAAACTAATGTATGCTTTCACAAACCAGGGTAACCATTATCTTGTTTCAGAAAAGTTGATATGATTTAAAGTATGGTTCCAAGTAATGCTCTTCAACATTTTATATCTGCAGAAGACCTACTTGGACAGTGTAGATCCATTCTGTCACACATCATAAAGATAGATTAAGCGTTTATATTTTCCTAATATAAATTTGCCACTTTAGGTAAGTATTTCACGTAGCAAAAGTTGAAATCAGATTATTTAAATATTGTACAATAAGAAAACTGAAACAAGATAACTATAATGTAGTTATAAATTTCTGCAATGCCACTTTACACCTAAAATGGAGACAATACTGGTTTTTATTACTTAAAAATGTGTACTGTTTTAGTATTTGTATCTTCAAACCCATAGCACATGGCAATTCTAATTTTACTATTGCTAGACATTGAAGTAGGAAGACACAAATCTAAATTATATCACTGTGTTTCAGAGATAGTTGTACGCATTATATATAATTATTCAATAATATATAATGCTGTAATAGTATTTAGTATAAAGGCTGGACTTACTTGGATCCTACCCAAGCAAATTTATATTTTAATTAGCAAGTATGATTTACTAAAAAGTTTTACTTAAATGATATTTGAAGGTATTAACTCAAAGGCATTGTTCAAAATCAAATGTTTTGACAATTTGAATAGTGACAACATAGAAACACTCTCCGGTTTCCAAAGGGGCAGCAAGAGGAAGCATCTGAGTGAAATGCAAGAAAGAATAAAGTTGGAGTCCTTTATCCTCAGAACTTGGTGTGGTGTCTGTGATTTATTAGGTGTTCAATAAGCGATTGTTGACTGAATAGCACTTTCATGTTGTCAGAACCAGGAAAATGATAGCACAGGCTGTCAGTGCCTTGGACTGGCTCTAACTATAGCATTATTAGATAAGGAATATGACAGTTGAAGCTGCAATGAACATTTTGCTTAATAGCTCTCTAAAGTGGTTGTACCAATTTACAAAGTGGTTGTATCCATAGTATATGCAAGTTCTGTTGCTCCACATTCTTGCCAACTCTTGGTATTTTTGGTCTTTTCCAATTTGGCATTTCAGTGTGTATATAATGGTAGCTTACTGTGATTTAATTGTATCACCTTGGTGACTAATAAAATTAAACCCTATTTGGTCTGTTTGACTATTTGCGTATCTTCTCTTTCAAAGTGCCTGTTTCAAATATTTTCTTTATTTTTCTGTAGGGTTGTCTTTTTTTAAACTTTTGATCTATGAGTTATTGATATATTCTAGAATGAATCATTTACAAATATGTATTAGAAATATCTTTATCTACTCTGTAGTTTGCTTTTTTACTCTTTAAATAGTGTCATTGGACAATCCAAATGTCCATCAATACTAGAATAGATAAATAAATCGTGATATATTCATATAATCAAATACTACATAGCAATGAGTAAAATGAAATATAACCACATAAAAACCATACATGGTTCCCATAAACATAATATTAGCCAAAGAATCTAGACACAAAATAGTACATATGAGTTTTTTTAATATGTTCACAAACAGGCAAAAATAATCTATGGGAAGCTAATGTCCTATTTTTTTCTTTTTATCTGGGTGCTTTTCACATGGATGTTAGTAACATTGGTGTGTTCACATACTAAAAAGACATCAAGTTATACACTTATGATTTGTGTAGTTTCCTGCTTATAGTATACTTTTTTCTATATATGTTATACTTCAATAAAACTTTACATAAAAAAGATACAGACTAGCCACACCTGGAGAATAACATACCAAGAAAGAAACTCTGAGAGATGAGAGAGGTGGGCATGGTGATTTGCTACAGAACTGTCTCATGGTAAGTTGGTTCTGGCAAGGTCCATATCATGTTTCTGTCTATTGAATGCAAACAATTTCAGAGGGCCAATAATTATATTTTACATTAAGTGTAAACTTGAGATTTGATTTAAAGAAATTTAGTGAGACCCTCTGTGTGGCTGATCCCTTCTTGTAAAATGCCTGAAATGATTGTGTTTGGATGGTGGTTAATATTCCATCTCCGAGATTAAAAAATAATTTCTTAGAGGGCTTTTAAAGTCCATATATTCTAGATTTATTATAATGATCTGCTATCGAAGTATCTTTGGTCAATAGGAATTGTTAATGAATGGCCATTATGTTTAAATGATTCTATCTACGTGAAGCAGTGTTGCGTGGTACAGAGAACAAATAATTCGGCATCTCCAAAAAGTTTGTTCAGTTTTACCGTTTATTCTACATTTGTATAAATTCCTTAATTTGTGAGCCATTTCTAACTTGCAAACTAGTATAATAACACTTTCATGGCACGTGGCAGCTATGTAATAATTGGTGGCTATTAGTATCAATGTAATTTGTATAGTTTTTTGAATTTCAAAGTCTATTCTTCCAGAGAATGTAATGTGCAGTAAGAGAGCTGAAAATTAAATTTTATGATTAGCATAAAAAATAGAGAACACTTAAAAATTCAACTTAAATATTGAGTGGAGATCTAAATATATTTTTAATCCATGCTTCACTGTGCATTTGTGAACAGAAATTTCCAAATTTTCAGTTTTCTCAGTATGTTATTAAACTAGAATATAATTGAATAAAAATCATATTGCCTATTTTTGATGACTAGAACCTGAAAATATGCATTTAACTTAGATAAAAGGAATTATGACTGTATTGATCAGGATAATAATGACGATAAATAGCTAACAGTTATTGAACCCCTACCATGTGCCAGACGTTCTTTGTTAGTTTTATACTCATTTACCTATTCCTAACAAATTGGATGAAATAGAATATTTATATTCTATTATCCTAACTAGGAAAGAAAGATATTAAGGCATTACTTTATACATGGTTACAAATATAGAACTCCTGAAAAATTACTTGAGGAGTTATATATCCATTTACTGATAATTATGAAAGCAATGATACATATTTATAACCTTATTCTATTAAAATATTCATGTAAATCACTTGCAAGGGAAAATTGTTTCTTCAAAATTACAAGAATTTGCCTTAAAATTCTTAAATGTGTGTTATATCTTGTCTGATAGTCTTTAAACCTAAATAAAAATGATGAGATATAAAATTCCATTTCTTCTAGTCCATTTCTTAGAAGAAATGGACTTTTATATCTCATCATTTTTGTGACTTCTTCTAGTTAATTCAGCAAAATTTGCAATATCACCCCACCTCCTCACCACCCAAATTAGAAATTATGATCTGTTTGCTTAAGGAAACAGATTATAGTCTTGTCAGGCAGTATCTAAATGCATCATTTAATTTTATCAAAGATATGTTTTATTACAGTATAATACACAGATATACCTTGGAGATATTGTAGGTTCGGTTCCAGACTACTGCAATAGTTACACAAATCTTTTAGATTCCCAGTACATATAAGTGTTATGTTTACACTACACTGTAGTGTATTATGTATGCAATAATATGTCTAAAAAACAATGTACATACCTTAATTTAAAAACACTTTATTGCTAAAAAATGCTAACAATCTGAGCCATTGGTGAGTTGTAATCTTTTTACTGGTGGAGGGTCTTGCCTCAATGTTGATGACTGCTGGCTGATCAGGATGGTGGTTGCTGAAGGTTGGGATGGCTGTAGCAATTTCTTAAAATAGGACAAGAATGTTTCTTTTCTTGGAAATTTAAGTTCCTTGTAGATTCTGGATATTAGAACTTTGTCAGATGGGTAGTTTGCAAAATCTTTCTCCCATTCTGTAGGTTGTCTGTTTACTCTGATGATGGTTTCTTCTGCTGTGCTGAAGCTCTTTCGTTTAATTAGATTCTATTTGTCAATTTTCGCTTCTGTTGCAATTGCTTTAGATGTTTTCATCATGAAATCTTTGCCCATGCCTATGTCCTGAATGATATTGCCTCGATTTTCTTCTAGGGTTTTTACAGTTTTGAGTTTTACATTTAAGTCTTTAATCCATCTTTAGTTAATTCTTATATATGGTGTAAGGAAGGGGTCCAGTTTCAGTTTTCTGCTTTGGCTAGCCAGTTCTCCCAGTATCATTTATTAAATAGGGAGTCCTTTCTGAAACCATTGCTTGTTTAAGTCAGATTTGTCGAAGATCAGCTGGTTGTAGATATGTGGTCTTATTTCTGAGTTCTCTATTCTGTTCCAATGGTCTATGTGTCCTTGTACCAGTGCCATGCTGTTTTGGTTTGGCTATTTGGGCTATTTGGGCTCTTTTTTGGTTCCATATGAATATTAAAATAGTTTTTTCTAGTTCTGTGAAGAATGTGACTGGCAGTTTAATGGGAATGCATGGAATCTATATATTACTTTGGGCAGTATGGCCATATCCATTATATTGATTCTTCCTATTCATGAGCATGGAATGTTTTTCCATTTGTTTTTGTCCTCTCTGATTTCTTTGAGTAGTGGTTTGGAGTTCTTGAAGAGGTCCTTCACTTCCCTTGTTATCTGTATTCCTAGGTATTGTATTCTTTTTGTAGCAATTGTGAATGGGCGTTCATTCATGATTTGGGTCTGATTGTCTGTTGTTGATGTATAGGAATGCTAGCAATTTCTGCACATTAATTTTACATCCTGAGACACTGCTGAAGTTGCTTATCAGCTTAAGGAGCTTTTGGGCTGAGACAATGGGGTTTTCTAGATATAGGATCATGTCACCTGCAAACAATGACAATTTGACTTCCTCTTTTCCTACTTGAACACCCTTTATTTCTTTCTCTTGCCTGATTGCCCTGGCCAGAACTTCCAATAGTATGTTGAATAGGAGTGGTGAGAGAGGGTATCCTTGTCTTGTGCTGGTTCTCGAGGGAAATGCTTCCAGCTTTTGTCCATTCAGTAGGATATTGGCCATGGGTTTGTCATATATGCTTCTTCTTACTTTGAGGTATAATCTCTTAATACATAGTTTGAGAGTGGTTTTTTTTGTTTTGTTTTTTGTTTGTTTGTTTTGTTTTTTTGACACGGAGTCTCTCTGTTGCCCAGACTGGAGTGCAGTGGCATGATCTTGGCTCACTGCAGCCTCTGCCTCCGGGGTTCCAGTGATTCTCCTGCCTCAGCCTCCCAGGTAGCTGGGATTACAGGCACGTGCCACCACACCTGGCTAATTTTTGTATTTTTAGTAGAGATGGGGTTTCACCATGGGCCAGGCTGGTCTCGAACTCCTGACCTCAGGTGATCTGCCTGCCTCAGCCTTCCAAAGTGTGAGGATTACAGGTGTGAACCACTGTGCCTGGCCTTTGAGAGTTTTTAACATGAAGGGATGTTGAATTTTATTCAAGGCCATTTCTGCATCTGTAGAGATTATCGTGCTTTTTGTCTTTAGTTCTGTTTATGTGATGAATCACGTTGATTTGTGTATGTTGAACCAACCTTACATCACGGATTTCAAGTCAGCTTGATTGTGGTGGATAAGCTTTTTGATGTGCTGCTGGATTCAGTTTCCAGTATTTTAGTGGGGATTTTTGCATCAATGTTCATCAAGGATATTGGCCTGAAGTTTGCTTTTTTGTTGTATCTCTGCCAGGTTTTGGTATCAGGATGATGCTGGCTTTATAGATTGAGTAAGGGAAGAGTCCCTCCTTTTCCATTTTTTTTTCTAATTTCAGTAGAAATGGTACCAGCTCTTCTTGGTACCTCTGGTAGAATTCAGCTATGAATCTGTCTGGTCCTGGGCTTTTTTTGCTTGGTAGGCTATTCATTGCTGCCTCAGTTTCAGAACTTGTTATTGGTCTATTCAGAGATTCAGTTCTTCCTGGTTCAGTCATGGGAGGGTGTATGCGTCTAGGAATTTATTCATTTCTTCAAGATTTTCTAGTTTATGTGCATAGAGGTTTGTATAGTTTTCTCTAATGGTTGTTTGTATTTCTATGGGGTCAGTGGGGATATCCCCCTTATCAGTTCTGATTGTGTTTATTTGATTCTTCTCTCTCATGTTCTTTATTAATCTAGCTAGTAGTCTGTCTGTTTTGTAATTTTTTTCAAAAAACCACCTCCTGGATTCGTTGATTTTTTTTTTTTAAGGGTTTTTCATGTCTCTATTTCCTTCACTTCAGCTCTGATCTTGGTTATTTCTTGTCTTCTGCTAGCATAGGGGTTTGTTGGCTCTTGGTTCTATGTTTCTTTTAGTTGAGATGTTAGATTGTTAACTGAGATCGTTCTAGCTTTCTCATGTGGGCATGTAGTGCTATAAATTTCCCACTTAACACTGCTTTAGCCACATCCCGGAGACTCTGGTACATTGTGTCTGTGTTCTCATTAGTTTCAAATAACTCCTTGATTTCTGCCTTAATTTCCTTGTTTACCCAAGAGTCATTCAGCAGCAGGTTGTTCAATTCCCATGTATTTGTGTGGTTTTGAGTGAATATCTTAGTCTTGAGTTCTAATTTGATTGTGCTGTTGTCTGACAGACTGTTTATTATTTCAGTTCTTTTGCATTTGCTGAGGAGTGTTTTACTTCTATCATATGATAGAGGTAAATATTGATTACATATGATTATGTAATGTGTTGGGTCTCTTGAAGACAGCATGCCAATGGGTCTTGACCCTTTACCCAGCTTGCCATTTGGTGTCTTTGAATTGGGGTATTTAGCCCATTTACATTTAAGGTTAGTATTGTTATGTGTGAAATGATCCTCATTAAAAAGTGAGCAAAGAACATGAACAGACTCTTCTCAAAAGGAGACATACATGTGGCCCACAAGCATATGGTAAAAAGCTCAACATCACTGATTATTACAGAAATGCAAATTAAAACCACAATGAGATACCATCTCATGCCAGTCAGAATGACTGTTAATAAAAAGTAACAACAACAACAACAACCAAAAGCCAAAAACAGGTGCTGGTGAAGTTGCAGAGAAAAAGGAATGCCTTTACACTGTTGGTGGGAGTGTAAATTAGTTCAGCTATTGTGGAAGACAGTGTGGTGATTCCTGAAAGGCATGGAGGTAGAAATACCATTTGGCCCAGCAATTCCATTACTGGGTATATACCCAAAGGAATATAAATAATTGTCATAAAGATATATGGATGCGTATGTTCATTGAAGCACTATTTACAATAGCAAAGTCATGGAATCAGCCTAAATGCCCATCAGTGATAGACTGGATAAAGAAATTGTGGTATTAATACATATATATAATGGAGTACTGTGCAGCCATAAAAAAGGAATGAGAACATGTCCTTTGCAGGGACATGGATGGAGTTGGAAGCCATTATTCTCAGCAAACTAATGCAGTAACAGAAAACCAAATGCCACATACTCTCACATATCAGTGGGAGCTGATTGATGGAACACATGGACACATGGCAGGGAACAACACACACTGGGCACCTGTGGGGGGGATGTGGGAAGGGAGAGCATCAGGGAGAATAGCTTATGCTGGGCTTGATACCTAGGTGATGAGAGGATCTGTGCAGCAAATAGTTTACTGTGTAACAAACTTGGACATCCTGCACATGTACCCCAGAACTTAAAAGTTGGAGAAAAACCAAAAACAAAAGACAAGAATGAATTTTTTTCAAAATGATTGACTCTTCACCAAAGAGTTCTCTATGGCATGTGATGCTGTTAGATAGCATTCTACCCACAGTAGAACTTTCAAAATCAGTCAATCCTCTTAAACCCTGCCTCTGCTTTACCAACTAAGTTTATAACCTTTGTTATCATTTCAACAGTGTTCACCTGGTGAAGCATCTTCACCAGGAGTAGATTCCATCTCAAGAAATCACTTTCTTTTGTGCATCAATAAGAAGCAATTCCTTATCTATTCAAATTTTATGAAACTGCAGCAATTCAGTCACATCATCAAGCTCCACTTCTCATTCTAGTTCTCTTGCTGTTCTACTACATCTGTAGTTACTTCCTCCACTGATGCTTTAAACCTCTCAAAGTCATCTATTATAGTTGTAATCAACTTCTTCCAAACTCTTGTTAAGGTTGCTATATTCACCTCCTCCCATTAATTGTGAATGTTCTTAGTGGCATCTAGAATGGTGGATCCTTTCCAGAGGATCTTAATGTACTTTGCCCAGATCCATCAGAAAAATCACAATCTGTGGCAGTTATCGACCTAAAAAATGTATTCCTTCAATAATAAGATTTGAAAGTGAAGATTCCTCCTTGATCCATGGGCTGCAGAATGTATGTTGTGTCAGCAGGCATGAAAACAACATTCAACTCCGTGTACATCTCCATCAGAGCTCTTGAGTGACCAGGTGCATTGTTAATGAGCAGTGATAATTGAAATGAATCTTTTTTTTTTTTCTCAGAAGTAGGTCTCAGTGGGTTTAAAATATTCAGTAAACCATTCTGTAAACAGATGTACTGCCACCCAGGCTTTGCTTTTCCATTTGTAAAGCACAGGCAGAGTAGATTTAGTATAATTCTTAAGCAACCTAGGATTTTTAGAATGGCAAATAAGCACTGGCTTCAAGTTAAAGTCATCAGCTGTGTGAGCCCCTAACAAGAGTCAGCCAGTCTTTTGAAACTTTGAAGAATTGACTTCTCTGCTCTAGCTGTGAAAGTCCTAGGTGGTCTTCTTCCAATAGAAGGCTGCTTTGTCTTCATTGGGAATATGTTGTTTAGTGTGGCCATCTTCCTCAATTATTGTATCTAGATCTCTGAATAACTTGTTGCAGCTTCTACATTGGCACTTGCTCTTTCACCTTGTAATTTTATGTTACGGAGATGGCTTCTTGCCTTTAATCTAATGAAATAACTTCTGCTAGCTTCAAACTATTCTTCTGCATCTCCCTAACCTCAGACTTTATAGAATTGAAGAGAGTTAGGGCCGTGTTCTAGATGAGGCTTTGGCCTAAGGGAATGTTGTGGCTGGTTTGATTTTTTTTTTCTATCCAGACCACTAAAACTTTCTCCATATCAGCAACAAGGCTGTTTTGCTTTCTTATTATTTGTGTGTTCACTGTAGTAGTACTTTTAATTTTTTTTCAAGAACTTTTCCTTTGTATTTACAACTTGGCTAACTGGCCAGGAGGCCTAGCTTTTGGCCTATCTTAGCTTTTGCCATGCCATCCTCACTAAGCTTAATTATTTCTAGTTTTTTATTTAAAGTGAGAGATGT
The DNA here is from genome assembly GCF_000001405.40 of Homo sapiens. Taxonomy (NCBI): domain Eukaryota; kingdom Metazoa; phylum Chordata; class Mammalia; order Primates; family Hominidae; genus Homo; species Homo sapiens. Next base: position 71,370,246 of record NC_000009.12, on the reverse strand, counting down.
GAGACTCTTCACTTGAACACCTACAGGCCTTTGTTGGGTTATTAGTTGGTCTAATTTCAATATTGTTTTGTCTCAGGGAATAGACAGGCCCACGGAGAGGGAAAGAAACAGAGGATGGAAGAGAAACAGGAATGGCTGATAGATGAAGCAGTCAGAACACACGAATTTATCAATTAACTTCATCATGTTATGTGGGTATGGTTTGTGGCACACCAAAACCATTACAATAGTAACATCAAAGATTGGTGATCACAGATCACCATAACAGATATGATAATATTAATAAGAAAGTTCGAACTACTGTAAGAATTACCAAAATGAGAGACACAGACATGAAGTGAGCACATGCTGTTGGGGAAAAAGAGAGCTGCTGGACTTTGACGCAGGTTTGCCAAAATCTTGAATCTGTGAGAAGCGCATTGTCCATGAAGCACAATAAAGTGAAGTGCAATAAAATGGTGTATTGCCTGTGCTTGCAAAGAAGTACACAAATTATAAGTGATGATATTTACAAAGTAAACACACCTAGTCAACCATAACCCCGATTGAAAAATTGACTGTTCCCGGCCGGGCGCGGTGTCTCACGCTTGTAATCCCAGCACTTTGGGAGGCCAAGGTGGGCACCATGCCCAGGAGAATCGCTTGAACCTGGGAGGCGGAGGTTGCAGTGAGCTGAGATCGCGCCACTGCACTCCAGCCTGGCGACAGAGTGAGACTCTGTGTTATAAAAAATGGACCATTCTCAGCAAATCAGAAGTTCCCTTCAGCCTCATTTGCATTTACTACACACCTAGATATAGGTTTATTAGAGTCACTATTTTTGTTCAGTATCTCTAAGTTTCGATTCTTTAGAAACATGTTCGTTTTATTTATATTTTCAAGTGCATTGTCATAAAGTTTCTTATATCCTCTGATTTTTTAATACATGGAGTATTAGTCCTTTAAAAACTTCTAGTATTCCAATTAGTATTTTCCCTCTTTTTTCTCCTCCATCAGCATTACTAGGAATTTCATTAGTCCTCTCAGATAAACACATTTCATTGTTTATTTCTCTTATTATAAACTTGTCACCTATTTTGGGCATCTGTGTTCTCTGCTCTTTATTTTTTTCCTTCTGCTTTTCTGAGGTTTTGTGGCTCTTTTTCTAAATTCTTAAAATAGCTAGTAAGATTATTGATCTCAGTTATTCTTTTGCAATATATGTATATAAGACTATCTTCTAAGCATGGCATTTTCTGCATCCTACATGTATGTCTTATTTTCATGATCATTCAGTTTACTATTTTCTACTTTCCATTGTGATTTCTTCTTTGATCCATGTTTATTTGGGGGATTTTTATATTCGTCACACATTTCCTTTCTACTTAATATTTTTATTTGTTGAAATTGAGTTCAACTGAATCCAATATTTATTACAAGTTGTCAAATTTACTTATTAGTGTTTGTCTAATTGTTCTGTTGTGAATCAAAAAGATTTCGTTTTGTTATAGATCATAAAGATTTGCTTTTTTAAACGAACCAAAGCCAACACATGTTATTTTTTCACCTAAACTTAAGTGTTAAAGCAAACATTTCAGACTAGTAAATCATTAAAGCTGTTACATGCAACTCTATTAAGGGTGGAGATATTTATTATTAAAAAAGCATTATAAAATTCATTCAATTTTTTTTCAGATCACTTTTTATGTGCTAGCTCTTCTGATCTCTGCTTGGCAAATAGGATTGAACAAGATAGACTTAGGGGCCTTTCCAACTACTGGGTGAGGCACTGTTCTATTCCCTTGGTACACAAAAAGTTTGTTGGCTGAACTTTTTCTCCCTTGAGGCCTTGAGATAAAAGCTTCCTTGCTGTCAGTACGATTCACATGGAAATTCAGGCCTGGAGTTTAGCCAGCTGCCTGAGAATTTTCCAATCACTGTTGGCTAGTGAAAGATTCAGGGTTGCAGTAGCTTCCCTGGGCTAATGGATAAACTCTGCAGCTGTCAAACAAGTAATCAGATGGTCAAATCAACTTCTACAGTTTTACTCACAATCAGAGGGAATGGTAGCATTGGGAGTCTCATCACATTTTAGCAAAGAAAGGATTTATTTTAAGGTCACTGTGGCACATCTAAAAAAAAAATCTTGGTCCTTTCTTCAGATGTTTAGGTGTAACCCTGGTTACTGAAACTTCTTTAGCCAGTGAACCTCATGTGTGTGTGTGTACACATACTCATATGTGTGTGTGTACACATACACTCACATGTGTGTGTGCACATATATGTGCATATATATGATATATATATACACACACACACACACAAATGCTTAGGAAGATACTAAGACAGCAAGTTGAAAGATCAGCAATTTAAGACATTTGAAGTAGGAGAAAATAACCGTTAGGAGGGCAAAAAGCAACATATGCCTGTCCAGAAATTAGCTGCGTATCCTGTTTCTCAAGAGAGGTAGTAAATTTCCCATGGAAATTCTTCCAGTAACTTAGTAACATGGGGGAAATTGCTAATTCCTCATACCTTGTTCTCTTTAGTTTACAGAGCACTTTTGCCTTTAATGCATCCTCAAATAACCATCCTCTTATTTGATGGTTTCGATGAGCTTAGAACCTGGACTAGATCTTTTTAGGTGAGAAAACAGACTTGGAGAGATTGGTTACTAAATGGTGAAATCATAACCACAGCTCAGATCTTTTTTGTCCTCATGTAATATTCTTTTTCTGCTACGTGACCTTATTTCCAATCAAAAGAAAATTAAAAAGAAAAAAACTGCACAAACTGTTACATTTACAAACTTGCCTTTTACAGGTGAATTTAGACTTGGTGAACCAACAAATCTCCATTTCCTTAACTACAAAATGGAGAACTCATTGAGCTCTCCTGAAGATTAATAGTCTTAGACCTAGTGTCTGGGACAGAGGCAGACATTCCAGGGTGGTCAGCTGTTATTATGATAGACTTCCCAAAATACTTTTGGTCTCTCTTGAGCATTCATGGTCTTGATCATATTGATCAAATACATGGTTGCTCTTGATCATTCATATACATTCTTTTCAAAATGTCCTCTTAGCTTGGGGTAAAGCATTGCCAGTATCTCTCAATTATTCAGACTCTTATTTTAAGGAAGGAAATTGGATTCTGAGATTGCATTGAATGTTTTCCTCAAAATCATTTTGGTTTGTTTATTCTCTTGTTGGAACAAGACAGTTCCTTAAAAACAAAAACCTCCTGTAATTGTTATTCTATTCATCATAATACAAGTTAATGCCTCTATCTGCCTGACACTTTTAAAAACAGCAAATTAAATACTCATTTGCTCTATAAAAATCTTCAACTTCTTTCAGTTGGTGAAATCTTATCTATAAGATTTCTATAAGAAATCCATTTGAATTTGTAAATTTCTGAATGTACAGATTTACCCCTGCCAAATTTTATCTATTAGAGATAATAATCTCTAATAGTAATGAGTAAATAGTAAAAATAGTAATCTGCATTGAAATTACTGAATTTATTTTAGGTATAGCTGTCATGTAATAAAAAATATGTATATAAATTTTAAATATACAAACAGAAGCTCTTCCCATGAGCCACTGCCCTACAAAACAAATTATTAGCAGGAGATTGATTGGGAAGATAATACTTTCAGACAGCAACTGAATGTGTCCTTAAAATACAAAGGTAATTATAGTGGCCCTACAAGGTTAAGTCCTAGGCCAACTGGTTCTGTAGGTAGCTTAGGTGTGGAGACTCATATTTTCCTCTCTCTCCTACCCTCATACCACCTTGACCTCTCTTGGTACTTAGGCTATGAGACCCTGGCTGTCTCCAGGGCTGCTGAGAGCTCAACAGGGCCTCTCCCTTCCTTGGCCAATGCATATTCCAAGCTCCATGCCCCTCCCTGTCCCACTCCCAGGTACCCCCACCAAGTGTCATTCCTTCCATATTAACTTCATTTATTCTGTCTTGCAAGGAAACAGTAGTAGGATAAAGGTGCCCATGTACTTGTGCGTACTCTTTGACAGGTAATAACACATTTGTATTTTAACAACCTGGGCCTTAACTATAGAAAAGAAATGAACTCAAATTTTTAAGTTACCTCTTGTACTATTTTGGAGTGTTACTATGTGCTAAGCAATTACCATAGCAGATACTATATTTGTAAATTTCCTATGATGACCAATCTCTGAAAAGCTCTTTTAACAGCCTTCACCTCATTTTATTCAGCTCAAATGGAACCTCAGAAAGGCATTCCTACCTAACATGCACCCCTCCCCATCTCTCTTTATCCCCCTTTTTTTATTTTACTTTGTTTCATGTCATTTATCATGTGGGTATACTATTAAATATTTATCTGTATATTGGTTTATATTCTGGTACAGCAACTAAATGGCAGCCCCACGAGAGCATGAACTTCATTTTGTTTGCCTCTGTATTCGCTATATTTAGAACAATAGGTGCTATATACTTATTTGTTGAGTGAAGTGAGGCTTAGAAGTTAAATAATGATCTCAAAGCCACATAAGTAGGAAGTGGTGGGAATGGACAATAATCCAGGCTTGTTTGGCTCCAGATTCTTCTGTCATTATACCATGCCACAACTTTCTACAACCCCAATATAATAAGGAGGGATTCTAATTAAAGAAATGGAGGGTGACAAAATAGCTATTCAAGGGACAGTTTTTTTGCTAAGCCACATACCTGAGATCTCTAAAATCATAATCCGTATGTTACTATCTATTCTACCTGTACAGCTAGTCCAGTTATATGTTTATATTTGGGGAACTTTCAGAATCTAAGATAAAGTGATGTCTTGAATGAAATTAAGGTAAAGGAAACAGTTTTATAAGATGAGAAAAATAAAATGAAGATCAGTTTAATATGAGACTTGGATATTGGAAAATAATAAAAAAGTGGAGAAATAATTTTTCATTATAATCTTTACATGCAGCCTGGGGTTTTCTTAGTGGGAAGGGAAACTTCACCAAAAACATGCTATTATGTGCTTTAATATTAAACAATTATTATGAGCCAATGGGATGTTTGTAGGTAGACTTCATTTGTTCATTTATTCCAGGTAGCCAGGGGTCACAGAATGGTGGAGGAAGCTTTGTCTGTCTACATTGCACTAAAAGAGAAATTGGCTTTGCTGCGCTTAAGTCCTTGTCAGTTAGCTTATTTCCTTGTGTACCTTTTCTTTGTCCTTTTTTCCCTTCCTGACCTGGTGTGACTAACATCGGGTCTTTCTTTATGTCTGCAGGTCTACATTGCTAAAACCAGCAGATTCTAGTGAGAAATGAGATAGTATCTTATTTTATTTTCTTTCCAAAAAAGAATAGATTCCTTACCCCATGCAAATGCTTATGAACATTCATGTGATGATTCAGTTAAAAAGAAAAAGGATGTATTCTTGTGTATCAGTAAATCTTTAATGACTCAGTTACTGGTTTGCTTAATTGTAGACTTCTCTGTCATTACTTTCAGTGCCCTGGGTCACTTCCCAGAATGATAGAAGACATTTTACTTAATGAGACATACTACTCTCAAGCTGTAGGTATAAATACTCTTTTATTGTCTTGTCCATGAAGTCCTTACCACCTCCTGCCTCCTAGGATTGACAAAGATTTTAAAAATCACTTCCTTGTCCCAGTTTAGCTCTGAGCCTCACATGAAATTCTAAGAGGATTTATGATTCTTTATAGTCATTTGGAATAACCAGTTGGGTTCTGTGATAAGCAAACAAATTAGCTGACCTTCTTTTAATCACTCTGTCTCCCTGACACTGCTGAAGGCAGATATGTTGAGGTAATCTGCCCACCACATGCACATTTTACTCTGGCCAATTAGTGGTTGGAAATGTCCAGAAGAGTATCCCATTTAATTAGGCATGGCCAAACAATGACTGCATGTGTCTCATATTATCTTTGAATGTTCAAGTTTCCTTAAATGGTTCAAGAATTAGTTTTCAACATTTTTTAGAACTGATGTATCCTAACAGTGGCGAATAAAAATATTAAGGCTTCCCCGAGAATAACAGTGATTTTTTTTTTTAAAGGAGAGAGCCCAGTTCTTTTTATTGTTGTAGTCTTGTTTTCGTATGCTCTGCTTTTTATTTGCTTTCCTTTTTCTTGTTTTGGTTTTTGCATGCCTATAGATCTCTCATCACCCTATTGTGAGATAGCCTTGAATCTTTTTTCCAGTCTTATTTTTTTTCCTGGTTGGCATTAATAAATAGCTTTCAAAAGCTAAATGAACTTAAACACCTCAAGTTTAGCGCATCATTTAATCCATGTATTTTGTAACGATTTTTGTACATTTATGTGCTGGGCCATGCATTTCATAACTATTTTTGTGCATTTATTATATGCTAGGCCTGAGGACACAGTGGGGTCTATGCCAGGCTCAGGTTCTACCCTTACAGAACTTGTAGACCAGGAAGGTGACAGGCTTCAGCAAGCACTTAAATCTAGTGTGATGTATTATGGTAGTGCCCAGGATCTACAGGAAAGTACCAGGGGCCTCCTGGCCAGGGGTCAGGAAGAATTCCCAGAGGAAGTGCAGTGCGTATAAGCTAAGACTTGATGGGTGAGAATGAGTTAGCTTAGAAAATGAGATTTTACAAAGCACATTTTTACGTTTTCTGGGCTTATGAGCTTCTAGTTCTGGCAAATGTATTTTATATAGGTGGATAGAGCCAGAAAAGTTGTTTGAAACCAAAACCAACTTGTTGAGTTAGAAATAAAACAACATATAATTCAAACCAGATGGGGCAGTACGGTGACATGCAAATAGAATAACACTGGAATGATAAAGGCTTGAATTCCAATCTTAACCCCTGCTATTTAATGGTAATTGTAATCTCAATTAATGGTAATTGTAATCTCCCAATTTGGCTTAGGAAAAAATCACACAACTCCAGGCCTGTTGGCAGGTGAACTACTTATTTGACTAGTATGGGCATGACTTAAGACTAGCAATTCTGTAGTTACACAAGAAAATGATGGTAGACTAGTGTTATTAACCTGAGAGTAATATCAAATGTCTTCTCATTTCACTGGGCATTTCTCTTAATATAATCTTAACTCTTCAGTAGTAATTTGTTGGGTTCCAACAGAGCCCACTTGCAGAAATTTTGCCATATGAAAATTGTATGAAGGACCATTAGTACAGACAGTAAAACGAATGCAATTAACATTTCTGTTTTCTCAACTTTAAAATTAGTAAGGCTTCTTATTTTCAAAGCATTGCTCTAAAGACAATTTTGCTTTCTTGGTTCGTTTGCTTGTTTTAAATGAAAGAATCACTCTTTATATTCTTCAGCAATCCCAATGAAATACCACTAGGCTTTTTCAAACCCATGCCTGCTAAGCTTAATTCCTAAGGTGGAATTATTATTTTTTATCTTCACAAGTTTTGTACTAAATTACATGCAATCATTAGCTGGAGCCATAATCTGTGTTCCCAAATCTCTCAGCTTTAGTAGCTACCAGATACTATTTAATTTGAAACTTTAATTCATTATATTAGAAGAAAATGTATTTAATTACAAGTTACAAAAATTGTTATCGCTTATGTTCAGAAGGTTTACCTGTAGTCATAGAGACAGGAAATAATATAAAATGGAGGAGATCATTCTGATCATTGTTAATTTAAAACTTTAATTTCAACTCTTATATTTTTAGAGTGTATAAGTATACTGGCTGCCCTGGTGCAATATGCTTTAATTGGATAATAGTAACAGTGTACTTTTACTATTTACTGTACAGTATCCTTCAGGGCCAGCCACATGGGAAATAGTCAAGAAAGCAGAATTTTTCTTTGTTTCACTCACAACTTCCAGCACCAACACCCTTCTTGCTATTCTGAAAGAAGGCCCTGAGGTGAGCATCTTTGACTATTTTTCAACCCTGCTGTTTCTGAGGTCAGTATCCTTAGGTCTGGGCTGACAGTTAACGGCTATAGGTGCATCTCCTCCCAGGGGAACTGATTTTGCAATCAACTATTTTTGAATAAAGGAACCTTAACCCCCTGGAATGAGAGATGTTCAGGATATGGGAACAGACAGACTGGGGATAGGGGAACCCTGCCTGAATTCCCTTCATATATGTGAAGTGTGGCCTTCAGGGGCCTTATCTGTGGGCATGATTAGTGTGGTAAAGGGAGTATTAGCTGGGATTTAGCAGCCCAAGGTGCCTTCCCAATGTGGATTAAGTAGTATGTGATTTTAAATTACCTCCTAGCTGAGCCTTGGTTCTCTGGCTTGCAGAATGAAGGGGCTTCGACTAGAACATTCTGTGATTCTATAATCTCTTTCATCTCTTTTTACACACTAGCTTCCATTGGATTGCAGGTTTAAAAAAAAAAGCAAGATTTCATTTCAAATATATTTGAACCCGATCAGGGATAACTGATTAGTCCTTCAGTCTTGTAATAAATCCAGCTTAAATTGTTTCAGCTTTTTGGTGGAAATTACAGTGTAGTATAGACTGAAAAGTTTAGAGCAATTTCATACAGAATAATTCATAGGCACTGGAGACAATAAAAGCCATTATTAACACCAGAAGTTGCTCCATTACTGTGACAGTGCCATGGGGACCCTACCGATAAATATGCAATCTAGTCCAAAGGAGAGCTTGCATATGAACACAGATGCAAGAGAATAAACCTTGCTCTCTCTCCAGCCAGCTTGACATACCTGAGCCCTTCATATGTAAAACTCCTGTAGTTACTACGTTCTAATCAACAATTTTGGTTCTGGTCAGGCACAGGGACAAAGCATGAACCAGCCTCTGCTATCAAATACTTGTGTGTGTGGATACATTATTCTAGTCCCTTTTTCTTCCTTGATCTCCACCTAGTCCCTTTAATTTTCCCATAACTCTTTGGGAGTTAATTTTTTCTTACGCTATGGTCTCTCAAAATAGCACAGAGAGGTATTTAGTGTCCTGAGATATTTATTAGTTTTTGAAATCGCAAAACCCATTTCAGAACTAGATAATAGTGAAGACTGGGAGGCTGAGGTGGGCGGATCACCTGAGGTCAGGAGTTCAAGACCAGCCTGGCCAACATGGTGAAACCCTGTTTCTACTAACAATACAAAAATTAGCTGGGCGTGGTGGTGCACACCTGTAATCCCAGCTACTTGGGAGGCTGAGGCAGGAAAATCACTTGAACCCAGGAGCTGGAGGTTGCAGTGAGCTGAGGTTGTGCCACTGCACTCCAGCCTAGGCCACAAGGCAAGACTCCATCTGAAAATAAATAAAAATTTAAAATTGTTACAAAAATTTTTAATATACACAAAAGGAGAGAATAATATAATGAACTGCCATATGTCTACCAGCTCACTTCTACAAATTCAACGTTTTGGCAATCCTCTTCCTTCTTTTTTTTCTGGATCATTTTAATGCAAACTTCCAGATTATTTTTCTGGATCATTTTAATGCAAACTCTACCATTATTACTTGATGACATAGTGCTGTGCTCTGGGCATTAAATCTTGTTTAGAAAAATTCAGTTGAATGCACAGATAACTACAAATTGACTGTTTTATCTGATTCCAAAGAGAGCTGATGCTGTGCAATCAGAGACTGCCTCTAAGAGCTGGTATATGATATTGCCTTATTATGAATCATCTACTAAACTGCAAGCTCATGAGAGCAGCATGAGCTTATATGCTTAATATTTAGACTGTGGTTTTCAATTTAGAGATTAGAATAAAATTAGAAATCAAATGCATCTTTGTTCTTTCATTCCCAACTATAGTACCTAATCTAGTGCCTTGTGATGAAATATCTGACTTATTTTAAAGCTGATTTTGGTGAAATTAACGTGTCATATTGAAATTCTTAAGTCTGATCTGTTGTTTAGCTTTCATGATCCTGTACTCAGAAATGTTTATAACAGAATTATGATGTATATAATACCATTCTATCAGTTCCCTGATTACCAAAATGGTAGAGACTCGTTCAAGGTCAAATAATTATATGTGGTTGAATTAGAACTGGACTCCTGACTCCTGAGTCTTGGGCTAGGACATTGGCTACTATCTCTTAGTGCCTTCTGTAATCCAGTAGGAGCTTTGAGATTACCTAACCTATCTTAAGATCACCCAGCTTGGAAGTAAAGATTAGGATGATAATGATATAAATGATAATGATGAAAATAATAATAACTAACACTAATTGTAGTTATGTGCCGGCCACTCTTCCTCTAGCACTGTTCATTCTTTCTTTTGTATGTAATAAGTGTTCACTGAATTCCCACTAAGTACCAGCCACTCTTCTAGGTGCTAGAATGTAACAATAAGCAAAACCCCAAATCTCTGTTCTTAGGCATCTTATCTTATAATAGTATTTTATATAGATCATCCCATTCTTTAAATTTACGTAATAACTTTATGGATAGTTACTCTCATTATTCGCATTTTATTGTTAGGAAAATTGATTGACAGAGAGCTTAAGTATCTTAAACCCAAGATCATACAGATAAGATGGGACACCCAGAATTTGAATTGCCCTGACTCCTGAAAATAATGAAATTTTCTGCTTAATGTGAAGCTCTAGGGACATATTAAAATCCTAGATGGAAACATGCACCCAAGAAAGTTACTAAGAAAAGACAGGGAAAAGATAAATATATGGGCATAATAAGAATTAGGAGAGGCACCCATAATATTTGTTGCTAGCAATTAAACTGAAAAAAAAATCATGCAGTAGGTTTATGTTTTAGAATAATAAATAGCAGTGGGTTAATAGCAGAGGTCTTAGGTATGGGTTTAAATTATGTTGGTTTAAATGAGATGAATTAAGTCAACTGGAGGCATTTACATAGGCACATTTTAAATATTCTGTGAAGGTTTCAGTAACTTCTGTTTAAAATTCCCTTTCTTCATGGATGCAGCCATACTTGGTCATTACAGATATATTGCACACATGTGTGAACACGTGCATGCATGCGCACATACACACCCACCTCAGTTTGTGAGATTTCCCCTTTCACTTTATTAACCACTATTTGACTCTTCACCGAACAGATTGTGCAAATTCCAACAGATTCATTACCTCACATTCAAGCTCTAAGACTTTTCTTTTACATTTTATGCTTCTTCCCTAATGTCACTCTTTGGGTAGTATAGGACAATTGCTACAGTTAATCTTGCCCACCTAGTTCTTAGTGCTTAGATAAATGATTCTTGGCTTTCATTTCAGAAAACTCAGTGAGGCACTATATCATCAAAAGAAGTATTACCAAATTCTTAATATATGTTCAGTTTATTTATTTTGATGCGTAAAGAACCATGTATTTTATAAAAATTTTAGAAGACCATGAGATGTGATTGCAGCTCACAGAAAGTTTGGAAATTATAGGCTACACGTGTTCATCCCTTTGGTAATAATAGCACCTATGCATTACAAACCCTGATAACCAGACGGATAAAACCACATTTCCAGAGCTATGAGTTTGATCCACTTCACCGTGATCAAGTGCTTGGTGGTAGAAGATAGATGTCACATCACAACTTTAAAACTTTTGTTGACTCCTCCTTTCACCTTGCTTCATTTCTGTTCTTTCTAGTTTCCTAACTACACCTTCTGTTCTGTTCTTTCTTTACTTTCCAGCACCTTTATATTTAGGGTTTGAAATTTGAAATATCTTGTTAGAGGGCTTGCTGATAGATAGGCATTTAGGCTCATGGCCTCTTTAATGTGAAGAGAACAGAGAGCTTGAGCAAATGGGTATGCTTGCAGCCCTAGATTTTTGGAAGTTATACCCTAACCAATCAATAGGGTAGACTCCCTTAGTTGTTTTTCCAGTATTGCTGATTGTGTTGATTTTACTTAGCCCTGCCTGACAGATGATGCACATTTTCTAAAAGCTTGTAAGTCTGTGATTTTCCAATTGATCTAGAGTTAACAGATCTATGTGGGGATTGAATCCATAACTTTGGCCTCACTAAACCCTACTAATGAATGAATTATTTATAGATAAAACCAAAAAGAAAAAGCATCAACAATAAGATGCTGTTGAGAATGATTATGATTGATAGCAAAATAAGTTGATATCCTGTTACTGAGCTTTCAGACTATTTTGCCAAAAGTAAAATCTGAACCCAAGCTTATCAAATTTATTGAAGATAAAATGACTGGCATATTCTAGTCAGTATGTAGGTTCTTTTGAGAAATTATTGTGTTCTCTTAAAATACAATAAATATTGTACTCTCGCCATATTGTTCACTCATTTCTACACTTTTTCCTACTCCCCAAGGCCCTTGTTGCATTAAGACCTGGGACAGAAAGGTAGAGTGAGCAATCAAGCCCATTTTGACAAACAGAAATTTGTTTGCAACATAGAATATCATGTTTCATATTGCTTTACAAGTGCTTTTGGAATCACTTTCCTTCATAACAGATTCATAGGAAAAGCTTTGGAACTGAATAGTTATTTGACTCAATCTCTCTGTATAAAGAAGAGGAAAAAGAAAAGAGAAAAGATAAGAAAAAGATGCATTTTTTTTTTTTTTTTATGGAAAGCATACCACTTGAGAATGATGCAGTTAGACCTACTTAGAATATCATCCCAGTGAGCAGACAGCATGATTTGTATTTCAAATAAGGCTAGTTAATTTTGGTGTGTCACATGACCACAGACAGTGTTCCCAAATCCTGCAAAACATCTGGAAAATGCATGCTGTTAATTAGAGACTGGGCCAGAAAATGCTGATAGATGCAAATTCCTGCCAAAGCGAGGGGACAGTACTGCTATCTTTGTATGCAATGGAGAGAACTGCTACGAATTTCAGTACAATAAAACGTGTCTGCTTATCTTTGCATTTGGAGCTCCTAAACTTTGGTTCATTATCACATTACACATCCCTCACTGTCTGGGATAATGGCGCTTGAAGAATGTGAACATGCTTTTTAGGAAATATCACAACTTTGGTTTCATAATAATTGACATAAAATTGTACATTTAGACATAGTGCCTTTTGCTTCTTTAGAAATAACACCATGTAGCAAGTACTGATACTGCAGCAAGAAGTAAAGCTTGCAGTGTTTGAAAATGAGTCAAAGACATAACTTTGAAGCAGTATGTTCATTATTTTAATAATTGTTTTCCCCCATAGCAAATATAGTTTTGGGGGTGACTCTGATTGCCAGATTTCTGGCAGGTGGGCTCTCTGTTTATACATACTCTGCTGTCCTTTTATCACTATTTTGTTTTTCAAGGCTGCCATCAACCACGTGACTTGACAGGAGCCATGTTACATGACATTCTATGTTGCAAACAAATTTCTCTTTGTCAAAATGGGCTCGATTACTCACTCTACATTTCTGTCCTAGGTCTTAATGCAATAAGGGCCTTGGGGAATAGGAAAAAGTGCAGAAACAAGTGAACAATATTATTATGTCATGGTCCCTGCTCTCTCACTGATCTCTCTCTCTGGGGCTCGGGGCTGGAATACACAAGGGAGTAAGATTCAGAACTGGATATGCATAATAAACAGAAAATGGCAGAAATCTCTCAATTTTGTGCTACTACATCAAAAAGTTCTCTTCACAATAACAATTGCTAGCATTAATAGAGAAATTACTATGGGCCAGATACCAACCCCAGTGGTTTTCATGGATTATCTCCTTTAACTTCCACAGTAACTGAATGAAATTATTATCCCCATTTTTACAGTTGTTAAAACACAGGCTTAGCTAAGTGAAGTAATGTGCCTCATAAAGACAGAAAGAAGCTGAGGTTTGAATTCAGGCCCATCCTCCTAACTACGTCTCTATTTTACAGTCTCATAGCATAGAGACAGTAACTTCTGAGTTTTCTGTATGGGTTGTGTGGGTCACAGACACCATACAAAAATGGTTCCATTAAACACCTGGATGCATACAGGGAAACAACACACACTGGGGCCTATTGGGGGGTGGAAAGAATAATTAATGGGTACTAGGCTTAACACCAGGATGATGAAATAATCCATACCACAGACCCCCATAACACAAGTTTACCTATGTAACAAACCTGCACATGTACCCCTGAACTTAAAATAAAAGTTTAAAAAAATTCCGTTAAAAGCATATGATATACAGGGCTACAGTAAAAGTAGCTGTTTCCATTCGTTGAATGGAATCACCTGCTTGGCTTGATTTCAAGAGTGGCAGAGAGACCCACCTGCTGGTTATTGCCTGAAGTTTCATGATTTGGGATTTCCTTCAGGAATGAGAACGCATTGAAGCCCAATCAACCACTCGCTAGCTTGCAGATTGTTTTTCCTGAAGTGTGCTTTTTCTAAGTGTAATGGTTTAGATCATTCAGACTTTAATAGAAGTTTTACTTGTCTAATAAAAATCTTATTTTTTTTTCAAAATATTATTTTCTTTTAAGGGATATAATTTAATCCCTGGAAAAAAAAATGGAATATTTTGTGTTTTACTGTGGTGAAAATCTAAATATTAATGCTTTATGAAGAACAAACGTTTTGCCCTAGCTCATGCTCTGTATCCACATCCATGGCGGGTTGTTAGAGACCCAAGCCAGAGGGTCTTCCTTTGGTAGTTCTTGCCCACAAATAATACATGTACTTCCTTTTACCTTGTTGGAGAGAAATAGTCACATGGCCTCAAATAACCACAGGGGGACTCTATCGGCTTCCTAGGGCTGCCGTAAGAAATGACTACACACTGAGTGGCTGAAAATGACAGAAACTTATTTTCTCACAGATCTGGACTTCAAGTCTGAAATCCAGTTGTCAGTGGGGCTGGATTCTTCTGAAAGTCTGAGTGGGTATCTGTTCCATGCCTCTCTCCTAGGTTCTGGTGGTTGCTGTCAGCCCATGGCCTTTCTTGGCTTGTAGAAACATGACTTCAATTTTTGCCTCTGTCTTTACATGGCATTCTCTTCTTTGTGAGTCTGTATCCAAATTTCCCTCTTAAAAGAAAACCAGACATTGGGTTAGTGCTCACTCTAATCCTCATTTTATAATAACTTGATCATATCTGTAAAAAACTTTTTCCAAATAAGCTCACATTGACAGATACCAGGAGTTAGGACCTGGACATATCTTTTTGGAGGATGTAATTCAATGTATAACAGGAACCATTAATTGCAATTGAACCATGAGATTGGAAGGAAAAAGACAAGAAAACATATGGCAATGGGTACCAGTGGCTAATTATGTTCCCATTTAACATTTGAAACGGAGACACTTCTTTTCATAAGTTGCCAGGAGTTTAAGAAAGGTTAGCAGCTCAAAGAACTAAGAAAGATCTGACTATAGATGTAAAACAAATAATTTACGTGTTAAGAATGTTTGAATAACAGAGAGATACTATTTGGAAAAGGAGCTACAAGGACATTTATGGTTCATTGATTTGAGGCCTCTACTTACCTTTGCCACCTTGTGGAAAGAAGTGAAACAGATTTGTTGTAAGCACAGGGGCAGAAATACAAACCAAGCCCTTTTACCTAACTGGAGCATTTTATATAGGATATGGCATCATCCTGGTAGTAATTGTGACAGAGGACAGAGGATAACTTAGAAATAAGTAGAATAAGACATTTCGGTGGCAGGGATGTCTCAAGATTTAAGAATATATTACAAGGAACATCATGTGATTACAAATAATGATTCTGTGTAAGTTGATGATGAAAAATTAAGGATTAATTGAAAAGCTGACAAGCTGTGTATTTGATTATTACTCAGGTATCTTTTGAAATAAAATAACTTTTAAAATTCTGTCAAAGGATAAGTTGTAATTGGATAAATAAGCTGTGGGAAATGCATAGTTCTAAGTGTCTTGGTTATGAAGCGGGTCCCATCGAAGCTTGTTTAAAGTCTCCACAGTGAGGTTTGAGTCGTGTACCTAATGAGTGTGTGGGTGGATGGGATGCGGGGAGTATCTTTGGGGTCTGCCAAGTCACAAAATAGAGTCATTGATAAGGTGGCATCTGACAACCTTTATCTGTGTTCCTCACTTATTACAGGACGAGTCTTCTTGTAGCTGGACATTCTCTGTGGCCTATTGCAACTTGCTTGTGTACCTCCCTATTGACTCTCTCCCAGAGTTTTGGGGAGTGAGGGTTGACAGTGGTTAGACTGTTCATGCATCAGAATCTCAAATGTCAGCAAAACATGAACAAAATTTCAGGAGCGGAGAGAGGAAAGCATACGGAAATAACAGAGAAGGGCTACAGTTACAGCATATGATGAGTGGCCTGGATCTTAAAATAGTCTGCAGTGCTTGAGATGAGAGGCCATGAGATGGAATAGAAAGATTGGGAGACAGAAGAGCTGGGTTCTAGGCCAAGCTTTGTCACCAACCATCTGTGGCTTAGGCAAATCCCTCATCTTTCAGATGAAACCAGATGTTTTCTAAACTCCTTTTTGGCTAGAAACTACTGTGGTTAAGGATGTTTACAACTTTCTGTTCACCAATATATGTGGTAGATGATTCATGAAGAATATGCAGCCCTCAACACTGGGGAAGCTTTATTTTATAAAACTGCCAAATATTTACAAAAGAAGGGAAACTTAGGTTTGGGGTCTGAACTGGGTACAGAGGACTATAATAAAAACAAAGAGCGATATCTGTCAAGGATAATAAGAAACACATTCCAATTGACAGACACTATTCTAAGTGTTTTCTATCATTAATCTTTATACAATTTTGGCAAAGGAAAGAGACCACAGAAGGTTGAAGTCATTCGCCCTAGGCAACACAGGTAGTGATGAGATGCCCTGACTGTTGATTGCCCTTAACCCCTGCAGCCTAACTCTGCCATGGATAGATATAGAGACATTCAGTGAGAAGGAAAAGCCAGGGGACAGTAGGGGCCTTGGACATCTCTTACCTTTATGCATTCACCCATTTACTCAACCATTATTTACTGTGTACTAACCGCCAGTCACTGTTCCAAACACTAAGGAAATAATGTAATCAAGGGAAGTCCAGTTCCTGCCTCCACAGCGTTTTTAGTGTAGTGTAGAGGAACATAGGGAGTCAAATAGCACTTAAAATACAGCGTGAGAAATGCTGACACAGGTTGGGAATAGTCAGAACATGTGAGGGTGGGGTGGTGCATTGGAGAAGGAGTAAAATTTAAGCAGTAACCTGAAGGATGAATATGACCTGAAGGTTATTTCAAGCAGAGAGAGCAGGTGGTAAGAATCTAGAGCCAGCTGTTAAACTTTGGGCTGGTGCCAATCTGGCTGCTTGAACATCAGTTGCGATTCTGATTTGGTTGGTGTGGGATGGGACCTGGATATTTATATTATGAACAAAGTGGTTTTGAAGCCAGGATAGTTTGACTCCAGGAGACCTGTGTGGAGGCAGGTGGTTCTGAGGCCCCACCTGGGAGTTTCGAATCGTGTTGGAAGCGGGCAGGAAAAGAGCTGAGTTAAATATGAAAGGTTACACCTCCAAGGGAGCTTCCCACTCTGGTAGACTTTGGTTTTGGTGGTGCCTGAGATAGACAAAGGCTAGAAATTCTGGGAAAATCTGGTAGTGGTTGGGCCAGCCAGGGAAACAACTGGAAGAGATACTAAAGTGACATGGCAGGACCTGTTTCTTTGTTTGAAAAAAATACATAGTTTAGGAAGTATTTATAAAGACTTGTGGCAAAAAGCTGCATTATAGGATGAATAATGTTCATTTAGGTGCTTTCTTTTGCATGTGAACCATGTGACCAAGTGCCTGTTAGTATTCTGACACTATATGCGAATATTTTGCACTAACTGCCTAGGTCAAATGCTGGAATAGCATATCCCATTTTTTTTTCAGTAAGTAACTCTAAAAGAACATAAACAGAGAATCATCATTTTCAATAACCTCAGTGACATCTCTGTGCTATTCTTTCCAGGGAAAAATAAGTTGAATATAATGAATAACTATATGAAGTTATACTATATTTGAGTTGCTTTAAGAATACTCATGGGAGAAATTAAGTCAGTTTTCCTTTGAAAATTTTTTATTAATGTTTCTTCTGAATTATGGAACTTCTCTAATACATAAAAATGTAAAACAAATAACATAATGAACATTTGTATATACACTATTCACTTAAAAGATCTTCTCATTTCCAGCCGGGTGCAGTGGCTCACGCCTGTAATCCCACCACTTTGGGAGGCTGAGGTGGGTGGATCACGAAGTCAGGAGATCGAGACCATCCTGGCTAACACGGTGAAACCCCGCCTTTACTAAAAATACAAAAAATTAGCCGGGTGTGGTGGCGGGTGCCTGTAGTCCCAGCTACTCGGGAGGCTGAGGCAGGAGAATGGTGTGAACCCAGGAGGCGGAGCTTGCAGTGAGCCAAGATCACGCCACAGCACTCCAGCCTGGGCGACAGAGCAAGACTCAGTCTCAAAAAAAAAAAAAAAAACAAAAACAAACAAACAAACAAAAACTTCCCATTTCCTTTACTCTCTCCTACCTTCTTATTGCCTCTCCTCCCATAACCTTTATTGTTGGACTTAGTGTTTATCATTTAGGACATTTAAAAATATCTTTCTGTGTAAGCACATAACCCAACAAATATATATAGCAAATTGGACATTTTAAAATGTTATGTAAATCATAGCTTCCTGCAGATATCCTTCCACAACATTTTTTGTCCATTATATTTTGAAGATATACCTATGTATATATTACTACTACATTCATTTTCATTGCTTTGTAGTATTTGACTGTTTAAAAAGACAATGATTTATTTATTCATTCTCCTGTTGACAGACATTTAAATTGGAAACCATCTAATGTCAAATTCTTTCACTAATCATATATATAGTTTCGATCATTCAGTTTTTGCCATTTATAGCTGTCCCCTTCCTTCTTTTCAATTATCATCTAGGTTATAGAATCATTGTTTCAGAAAGAAGTGTGTAATAAGGCAGACAACATTGCAACAATCGCTAAATTTGTTCACGTGAATCCAATTACAGCCTTAACGCTGTGTACCTAAGCTTACAGTCTAAACTAAGGCTGATTTTCTAAATAGATAGTAGCTGGTTAGCCATAATAAAGCCAACACTCTGGTTGTATTCCATAACCCAATACTTTATAGCTCTAGTGAGTTTAGTAACAGGGCCAAACAAATTGACAACAATCTACAAGAAAAATGTTTTCATATTAACTTATTCAGGACAGCTCATCAGGTTCACCTTTAAAAAGGATGACTTTAAGAAAAGATCACCCAATCAGATCCTGTCACACTCTTGGCCTTTTCAGTCTTGGATTCCAAATCAAAAAGGCCTTTGTTTTTAGTCATTCCTAATTTCCAGAAAGTTTTAGAAATAGTTGCTTTATGAGCATGGAGGTAGATATCAACATAGCCTAATTGCCAGGGTATTTATAGAACTATCGCCCCCTCCCCAAAATATCTTCCACACCAGTTACCATTGATCTTTCAAATGTTCTCACTGGAAGGTACATCTTTCTGCTGTATGACTAAAGATAAAGCTTATTAAATTTGGGATGACATAAAGCTTGGCAAATGACTTGAAGTTAGATGACAGAGCTGGCAATTTCATATGATGGAAGAAGAAATCCAAGTCAACAAAATAAATTGAACTAGAATGAAAGGAAAAATTCAAAAATCAATGTAAAAGCATTGGACTTGGTCAATTATATTTGACAACACTTCATGTGAAATATCTGAGGATTTTAGGTGATACAAATCTTCATGTGAGTCAACAGTTCAATTATTCTGTGAAACTGAAAATGCAAACTTAAGACTACAGGAACAGCCTTAGGTGGAAGTATAATTTCACAATCAAGGGAAGCGATCCACCTATTGTATTTAGGAACTAGTCAGACGACAACTAGAGATTTTTTTGCAGTTTAGAATCTGCATTGTCATTGGAACATTGATAAACCAGGAATTAGCAAACTAACCGGAGTATTGAAAGATTGGGGATAGTGCCATCGAAGAAGAATTTTTATGAAAACTAGTTTCTATGTAATGACCTACAGTTCTGTTGTCATGATTGACTAGTACTTGACATGAAATACCTTGAAGAGATTAAATTGAAACAGTATATAAATTGTGACTTCTTTTCATAGACTGTGAGATATTTGCTCATTTATTTGTGGAAACATCTCATGATTTCTCCAGATAGGACAAATCATAAATAGCAAGATTTTAGAAGAATCCATTTGATACAGTCTCCAATCCATAGAGTGTGTATAATTAGTAGTACCCTTAAGTCAGAGCAAATGTTAATTTTTTAACTTCTACACAGGTCATTTTTTAGGCCCATATATATATATATATATATATATATATATATATGCACTTACAATGAGATCATTATTATGATGGAGTGTCTATATATATGCACTTACAATGAGAACACTATTATGATGGAGTGATGGATCCCAGGCTTCCATGTTATCACTTTTCTTCCCCAGAGTCCAATAGTGGTGTGGAGGATTTGGTAGTCTGTTCAACGAGATGAACAGGTCCCAGTTCTGTAGCAGAGTGTAAGAATTCACGTGGGGGAAAGATTTCACAACATAGTCTAATAGTTTCTGAGGCTCCCTTTCAAATATATTTTGACATTGGTCAAAAGAAAAGACATTTGAATGATTGTTGATTGTAATCGTATTTTAAAATGGACCTATGAAAGAGCATTCATTAACTTTACATGTAGGTTTTGATTTGTTTTGGTTTTGGCAAACGTACACCGTTAAAATATTATAAAATATCTTGGGGTTTTAAAAACCTAAATTCAATCTCCATTTAAGGAAACGATTTACTGAACGTTATGCTGAAGTCTTCTTAGTGGAATTTCTCTTTGCTGGTTTTCTGGAATGTGAATTGCTCTGTGAGTCTTAATCTGCTCAGCTCTGATGAAGCCTCTAAAAATGTACATTTCCATTGTGATTTAAGGTGGGAGTTCCCCTGGCTCTACCAGATTGCCTCTCTTCTACTGAGCTTTCAAAACAGTACAAGGTCCTGATATTGAAAATATGTAGTTTTATAATTTTCTCAGTCAAAGACTGATTTAAATTATATATGGATTCTTGGATAGTAGAGAGGTAATTTCAGAGCCATCATAATACTGATAAAAGATGCATTTTTGGATTCACATTATCTCCATCTCTTATTTTCTAATCTGAATTACCATTGGAGCAGGCAATCTTCAGAAGAATGTAGTACTTTTCTAGCCCTAATATGAGCCAGGTGATGTTCTTGAGCATACAGTGTACTTGAAGCCCAGGAAGGGGGAATTTAAAGCACAGCATGTTTGATTTGCTTTTGATTTCACATGTTGGCTAACTTAACTGATCTTCAATAGCTTTGTTCAGGAAATTTCACAAAACAGATCAGTGGCCATTCTAGGAATAACTAACTTACATTCTCATTCTGTCATAAATAATCAAAACTGGCTGGGCACAGTGGCTCATGCCTGTAATCCCAGCACTTTGGGAGGATTAGGTGGGTGGCTCATTTGAGGCCGGGAGTTTGAGACCAGCCTGGCCAACATGGTGAAACCCCACTTCCAGTAAAAATACGAAAAAAAAAATTAGCCTGGCTTGGTAGGGGGCACCTGTAATCCCAGGTACTCGGGAGGCTGAGGCAATCGCTTGAACCCAGGAGGCTGAGGCTGCAGTGAGCGGAGATTGCGACACTGCACTCCAGCCTAGGTGACAGAATGAGACTCAGTCTCAAAAAATAAAAAATAAATAAATAAATAAATAAATATATAAATAAATAAACTGTTTTCAGAAAAGTCAACTACCAAACTATGAAAATGACAGAATTTTTGAAACAATTTCTCTATCTGCAAAAAAAAAAAATGGGAAAAGTCTGCTTTTCTTTCTGGGTTAGTTTGCAGATTAAATGAGTTACATACTGTTTATGAAAGGACTTAGCACAGCAACAACTATACAGGAGAAAGTAGTGGGGTAACTGAATTGTGCTGCTGTGAGATATTCAATCACAAAAAATTTAAAGACTAGTAGCTGTAGCAACTGTTCATCAAATGTAGCAATGATTCATAGACAAGCCACAAAACTTTTTCTGGGTAATTTCTAAATAATTAACATTTATTTAAATTATTAGTTTCATTGCGCACTGAAATGTGTCTCTGTGTATGTGTAACTTTTAAATTCTCAATAGGGCAAAAATAATTTTCTTTTTAGGAGCTTCACACTTTAAGCTGTTTGCCAATAATCAGAAAATAACAATTTTTTTTATTTCTTTAGGTCATTTGTCACTTTTGTCTAAAAAGAAAATATTCCTTAAAGCTCATGGGAGTTGTTCATTTTAACTTTTTTCTCAACCAGAGAGGAACATACTATTTCTTAGTGCAAATCAATCAGCCCTATTTGCAGGGAATGTGTATCTTCTCAACTTTTCAAGAAATAAGCAATCAATAACATCTTTAAATGTAAGGTGTTAAAACCTAATAAATGCAATTTTAATTTAAAAGTTTTAATTTAAAATTTTAATTAAAATTATTTTAGTATTATTTTTCATTTAATTTATTTTTAATCAAAATGTTTTTAATAAACACGAGGCCTCACTATGTTGCCCAGGCTGGTCTCAAACACCTGGCCTCAAGCGATCCATCAGGCTCCCAAAGTTCTGGAGTTACAGGCATGAGCCACCTCACCTGGCCTAACGTCTCTTAAATATCGTGTTAAATTACAGATGATGAATTTATTGTCTGGGGAGCAAAAAATTAAGCTATTCAAAATGTTTATTTTGTGATTTTAAAACTAACCACAGTATCCATGTAAAAGCTTTGAAAAATTTAAAATCAACCACTGTGTCAAGCATGATAATAGTGTATTTCAATAATGGCAAGTAAATTAACTAAAAAATTGAAGAGAACTAAGTAAAATCTATGGACAAAGAGCTTTTCTATGCTTTGTCAGAAAACAAAACAAGAAAACCTCAACTCTTTGCGGGGGAAAACTGCAGATGCTTATGAGGGTACTACTGATGAAAGGGTTCTAAGGAGAGTTACAGGAACAACTAACAGTAACTGAATGTCTATCATGTATCAACATTTTTACATTTGCTATCATGGTTAACCTTTCTAGCAACATTATTCTTAGGTGATCATATGATTTATTGTCCAGGTGGGGATAACTTCAACCACTAAAATGCTAAACCAAACATGATATTGGAACAAAAGGAATATATCAGAGCTATTTGTGAAAAGCAGAATATATAGTCAGCACATATGACTTACCTTTTCATTATTGGGAAGCTCCCTCCCCTTTTGGGATTTGTTTAATAACCAGATTTCCTAACGTATCAGAAATGTCAGTTTCTCTCATCAGAGTTCACTCATAGTTTGTGCCACATTTCTAAGTGGTGAGAGCAATGTTGTATCCTGACTATCCGTGCTGCCCAGAAAATAAAAATACGAAACAGATTCTCTGTCGTGATCCTCACTCCCCATCCCAATCAATGAGGTTTTTCCAAAAGCAGATAGTACTTCTACCTCCCACCCCTACTCTGTTCCCTTCTGTACACAGCTGCTGGTTGTCTCTCTTTGCTTTTCTGTTTCAGCCAAGACAACAAGATGAAGATACCACTCCTCTTAATTTTTATATTTTCTCTCATTACTTTATCTGAGGCTAACCTCTTTCCTGTGAGCTACTCCCTGCTTCCCTTGGCTCTTGGCCAATGGAACCTCTTTCCCAAAGGCACCTCTTTCCAGTTAAAATTCTTTTTATCTTTTGTTTTTCTAGTTTACAACAGCTGTTAGTGACACTAGCTCCCTTGCAAAGAGTTTAGCACTCTGTATGGTTTACCAGAAAGCTAATGCAATTTAATGAGGCCCGGTGCCTAATTTTGTACTTGCATTATTTTATTTCTTAAAGTACACCCCTAAGACTATAGAAGCAGCAAACTCCTAAAACCCAGGACACAGTGAGATGCAGAGACAAAGAGTAAAAATGAGCATAACAAGAAGGGTCAAGATTTTGTTGTTAACTTTATTGCATGCAAATTAAACAATTTTTTAAAGTCTGTAGATTTTAAGTGTACAGTTGGATACTTTAACGATTCATCCTTGTTTTATGCATCAATAATTCATTTCTTTTTATTGTTGAGTGGCATTCCATTGTATGAATATGTCATATAATTTTTATATCCACATATCTGTTGGTAGAAATTGTTGTTTCCAATTTTGGAGTGAGTAAAACTGCTATGAATATTCTTGTACAATTCTTTTAAAGAATATATGCTTTCATTTATTTTGATAACATATTTGTGTGCTATTGCTAAGTCTTTTAACAAGCATTTTAAGAAAAATGTGCTAAACAATTTCCCATAGCATACTATTGGTAAGGTTAAGACTTCCAGTTGGTCCACATCTGCCAATATTTTATGTTGTCAGCCTTTTCAAGGTGAGCCATTCTAGCGGATGTGTGGTGTAATTTGTAATTTTAATTTGCATTTCCCTGAAAACCAATAATATTCAGCATATTTTATGTGGTTATTAAACATTTATATATCTTCTTTTGTCATATAACTGTACACATCTTTTGTCACTTTTTTATTATACTTTAAGTGCTGGGATACATATGCAGAACATGCAGGTTTGTTACATAGGTATATGTGTACCATGGTGGCTTGCTGCACCCATCAACCCATCATCTACATTAGGTATTTCTCCTAATGCTCTCCTTCCCCTTGCCCCCCACCCCCCGACAGGCCCTGGTGTGTGATGTTCCCCTCTCTGTG